>NC_000021.9:24225652-24855575 GCF_000001405.40 Homo sapiens | reverse complement strand
ACTCTGAGTTCTATGTTTTTACCTTAATCACCATGTTTGTCCTTGCATTTGTTGTTGCAATAGAATGTAGCTGTACCCAACTCTACCAGGGACAAGCAGTTACCCAAATTAAAAAAAAAAAAAGAAGAAATCTGCTAATGACTCTGGTAAGACTGAGTTAGTGTTTCTTGAAATCTCTTTATGCCTCAACTCAATCCTCTTGGTTTATCAATTTTTCTTTTTTTTAAGGTAACTTAGAAGAAGAAATCAATCCTCGTTTATTTTCTAAAACATTGAGAGTTAGGGTAGTGCTTCAATACTACTGAAACTTTCATATTTTAGAAAAAAATCCTTGGGTGCTATCAGATGAATGGTAGGCAAATTCAAGAGATAATACTTCAAGAGAAAGAGGAAGCTGTTTTTTTTTTAGTCTTCAAAGTCTCTGTGTTTCCCAGCATTTTTTTTTCAGGGATGTATTTCATTTTTATTTAATTTTTAACTTATGAATGACCTCCTTTCTTGCTTCTATTTCCCTATTATTACTATTTTTAATGGTCTGGGAAGAAAGAGTCACTTATGCGGGCCATTAAAAATGAAGTTTAGGCCGGGCGCGGTGGCTCACGCCTGTAATCCCAGCACTTTGGGAGGCCGAGGCGGGCGGATCACGAGGTCAGGAGATCGAGACCATCCTGGCTAATATGGTGAAACCCCGTCTCTACTAAAAATACAAAAAATTAGCCGGGCGTAGTGGCGGGCGCCTGTAGTCCCAGCTACTTGGGAGGCCGAGGCAGGAGAATGGCGTGAACCCGGGAGGCGGAGCTTGCAGTGAGCCGAGATCGCGCCACTGCACTCCAGCCTGGGCGACAGAGCGAGATTCCGTCTCAAAAAAAAAAAAAAAAAAAAAAAATGAAGTTTAATGAAAGCGTGTACATTAAAAAAAAATCCTTCACTATTAGAAGCCAATCTGAGGAAGAGCCTCTTCTGGTTTCTAGGGAATTTACTGAAGAAACTGCATCCAGACGACGCATTCAACACATTTTACACTTAGAGCCTAAAGTATGTTCATTTCTGAAATTCAACGCAGATACATCTAAACGAGCTGACAATGAACAAGAATATTTTTCCTCATTATTGTCTGTCACATTAAACTAAGTAGGGGTTCCTGTAAATTAAGTAAAGTTTGTTTACTTCTAAATATCATCAGACTGTTTTTTTTTCCTTTCTGCTTCTGCTGGTTATGTGTAAACCAAATGTACCTTGATGGGAAGTGTTTCCCCCTAAGAAATCAATGTCATTCACATAGATTGATATAGTGAAGCAATGGAGAATAAGGAAAATTCTCCAAAATGAATTTTCCTAAAAATGAAACACACTGTGAATTGAATAGAAGAAAAAGCATGTTATGAATAGGAGGAAAATAGCCCTGTTTTCCTACAACAAACAGGCCCTCAGCCAAAATACTGTTGCACTTCTGACTGAGTTTGGGGCTATTACTAAAATGGAAATAAAATGTTATTTGTAAAAGATATTTTTTATACTCAAATCTGCATATATATATTCTGTAGCTAACATTTACTACTTATATTCCATGGAAACAGATGCTATACAAATACAAGGATGTACTACTTGTTCATCCGGTAGGCAAATTAGGAATTTTATATCCATGATTGGAGTTTTTAAACATAATCAAAATGAGCATCTTCAAATTTTTTCTTTTCAGAGTGTTATAATTATGCTACATAGTTCCCTCTCAGCTTTAACAGCCAGGTACTTATATTTTTGGCCCAAATTTTGGTCTCAACAAGGCTGGTAAATATACTTACAAAAAGCATATAGAGCAAAATTGACGCAGTCAAATGTTCTCTCTGTATTAATGTGGTTTACTCATGCTAACCACACTTTGTCTCTCCTTCTCATATTTTGATCATTTTACCTAAGGGGATGTACAGAGGAACTGTTCCGTGGGGAAAGAGACGGGTAGTAGTAGAAGACTCTGTCTATATCTTTATGTGAGCAAGGATATGTCAAGTCAATGGGTTAAGCATCAGCTAAATACTTGGACAGGCAAAATGCCATGAAAAATACCTACATCACTTAAGAAAGGGTTGAAACTAGAGAATTATAACATAGTCTCAATCCTGGAAAATACATAGTGAGAAGAAAGATTAAAGGAAGATAGGTATCATGGTGCTTAGGAATTGGGAACTGAGGCAAAGTTAATAAGATAATTAGGGTAGAAAGAAGCTTTGAAAGGTCCTTCCTACAACTTGTACTCAACACGTCACATAACCAGCATGGAAAATGGGCTATATTATATATTGCCCCAGACATGCATTTGCATAAATACTCATACATAATTCACTGAAATGTTTCACAGTGTAGCACATTCAGTGGTCTGCTGTAGCTTACCTACAGGGTTCTAGATTCCAGGGTCAAAGTTTCCCTGCAAACTTGAATGTGTGCATGTCATTTTAATTTTTCTTTGGAGACAGAGGCATCTTGGTCCCAGTTCTATTCATCTTTCTTAAAGCATCTGAGGCTAGGGTAGAAGATGATCACATCAGTAGAGAGTGGCTTGCAGCTAACAGGCAAGGTACATTTGCTTTCAGTTTCCAATGCCTCAATCAAACAGACTTTAAATGTGTCTGGTCCATCAGGCTGTGAGAATATCATGACTGACACTATCTATGGCAGTTTTGAGAATCCCTTCTCTCAACAGTGCCAGTCACACTGCTTTCTGGGTTGGGGCCAGTGGATGTTCTCCCTCTGAATGATTCAAGTTTGACTCACACAACCATGACTCCTTTAAGGAGTACACCTAAATCCACAGCATCTCCTGCACCATTACTAAGATAACATCTCTATAATTCTTCCCAGTTCTCTACATAGTATCTAGTGAAGTTTTCCATGGCACACAAGGATAAACACAAAAAAATATACCTAGATTGTTTGTTTCACATTCTGCAGCGGGATGAAGTCACAGCTACGTAAACCCAATCTAAGGCTATAAAAACCTTGGTACTAGTTAACGTTTCATTGATATTTTTTTCCCATGGGAATTCATCTCTTTGAAGGAACTATCTCCTAGAGAGCCAAAGATCCATTATTACAGTTAAGACCTACTGTACAGGCAGTCTGAGATCTTTTACTGTCTCATCCCAACAACTCTAAGAAGTGTAGGAAGGTCTAAGCCCTAAGATGTCCCAGCTATTGCCATTTTTCCTTTATAAGCATTACACCCTTTACTTTTCCAAAGAGAACCAGTGGAAATTTAATAATTTGCCTGTTTTCTGCACAGAGTAGTTGTAAATTACTTCTTTTTCTGTCCAGAGTTGGTGTGCATCTCTGTAAACTGCATCTGAAAAGAATTTAGATTTTCTTTTTTTATTTTATTTTATTATTATTATACTTTAAGTTTTAGGGTACATGTGCACAATGTGCAGGTTAGTTACATATGTATACATGTGCCATGCTGCTGTGCTGCACTCATTAACTCGTCATTTAGCATTAGGTATATCTCCTAATGCTATCCCTCCCCCTCCCCCCACCCCACAACAGTCCCCAGAGTGTGATGTTCCCCTTCCTGTGTCCATGTGTTCTCACTGTTCAATTCCCACCTACGAGTGAGAACATGTGGTGTTTGGTTTTTTGTCCTTGCGATAGTTTACTGAGAATGATGATTTCCAATTTCATCCATGTCCCTACAAAGGACATGAACTCATCCTTTTTTATGACTGCATAGTATTCCATGGTGTATATGTGCCACATTTTCTTAATGCAGTCTATCATTGTTGGACATTTGGGTTGGTTCCAAGTCTTTGCTATTGTGAATAGTGCCGCAATAAACATACGTGTGCATGTGTCTTTATAGCAGCATGATTTATAGTCCTTTGGGTATATACCCAGTAATGGATTTAGATTTTCTATCCACCTTGTAAGAATTTAGATTTTCTATCCACCTTGCACAGATTTAATACTAGTTGTTAAAGTGAGGTGGACCAGAGGCTGCCTGCCAGTTAATGAGTAACTCTCCCTCCCCAGAGGAGTTAGTAATAACCAGATGCTATTCAGTATTTTATTCTGCAATCACCCATCCAATTCATCCTTGATTATAGGCAATAAAATGGAGGACCACTTATAGAGCTGTTGACCATACAATTTGTCATTTTCACCATAACTTACACAGGCTTCCCTCAAATCCTCTCAATCCGTCCTCAAGGACCTTAGTTCTCTTCTTCAGAACACATCTGTCACTATCACATGTCCACTGCCAAAATTGTCAAGAACGATGAAGAGTCTGAGATTTTATCTTATTCGTCAGTTAACAAATTATGAACACTGCCTTTTTCTGGTGTACAGTCTATGTAATTTCTACAAACGTCTGTAATTATTTGAGGATATCACATAGATGTCTCCAGCAGATGAATACAAGCCACAGCATAGAGATGACTGATCAAGTTACAACCAGACAGGGTTTGTCTGCTTGATCCTGATATTTTAGGAAAACCAAGCTTATCTGTTAGTGTTACAATTTATGCATTATTTAAATTGGATTTGGAACGCACGAATCTATCTCTTTAAACAATACATGCTGGGTAAGTCAAATTTCCAACCTTAATATTGCATTTATCTATAGAAAAAAAGCACGATCTCTATAAGGAAAATCACATAAAATTCATCCTTATAATGTATAACTGATGCTATTTGCTAAGTAGCTTTTTATAATATAATCATATCTGGTATTTTCCCAATAATAATGATTTAAATTGCTGTCTTCTAGCTAGCAAAATGATTCAGTGTATTTAAATTTCCTCATTTTCCTGCATCAAAATGGAAATTTGTTTTTTGAAAATGCATAACTATGTATAAAATCCTTTTAAAAGCATTCATTTTATTTGATGAGCTGTCTATTTGGTACTATACCTATGGAAGCAGATCAATTTTAATATAGGCATTAATAAGACATGTTACCCCCTGGTGCCTAAAGGTGAAAATATAATAGGTCTGCCTTCAGAGAAACATTTCTGAATTCATCTGGTGATTGAACCAATTGTTCACTTGAAGACATTTTACTTAATTAATTCCTACATAAGAATTGTCCAATGTATCACTTCTGAAAACAAAATGCTTCCTTAGTGTATTGGTCTTCATTTTTTAAATGAAAAAAGTTAAACTCAAAGGACACTTTGATAATGAATCTAGAAGATAAATGCAGTGCACTGAGTTCACCATTCACTATGTTATTTACATTCTTTCCAGGGCAGATTCTGCTGCAATCAGCATATTTGTATCCTCCAAAATAAAGCATCTTAGGTAACTTAATCTCTTCGATGCACATAAAGGAGATGAATTGGCATTCCAAAACAATTCTTAATGTTTAAGTTACATTATTAACATAGGTTTAAACATTTTTATCTTGGGTGGATGCAGAAAATTCAGTATCAAAATAATAGTGTCTTGGAGCTATCACTAAAGAGGTGGCTGGTCTTTTTGAATGTCTGATTCTATTTCAATATACTTTGGCAACTCTTGTCTCAGATTCAACACATGACATCTGAGCATGGCAACTAATCATTTTATAGGGGGAAGTGTCCAGAGAAGCAAAAGCAACACTAAAAAGAGTAAAAAGCCAAAAATATATTCATTCAAGGAATACCTACTTGTTAATGAATATACACTGGTTTCTTTTCCTTTTATTTAGCAGACTGTGGCCTACCTGTTTTGAGAATGCTTTTTGAAATATTACTTTATGACATTTTGAGAAGACAAATCTGATCATATTATCGAAGAATATTGTGATCATATAGTAATCACCCTTTTAACAGATAAGAATTTTGCCTATATTTTGTACATAAACATGTTCTATAGAGAATTATCAGTATTTTAAATTTATGATATATTATTCTCTTTCCGAACATAACAAATCTAAGTTTGGTCTTCTGATGCAAAGAATGCTGACAGCACATTCTGGCAAAGCAGGTTTATGAACTCAATCTACAATATGCTGTATACTAAGTGGGCACTGACCAAGTGTTCTAGAGACGAGTTGTTTTTGGAAAGGAGAAAATGATTCTTTAGGACGTCTGACTCTTTGTAGAGGGCTACCAGGAAGGGAAGTATACTTGAAGAAGAGAAACCCCTAAATGATGGAATGCCTCTGGCCCAGTGCGGTGGCTCACGCCTGTAATCTCAGCACTTTGGGAGGCCGAGACAGGCAGATCATGAGGTCAGGAGTTCGAGACCAGCCTGGCCAACATGGTGAAACTGCGTCTCTACTAAAGATATAAAAATTGGCCAGGCGTGGTGGTGGGCACCTGTAATCCCAGCCGGGAAGCTGAGGCAGGAGAATCGCTTGAAACCAGAAGGAGGACGTTGCAGTGAGCCAAGATCGTGCCACTGCACTCTATCCTGGGTGAAAGAGCGAAACTCTGTCTCACAAAACAAAACAAACAAAAAAAGATGGAATACCTCCACTTCTTTTCTAACTCCAAATACCAAGTTAGGCTCAGAAAACTAAAAAAATTGAATGTTTTATTCCATAAAAGCACTGTCCTCAGAATTGTTATACATTATACTGTTTTATATAAGATATTCATATATAGTTGAATGAAATACATATTAATCACAGGAAAAACACAGCCCAAATTAAACAAGCCTCAGGCTGTTTGAGAAGCATTTACCTATTATACATGCCTTGATATGTTGTCAATCTAGACCATAACAGATGAGAACTTCTTATCTTACAGGGTCAAGAAAAGGGTTTACTAAAGAAGAAAGTTTAGCAAAGATCCTGAGGAGGTGTACCTTGGAGCCGCATGGCTATGTTGGGGGGAGAGTTTTCATGTATAAGGAAGAAGAGCAAAGCCATGAGTCACCCATGTGTCTGTTGGGTACAAGCATGGAACCATTGCAGCTTCTATGAAAATAAGGAAAGGAGAGAATACTAGAAAGTATAATAAAGAGGAAGTTAAACTGTCGCTGTTTGCTGTTGGTTATGATCACATACCTAGAAAACCCTAAAGACTCATCCAAAAAGCTCCTAAAGCTGGTAAATGAACTCAGGAAAGTTTCAGGATACAAAATTAATGTACACAAATCAGTAGTTCTGCTATACGCCTACAGTGAGCAAGCTGAGAATCAAATGAATAACTCAACCTCTTTTACAATAGCTGCAAAAAATTAAATTAAATTAAATTAAATACCTAGGAATATACCCAACAAAGGAGGCGAAAGACCTCTCTACAAGGCAAACTACAAAACATTGCTGAAAGAAATTATAGATGACACAAACAAATGGAAACACATCCTATGTTCATGGATGGGTAGAATCAATATTGTGAAAATGGCCATATTGTCAAAAGCAATCTACAAATTCAATGCAATTCTCATCAAAATGCCACCACCATTCTTGCAGAACTAGAAAAAACAATCCTAAAATTCATATGGAACCAAAAATAGCCCACATAGCCAAAGCAAGACTAACCAAAAAGAATAAATCTGGAGGCATCACACTACCCAACTTAAAACTATACTATAAGGCCATAGTCACCAAAACATCATGGTATTGGTATAAAAATAGACACATAGTCCAATGGAACAGAATAAAGAACCCAGAAACAATGCCAAATACAGCCAACAGATCTTCAACAAAGAAAACAAAAACATAAAGTGGAGAAAGGACACTCTATTCAACAAATGATGCTGGGATAATTGGCAAGCTACATGTAGAATGAAACTGGATCCTCATCTCTCAACTCAAAATTGATCAAAGACTTAAATCTAAGACCTGAAACCATAAACATTCTAGAAGATAACATCAGAAAAACCCTTCTAGACCTTGGCTTAGGCCAAGATTTTATGACCCAGAACCTAAAAGCAAATGCAACAAAAACAAAGATAAATAGATGGGACTTGATTAAACTAAAAAGCTTCTGCAGAATAACAGAAATAATCAGCAGAGTTAACACACAACCTACAGAGTGGGAGAATAATCTTCACAATCTATACATCTGACAAAGGACTAACATCCAGAATCTACAAAGAACTCAAACAAATCATCAAAACAAACAATCTCATCAAAAAGTAGGCAAGGACATGAATAGACATTTTTCAAAAGAAGATACACAAATGTCCAACAAGCATATGGGAAAATGTTCAGTATCACTAATTCTCAGGGAAATTCAAATCAAAACCACAATGCGATACCACCTTACTCCTGTACGAATGGCTATAATCAAAAAATTAAAAAAAAATCGATGTTGGCACAGATGTGATCAAAAGGGAAGACGTTTACAATGTTGCTGGGAATGTAAACTAGTACAACTGAAAGGAGTTAGCTTGCCTTAGGTAGATAGCAAAGAAGGGTCCCCAGAGAGCCCCTGGCCCATAGGTCAGTGCCTCATCCTCACATAACATAAAAAGCAGCCCGGGAAAAAAATCAAGCTGCAGACACCATAAGGGAACTAGCACATGGTGCTATGCCTAGAGACATGGCTACGGCTGCACAGATAGAAAAACCTCCGGCCCATTTGGATAAACACTTGCACAAACCTCTGGCTCACTCAGATTAAAAAAAAAAAAAACAAGGCCCAGCGTAGAAATGCCTTTGTCCCTTGTATAATCAGTGGGCTCCCAGGAAAAAGTTTCTTCTCTTTTTGTGGGCATGGCCACAGTGGGCTCCAGTGGGTTCCAGTGGGCACTCTCCTTTCTTTTTTTTGATTGTGAGCCCGGCCTCTATGAATCATCGCTTCAGCCCCTGATTGGTCCTGGACCAAGGTCTCAGGACAAGCTTTTACTTCAGCTCCTGACAGGTCCTGAGGCAAGCTGAGTAGCCTCCATACATCATCGCTTCAGCCCCTGATTGGTCCTGGGCCAAGCTTTCTAATTGGTCCCAGACCAAGGTCCTGGGCCAAGCTGAATCACGCATTCTCTAAGACAGTCTATGGACTGAGCACATTTATTCCCCTTCCCAGTCCATAAAAACCCTGGACCCTAGCCTCAGAGGGGGCACCCCCTTCCGGCTCCCCCCTCCGCTGGCAGAGAGCTTTCTTCTTTTGCTTATCAAAACTTTTGCTCGAACCTCACTTTTGTCTCTGCTCTCCTTAATGTTCTTGGAGGTAGGACAAAGAACTCCAGGTATTACGTCAGACAACAAGAGACTGCTTGGTTGTCTGAGCACAAGACAATCTTGGTGCATTGCTGAAACTAAAACACGACCACTATGAGTAACAGTGTGGGGAGTCCCTAAATAACTAAACATAGATCTACCATTTAATCCAGCAATCCCACTACTGGGTATCTACCCAGAGAAAAAGAAGTCATCATATGAAAAAAGATACATGCACATGCATGTTTACAGCAACAAAATTTGCAATTGCAAAAATATGGAACCCGACTAAAAGCCCATAAATCAATGAGTAGATAAGAAAATGTGATATATATATATATATATATATATATATATATATATATATATATATATATATCAATCACACCATGGACTACTACTTAGCCATAAAAAGGAACGAAATAATGGCATTTACAGTATCCTGGATGGAATTGGAGACTATTGTTCTAAGTGAAGGAATGGAAAATCAAACCTTGTATGTTCTCACTTACAAGTGGGAGCTAAGCTATGAGGATGCAAAGGCATAAGAATGATACGATGGACGTTGGGGACTTGGGGGAAAGGGTGGGAGTAGGGCTGAGGGATAGAAGACCACACATTGAGTACAGTGTACACTGCTTGGGTGATGGGTGCACTGAAATCTCGGAAATCAGCACTAAAGAACTTATTCATGTAAACAAACACCACCTGTTCCCCAATCACCTATTGAAATAAAGAAGTTAAAAAAAATTTTTAAAAAAGAAACAAAAAAAAGTGTAATAAAGAGGTAAGCACAGAGTGCTTCATATACAATTCTAAGGACTTTGACTGTTATGGTGACTGAAACAGGAAACCAATGGATGGTTTTGAGAGACATGACTTCTGCCTTAACTGAAGATTTCTTGTTACTTGGAGAAAATATACTGAATAGAGAGCAAGGGCAGAACGGGGAGACAAATTAGGAGACAATTGACATAAATGTGATGATGTCATGGAGTATGTAGTATAAATGAAAGTAATCATATATGGACACATTTTCAAAATATTTTAAAGTTAGTATCAACAGGGTTTGTTAATATATGAAACATGGAGTAAAAGATAAAGAGAACAGAGAAGGAAGCTAAAATATTCTTGCTCTCACTTTGATTTTATGTTGAGCTCTTTTAAGAAATAAATTCAAAGCTCTTGAAAGTTATACCCATGTCATATTCCTGCAAGTTACCTTAGACCTGGGTGGTGCCCTGAGTCCTGAAGTGTGTTAAAGATTCACTATCTCTTTTTTGGGTCAAGTTTCTTGCTTATTCTTTCTGTGTTCTCTCAGAGTGTTGTACTTAAAAACCCATCAACTTCCCCCATTTTCCCAAGTGAATTTGAACTTGTATAAGAGGCAATAATCCCCCAATTCCTCTTTATCTATCTATTCATCTAAATATAGACGCTCCTCAACTCATGATAGGGTTATGTCCCTATAAACTCATGATAAATTGAAAGTATTCTAAGTTGAAAGTGCATTTACTATACCTAAACTACTGAACATCAATCATAGCATAGACTAGCCTACCTTGAACATCCTCAGGACACTTACATTAGCCTGCAGCTGGGCAGAATCATCTGACAACACGGTACGCTGAAGAACGTCGGTTGTTTATCCTACTGATTTGCTGGCTGACTGCCTAGCATCTGGAGAGAGCATCATACTGCATATCACTAGCCTGGGAAAAGATCAAAATATAAAATTTCAAGTATAGTTTTACTAAATACATATTGCTTTCACAGTATCCTTTAATTAAACATAAATTGAACTATAGTTAAGTTGGGGGCTATCTGTACTTACGTAATGTAATGCTTACAAAATGCCAGCCACATTCTCTAATTTATATAGAGCTTTATCACTCATTCAGTTCTTACAGCAATACTTTAAGGTAAATGTTACAATGACCTCTGATTTAGAGATTTAAAAACTGAGACACAGAAGGCTTAGAGTGAGTCTGCAAGGTTACTTAGTGATAACTACAGAGCCAGGATTCAAATGCTATGGGAAATCCCATGCTCCTAACTGCTCCAGATTCTCTATGTTTTTATATCTATTTGACAGGTATATTCCTGGGCATCCCATATACCTCGAATAAGCATGGAAAATAAAAGTAATGTAAGAAACTCAAGAGTATAAATGCATTTTTGAAATTAAAAATAAGTTTTGGGAGTTTATTATATAACATTTATAATTTTAGGTTCTTGCTTTTCACTTATGCAAATTAATGTCAAAATAAATGTATTTTTGATATTGCATATTCTACATTACTTACAACTTAAATTCAGTTATCAGTTCAATGGGCGTATAACTTATTGTCAAACTGGAAAAATGGTGACAGTGAAAGAGAATGGTATTAATAATTATGCCAGGACAATAGGCATAAAGGATTGTCACAGGCAGTTCCCTTAGAGGTGGGTCTATGCAGATACAATGAAATGGCTTTGCTTCTTCAACCTAAGCTGCTAGATTGATTCTCTAATTAAAACAATTAATTCAGGTTTTCTATGCCATACTACACATTTTTGGAAATGCACTTTTTTACTTTACACAGTAAAAATCTGCCACTCTGGTAAATGAATACTCATAATTGTAAGTTTGTTTCCTATTGTCTTGTTAAATTTCCTACTGTTGTAATTGTATTCATTAATCATTGGGTGGAGAATATAAAGCATTTCCATGAAACACCAGGCTGTGAAATGGGAAAGTGACCTCCAGCTTGGAAAATCATGGCTTTAGGATCTTTATATTTGTTTTCTAAATTGTTTTAAGCTTTTCCCAATGTTTACATTAAAGCAGGAGACTATTAACTTAGCACTATGGTTATAGTGCTATGTAAGCATAGGCATATAAATAGATGTCCTGTTTTTCTTTTCTTTTCTTAGCAATATGATCCCCAAACTCAAAGAAACAGAAACTTTTTCCCTTATTGTCATTCCTGGTGTTGGGGGAAGGTAATATATCCCAGTGCATAAAACCGTCCTCATATTCTGGATATATTATCCTCTCTTATAAGCATCCCAGTAATAATATCAACAACATGTTATGATCATGTTATTCCCCTACCATAACAAAAAAAAAAGGAGGAGTTTTCACTGTATACAATCTGAAGTGTGACTTCTTACCATTGCTGAAGGGTGTTAATCTATTCTTTTTTTTTTTATACTAAAATACTTATTTCTCCTCTTCCCCCCTGCCCATTTTAACATCTCTGAACCTGAGAAGGGAATACCAATCACAGCTGGTCTGGTGGCAGTTGTGGGGATATACTACTGTCAGACTACTCTTTATGAACCTGGTCAATAACTGTTCATGTTATCAGCACTTCTATTATTTAAATAAAAACAAACTAAAATTTTCGACTTTTGTAACATTTCTAGTTGTTAGAAAGTTATTGCATTGTACTTTTCATGAAAGCATTATTTTTTTCTTCTAAATATTGCAGGTAAATTCAATGAAGCATCTTATAATCAATACGTCTTAAATTTGATGGAGTACAGAAGCTTGCAGAGATTATTCCTAAATGCTTTTATTCATGTACCTCATATTTTGGACACATAGTTCTCTCTTATAAATATCCCAGTAATATTATCAACATCAGATACCTCCTAATGCAATAATAACACAGCATAATTTCTGTAGTGTATATTAGACAATGCAAATTGATATGTATTCTACAAAATGATTGACCAGTAATCTTCAATAGTTTCAAAGTCAAGACAGACAGAGAAAATACTCCATATTAGAGGAAACTATAGAAATATGCCAACTAAATTCAATGTGTGAGCCTGAATTGGATTCTGGAATTGAAAAGGAATATTAGTGATACAAAGAATAAAAGTTGAATAAAATCCCTAGATTGGCTAATAGTATTGCATTAATGTCAACTATTTTTTATAATTGCACTTTTTGATTATATAAGTAAACGCCACTTGGGAAGCTGGATAGGTAAATGGGTTCTGCGTTATTTCTGCAACTCTTGTAAGTATACATTTATATCATTATAAAAGTTAAAAAATAAAAATATAAAAAGTAAAATGCATTTTATTTCAAAAGAAAGAAAAGAAACCAAAGTTATATTTTAGAAAGATATCTATGGTAACTGATAAAATTTGATTTTATGGATTATATTAGAAAAGTAGAGAATGTGAACTGATGAACTTAAAGAAAGGGACTAATTGAAGAAGCATAACACACGGCCACGCACACAGTGCTACTTCCTGAAAATTAGATTTCTGAATGGCGCCACTAAACTTCAGGTACTTTTTATGTTCCTAGGATTGTATTACAGGAGTTATTAAGAAATTATTTTGGCCGGGCGCGGTGGCTCACGCCTGTAATCCCAGCACTTTGGGAGGCCGAGGCGGGTGGATCACGAGGTCAGGAGATCGAGACCATCCTGGCTAACACGGTGAAACCCCGTCTCTACTAAAAATACAAAAAATTAGCCGGGCGTGGTGGCAGGCGCCTGTAATCCCAGCTACTCGGGAGGCTGAGGCAGGAGAATGGCGTGAACCTGGGAGGTGGAGCTTGCAGTGAGCCGAGATCGTGCAACTGCACTCCAGCCTGGGCCACAGAGCAAGACTCCGTCTCGGGAAAAAAAAAAAAAGAAAAATAAAGAAAGAAATTATTTTAGGCAGCTAGAAAGGGTAAAAGAGTCCTCGGTAAGGCTTTTTTTTTAATAATAAAGCAGCCCCCAAAACATTTCTTTTCTGACAGAAAGCAGCCTGAAAAACCAGACCTGCAAGCATCGATATGCAAGTCACAGGCTTGCATATGTAAACGCAGGTGGCTCAGAGCCAAGTACACCCAATATGGCGGTTCCCGCTACTTTTTCTTTGTTGCCACGTGTGCAGACATCATGACAGTGAGCCAGGTAGAGGCCATGTGTACAGGTATCATGGCGACCAGCCAAGTAGTCACATTTACATAATCAAAGTTAGGGTGGGAGGGACTTTTTTGGGGGGGCTATTTGAATGACACAACTGGTCAAGTCAATCCCTTGGGCCCTATGCAAATCAGACGCCACCTCCTCAAGCCTCCCAGTGTAACCTACTGCCTTCCGCCCCAGCAGGGTTATTCTGTTTGGAGCCCTCCTCCCTTTGTAAGGAAGAACTGTTCTTTTCTTTTTCTTGCTTACTAAACTTTCCAGTCCTTAATCCGCTCCACGTGTGTCCATGTCACTAATGTTCTCAGCACGAGACCAAAAACCCTGGGTGTTTCCCCAGACAATGGAGCCATATCAATTGGACCAATAATCATGTGAGTCACTGAAAGACATGCCTTTGACATGTGCATTCATTTAAATTACTTTACATCTTTTTAATATGAAAAAAATAGATTCACCTTAAAGGTAATCAGTATTTCCATTTTAGTCCTATTTAAAGAAGAGTTTTAAGATTAACTTTCAGGAGGGACTATTGTCAAGAGATTCTTGGGCACTTATACATAGGATTAACAACATTTATTAAGGCCTATGATAAGGTAGCCCTTGTGATAGATGATCAAACCAAATATAAACACAAAACCTGTTTGTCATGGTGAATGGAAAGTATAGACAAACTAGCTGAATAAATATGTATACATTAAACATAGAGGGAACATGAATAATTAACTCCAATGACAGTGGAAGTTAGTAATGAAGACATTATTTTTTAGAGGGTAGAGAATTCCAAGTGATTTGCAGTTAATTACCTTTAACTATTTGAAAATACTTTCCATTATAATTTACCTTTTCTTGTTGCTGTTGTAATGTCAGCTGTAAAGCTTAGTATTGCTATTTTGTAGGTAAAATTTCCTTTACTTCCTCCTATTGAGAGGTGAAAACGTGCTAGCAGCCCTTGCTCGCTCTGGGCTCTCGGCGCCTCCTTGGCCTCTGCGTCCGCTCTGGCCGCGTTCCAGGAGCCCTTCGACCCGTCGCTGTGCTGTGGGGGCCCCTCTCTGGGGCTGGCCGAGGCCTGAGCCGGCTCCCTCTGCTGGCGGGGAGGTGTGTGGGGAGAGGCGCGGGCAGGATCCATGGCTGCGCGAGGCGCTTGCAGGCCGGCGCGGGTTCCGGGTGGGCCCAGGCTCAGCGGGCCCTGCACTCGGCGCGGCAGGCTGGCGCCTGCTGGGCTTGATTGGGGGACGAGCTCCCTCTGGGCTGCCAGAGTGCCTGGACTAGGTGCCGCAGTAAAATCCTGGGCGAGCGCTATTGAGAGGTGAAGCCGGCTGGGCTTCTGGGTTGGGTGGGAACCTGGAGAACTTTGCTGTCTGGCTAAAGGTTACTAAACGCACCAGTTGGCACTCTGTGTCTAGCTAAAGGTTTGTAAACGCACTAATCAGCACTCTGTCAAAATGGACCGATCAGCTCTCTGTAAAATAGACCAATCAGCAGGATGCGGGTGGGGCCATATAAGGGAATAAAAGCAGGCCACCGAGGCAGCAGCACAATCCCCTCGGGTCACCTTCCATGCTGTGGTAGCTTTCTTCTTTTGCTGTTTGCAATAAATCTTGCTGCTGTTGACTTTTTGGGTCCATGCCCCCTTTATGAGCTGTAACACTCACCCCGAAGGTCTGCAGCTTCACTCCTGTGGCCAGGGAGACCATGAACCCACCAGAAGGAACGGACAACTCCAGATGCGCCACCTTTAAGAGCTGTAACACTCACCGCGAAGGTCTGCGGCTTCACTCTTGAAGTCAGCGAGACCACAAACTACGGAAGGAAAAAACTCCGGACACATCTGAACATCTGAAGGAACAAACTCCTGACCATCTTTAAGAACTGTTAACACTGCGAGGGTCCGCGGCTTCATTCATGAAGTCACCGAGACCAAGAACCCACCAATTCGGGACACACTATCTCTACTCTCATCTTGACTTCTGACTGTTTTTAAGTTTTTCTCTGCATCTTTGGTTTTCAACAATTCTTTTATACTTTTTGATGTTTTGTGGTCTGGTATTTTTTAGTTTCCCCCACTTAAGATTTTATTATTTTTATGTCTGTGGCATAATGTCACTTCCAGGCTTTGCCAGTTCTCAGACATGACCTATTTGATAATTGATTCCTAATAATTCTCAACTCTTTTCCTCTAATTAAATATATGTTAGAAACTTTCACCATGTTACATGCGTTCTTACCCTCTAGTCAACATTTTCCTTCTTTTGTTATTTACTTTATTTATTTATTTTTGAGACATGGTCTCCATCTGTCCCCGAGTCTGGAGTGCAGGGGCACCATTTCGACTCAGTGCAACTTCCGCCTCCCAGAATCAAGAAATTCTCGTGCTTCACAAGAAAAAATAGCTGGGCATGGTGGCACATGCCTGTACTCCCAGCTACTTGGGACTCATGCTGAGCAAAATTTTTGTGTGTGTTTTTAGTAGAGGAGGGGTTTCACAGTGTTGGCCAGGCTTGTCTCAAACTCTGGGCCTCAGGCAATCTGCCCGTCTTAGCCTTCCCAAAGCATTGGAATTACAAGCATAAGTCACCACGCTTGGCCCGTTTTCCTTCTTTTAATTGCTTATGCTTCTACCTGAATGTTTACTTTTGACCTATCTTTCTACTGATTAATTTTCTCTTCACCTGTGTCTAATCTGCTGTTAAATACATAAAATGGAGTTTTCATGTCTATTTTCTTTTTTGGTTTTTGAATAAACATTGGTTTATTTTATTTGTTAAGTAAATCGTGTTGTGGATATTTAAGGTGTATGCAACACGATGTGAGATACACATAGTAAAATGGTCAGTATAATAAAGCAAATTAAAATATCTATCATCTCACATAGCTATTTATTTTTTTGTGTGCTAAGAACGGCTAAAATCTATTCATTTAGCAAAGATCCCGAAAACTACAATATTATTAACTATAGTCTTTTTCACATCTTCATGTTGATCTCTAGCCTTCTTCATCCTATGTATCTGCAACTTTGTATCCTTTGACATACATCCTCCACTTTCCTTCTCCATTCAATCCCTGGTTACCACTGTTTTATTCTGTGTCTGTATATTTGCCCTTTTAAAAGAAATAGATTCCACATATGAGATAATGCAATATTTTTCTTTCTGTGTTTGGCTTACTTAGCATAATGTCCTCCAGGTTTATCCATTTTGTGGCCAATGTCAGGATCTCCTTTTTAAAGGCTGAATAATAGTCATTTTATATATATGATTATATGCATACACACACACACACACACACACACACACACACACACACCAGAGTTACTTTACACATATTTTGTCAATTGACATTTAAGTTGCTTCTTTTTTTTTTTTTTTTTTTTGAGTAGAAGTCTCACTCTTGTCCCCCAGGCTGGAGTGCAATGGTGTGATCTCTGCTCACTGCAACCTCTGCCTCCCGGGTTCAAGCGATTCCCTGCCTCAGCCCCTTGGGTATCTGGGATTACAGGCGCATACCAACACGCCTGGCTAATTTTTGTATTTTTAGTAGAGACGGGGTTTCACCATGTTGGCAAAACTGGTCTCGAACTCCTGACCTCAGGTGATGCGCCCGCCTCAGCCTTCTGAAGTGCTGGGATTACAGGCATGAGCCACTGCGCCCGGCCTAAGTTCCTTCTGTATTTTGGTTATTGTGAATAATGCTGAATAAACATGGGAGGGCAGATATGTTTTACAAAATGGTGATTTTTATTTTCTTTGGGTATATACTCAAGAGAAGAACAGACAGTTCTCACAAGAAGACATACAAGTGATGAGCAAACATATGAAAAAATGCTCCATATCAGTAATCATCAAAGAAATGCAAATCAAAACCACAATGGAATGCCATCTCACACCTATCAGATTGGCTATTATTAAAAAGTCAAAAAATATCATATGCCTGTGAGGTTGCAGAGAAAAGAGAAGACTTATACACCGTTGGTAGGAATGTAAATTAGTCCAGCCACTGTGGAAATCAGTTTTGAGATTTCTCAAAGGATTTAGAATGACCATTCAACCCGGCAACCCCATTACTGGGTATATATCAAAAAAAATAAAATAAATCATTCTACCAAAAATACACATGCACTCACATGTTCATTGCAGCATTATTCACAATTGCAAAAACATGGAATCAACCCAGGTGCCCATCAGCAGTAGATTAGATAATAAAAATGTAGTGCATATACATCATTGAATACCACCCAGCCTTAAAAATGAAATTATTTCTTTTGCAGCAACATGGGTGCAGCTAGAGGTCGTTATCATAAATTGCTTAATACAGATCAGAAAACCAAATACCACGTGTTCTCGCTTATAAGTGGGAGCTGAATATTAAGTACTCATGGACACAAAGATTGCAACAATAGATACTGGGGACAACTACATGGGAGAGGGGGAGACAGTGAAAAAGTTGAAAAACTAACTATTGGGTCCTATGCTCACTACCTGTGTGCCAGGATCCCTCATATCCCAAATCTCAGCATCATGCAATATACCCATGTAACAAACCTGCACATGTGTTCCCTGAATCTAAAATAAAAGTTAAAATTATTTTAAAAAATAGTAATACCAATACTAAAGGTCAGGCATGGTGGCTTATGCCTTTAATAATACCAGCACTTTGGGAGGCCAAAATGGGAAGATTGCTTGAGGTTAGTTAAGAGTTTAAGATCAACTTAGGCAACATACTGAGATCCCACCTCCCCCGCCAAAAAAATGTAGCTAGATGTGGTGGCAGGTGCCTGAAGTCCTAGATAATGGGGAAGCTGAGGCGGGAGTATCCTTTGAGCCCAGGAGTTTGAGGCTGCAGTGAGCTATGATCACACCACTGCACTCCAGCCTGCGCAACAGAGTGAGATCCTTTCTCTAAAAATACAAAAATTTTTAAAATATATAATTAAAATAAATAAATACTATTTCATGTTAATGAAATCATACACACTCACAAAGTAAATTTTGACCACTTACTGGTCTCGATGAATCAAAATACATATCAAATTTTTTCTTTGCTGTTGAGTTTGGATCAGAATACACAGGCACATATTTATATAATAATATATTAAGTTGGTGCAAAAGTAATGCGGGTGTTTTGCCATTACTTTCTTGTTTTTTTTTTTGAGACGGAGTCTCGCTGTCGCCCAGGCTGGAGTGCAGTGGCGCAATCACAGCTCACTACAAGTCCGCCTCCTGGGTTCACGTCATTCTCCTGCCTCAGCCTCCGCAGTAGCTGGCACTACAGGCGCCCGCCACCACACCTGGCTAATTTTTTGTATTTTTAGCAGAGACAGGGTTTCACAGTGTTAGCCAGGATGGTCTTGATCTCCTGACCTCGTGATCTGCCCTCCTCGACTTCCCAAAGTACTGGGATTATAGGCGTGAGCCACGGTGCCCGGCCTTTTGCCATTACTTTCAATGGCAAAAACTGCAATTACTTTTGCACCAACCTAATATCTCATGTGTATATTTTTATATTACCTCAATTTCATCTGGTCAATATAAATGTGCCACTATTTGTTAAGCTACAGCTATACATTATGCTTTCAAAATTTACATTTCTCCAGCCGGGCGCGGTGGCTCATGCCTGTAATCCCAGCACTTTGGGAGGCCGAGGCGGGAGGATCACGAGGTCAGGAGATCGAGACCATCCTGGCTAACACAGTGAAACCCCGTCTCTACTAAAAATACAAAAAATTAGCCGGGCGAGGTGGCGGGCGCCTGCAGTCCCAGCTACTCTGGAGGCTGAGACAGGAGAATGGCGTGAACCCCTGGGGGCGGAGCTTGCAGTGAGCCGAGGTCGTGCCACTGCACTCCAACCTGGGCGACAGTGAGACTCTGTCTCAAAAAAAAAAAAAAAAATTTACATTTCTCCAATTTTAATCTTTTTCTGTACATATAAAATTTATAGTGCCATTTCTGACTTGTATACCTTTGCTTCTGTGAATGATTCTAAGTCTATACAATGGATGAAACAGAATTATGAACCAGTCCTTCTGGTGTATCTTGAATATAGCTTTTAGGAATTTTTTTCAGGATCCATTTCATTTCACTTCTTCAATAATGACTTTTTACAGCTTTTATAATTGTATTTTTTAAATTAATACATATTACAGGGACATATTTCCAGTGTACATGTGATGACTTTATACATGCATATTACCAGAACAGGACAATTGATATATCCATCATCTTAAAAATTTATCTTTTCTTTAGGCTAGGAATATTTATATTTTTCTCTTCTTGCTATTTTGTAATGGTTAATTGATTAATGATAGCTATAGTCACCCTACTGATCTATCAAACATCAAGTCTTATTTCTTCTAAGTGTATATTTGTACCCATCCATCAACTTCTTTTCATCCTTTCCAGCTTTTGAACTGTAATAATGTATTTGTTTTAGTTCTCTTGGTTCTTATCACACAGTTATTTGCTTTGTAATTTGCTTTATTGTTAATTGTTTTTCACTTAGACAGATCAAGAGACATGTGGACCCAGGGACCAGTATTTCATGTTATAATTATCGCTTCAGATCCTAGAACAGCATTGACTAACACTAGGAGGAGTTATTACTTGTTAGTCCTTGATGGATAATACTATAGAGCTGCTTCATAACCTGTCAGAAATTCTACCTTCTTTTATTATCTAGAAATGATAGTTTGTTACTAAAATATTGTAACCAAATTGTTCCTTAATCTATTTAATTTTATATATGCCTGCACAATGGCATCGCATGGTCATTTCCAACTGTTACGATAACAAATTCACAAGTCACTCCAGTATACCATACTGTGACACTGAAATATCTCACAGTATTCTTTATTCAAACTGAAATGTAGAATATATTACATTGTAGTAATTAATTCATTCATTTAGCAAGTATATTGAGTACTTAGTTACTTCATACCAAGCTTTAAGCAAAGCACTTACTTCATATAAAGCTTTAGGCAAAGCGCTTGCTGTACAACTGTGAAAGCACCAAAAACATCTGACTTTGTACAACTTGTATTCTAGTTGAAGAAAGAAGATATTAAGCAATTAACATTTAAAAAGCAAATTATATTGAATGCTATGGAAAAATAGAGCAGGGTAAACAGGGTCAGTGTGGGGTTGGGGTACTAGATGTAGAAATTTTAAAATAGGAAGGTCAGGTTAAAACTCATTAAGAAGCTGGTGTAACCAACTACTACAAACTGGATGGCTTAAACACCAGAAGGTTGTTGTCTCATATAAGAGACAATAGTGGCTTGGCACAGAAGTGGAGTGCAGAGAGAGGTGGCTTAATTTTGATATATTTTGAAATCAATAGTATATACTCTTCAATTAAATGTGGGGCTTGAAATAAAAAGAGGAAACAAAGATGTGTCAGATTTTTGAAACAGAATTTCTCTCTTGCAGAATATTTTATTTAACTATTCTTTAATACCTTTCAAATATATTAATTACAGGTACAAATGTGTTCACTTTCCCCCGAATGCCCCTTCTGCAAAGAAAGAATGTTAAGGATATTTATTTAATTTAAAAGCAATTTTTGATACTGATTTTCTTTCTTATCTTACAAGGATCTTCTCTTGGTCCTTGTAAGGTACTTCAAAATAAAATAACATAGTTCTCATTGTTTTATTTCTCTGTTAGATATTTTGATACTTTGTATAAAGCTCTCAATATCAAAATAAATTGAATTGAGTTGGTTATAGTCTTTATCACAAAGAACACTTTTTTTAAAACTTTCATTTTAGGTTTGGGAACACACGTGCAGGTTTGTCATATGGGTAAATTTTGTGTCATGGGGGTCTGGTGTACAGATTATTTTGTCACTCAGGTAATAAGCCTAGTACCCGGTACTTTTGACTGAAATGACAGTCAGTAGGTAACTATATTGGCTACTTCTATACTCTCAAAATGGCATCCATGTATTTTTCTTTGGGAGATAATATACAAAATGACATGATAATTTAGATTGCTACTATTACTTTCAGCTACCTTCACTTTGGTTTCATATAAAATTATTCTTTGCCCCATAGTAGTAAAAATTAAGATTTATTTAAAAAATATACCACAACTTATAGAAATTCATCCAAATCCTGTTCTTATAAATAGAGTAACTTTAGATGTAAAATCTAAAAAAATGAAATGAACAAATATTACTTGGGCAGTGATTAGTTTCCCAGAGCTGCCATAACAATGCACAGTAAACTACATGGCTTAACACAATAGAAAATTGCTCTTTTATAGTTCTGAAGCATCAGAGTCCAAAATCAAGATGTCTGCAGGGCCATTCTTCCTCTGAAACCTGTAGGGGAGAATTCTTCCTTGCTGTTTCCTAAATTGTGGTGGTTTGCTGGCAATCCTTGTAGTTCCTTGGCTTACAGCTGTTAACACCTCATTTTCTGCCTCCATTGCCAATGGAGATCTCTCCTCCTGTGTTTGTCTTTACATTGTTTTCACTTTTCTTATAAAAACACTTGTCATATTGGATCAAGAGATCACCCTACTCCAATATGACCTCATATTAATTTAACTGCAATGGCTGTATTCCTAAACAGCATCTCATTCCGAGCTGCTGGGAGTTAGGGGTTCAACCTATTTCTTTGGGGAGTATAATATCCATAATAAGTAGTAAATGTCTTTTCTCTAGAGATTGTAAATTTCTTCTACTAAGTTTTTATTAGCCATGCTGCAGTTTCATTAACAATAAAAAGCCATTAATGATTTTAATAGTTGTTGAAACGAATGGAATAAAAATTCATTTTTAGGAGGCCTATATTGGCATGCAAAATTGAAGAGCCTGATTTTTTGGAAACTCATTCTGTTGCAATGAAACGTGTACCTTGAGAAGTAGGGCTTTGCGTAGTCAATGTTCTCCAGATAAATAGAACCAAACAGAGCTAATAGGGGGTGTGTGTGTGTGTGTGTACACACACAAATTTTTATTACAAGGAATTGGCTCACTTGATTATGGAGCCTGATAAGGCTGCAGAGTGAACTAGCAGGCTGGAGACCCACAAGGGCTTATGGTGCTGTTCCAGTCTAAAGGCAGCAGGCTTGAGACCCTGAAAAAGCTGATGGTCCAGGTCATTGATATTGGCTTCTGCTTTTTGGGGCTCTAATATTTGAGAGATAGACTAATAATAAATATATCCCTCCACTATTGATTAGCTACTATATTTTCCAGGAATATTTCAGTTTGCAAAAAGTAAGAGGCAACTAAAACTGATTACAAAATATAGAAACTTTTTTTTAACTAACAAAAAGGAATTTATTGACTAATTCCAACCATGTGGTAAACTTGTCTTCTGGAATGATTGGCATCACTCTTGCTCTTGCAGCTCAGATATGTTTTATTCTTTGAGTTGATTTCATTTTCAGACAAATTTTCAGAGTGGTGGAAAATAGGGCCTCCCCACTAGCTGGGCCACTCCATGGCATACAGAATGTCTCCTCCGCTAGTTCTTGCAAAAGTCACAGGGAGAGTGCTCATAAAGCTGGTGGCCTAGGCATGTGGCATTGCTCAAGATTGCTATAGATCCCTTGCACTGCCTAAACAGGGAGTGAGGAAGATGTGGCTTCTTCAAGAAAAACCAAGTCACTGATATCAAAAAGAAGAGAGAGAAACATAAGTATGGTAAATAGAAAGACCAAGCACTGAGTTATTTGCCCTACTTATGTTCCCTGTAAGTTTCAGAATCATTACAAGATTCTTGTTTTATCACCTTTATCCTGATGGAAACTCAGCCAAGTTAAGTAACTTGTCCCAAATTTAGACAGCTAAGTAATTTCTGAGTTAGGGTTCAAACTTGGTTGCTTAACTCCAAATCCAATTTTCTTTCCAAAATATCACACTAACTCTATTAAAAATCAGAGCCAGGTTCATGGATGGGCCATCTGGGAAGCTTATTTGGCACCAGAGTAGAAGCAATGCTATGACATTGGTCTAAATTTGAATTATGGTACCTGGAATCTCGGAATTTTATATGTGACTCCTTATATATCTTAGGAAATACACCTGGTCACATTCTTTCAACAGGCAACAAAACCTCAGAATAGAAACAAAAATCACTTGTCATCGGAGTTGACTGATCTCTCCTGAGTACTTTTGTAATAAATATGTGTAAGGTGTGAGGGGGTTTTGTGGTCCTGACCATCAAACAAAACATGTTAGATCAAACTTTGCAATCAAAGGTTAACAAAAGAAGATACTTATTCATCATTATGTGTAGCTCTGAACATTTCCACATAGTAAGTTACTTAATTACTACAACAATGCTGTAAGCGAACTATTTTTACCACCCCTATTTTACATATGATGCAAGCAGGGCAAATTGTTAAGTTACCTCCCAAAAAAGGTTACTGAATTAGTGAGTAGAAGGGCAAGTGTCATCTAAACAGAAAAGAATGATCTATTCACAGTAGCTAAGATACGGAAACAACCTAAGTGTTCATTGATGGATGAAGAAAATATGGTGTGTGTATACATATATATGTACATATGCACAAATATACACATATATACAATACATATACACATATATTAAAGTAATGGCAAAAACAGCAATTACATTTTCACCAAACTAATATATACTGTACAGATATACATATATAATTTAATATTATTCGGACATTTAAAAGAAGGAAATCCTGCCATTTGTGACAACTTGGATGAACCTGGAGAACACTGTGCTAAATGGAAAAGCCAGATGCAGAAAAACAAATACTACATGATCTCACATGTTGCTCAAAAAGTAGGAACTTTCAGTTATAAGATGAATCAGTTCTGGGGATCTAATTTTTATAGGTAACAATACTGTACTCTTTACTTGAAATCTGCAAAAAGAGTAGATCTTAAGTGTCCTCACCCTCCACACACACAAGAGTAACGATGTGTGGTGATGAACGTGTTAATTTAATTGTTGTAATCTTTACACAATGCATATGCACACCAAATTATCACATAGTACTCCTTAAAATATATGATTTTTATTTGTTAATTGTACCTCAGTAAAGCTGGAAATTATCCTTTCAACTTAGTTGTGTTGTTGCAAAAATATCCAAAACAAAACAGTATCTGTGAAGGTAAATTATAATGTTGCATTTTATGTAGACTATTCACCTTTTATTTCAGTTATTTCAAATTTAAAGGAATATGAACGTTTATGGAACAAATTTATAGAAAAAGGTTTCCTTTCCAACTAAATATTTATTTTTTTAACTTTGTTTTAACTAAGAACTAAACTATTAGGCTGATGCATGTGCCCATCAGGCTCTGTCCAGAGCTGATAGAAAGCTGTAATGACAGTCAGTTCCTAATTGAATTAAGGATATTTTCCTGAATTTTCACGGAGCTGCTTTCAATTTCTCTGCACTTGCTTTCTATTGAAATCCATTACCCTAAGGGAGAGTTATTTCTGAATATGAAATTCCCTTTTCTTACACCTTTATATTTAAACAATGTTAATCACTTTCCTCTATTTTCTCCATTTCCTCTTCACATTTGATTCATACTCTGCTTATGCTTTTTTTTTTCCTGGCCTGCAAATATCTTGTCAAGTTGGTGCTGTTATTTCACGTGTTAGACAATCTTTCATTCCTTCACTTGCCAAATTATGGAAAACTTTGATAAAATAGGAAAAAGTAGTTAACTGTGTTTAAAAACAAGTTGTGAATCACCATGGATCCGAATCAGAGTAAAAAAATTAGTTATGTTTGAGGCTGAGCCCGCAGGCCTGTTGGGTTCCAGGACAGAAACTAGGAAATATAACCAAGGCTTCCAATTTTTTGTTCAGAGCTTTCATGGTGTTCATTCTGCTGGACCTAGTATAGTATAAATTCTAAACCTTGAAAAAATTAAGCTAGAATCTTGTGACTACTGAGAGGCTGTTTCATCCACTGAGCTGCTTCTGGAGACACTGGAGGGAACAGTGACCCAAGGCTGGGTCTGGGAACATGATCTGCAGAATTGCCAGTGATAAGAGCCCCAAGACACCAGATTAAGATTTCGTGCTGCAACAGGGAGCTTGTGTGTTCAGATAGACTAAGCTGACAGACAAGGATAATTATAGAGGAAGGAAAACATACTCACACACACACATACATACACAAAACTGCTATGCATTTTTAGCACTGCAATAATGCATTCTATGTATTTATGATTTTATTCAAATTTGATTTTAGCTTTACATTATTTAAAAGGAAGTCCTATAAAAAGGTGGAGCTTCATAATGGTATTTGGAAATACCTTAGGAACATATAAGGGGATATTAGATAAAATAATGCATTTAATAAATTAATTCTCATTCAGACAAAAATGAATCTTATTTTTTATTTGTTTTTTGATATCTCACCTGCTTACAAGTGAACAAAGCAACAGCTTCTTGCTTGTACTAAACTTTCATGTGCTAGAATTTTTAATTAAAATTTTTATTATTGTTTCATACAAACAGCAAATCATTAATATGGCTTAGTTTAATGCCAATAAAATCTCAATCGTCTGTGGAGAAGTAATTCTTAGACAAACTATTTCCTTCATACTAAAATGAAATAATGACTTTATCTGGTTTTTATTCACTTTCACTGTATAAACAGTTACAGATAATATATTACTATTGTCTGGGAATAGGAAAAACTTTAAACCTTAGACATGTCTTGCAAATATTAGCCTAGAAACATACATACAATTCTAAGGTCCCTATTCACTAGACATTTAATTTACCTTGATAAGATCAAATTTTATTTGCCTTTGTCTATAATGACAAGTATTGCTGAGTGCTCCCTTAGGGTAAACATTTTAACATGTATGTCTAGAACTACTGTACTTATTACTCTGATATTTACCACTGACTTTTGAGTACATCTGCTCTTCCTACATTATGCATTAAGGCCCATCCAGTATAGCACAGTGAATTCACAGGGTTGTTTTAACTTTTTAAAGGGTCATATTAGATTATGAGTCATTTTTAAAATATAAAAACAAAGCAACTTAATTTTTGAATCTTATTTATATGTCATAAATTTTTCAAATATTATTTTTTAGGTTCTAATCAGCCAGTTTAAACATACTATCACATGACATAACTCACATTCATCTTTTGAATAAGATAAAGTCATTTCCTTTTCTCTGAGGATAATGAAGAGGAAAACTTTTTTTTTTTTTTTTTTTGAGATGGAGTTTCGCTCTGTCGCCCAGCCTGGAGTGCAGTGGCAAGATCTCGGCTCACTGCAACCTCCGTCTCCCGGGTTCGCGCCATTCTCCTGCTTCAGCCTACTGAGTAGCTGGGACTACAGGTGCCCACCACCATGCCTACCTAATTTTGTTTTTGTATTTTTAGTAGAGATGGGGTTTCACCATGTTAGCCAGGATGGTCTCGATCTCCTCACCTCATGATCTGCCCGCCTCAGCCTCAATTTTTTAATAAAAGAAGAAAGTCATTTCTTAAGAACGCTGAGCCATTAAATAATCACGTGAAAAGTTGTAAGTGGGCATACTCAATATATCTACAGCAAAAAAATCCTGATGATATAAGGTTCTTTTCAGTGGGATGCTGTATTAGCAAGCACACATAGGTAAGGGGTACTAGTAACTTTCACTGATGATGTATGAGTTTCAGATACCTCTCCCAGATTTTTCATCTGTAATTTTTCTGAATTCATCAACTGCCTAAAAGGACTATTGTCTGTCAGTAAGTTCATATTCCTAACTGAGAGAACCTGGAATACAACTCATCATATTAACTAATGCTTAACTATGAACTATTTCAAGCTAGTAGTTTTTGAGAAGCTGCTGTGTTGCCTTGAAAATTTTAAAATTTTCATACTGAGATTAGGAGTCATTTTAAATTTTCAAGGGAACACAGCAGCTTCTCCAAAACTACTCGCTTGAAGTAGTTCGTAGTTAAGCATTAGATCACTGACTCTCCTTATAGTGGTGTCTTATTATTGTGAACCTGGGCTTTCAGAGACAGCTAACATAAAAGGCAAGTACTTTGAGAAAAAACAGTGGAGAGCAGAAAATGAGGGTGATAGAATGCAATCCGATTTGGAAGTGTGAGACGTTGTTGTATGCCGTAGGTGTTAAGTTGTTAATAAATAATACTTAGTCAGTTGTTGGGCTTAACTACTATACATGAAACTATTAGATATTTCTTTTAGTTTAGGGTTCCTTTGACAAAAAAGTAAAAAATAAAAATATGAAAGGATTCCATGAACAGAGAAAATGTAGGAACCTCTGAAATATGTAGTATTTCATTTGTAATGCAAATGCATTTTAAAATAGATGCTTATTTTCTAATCTATCCAAAATGAAAACAAAACATTTCCTTAGTGTTAATGTAGTGGCTGGTATTCTATGTTTACATCCAATGAAAGTCCCTTTTAAAATAAATTGACAGCATGTATGCACAAAAATGTGATAAGATTTTTACAGAGATACTTTGTGATAAGACATTGATGTTATGTAGTCACAAACATACATGCACACACATACACCCACACACAGTCACACATACAGAATGATACTGATACCAGTTGCTGTGGTCTCTTAGGTTCCTATACTATGGAGAAAATAACAATGTATGACTAGGAAACCAAACCATCAAACTCTATACAAAACTATGTAGCTAATTATAAACACAAGAAAATAATTTTCTCTAGTTCTGCTTCCAATCGCTGTATTGGGATTCCAGCCAAACACTTCTCAAAAAAATCTGGGAAGTTCAGGGATTGTTTTGAATCTTCTCTATAAATTAGTCTCCTTGGGCATTTCCTGGCAACTGGCAGTTTTCTCTTCTATTCCACCTGTGCTTTTGTGCCTGGAGAAACTACTAAGGCACTCATACCTGGCAAAGGCATTGGCCTCACTGTGATGGGGCCTGGGCTGCCATCTGTGCCCCTGACAGTAATGCCTGAACCTGAGACTGCTGTCTGTGCTAAGGACTCTCTTCCTGGAAGTGCTTAAAGCACTAGCGTGACTTCCGGATCCTGCCAGGGTCAGTGACTGACTTTGTACATTTCACCATGTACTCTCAAAGTCCCATTATAATGTTAATATATTTTTTAATGAGTTTTCTTGTTCATTAAGTGCAAACCCAGTACTCTAAGGGTCCAGGAGGAGTACGCTTGGTATAAGGTAAAATTTGAGTAAAGTGCACTGTATTCAGTGTTACTCCCCAACCCTCAGCTGTTTCTTTATCCTCAAAGAATATTTTATTTTAGTACTCAGTCACTTTTCTTGAGATGAACCATTTTCTGGAATGAATTTCTCTTTCTCTCTCTGTTTCTTTACATATATGTGTGTGTGTGTCTACTATGCTTAAATAAAGGGGGTAGATCTCTTTCTCACTCAGAATAGAGAAAGATAGATAGATGGCTGATAGATATGTACGTATCTATACCTGTATGAAAGCATAGACCTTCTGAACAAATATGAAATACTTACATAGCATGTCTATGCCTCAGAATAAGTTTATCTCCAGCTTGCATTTAGGCATACATGCACACACATGCTTACACACACACATGCACACATACACACAATATATAATTAATATGCATTTTTAAATTTAAAAACAAATCACACTAAATATTGAATGGTCTGTGACTGTGAAGATGTGTGTTTGCAGGGAGCCCTCTGTGTCTTGCTCCATTACCAGGTTTCTGGCAGGTTGTGTGCTTCTACCTCAGTCTGAGTGCTTCTGTCATGAGGATCCTTGTAATTGAGTGTTCAGTCAAGAAGAAATGTAAAATCACATGTCTTCCAGGCATTCATTTAATTCAGTGAGATTATAATTATGAAGAAGAAAATTGCTTTTAATTATTGCAAGAAATATAATAATTTTATTCTTAAAAAATAAAAATTCAAAAACAATAAACTTTTCAAGGAAAAGAACAGAAATGTACTTTCTGCCTGAGAAAAACATTTTGAAGACGTTTAAACAGAGATTATAAGCCTTTAGTGGTGTTTAAGTGACATTTCTAAAAGCCATTGGCATGACGTCACTCAGAACATGACTGTACATCACCTCAGATGTGTAAAAGGGTAGTTAAGAAGCTTCTAACTACATCTGACAATGGCCTATCCCTTAGATAACTAGAAAAACATTTATCTACGAAATGTATGCAGACTTAGATAATGGTGTGATCAAAACATATGTATGAAAATATATTTACGTACAGAAATATATTCATGTTTCTAACAGTAAGGTCAAAACATATGTGTAAATACATTCATACACACACACTCATGTACACAAATATATTCCCAACTGCAAGATACAAGGCTTTGTTCCAGATACAATGAATAGGAAATTCATTATTGTTTCAGTATTTTGAGCATCATTATATTGCTAGAGATTTCCTACAATAAGTTCATCATCAGTAAGAGGACACCGGGACTGAGACATGGAAATTGCTCTTTATAGACTTTGGGACCTCCAGAATTAGGAGAACATTGAGTCATTTGAGTCATTTTTCCTTCTGCTCAGAAAACTATTTAATGGAAACTTAGGTCTGCTATATTCTGTCAGGTGGGAATATTTTGGTGTTTTTCTATACGTAATAAATTGATATACTCCATTCAAAACTGCAGAGGGATCAGTAGTTACATGACATATTAATCTCCTTATATTACCTGATTTTAAGAGTCTGTCTCCTATTTTACATTTTCCAAATTTACGTTAGAGGAAAGAGCCTCCCAGACCTAAATTTTTAACAGAATATAACTCATCTAGTCATATTGATGAGGTGTGACTACCCCCATAAAATTGGTGCAAATTTGACCTCACAATAGGAGAATCCCTCCTAATCTGCCTACGTGTGTTTGGTGACATGAAGGCAGTGGATAGAGAAAGGTATCATAGGCTGCAAAATTCTTATAAAGATCACTGTAGACATCCCAAAGAGTTCAGAGATTCTGACCAACCATCTTTCAAGAAAAGTGCTCTGAGAGGTACTTAATTTGTGAATGCGAAATTAAGTCATGTATTTGTAATTTTAGTGGAAAAGTAGAACTGAAAAACATAGAAGATTACCAAACTGACCTCCTGTCAGAGCCTACCTAGATCACAACTATGATTATTCACTGCCAGATAGAAAATGAACTACCTAGGCTAATGAGAGTCACCACCTGCAGCCTTATTTTCATGTCTAGGAGCAAAACAGAAAGCTGGAAGGCCTAGCTTCTGAAAGGAAAAGAAAGTTAAATGTAGTCCTCTGTACTTACATTGACTGTGAAATTGAAGTATTAGGTTACTTGCTAATTCAACTAAGAGCAGTGTCAGACAATGACAGGAACCCTACCCCGACCCTCACTGGAAATTTGATAACTGACAGATTAGGCGGCGAACTCTTATTGTTGCCATGCTTTCATTTGAACCATGGAGAAATGGCAAATCAGAGGCATGGACAAAATCATAGAGCTACTTGAGACAGAATTAAGATGAACATTTTGCATAATTCATTAAAACTGTTCTAGGAGCGATTATTCCATTGATCAGCAGGAATGAGCCCAGCCTACCAGTATGAAGCCACCTCACTGTAGCTGATCAGATTGCAAAACTGTACACAGGAGTAGTGACCTAGGTTCAGTTGCAGAGGTCCTAAATGACACATGGTGGCTGACACCACAGCCAAGAACCATTTCTGTTCAATAATAGCTTTCTCATAAAAGTAATTAATTTTCACATACAGCATATGGAATTTGTGATAAAATCAATGTTATTAATTATTCAATGAATGGTGCGAGCGTAGACTACATAAGAGTAGCAAGTCAAATATATTTAGCCTTAGGAAATACTAGTAATTAGATTTATTTTATAATTCAATTTAATCTTTGTATATATAGCAAAGCAGACTGCAAAGCTGGCCATAATTTTGTGGCCATTCAACCAGTGACATGATGGAAGTTATCTCCTGAGGAAGGATAACTCCACCCAGTCACAAACAGGGATAGAGAAAGTGCTGAGATTGGCAGGTACAGAGAGAGCTGGAAGAAGACACAGGGAAACAGAGCAGCCCTCTTCATAGTCATTTATTCTATAGAAAGCATCAATTTAAAAGACCTTAATGCTCTTTGAAACAGAAAGTGAAAGAGGATGAGTGATTAGCACTTGATTGTGTTTTGGTCATTCTAAGGCTGCCAGGTGTTGAAAGTCACCCAATAGATACTCCAATATCGAACTGTTCATATTAGCTTCATTCCTCCCATGGGAAACCGCAAGGAAGGAGGTGGGCACAGCTGTGGCACTGTCCTTCCTAGCACTGTCCCACCTGAGAGAACAAAATCTTCTATGAACCAAAATGCATCTATGAGAGGAACATCGAATTCTCCCTTCTTCATCAGACAACTCTAGAACACAGAAGACAACAGGAATGTTAAATCTTTAGAAACTAATCAGACATGAGAACATGACTCCAAACCTCAATTCTAAGCAAACAGAATTCTGAGGTGAAGGCCTAATCTGCATTGTCTGGTGCTCTTCACAATTTTCTTTATCCTCAGTAGGCACAACTACAATGCTCTCAGAATAATGACCTACACTTAAGATGGTCCCTGGCTGTGGGAGGATGCAGCCATAAAGAAGAATGAGATTGCGTACTTTGCAGGGACATGGATGGAGCCGAAGGCCATTATCCTTAGCAAACTAACTCAGGAACAGAAAACCAAATACCACATACTGAAAGTTTGGCTTAAGTTTCTAAGGGTTTAAATTGGGGTTTCTCAACTGCAGCCCTGTTGACACTTGGGACCATGTAATTCTTTGTTTTGAGGTGCGGCACCGTGCATTGTAACATGTTTAGCAGCATCCTTGGCCTCTACACACTAGACGCCAGTTGTAACCTCCTGTCCCTGCTTTGACAACCAAAAAGTTTCCAAACATAATCAAATGTCTCCTGGGGGAGCTAAATTGTTCATGGTTGAGAACCATTGGTTTAAACCAATTTTGGCACAAGATTTTTGGTAGTGATTCATGATTTAGCTCATGAATACACAGGACCCAGAACACTCAGGGCACTAGGAGTCAGTTGTGTCCCAGGAAACACGTTTAACAGGGTAAGCAGTGAAGGAACTATGGCAGTATCCCTCAAATATTCATAGGGACCAGCACAGGGATCCGGGCCAGCACTAGACCAGTTTTCAGAATATACACTATGTGGCAAAGTGAAGCAATGGTAAACACAGGCTGATCGTACTTCAGCATCTACCCAACTAGAGCCTGGAGGTCAGTTCAGTCTTCTCCCTTTGGGGAATCCCTTTCAGAGATCACGAGCCGTGATGGGGAGGGGGCGTCTCCCAGAAAAAAACAAACAAGCAAACAACAACAAAAACTAAGTGCATAATTTGACATTTTGAGGTTTTAGATATAATTTATTTCAGTTACACTCTGATATTCCAATCTTGGAATGGATCATGGTGAATTTTATAGCTACTGTCTGAAAGTTATGTAGCCTGTGGTTATAACCTTGAGGGATGGTATTCAGAAGAGATTCCATTGACTACCTAGCAAAATTCCAGAGTATTCCAACATCAATAGCTTATTAAAGGGATAGTTAAATTCAGACAAACAGCAACCACATAAAGGAAATGTTATGAAATGTAAAATCTAATTCCAATTTAAACCTCAATGCTTTTAAATCATTTTTCTAAGGGCTGAAACAGAGGATATTTGGGCCCTAAAAACAGTCAGGCCACAAAATTTCTTAACAGAGAGCTGAGCTCAAGTCTTCCATGTAAGACACTACTCATCCGAAAGAAATTACTCTCTGGAAACTCCATTCTAAATAAAAAGAGATCTACTGTTTTGGGGCGAAACAATAATTCAAGGAAATGAGCTGTTAAATACTTTCTGGGTTCTTCCTTACTTACCCTCCTCTCAAGATACAGAATAGACTGTGCCCAACTCTTTAACTGTAGTACAGAGTAAGTGGGAAGGGTTTCAAATAATTCATCTGCGATAGAATTAAAAAGATAGATGGATACCTAATAATACAAGAATAGGATGAAAAAACATAAGATGGCAATTATGGAAAAAGAACATTTAAAATGAAAAAGAACATCTAAAAGATTTTTAGAAAGTAAGAATTACAGCAAGTAACAGGATGAGAAATATTCAATGAAAGGTAGATAAAAATCAAATAATACTTTTATCTAAAAACGAAAAGCTGAACTAAAGGACTTGATCTGGTATGTCCGAAATGCGCTTTATAACAGAGCATGTCAGTATTAGTGTGACCCCCTGGTAGGCACAGGATCTTGGAAAACCATGCCCTACAGGGACGGAACTTTTACTGTTCAGCGTACTGCACATCCAGGAGCCATTGAAAACATGTCATTTTTGAGCAGACAAATAAGAAAGGAAAAAGAGAAGAAAAATGGATATGGGGAGAGTAAATAAGGGAGTGAAAAAAGAACAAGAGTGCCAAGTGAATACAGACGCTTACACCTAGAAGAAAACATTAGGGCTGGTGAATAAGTAGCCACCTCCCAATCCTCCATCTCCTGCCCTAAGCCAGAACAGGCACTCTCAGGCAGGCTTAACTTGAAAGGAGAAAATCACCTTGTTTAATGCCTATGGGAAGTCTAAGAGGAGATCATGAAATATACAAAATATGTATCATATATCAGACTGTGTAGACCAGTTTTCAGCAGGATAATTAAAAGCAAGATGCATCCCCACTCATTGCCTAAACCAGCTTAGCTTAACTCTTTCATTTGAGATGTAACTGGTTTCCAGGGCAGATGAACTACGAAAACCTAGAGGTGTTTAGAAAATCCAAGAGAGGAATATTTGCTGCCTGTAAAAACATTATTGTAGTAATAAATTTAAATTTTAAAGTTGTAAAAAGTGTAATTTAAAACTTTAAAAATGTTTATATATATATTTTAAAATGATTTTCATGCTGAACTTATGGGTCAGATTACACTGTTTATACAGGTACTAGAGACAGATGTATGTATCTAGATTCCATATTAAGTTTAAAAATTATTAAGAAGTAGAATCTATAGATTGTATCTTACTAAATTTCATATACCCTACATATAAAAGCAACCTTTTGAATGTTTTATAGTTAGAGCATATGCAGCTCTGGGGAGAACGGTGCTAACGTGTGGCCAGTCTAATCCATCCTAGGTGAATATTATATTGCACACTGAAAATTTGTGTGTTTGTGTAAACAATACATTGTATATTTAGCATCGACTAAGAAATGTTTTACCATCTTGCTACCTTCAGGAGCTTTAGGTGGCTTGCCAGCAGTTGCTCGTGCAACCCCTGCTTACAGAAACTCAGTAGGCATTACGGTTAAGGATACGGCTTTTGCAAATAAACCGCTCTTCTGTTTATTATGTGTGCACTCTTGGGCAAGTTTTTGTAACCTCTCTGTTTCTCAGTTTTTCCACCAGTAAAATTGTAATTGTAGCATAACCGCTATTGATATTACAGGATTAATGTGATAAAATAAATTACTTACCTTGCTATCTACATGGAATAATTTTTAACCAGTGCCTGGCATATAGTAAGCACTCAATACAGTTAGTTAGTTATTATGTTAGGAATGAATGTAATGCTATGATTAGAGAAGCACAGAACAAGAACTTCGGTCTTATATGTACTCTGATAATGTTTTTAAAATGAGAAAGTGGGCACTTTTCCAGTCATAAATGAATTTACTTTCTTGAATCAATAGTAACTTGTCAGTATCTTAAAACTCCATGCTAAATGGAAAGAGATTGACTGTTTTGGTGTGAAGCAGTAATTCAAAGAAATGGATTGTTAAATACCACCTAGGTTCTTCCTATCACATATCAGAATAACCTCTGTCTTGGGAAAAATAGCTATTTTAACCTAAATAACCACCGTTTCAGGTTCTAAGTATTTCTAACATTACAATGCAAAATGTCCTTCAAAATTGGATTCAGAAGAGTAGATGCATATTTAAGTACCTTTGATTCTGATCAATAGGCTTCAAAAAGTATACACATTTAATTTAACCTTTATAGAAGTGGATCTTAGAGTATTAGTCAAATTTATTTATCAATTGAAAAATTTTGTACTTTGATTAGGATATTTTGAAAACAAGGAAAGAGCATGCTGCATGTACCTTCAGATGTTTATGCGAGTGGGGGAGAATGCGTAGCACTAAAAACAATATATATTAACGAGGAAAAAATAAATTCACAATATTGCGTCACTATCCTGTGGCCACTGTAACAAGTTACTACAAATTTGCCAACTTCAGACAACAGAAATTAATTTTCTTACAGTTCTGATGACCAGAAATCAGTGCTGTGGGACTAAAATCAAGCTGTTGGCAAGGCTGTGCTCCCTTCAGGGGCTCTGGGGCAGAATCTATGTCTTCCCTTTTCCTGCATGCAGAGCTACATTTCTTGGCTCATGGTGCCCATCTGTCTTCAAAGTCAGAGGTATAGCATCTTCTCTCTCTGACTCTGCCAGTCTTTGTTCCTATTACATGGCTGACTTTTCTTCTATTTGTAGTCAACTGGCCCTGTGACTTTCTTTTGTACAAATACTGTGATTATATTTAAGTTCAACCTGAGGATAATCTCTCTCTCTCAATATCCATAATTTAATCACAGTGGCAAAGACTCTTTTTCTCTTTCTCTGTGCTATAAGAACCACAGACTCCGGCATTAGGATCTGGGTGTTTTTGGAGCCACTATTCAGCTTACCGCTAGCATAAAAATACTGTGGGGGGAAAAGCTAATCTCTCAGACATTACAGTAAAATTATTCCTCTGGTTAGCATAAGCTATTTTTAAAAAGGCCAAGAATTTGAGGGAAAACCCATATAGTTATAGCTTGTGCTGCATAAATCAATAGCAAAAATGTTTTATTCAGGGGCATTATTAAAACATCCAACAAATATAAATTGCTATAATTAATTTTGTATTATTTGTTTCTGTTTATTTTATTTTTAAAGTCTATTCATTTTTTCACTTTTCTTTATTTTAACATTTGCAAGGATAATCACAGCAACAAAAACTTGAAATTTGTTATCATTTCCATAGTATATGACCAAAGTTCAAGAAAATGGTATTTTATACTTGCAAACATTTCTTTGTTTAACCATCCTTTTGGGGTTGCTTAAGTTGTTTATACATGCAAAATAAGTTCTAGCAAATTAGAAGCTAGAGTATCAAGCAATCAAGAACAAAAGTTTGCAAATTAGCCTTGAATGTGATGTTTATGAATGAGTGGTATGTTAGTCCAGGTTGCTATCATAGAATAACATAGACAAGGTGGTTTAAACAACAAACATTTATTTTTATTATTATTATTATTATTATTATACTTTAAGTTCTGTGGTGCATGTGCAAAACGTGCCAGTTTGTTACATAGGTGTACATGTGCCATGGTGGTTTGCTGCACCCATCAACCTGTCATCTACATTAGGTATTTCTCCTAATGCTATTGTTCCCCTAGCCCCCCACCCCCACGATGGGCCCCCGTGTATGATGTTCCCCTCCCTGTGTCCATGTGTTCTCATTGTTCAACTCCCACTTATGAGTGAGAACATGCGGTGTTTGCAAACAACAGACAATTTTTTCTCATAGTTCTGGAGGCAGGAAGTCCAAGTTTGGGGTGCAGCATGCTCAGGTTCCTGGTGAGTGTCCTCTTCCTGGCTTGCAGATGGCTGTCTTCTCCTGTGATCTCATGTGGCTAAAGCGAGGGAGCCCTGATCTCTCTTCCTCCTTTTATAAGGACACTAATCCCATCATGAGGCCCCCTGCTCATATGTCCTCAGATAAATGTGATTACCTCCCAAAGGCCCCACCTCCAAATATCATCACATTGGGGATTAGGGCTTCAACATAGGAAGTGGGGGCAGGGATACATAAACATTCAGTCTACAAGTGGAAAGCAAATGCCTCCTAAAATGTTTGCCTTCAGAAAGTGTATTATACCACAGATTGCTTAGAACAGTGGTCCCCAACCTTTTTGGTACCAGGAACTGGTTTCATGGAAGGCAGTTTTTCCACAGACAGACGTGGGTGAGGGATGGTTTTGGGATGAAACTGTTCCACCTCAGATCATCAGGCATTAATTAGATTCTCATAAGGAGCATGCGACCTGGATCCCTCACATGTGCAGCTCACAATAGGGTTCCTCCTCCAATGAGAATCTAATGCCCCCGCTGATCTGACAGGAGGTGGAGCTCAGAGCTCAGTGGGTAATGCGTACTCACCTGCGGCTCACCTCCTGATGTGCCTGATGTGCCACCTGTTTCCTAACAGGCCATGGACTAGTACCAGTCTGCGAACTGGACGTTAAGAACCCCTGGCTCAGAATATGTAGTTAGAATTAAAAATATCTGAAACCCATTCTTAAGCCTTCAATAATTAGCATCCAGTTTGTGCCATTTCTTGAACAGTAATAAAAACTGTTGACTTTTTTATTTTTAATTTTTGAGGGAAATCAATGAGTCATAAAGAATGACAAGAACAATAACAACTATATTCTTAAAGTTATAAGAATGAATATATTCAAAATTTGTTTTCCACCACCGGGAATAATATGTTTAATATTAATAATATCATATTGAAAAATTGAAATGGTATACATCTGTTCATTACAAAATTGTAATATTAGTCAAGTGCTAAAAGCTTAATAATTGTATTTCTGAGTGCACTGTAAAAAACTGAAAAAAAGTAAATTGTTTTTCTTTTCATAATGAGGGCACTTTGATTAATTCTTGTTGCTGGTGGCCCTGATATTAGTAATTTTTTCCATAGAGTAACTAAAGGATATAACTGGGTGGGTAACTATTATATTAGCTATGATTTTTCAAATTAATCTGTTAATTTAACAAGGGATATCTACTTCTTAACAATTATCTTAAAATAGGTAATAACAATGGAATTCTTCATAATACTTCATAAAAACCCAGCCAACCCTTGTGAATTAATTTAATTTTCTTAGTGGAATTTAGATGACCTTCATAAAATATCCCGTAAATTTATCTAGTCGTGTTCTAAATAAGAAGCTTAATCAAGCTGTAATACAAGAAAAATCATTTTCTTTTCTTTTGAATTTCACTTGGTTAGGAAAGGTAAAAAGATACTACACAATGTGCATAGCACTGTGATATGAAAGCTCCTTCATTTAGGCCGTGCATTCTGCTGCTTTGATTCATTTTTGGGGACGAAGTTTACAAATAAATATATATGTAAATAAAATACAGCATTTTCACTTAAATGATTCTAAAGTTGTCTGGTTATCTAGCCAAAAATGGCATGCATAAGTATGCATATACGTATATACACACATATACATGTACTGTATGTATGTAATATTCATGTATTCATACACATAGATACAACCTTAACAATTTACATAAACTTACCATCTGTTTACTTACACAGTTTTTCATGGAAGAATATTATAAGACGTAGATTAAAGATAGACTGGACACTGCAATACAGCATCTTTCTAAGATGTATCATTAAAATAAAAGCTATGCTCATGAATTTATATCTTCATCAAGAATAGATAGGTAGGTGAAATGCATTTGAATTTCCAGGTATTTTGGGGCTGATAGTGTGATGAGAGTGTCTTAAATGTGACAGTCACACATAAAGGATGACACTAACCCCATCATGAGGTCAAGTTATTAGAATTAGAGTAATGATTTTGTCATTTTATACATAAAATAACCTAACAGCTTACACTTGAATAAGACTACTTATGAATCTGTTTTTGCTAGTTCATGATAGTTTTTTCATAGGACATAACATTAGCTAAGGTTCTGCATCAGTTAATAGAGTATTGAGTGGTTTAATTTGTTTTTTTCACTGAGAATAATTAGAAGGCTTTACAAAATAAATAAGGCATCTTGGTAGTCGTATAAGATACATCACAATTACCAGGGAAAATTCTAGACTAAAAACTGATTCTGCCAAGAGAGCAGACATATTCTGATCCCAGAAAAAAAAATGCTGCAAAAATTAGCTCTCTTTTTGACATCCTCCTGAGGCTAGGGAGATTTATGTGCAAGATTAGGGAACAGCAAAAGAAGAAATTGTAATTAAACCATCATTCTATCCAAAAAAGACTAAGGTAAAGATTAACCAGAAACTAAAGAGCTCTAAAGTGCTGACCTATTGCCTTAAGTTGCATCACCCAAATGATATGGAAATCTTTATTAAAATTAAAATAATATAGTTCTTGGTGAAGAGACTCTCTATATGACATCTGGAGAAAGAAATTTTCTTTTCTTTTGCAGGAGAAAAATATATAGTTCTATAATTTATTAAATAAGAGACTTGAAACCGCAATAAGTGATTTCTCCAAGATTATTGCCAATGTCTGGAAGTCCGAAGGGATTAAGGAGGTGAGGCTCTTTACTGTGGCTTTAGTATATGCAGAGACATGTGTGACCTTGGTTTATATTTTGAGTGTCTGTGAGTCAAGAGATTCCTAAGGGGGTAACTTTTGATAAAGAGTTATCATCACTGCCATTGGCTTGACCCAGAAGGCCAACCATTGTTAATACCCCAAGATTCTATATGCTGAGGCTGTTTTCCAGGACATCCAGTGGTAAGATGACTGCCAAATGTACTGACTCTTGGATCTTGTCCTTTATCAGGAATGTCCTAGTTAAGGTGTGAAAAGTAGCAACTCTCCCCTGGGTTCCTCTTGCATAATACCAGTAATATCAAGTGTGATGTGTATGAACCTCTATTGTCACTTGCTGTCATCACAAAGATATTCCCAGGTAGCCATGGCATCTGAAAGAAGGATGACATTTTCTGGCAACAAGGCATCTGTAAAGAAGTGAGTAAAGGTGTAGCTACCTCCTCTTGCTTATGGGATATGTCAGAGTTTGGCTCCGTCCTGCAGGAGAGTCCTCAGTAGCCATGCTGAGCTTGTATGGTGCTGCTTCTATGACCCAAGGCATAACATGCAACTGGAAAGATAGGACCAAAGACCCAGAACCTGTGAGATCCTCGGTTTCCAGGAGATCCCAGCTTGTCACAAGCAATTGCTGCTGTAATTATATACAGCATGGAACCAACAGGGCTAGTTTTGTTTGTTTTTTGTTTTTTAGAGAGGGAGTCTCGCTCTCTTGCCCAGGCTGGAGTGCAGTGGTGCAATCTTGGCTCACTGCAACCTCTGCCTCCCGGGTTCAAGCAATTCTCTGCCTCAACCTCCTGAGTAGCTGGGATTACAGGCGTCTGCCACCACGCCCAGCTAATTTTCTTATTTTTAGTAGAGATGGGGTTTCGCCATGTTGGCCAGGCTGGTCTTGAACTCCTGACCTCGTGATCCACCCGCCTAAGGCTCCCAAAGTGCTGGGATTACAGGTGTGAGCCACTGTGCCTGGCCAACGGGGCTGGTTTTTTTCAGGACAAGACTATGGACAACATGTGGTCATCATAGGTGACTCATACTCCAGAAGATATGAGAGTAGGTTTCCAAAGCTTCTACAATGAAGAGTGTCTGAAGAAACAAATGGGGATGCCTGTTGTCTTGCAATTTTGACAGAGTCTAGAAAGTTTTGTTGGGAAAAGCTCCATTTCAAAGCTAAGTAAATTTAAAAGCAACAGTATAAATGGGCTTAAGTAAAATTTTTATATGAGGGATATATGTTGCACCCAAAGCACAATAAAAAACTAAAATATATTAGGATTATTTTAACATTGTGGGTGTTTCTTGATACTATCAGGGATAAAACAACTGTTAACTTATTAAAATAATTCTCATGGATTTGATTGAGGCAGTTGGCCCATGAACTATGCGTGGAGCAATGGCCCTTTCTCTTTTTTTGTGAGCTTCCTTGTAAGCATGTCAAATGAATCTCTTTGGGTAAGGATGTCACCAATATAACGTCATGCCTATGCTATTGAAGAAAGCTAGATGCTGTGAAGATCTTGCTTATGATGGTTATACATTATTTCAAGGCCTGTACCCATACCCCATGGATAGCCAGGTAAAAGATTATTGTATCTCTTTGGAGTGAAGGGCAAATTGTAGATAGAGAGCTGTTGAAATAAGCATTGACTGGGATTTATTATTGAGATGTATAATAGGAAAATAATTTTGCTGATTCAACTGTGTTGGTAATTTTAATAATATTGAGTATCGATGTCCAATAGATGAAGCCTTAGCATTAAGACTACAATAATATATTGTGAGATCCCATTCATTTGTTCAATATTTAAGAACTGGGAAAATTGGGTTAAGTGAAAATGAGTGGAGATAATCATTCCTCCTCTAAATAGCTCTTATACAATGGGTTTCAATCTTTGATTGTCCTATCTTAATTTACATTGGGACGTATTAACTATTTTAACTGGGAAGAAGGGACAATATCTACGGGGCCCCATTTTGTCAAGCCAGTTTGTAAATGCCAAAGGTTTCATTTAATTTTAATCTATTACATAATGTATCGCAGCAATTGTGACTACTAGAGGTATTTTAGGGCAATAAATACTACGTCCTCGGGGAATTTAAGCAAGACAACAGTTAGTGTAGTTAAGATGGATTATAACTGTCCTATATTTTGTGTTCAAGAACTGCCCTAAATTTATAGGTTAAATCTTGTTTAAATTAGATTCTCAGCTATAACTGTAATTTGAATTCTAGTATTAAGGCCACGAAGGTTTGCAAATTGGTGTAATTTAGCAGGTGTTAAAATTATTTCAGAGCCTTTGCTGTAGAGGTGCAAAATACAATCAGTGCCTTTTATCTTTCTGTTACATAAGTTCTTTTAGCAAATTTTGGTTTTCAAGTTAGGTCAAATTGGGGACCTCTGTTTCATTGTTTTTGTTTACTTTTCCTATATCCAGACTTCTTCCCCTGCCTCCCCCTTGCCCATTTTCTTTCTGTCCTTTTTCTCTCTCCCTCCCTGTCTCTTTTTGTTTCTTTCTCTCTGTCTCCCTATCTCTGTGATTACTTGATACACTTTAGGGTGGTAGGCTTTCTACCCTGCTCATATTTCTAAGTTCCTTCCTCCAAAAAAGCCTCAGACCAGTAGTATTGCCATCTTTAGGGCCTCAGCCATGGCAATAATAGTTGTTTTATTGGCCATAAGGGTCTGAGCTTAAGTGGGTGTACCACAGGAATGTTATGGATATATTTCCCTATAGTCCTGAGAATCATGATCTTTGTCTTAACAGAGGCAGAAACAGCAACAGAAGCATTTTGTAGGGTACAACTGAGCCATTCACCTTTAGGAGTGTAGACATCGGTAACTCAAATCTTTAAAGAATTACTGTTTATTAAATAATAAGTGCTTTTTCTCCACATATGTTACCATCCAAAGGGCCCATGTACCACATAGGGTATAGAAGTTGTTCCCCTGAGTATACCATCGGTCATGGCTTATGCTGGAATTGAGAGACATGATTCATGCTAAGATACACAGATAGGTGTGGAATAAAGACAAAAGACCCTTGAGGGCCAAGGTGGGTGGATCATGAGATCAGGAGATCAAGATCATCCTGGCCAACATGGTCAAACCCCATCTCTGCTCAAAATACAAAAACATTAACTGGTGTGGCGGCATGGGCCTGTAGTCTCAGCTACTCGGGAGGCTGAGGCAGGAGAATTGCTTGAACCTGGGAGGCAGAGGCTGCAATGAGCCCAGATCATGCAACTGCCCACTCCAGCCTAGACAAGAGAGCGAGACTCTGTCTCAAAAAAAAAAAAAAAAAGGAGAGACTTTACGAAGTTTCCAGTCCTGTAGTCCTGTCCCAAAATGTCAATTACCCAAATTTCTGACTTAGATCTTGTTTTTTTTTAACAGAGGCTTGGTGTAATTCGGCAAATGAGGCACGACATAGCACAGCTTAAAGTGCAAGCTAACCAGCAAGCAGCAGCTCAAAATCTATGCTTACCTGCAGATAACAGAGTCAGTTAACAAGCTGACGCAAGAGAAGACAGACCCATGGTGACAGTGGTCATTCTCTAGACACCCAGCTCACTGAAGCAATTGTTCAGGCCATCCTGCAGAGACATTACCAATTCCCATCTACAATTTGTTTCAGATGTCAAGGCAAATGATGCCATAAGCACACACCAAATACTTGGAAATATGGAAAGTTTATTATTTACATACTAAGGCTTTATGAGGACAGCAGGAGAGGCCTCTCAAGTTGGTCCCAAATGTCTTGACTAAAAACTTAGAAGTAGACAGGCTTGGGATTTTTATTGTTATAAGGGGGTGGTGCCAGTGCAAGGGCGCTTGCATACGGACAGAGAATTGCATGGTTTAAAAGTTGCAAAGACACCAAAGGAAGTGGCATCTAGACTTTCTTATTAGAGTTCCAGAAGTGGAGCAGAAGGGAAAGAGCAAGGTAGTTGTGGGGCTTAAACGTCGTCAGCAGTAAGATATTAAAATTGAATCAAGGGCTTTTTATCACCTGAGCTCTGTGTCAGGTCAAGAAAAGACAAGTCCTGCAAATGGAGATTTTTTAGGGAGCTGTTGGGCCAAATAGGGACAATAGGAGAAGAGCTTTTTGAGGAGATCCAAACATGTTCTGCTTCCTTAAGTTGCTTCTAGCCTGCTGGTTTTGACAGCTACCATGTTTGGGAAGCTGTTGGAGAGGGCAGTGTGCGAATGTGCATGGGAATAAGGAAACTTAAATACTACAAACCTCACTGTTCCTACTTCCAGTTCCACCAATTTTCTTTTTTGTGGAATAAACGTTCCTTGGATGGTTGTAAGCATTTGTTTAATTTCCAGAGTTCTGAAAAACATTGATTTTGACAATGTCATCAGTGTTATCATTGTTTTTATGGAAAAGTGGATTTTTGGAAGTTCTTGCTCTACTTTTCCCGATGTGTTCTTCCCTTAATCCTTTCTTAATATAGGCATGTAGAAGTATAGGTCAGTCTTCTGAACTTTGAAAAATCTAGAAGTCATATTTGAAGTAAATTTTTAAAACTAAACAAGTTTAGAAATCTTAGAAGTCAATAATATATTTTCACAGATGCTTCATATTACTTTTGCTTCATTAAGGTTGAGATATTATAATTAAAGAAAATAAGCAACTTAGATTGCTAATGATAATCCAGAAATCTTACTTTTGTCCATTAGATATTCTTTATTTATAAAGACTAAATTCTTCCCACTCTTCAAAATCATTTGTGCCCAGAGATGAACTGGAAAAACAAAATAATACTCAGGAATATAAGCAATTTTATTTATGTACACATACCAGAAATTCTATAGGATAGTAAATTTCCAACAGAAACTCAGACACCAGTTTGCTTCAAAGAAGCATTATGTGAAATGAATTGATCTCATTTGGAATTGTTTTTCCTTTTTCTCACAAAATATTTATATTAAATTAGTAGTTGTCAATTTTATTTTGTTTTTAGGTCAGAAATAATTCAGTATGAGTGCACAGAAATATACAATCTGGTACATTATTTGACATTTCTGAACTTATAAAATATACTCATCAATACATAAAAATGATGTAATCATTACAAGTATTTTGATCTTTCTTTCCAGTCTTAAGCTATATCCACAAGTAGAAAGTGTTATTGAGAAATAATGTACTCTTTTACATGTTAATGCTTTTTAAATTTTGGAGGTGGCCGGACTTTTTGTGGGTTTTTTTGAAATCAATCCTTCAACTGTGGACATCACAGTTTCAAAGTGTTTGAAGTCAGTTATTTCTTGACTCTTGATCCTGCACCTATGAGGGTGTTAAGAGTAGTACTAACTCTCCTTTGATCCCTAAATTCTTAATTTTCAGATCAAAGTTATGACTGAACTGGCATTTTCCTAATGCGCCTAGCAGATTGTTTCTGGAATGAAGTATAAAAAAGGAGTAGGAAATGTACCAACACTTTCTAGCAGAGATCCAAATCCTCTCCTCTTCCATAGTCATCACCATACACATAAAATAGCAATTCATGATATGGACATACGGGCTTGTTAAGAAACTTGACTCATCCTCTGGGCAAGGGTTATGATAGTCCCTTGCACAGTTAGTTTTGGCCACATGATTTGGAAACATTATTCCTGGTTAATTTTTCTAAAGTATAAAGTGAATTGCTGCAGGCATGATTGAATAAGTTAACTGCTGTGGTGGCCCTGGATCAGAGACACAGAATATCACAAGGTTAGAGAAAACCGATTGCCAGTAGGGTGATCTGAGTGACATCAAGCATTGGGACTTGATGAGTTATTGAAAATTGATGATTACAAGCAGAGCTAATGTTTTCATCTTGGTTGGCACATTTTTAAAGGAAGGAGAAGAAGCTCATTTTACTTGCTCATATTATTAATTCTCAAAGCTAATAATATTTTCACAGTTAATATGAAATAGTTTGGTCACATTTGTAAAGCAAAGCCCACATATGAGCATATTTTTAGTCTTAATAATTTCCTTTATGAAATAGAGGTTAAATTTGTTTAAACTTGTGATATAGTTTGGTTATGTCCCCACCCAAATCTCATCTTGAATTGTAGTTCCCATAATCCCCATATGATGTGGAAGGGACCCTGTGGAAAGTAATTGAATCATGGCGGTGGTTACCCTCTTGCTGTTCTTGTGATAGTGAGTTCTCATGAGATCTGATTCTTTTTTGTTGTTGTTGTTGTTTTTTGAGATGGAGTCTCGCTCTGTTGTCCAGGCTGGAGTGCAGTGGCGCAATCTAGGCTCAATGCAAGCTCCACCTCCTGGGTTCACGCCATTCTCCTGTCTCAGCCTCCGGAGTAGCTGGGACTACAGGCGCCCGCCACCACACCTGGCTAATTTTTTGTATTTTTAGCAGAGACAGGGTTTCACCATGTTAGCCAGGATGGTCTTGATCTCCTGACCCTCTGATCCTCCTGCCTCGGCCTCCCAAAGTGCTGGGATTACAGGTGTGAGCCACTGCGCCCGGCCTTTGCTTTAACTTTCTAAATGAGAGAATAACATATCTGTTTTTATTAGGATTATGGATTAACATATGAAAGGATTAGCATAATCCAGGTTTCTCATTCTCCCTGTCAGAATACATCAACTGCTGTGTGTCCTGCAACTGATTAAGTAACAAATCCCACCAAGGCAGTGTGCTTACCTCATTTCATTTCAGTTTTTGGTCCCAGTTAAAATCACTTTGTCCTATGAATCTGCACAGTAGAATACACTGATATTTATAAGTGTCTTTAACTGGAATCATCAGCATAGTTAACACCAACTGTATCATGCTGGAAAATTGTAAAGAGTAAAATTGACCCTCAAACATGTTTCAAGAAATAGATAATTATCACATACCGATACTTCTAAAAAACACCTGGGAACTCATGTTTTACTATTACCACCATTGTTTATTTTGTTTATTCTCCAGGTCTAGTTTTTAATTAAGCATGCAAAATATATAACCTCATTATATGAGGGATCAATGATAATGTTAATTAAATTTCCTTACAAAGAGAAAAAGAATTGCTGAGTGCCAGAAGACACCTCTAACTAGCCCTGATCTTTGACTATATGTGTGTGCTTATATGTGTATGTATCATAAAATAGCTCCAAATATTTACATATTTATTCATATGTTTATATGTAAAATACACACGTATTCATATATAAATATATAGCATTTGTACCTATCTATGCATGCTCCCTCTATATATATATTTACATATATATATATATAATATTTGTTGGATATAGTCAAAACCAGAATTTAGCCATCGAGGTACTCATTTACACACTGAAACACACATTTATTTGATTTTAATAAGGAAGTAGCAAAAGGTAATGCTTCCATTACAAAACCACAGTGGTAGTTTTGCTCTGTGTCAATGTATCTAACCCGGAACTAAGTTTTCCTGAGTCCCTTTCTCTGTGTGGTTCTGAGTTAGAGTTGGCCACGGAGGCATTTCATGAGATTTGGAAATTAGAGGTGAAGGAAGACCCATTGCCTTTTGAAGGTTTCATGATTACACAAGGTGACAGCCAGCTGCAGAAAGGCCAGCGGGGTCCAACTTGTCCTTGTTCCCTCCCACTAATTAACCCAGTTCTTCTTCCCTACTTCTCTGCTGACCCACAGTGATCTCAGGCCCACTGAGAGGCACAGAGGCAACAGCTCCCATTAGCTTCCCTTCATGGTTCCACTGTGGCGTCTGGACCAGCCTGAAAATTCAGACTTGTCTCCAGACCTCAGTGCTTCAAGAGGGCTTACTGGTGACTTCTCTCTGAACTTCCAGGTGCCCTTTTCAGACCTTCCCTTCCCATATCCTCTTTCAAGTGTATATGATTTACGTCCTGTAGTCCTTTATTTGGTAACATTCACAATGGTTCTGCTTAATTTCAGGAAATGAAGGCAATAATTGATATCTAAGAGCCTTTCAAGAGAGTCTCTTGCTTTCCACAGGGATGGCAAAAAGTTTGTTACTGTAGCATTAAATCTGAAGTAAGCTCTAGGGAACACACCAGTAGACTCATTTCTTTTATGCCAACTAGTAATAGAATCCCAATAAATTACCTTATAATCCAGATTTTAAAAACAGAGTTCAGGGCAAGAATTACAAAATAACTATCATAATAATGTTAGAAGGTAAACTACCGTCCTTACATAAAGAGGCAATGCCAAGTCTTATTGATTTTTGACACCAATTGGTATACATTGAATAGTCTTTCCATAATTGCCATGGTATTTGATGCCCGCAGCAAGGCTAAAGGACAAAGCTGCTCATTTCAGTAAACGTATGTTTGTAGAGCTTTAAGTAATTGGTTTTGTAGGAGAAAAAGTAGTAGAGCTCATATGTGAGCTTGATTAAAATTCTGGAAAATCATAATAAAGAACATTTTAAAAATTAACAATATCTTGAAAAAGGTAAATTTCCTTGCCCTTTATCTATGTGGTTTGTGATCTTAATTTATGTTCATTTGAGAATTTCTTAGATGGGTCTTGCCATGTCACCATAGAGATTTTAATTCACAGGATAATATGTTCCTGCCACATGAATTGGTAATAAATGGAATTTCCACATTAATAAAAATACGTACAAAAAATGTAAGCTTTATTCGGTATTCGTAAAGAATTACTTCTCTACATTTTGTGTTTTAGAGAAGACTTTGAGCTCAAACCCTAATGTGGCCATAATAAGCCTTAAAGCAATTATGCAGCAAGGGGACTAGAGATGGGAGTGAGGAAGGATTCTCTGCTGGTTATTTTGCGGTAATGGATTTTATTTTTTTCCCTTCCATCTCTCAGAGAAATCATGACACCCTCGAAGCTTGATCAAAGGTTCTCTTTCTGAAAAGACTTCTGTAGGTAATGGAATTACCTGAAGCTGATGGAATTTTAGTCTCACTGAGGGGCTTGCCCTAATTCTAGTTGAGGTTTATGATAAGGAGAAAAATTACATGTAGGAGGAGATTGAGATTCACTACAAATCTGAGGTTCACTGACACTGTGAAAATCTCTTCTGTAAATGCCTTATACAAGATTAAAGCTACTATAAGGCATTTTTTTTTTTGTAGGCTGTGTATCATAGGTGAAATTGATCTCATTTCAGAACCATGATAAAAGCGGCTTTTTAGTCACCAACTGTGGACTGAGAACTTGAGGACGTAGTATCAGTTGTATTTTAAAGCAGTGGTCCCTGAATATGTAGGACCAGTATCATCTGGGAACTTGCTAGAAATGGAAATTCTTGGCCCCACTGCAGACCAATTGGATCAGATTTTCTAGGAGTAGGATTTGGCTATCTTTTTTAAAAAGGCCTCTAGGTGATGCTGACACATGCTGAAATTTTAGGACACTCTTCAAGGGGAAGAAATATGAATACGTTTTAAAATATGTACTCTGTGTGTGTGTATAATGTTAGGTGATAACTGGTTTTTTTCCACATTATGTTTCCCTATTAAGGCATCTACTGCCATCTGCCCCAGAATGAATTTGTCAGATAGCACCAGAGAAGAGAGGTGGCCAATTCTTGGCTTTTAAACTCAAACATCCCAGTTCAATTTGTGAGAATAATTATTTTATAAGAAAATACAAGAAGGAAGGATTAATTTGGATGTTTGGTTTGAATCTCTTCTCCATCCGATCTACAGTATGAAGTGACCCTTTGCAATATGGTAAGGATGGAAGAGACAGAATATGTTCAGTATACTTGTCAGTTCCCTCCCTGTCATGGGCAAAATCCTGAGGAAGTCATGAAGGAATTCCACTTGAGACTGCCGTAGATAGAATGTTACTGCCACAGCTATAGGGAATACTTGCGTGGCATATTTGAATTGGAATTTAAATTTTAAGCATTCTAGATATAAAAGGAGTATATTTTCAATTTTCCAGTGTGTGCTGCTTGTGCTGGTGAACTTTCTTCTCAGAACAAAGCGCTGCTTGTCTTCTCAAGCCAAATTGTTTTATTATATGGCATGAAGGTAGGCTGAATAATGGCCCCTGGAGATATCCATGTCCTAATGCCTGGAACCTGTGAGCATTTTTATGGCCAAAAAGATTTTGCAGATGTAATTAAATTAAGAATCTTAAAATGGAGTGATTATTCTGGATTCTCAAATAGTTGGTAAATATAATCCCAAGTGTACTTTTAAGATTGAACTAAGGGAGATTTTACACAGAAGAAGGCAATGTGATAACTGAAGCAAGGTGCTGTGCTGTTGACTGGCTATGCAAGAAGGGGCCGTAAGGCAAGGTAAACAAGAATTACAGACCTAGAAGCCGGAAAAAGCAAGCAAAAGGATTCTCCACTAGAGCCTCCAGAGAGAGCATTGCCCTTCAGAGGCATTGATTTTGACTCTGTAAAACCCATTTCTGAATTCTGGCCTCCACAACTGCAAAAGAATAGAACTGTGCTGTTTCAGAAAACAGGGATCTGACAGTCTTTCTCTTGGCCAGTCAGTCAAGTAAAAGACAACAATAATTAGTATGTTTGGTGAGAAATCTGATGTAGAATTGTTTCATTAATCCTCATTTATAGCCTAAAAAGTATTGTTATCATTACACTTCTCTCTTTGATAATCCTCACTTGCTAAGCTACTTTGTGCATACTTAACTAGAATTCCAGCATACCTGATATAAGGAAACAAACATTTTAATTAGTAAAATTGATTGTGCTAAAATGTATGATATTAAAATGGCATGTTGTTGAGTTAGAAGTATACATACATGCATATATGGGTATATAATGAGTTTTGTTGTGTGCTAATTGGTATTGCATGATAAATGTTATCTTTCAAGGCATAACTTCAGGACACAGTATATCAGAGAAGAGGGTTAAGACTTACTTAATTACAGCCAGACTTTAGTAAGAGATAGAAAGTAAAATCAGTCAGGCTATCATGTCACTGAGGAGTGATCACCTGGACAAGGGTAGTAGAAAAGGCTTTTTAAAGAAAGTGTATTTGAGATCTTAAAAGAAATCTTGAATTTCAAAAACCTAACATAATGTTAAAGGGTCCTTCAGGTAGAGAAATTACCACGAACAAAAGTTGGGAGTCAGGGAGGGTCTGCCCCCACATTTTTCTTTCTTTTTCAAATAATTTCAAATTTTATTTTAGATTCAGGGGATACATGTGCGGGTTTGTTATGTGGGTATATCACATGACATTGGGGTTTAATAGTGAGTACAGTACTCAATAGGTAGTTTCCAGCCTTGTCCCTCACCCTCTATCCTCCCTCTAGTAGGTTCCAGTATCTATCCTCACACACCATTGTAGTTGGTTCCTTCTCTCCTCAAGTCATGATACAATTGTTTTTTTTTGAGACGGAATTTTGTTCTTGTTGCCCAGGCTGGAGTGCAATGGCGCCATCTCAGTTCACCGCAACCTCCACCTCCTGGGTTTAAACGATTCTCTTGCCTCAGCCTCCCAAGTAGCTGGGATTACAGGCATGTGCCACCACATCCGGCTAATTTTGTATTTTTTTTTTTAGTAGAGGCGGGGTTTCTCCATGTTGGTGAAGCTGGTCCTGAACTCCTGATCTTAGGTGATCTGCCTGCCTCAGCCTCCCAAAGTGCTGGGATTACAGGCGTGGGCCACTGTGCTGGCCAGAATTATTTTTTTTAATTGAGGCCTTCCCTGGCTTATTTTAAAGTACAATTCCCCCTCCACAATCCTCCCATAGCCCTGATGTTTGCTATCCTTCTTTCTTAATTTACTTTTTTTTCAATACACTTATTGCCAGATAACATAATATGAATTTCCTGAGTCATTTGTTTACTTGTTTCTTCAACTTAAGTATAGAGTTCATGAGGGCTGAATGTTTTATCTGACTTAACTCTGGCGTCTATGCAATTTAAATATGGTTGGCACAGAGTAGGTCCTCATTGAACACTAGTTGAAAGACCAAATGATAAGATGTAATCTAAAAACAAGGAATGGAGTAGTTATATAGTCAAGAAGATACTTCTAGGAGAAATATAATATTACATCAGATATAGAAAGAGGGAAATTTAAAGTGGATTATATTTACTTAAGAGTAACCAAAAGCTCATCATAACGGTGGGTAAGTACATAGCAGTTTATTTATTTTTCATGTAAATATAATGCTCTATGCCTGGTATCGTGGTATACAGTTTCTCATAGCCAAGTGTGTTCTATATCCCCTACAGATAGATCTTCATTCCCAAGGTCACCAAATGTGTCTCCCCAAGTTCCATCAATAACATAAACATTCCAGCCTAAAAGAAAAAATAAAAGGGAAACCAAAAAAGGAAAGGAAGAAATTTGCATTGTGTCTGTCTAAGGAGACTTCCTGGAAGTTTCTCATATACTTTTGACCAGGATTTTTTTTTCCACCTCATACATACAACAAGGATGGTAGAAACTATCTCTATTCCTACTGAAAACCAGTGTGTGTGTTACTGTAGAAGAGGGGAGAACGAATCCTGAGAAATAGCTGGTGTTCTCTGCCATACAAAGGCAGAGGGAGTACAAAACATTTTTCTGAGAGTGTAATAATTGGCAATGCCAAGCTTAACCCTTAGAGACCGTGGGTAGAATAATTATACTGAGAAGTAATGAGGACAAGAATCTGCATATTGGTGGTAGGAAGAGAAAAGTCAGATTTATATAATATATAGTTTTGAAGTAATATTTAAAAGTGATTTTTAAAATTGACTCAGAATGTCTGGGAATGTCTAAAAGTTGAATTAAGGAATAAAACTGGGTCAACAGGAACAATGCTGAAACTTTAAGAAATAAGAACGTCAGGTGGATAAACTAATTTATGACACATGATCCTGAGTTTGGTTTAGGTCATGATGAATTTTAGGAATGGAAGAACATTTAGGTATTTGAGAAGCAGCTTTTGTTCTGGGAATGTGGACTTGAGAGTCATTCAATTACACCTTTTTGGTTGTCTATGTTTTACACACACACACACACACACACAAACACGTTCCATTAAAATTTAAGTATATTATGGAACAGGATAGTGTTTTATTAATCTTTGTGCTGAAGTTATTTCTCAATAATATTTGTTACATAAATGAGCAGAAGCATTAGCTTCATTTTAAGCAAAGAACCTTTACTTGAAATTACCTCATAAAGTGCTTCACATCTTGCCTACTCATTAGACACTTGGCAAGTATTTTCAAAAATACCAATGTCCCAACATCATCCCAGATCGGCAATTTGGAATCTCTGAATTGTAGGGGTAAGGTGTGTTGTGTAGAAGCACATTGAAATTATTCATTATTGCCTCATCTTTAAAACAATAAAGCACTTTAGGACTATTTTAAGCAGTAGAACCTGGTTGATATTGGGAGACACTAAGACTTGTATATACGTGGCTTTGACAGAAGAATAAAAATAATTTGAGAACTGAACTGGGTAAAAATATTCGGATTATAAAAGTCACTTTTTATGGTTTTTATATTGAGTCTAGGACGCAGGTTTAGTATTTTTATTGATGAAAACCTTGACCTTAGGACATATATAAATATATTGCATTTTGGCCAAGTTTGGCATTCTCACATAAAAAGTGAGCAGTTTTTTCTAACATACTTTTCTAACGCTTATATTTAAAATAACCCCCAAGGTTCTGAAACAAGGCACAACTTGTTAGATAAATCAGCAATTAGAGTTCAGAACTGAAGCCTAAGAATATTTGCTCATTGCTTTTCTTTCTTCTTTCACCCTCTCTCCCTACCCCTTTCTTTCTTCTGTGGAAACAGATAAATTATTTCGGCTTTTACTTTTACATCTACCATATTAATGTATGTATTTAGTTTTACAAATCCAAAGATTTAATTACTTTTAATTCAGGAAACAATTTAAACCATATAATAGTTTTCTCTTTGTTCATCAAATGGAGTATTGTGTCACAACTGTAAAACTTTAGTCCACATTTTTGCTGTTGATTATTCAGGTTTCTAATTAATTTTATTTTATTTAGAAAGAAGAAAAATAAAATATTTTAATAATAAAATATAGAACTTGCGTCTATGATCAAATGAAATAACATGTTTCTAAAATTACATTATTTTGGAAATTGAATGACTCTCTTTGTGTTAACAAAAGTTGTCATAAATTGTTGTGACATTTCATAAGCTTCTGTTGCCTTTTTTTGGCTTACTTGGGAATCAAACCCACCTGGCAACTCTTTTAGTCAATCACATTTATTAATAGTCTCTCATTATTTCAGTTATGATGTTTAAAGGCTTTCAGACTTGTAAGGATTCAAAAATATCTAAAAATGATGTTTTGCATTCTTCATTTAAAGATGATGACAAAGAGCTCTCCTGGGAAGATGACAACCGGTGTCCAGTTTAACTGCTCCTGGTCACCTAGATTTCCCAGTGGGACGTTGAAATGTGTTCACACTTCATTTCCTACTTATTAATTACAATGGCCTTCAACTTATTTGACTCCATTTCATATAAATAAAACATTGATTGTAACTGTTATTTAGTAAAAAAACCAACACTCTGCACTCCATGTCTTTTCATTTTTGAATTATATGGAGCCAATGAATTAAATATTATATCTCTATCAATAGCACCTGAAATATCCAAACACATGTAGGCAATAAAAAGGTCTCCAGATTTATGTATATTATAGTTAACATCTAAATATTACCTGTTACTGACTATTACATGTAATACTGGCTTAAAAATATTGTAAGCCAATATTTTCCTTACTCATTAAATATGAATATTATGGTATAAATTAAACCTTGATGGATATTTCTGTTACCTTGATGTGGTAGATATATATGTTCAAACTCATCAAATTTTATATTTTAAATATGCATAGTTTTTTGTATATCTGCTATAGCTCAATAAAGCTGTTTTTAAAAATCATTTAACTCATGTATGTTAAAGAGAGGAGTTCCTACATTGTAAAAAATATGGATAAATTTCTTACGATTATTTGAATTTCACAGAGAGAAGGTGTTAGTACTGGAAATGATTATCCCATACCAAGAGCATAAAATATTATTTTTGTTTAATTAATGCCTTCTTTGCATGATTGTAATAGTAGTCATAGAAATCTCAAGGTCTAACAAATTCAACTCAGGTTGAAGTAAAATTCTTAACTCCAATTCATATTAAAGTTTTTTAAACAAATATTAGCACCTTAAAAGTTTTAAACATATTTCAAAGTATCGTTTTAAAAAATATCATATAACCCCAGAATATCTGAGGGGATAAATGTGATTCATATAATAATTTTTTAAAATAACATTTTTAAGCTCAGAAATTATAAATAACTTTCTGAGAATCGTATTTCTATTAAACTGTAAGTCTAATTCTTCACTAAACCATTTGTCTCTCTCTGGTATTAAAAAATAGTCTTAACAAAACCTAATAATTACACTAAACATGTAAATTTCAGACACATTTTTTATGGGTTATCTTCAAGATGACATTGACTTTTCTTAATTTAGTCTCTATCATAAAACTCTGTCCATAAAAATGTTAAATTATTAAAACATAAAACTGGCTTTTATTAATTCTTCAAAGTCATATAGTTTTGTTGTTTTTGGTAACTACACACGGTAAAAAACTTATTTCCTGTAATAAAGAAAAAATAATTTTGATAATGTTGACAAAAAGAGCATGTACTAAGAAATAATGTGCTTGAAATTACATTTTTAAGGGTTTTCTTAGTTATAACCAAATACAATGAATAAAAACAAGTATGTCAGAGAAAAAAATTGCAAAAATTTTGATAAGATAAAGTGAGGATGGTGTAGCTTTTTTTTTTTTTTTTTTTGCTCCTAATACCTTTCCTTTGGAATTTTTCCAAAACTTCTTTATGCTCAGTCCAATATTCATTCAATTATCTTAGCTGAACATAAGATCATCCCAGCATTAGAATTAAAAAGTTTTGCAAGAGCAAGCTATTAAACTTTTCTTTGTAAACCATCCATTCTCTTGAGAAGGGAGAGAATATTTATTTATCTCCCATCATTATTCTTTTCATGATTTTGTATTTTATGCTTTTACAAATTTCTCATCACTGTTTTGTATTTCTTAGTAAACTTGACAATACAGAGGAAATTTTGTTTTACATAGGCACCATCAACGTTTTTACCAGTGAGAGCATGCTTTGAAATGAGTCTGTATCTTCTATCCTTTTCATTAATTTCTATGCTAATTTGCATGAACATATAATTGTTATTATTTTTTTCTCCTTATACTCTTAATTTACAATTTAGTACATTCATCTAAAGAAATAAGACACTATTATTTTTATACCAGATGTCAAACTATTATATGTTAACAAATAATCCTCTTCATTCTGACAGTATGTCCAAATTTTGAACAAACACCTCAAGCTCTTATGCCCTGTACATGTAATAGACACTATGCTACAGCAAAAGCTTTTCTTATTGTCTTTAAAATTTTCCTGGGTGCATAAAACTATGTGGTAACTCTTTCCCAATTTTTAACTTTTACATTACAAGTCATTTTCAGAGTAAAAAGTCATTTAACAAAGGCAGATAGAAAGGCCTCAAATCCCTGAGGACCAAAAATCCCAACACATTTTCAAAAGGGAGAAAATTTCTTTAAACTTCATGGGAAAAGTATTTTTAACATAATAGAGAGGCTTTATGCAGTCTTTGACAAGATGATACTTTTGGAATAGAACAAGAAGAGGAAAATATTTCATATTATAATATTACTGTGTCAAATTCTATGTTGTCAAAAAAGTGACTATCTCTGATGAGAAAAAATTTGTACTGAATTAACATCCAAAACAATCTAAGATTAGAGAGGTCTAAAAAAAAAACAACTAAAACCTCATGCAAAAATGGCCATCCTGAAACAGGCCTCAGCAAAGCTCTCTGCCAATACTTGACTAAAAGCTGCTGTGAAACTCCCTGGTGAGTTCTCTTTAAGATTGCTCAATTTGGCCCGGCATGGCGGCTCGCGCCTGTAATCCTGGCACTTTGGGAGGCCGACGTGGGCGGATCACCTGAGGTCGGGAGTTCGAGACTAGCCTGACCAACGTGGAGAAACCCTGTCTCTACTAAAAATGCAAATTTAGCCAGGCGTGATGGCACATGCCTGTAATCCCCGCTACTCTGGAGGCTGAAGCAGGAGAATCACTTGAACCTGGGAGGCGGAGGTCGCAGTGAGCCGAGATTGCACCACTGCACTCCAGCCTAGGTGACAAGAGCAAAACTCCGTCTCAAAAAAAAAAAAAAAAATTGCTCAATTAGATGATATAATAGTAATTTTGTGTGTGTGTGAGTGGGTACACTGGGGTGATTCAGAAAGGATGTTTGCCAATGAGTATTTCTCAATAAATCAAAGAAAGATTAAAATTCCTTTGTTTTCATAAACAAGTTGAGTTTAATCACTGAGTGCTGTTGGATTCAGTAATAACTTCACCACTAAACATAATCATATCTCAACTTTATTTTTTTTAAATGGCAATATGCCCCTGGCCTTATTGTTGAAGTTTATCTGTGCCTAACCAAAATTTCCATTTACTAACATTTATGTAATTTATCTATTTTCTACATTTTCTTTCTTTCTTTCTTTCTTTCTTTCTTTCTTTCTTTCTTTCTTTCTTTCTTTCTTTCTTTCTTTCTTTCTTTCCTTCCTTCCTTCCTTCCTTCCTTCCTTCCTTCCTTCCTTCCTTCCTTCTTTCTTTCTTTTCTTTCTTTCTTTCTTTCTTCTTTCCTTCTTTCTTTCTCTTTCTCTTTTGTGACAACGTCTCACTCTGTCACCCAGGCTGGAGTGCTGTGGCACGATCTTGGCTCACTGCAACCTCTGCCTCCCTGTTCAAGCGATTCTCCTGCCTCAGCCTCCCAAGTAGCTGGGATTACAGGTGTGTGCTACCATACCCGGCTAATTTTTGTATTTGCATTAAGCAGAGTTGCACCATGTTGGCTAGGCTGGTTTTGAATTCCTGACCTCAGGTGATCTGCCTGCCTCCACCTCCCAAAGTGCTGGGATTTCAGCCGTGAACCACCACCTCCGGCCTATTTTCTACATTTTCATTTAAACATGTATGTAATCTTTGAGAAATTCGCATGAAAAATTTATGTAGCTTCTTCCTTTTCTCTACATTTTTTTTTTAGAATACATGGAATAAACTTATGCTCCCATGTACTAAAATGGAAATAAATAAGTTGAGCAAAAGTAAAGCTGTTTCTAAAGAAAAACAGTTGGATAAAAACGTAATTTTATTGTGACAGGAAAGTGTTTGCTTCTGTTTTAGGGAAATGGGCAGACAGTACCAACTTCTAGTTACAAGTTTGTGGGGAGCAAATATGAGTGAATTGTTCAAATTCTTGCCGAGCAGAGCTTTAAGCATCTGTCAAACAAATCTAATATTTTCAAAAAGTTCTATTGTCCTTTGCTGCTTATCTGTAAATAATAAATCCTCTTCATGTAATTTGTTGTGTGGGTGGATGTTTTATCTCACCAGACTCAGACATGTTGGCCATCAATGCACAATGAATTGCTTCACAGGGAAAACTTCCTAAGTCATCTTATGAGGCCAGCATCACCCTAATACCAAAACCAGACTGATATTAAAATAAAATAAAAGTATAGGTGATGACTTTTATGAGCATAGATGCAAAAATTTTTGACAAAATATTAGCAAATAGAATCCAGCAATGTATGAAAATAATTATGTGCCATGACCCCAGTGTGATTTATTCCATATATACAAGGCTAGTTACTCAACATTCAAAAAAGTTAATTAATGTAGTCAATCATATTAACAGGCTAAGAAAGAAAAATTATAAAATCATATAAATAGATGAAGAAATAGCATTTGACAAAATCTTACACTCATCCATGATAAAAAACTTTCAGTAAACTAGAAATAGAAGGGGATCTAAAAATCAAAACAATTGAACTCATCAATATAGAAGTAAAAGGATGTGTACCAGAGACTGGGAAGGGTATTGGGAGCTTGGGGGGATGGGGATGGTTAAGGGGTACAAAAGTGGAAAGAATGAATAAGTCTTATTATTTGATAGCACAATAAGGTGACTTTAGTCAATAATAATTACACACTTTAAAATAACGTAAAGGGTGCAATAGATTGCTTGTAATTCAAAGGATAAATGCTTGAGGGGATGGATACCCCATTCTTCATGATGCGTCTATTTCACATTGCATGCCTGTATCAAAATATCTCATGTACCCCATAAATATATACATCTACTATGTACCCACAAAAATTAAAATAAAAAATAAATACATAAACAAAAAAGAAAAGAGCATCCTTAACTTGAAAAATAAGATCTACAAAAAAAAATTACAGCAAACATCATACTTAATAGAGAGAAATTTGGATCTTTCCTACTAAGATCAGAAGCAAGGTGAGAATGTTCTCTCTGACCAAAGCTTTTCAGCACTGTACTACAAGCCCTATTAATGCAATAAGACAAGAAAAAGCAGTAAAAGTTACACTGATTGGGAAGGAAAAAAATAAATTGTCCTTGTTTGCAGATAACATGATAGTCTATGTAGAAAACCTAAAAGACTGGATAAAAGTGTTCCTGGAATTAATAAAAGATTTGAGCAAGTTTGCAGGATACAAGATTAATGTGCAAAAGTCAATTGATTCCCACGTACTAGCAGTGAACAAATAGAATCTGACAGTTTAAAAAAATACTTCTTATATTGGCAACCCCCAAAAGGGAATACTTTTGCATAAATCTAATAAAACTATACAAAATCTATATGAGAAAAACTACAACATTCTAATGAGAGAAGTCAAAGAACATAGTAAATGGAAAGGTATTCCACATTCACAGATAGAAAGACTCAATATTGTGAAGATACCTGTTCTTTCCTACTCAATTGATAGATACAATGCAATCTCAAGCAAAATCTCAAGACGTTATTTTGCAAATATTGACAAACTAACTTTAATGTTTATATAATGAGGCAAAAGACCTAAAATAGCTAACACAATATTGAAGGAGAAGGACAAGTTGAAGGACTGATATTACTCAACTTCAAGTTTTACCATAAAGCTACCATAATCAAGATAGTGCTGTACTGGTGAAAGAATGGACACATAGACAAATGAAACAGAATGGAAATCCCAGAAATAGATCCAGACAGATATAGTCAACTCATCTTTGACAATGGAGCAAAGACAATAAAAATAGTAAAAGGATAATCTTTAGACAAATGGTGCTGAAACAACTGGTCATCCACATGCAAAGTATGAATATAGACACTGACTTTACATCCCTCACCAAAGTTCATCCATTATGTATCACAGACCTAAATCTAAAACCCAAAACTATAAAAATAATAGACGATAACATAGGAGAATCTAGAATGAGCTAGGGCTTGGCAATGACTTTGTAGATGTAACACTAAGATGGGATCCATAAAAGAAATAACTGATAAGCTAGGCTTCATTAAAATTCTTAAAACTTCTGCTTTGAGAAAGACATCATCAAAAGAATGAAAAGGCTAGTCACATACTGGTAGAAAATGTTCACAAAAGACATATCTGATAAAATACTGTTATCCAAAAGATGCAAAGAACTCTTAAGACTAACCAATAAGAGGACAAACAACCCAATTAAAAAAAAAATGGGCCAAAGATCATTATGGACACTTCCTCAAAGAACATGAACAGATGGTAAATTAGTATCTGAAAAGATACACTACATCTTATATCATCAGGGAAATGCAAATTAAAACAACAATGAGATACCACTAATCATCTGTAGAGTGGATGAAATTTAGAACATTGACAACAATAAATGCTGACAAAAATGTCAAGCAACAAGTACTATCATTCATTTATGTTGGGAAAGCAAATTGTACAGCCACTTTGGAAGACAGCCTTGGGGTTCTTAAAAATCTGAACATACACCTACCATATAATCCAGCAGTTGTGCCATTTCCTGAAGGAAATTGAAAAGTTATGTCCACTCAAAAACCTGCATACAGATGTTTATAGCAGCTTTATTCATACTGCAGAATCTAGAAGCTTCCAAGGTGTCTTTCAGTGAGGTAAATGGACAGATAAACTAGGGTGCATCTAGAAAACTGAACACTATTCAGTGTTAAAAAGAAATGAGCTATCAAGTCCTGAAAAGATATGGAGAAACTTAAATGAGTGCTAAGTGAAAGAAGGCAATCTGAAAGACTAAATGTTCTATGATGCTAAGATTCTAACTAAATGATATTCTGGCCAAGGCAAAACTATAAAGACAATAAAAATATCATGGTTTCTAGAGGTTAGTGGGAAGCATGTTACGAGTAGGCAGAGCACATAGGAATTTTGGAGTAGTGACACTATACTCTGAAACTAGAATAGTGAATGCATGTCATTATACTTTGGTCCAAACCCACCGAATGTAAAACACCAAGAGTGAACTCCAATGTAAACTATGGACTTTAAGTGTTAATGATGTGTCAGTGTAGGCTCAGCATTGTAATTATTGTTCTATTCTGGTTGAGAATGTTATAATGGAGAAATCTATGTATGTGTGGAGGCAGGGAGTACATGAAAAATTTTCCTAACTTCTGTTCAATTTTTCTGTAAACCTAAAACTGCTCTAAAATAAAGTCTTTTATAAAAGATAATGTTTAATTGCAATTATACATTAAAATTACAATTAGAAACTGAAGTATTCAAATTCTTAATTACAATTAGCAACTAAAGTAGTCAAATTCTTAGAAGCAGAAAGTACAATAATGGTTACCAGGAGCAAGGGAGGGGCAATGGGGAGTTGTTTCATTGGTATAGAGTTTCAGATTTGCAAGACACAGACGTTCTAGTGATCTGTTTCTCAACAATGTGAATGAATTAATACTATTGAACTGTACAGTTAAAAATGGTTAAGAAGGTTAAAAATGGTTAAGATAGCAAATTTTATGTTACGAATGTTTTACTACATTTTTAAAAACAAAAATCAAAATAAGATCACTTAAATGTCTTTTACTATAGTCAAAAGGTAAGCTGTTGCTTTTCTGTTGAATATTAGGAGTATCTTCACGTAGGAGTGTTCTACGCTTAAAAAAAGTATGTTACTAAAGTACAGCTAGAGTAGAGCAAGCAGGGATTATTTCCTTCTCTGGAAAACCCAACAGGCATACTCTAGAATTTAAGGCCATCCATAATCAATGGAGTTGATTTGCTGATTTTTACTCACCCCGTGTGAAATAATGAATATGAAGAGCTAGATGAAACAGCCCATGTCGATACTCTCAGGATTATGTGACAAGTTGTTTGTGTGTTCTGTGGGCCATATGGATGAGAGCATGTCAGCTGGCATCAAGGAGTTTTGATAGAACACTCTCCAAGAGGGTAGTCTGCTGGATAAGAAGCTGTGGTAATATTTTAAAAGGAGTGATTACAGTGCTTTTATAGGTTATAAATAATGAAACCTCTTTCTCACCAAAAATATAAGACATTCCCTGAAAAATTGAAGACGAAACTGATATTTGTACTAATACATATACCTATATATATTCTTATATATAATATATATAAAATATATATTTTTCTAAATATATATATATTCCTAAAAAGAAAGTGTAGCCATCAAAAAAGATCCTTTGAATCATTCATGAGCCAGAAAAGGTTAAAATTAATTTACAAGAAGAAACAGAAAAACATAATTCATACTGACAAGGGGAGATGATTAATAAAGACTAACCACACAGGCTGACCTAGATGTTGGAATTACAGGACAAGAATTTTACAGTAGCTATTATAATTAAGAAATAAGAGAAAACATTATTGTAATCAATAAAAAGGATATCTAAGCATAATGAAGCAAATGAATATTCAATAATGAAAAACATAATACCTGAAAAAATTAAAAAAAATCACTAACTAGGCTTAACCAAAGAATAAATATTAAAAAATTAAGTAGATTCATAGAAATTATACAATCTAAAAAATGGTAAAACTAATTCTTTTTAATGGAGCAGACTCAGGCACTTGTAGCATAATATCAATAGGACTAACATATCTGTAATGTTTTCCTTAGGAGGAGTAGAGCAAGTGGAAAGTCTGAAAATAGTACAGCAGCAAATATTTTGGGAAAATAATGACTGACTGACTATGGTCTTAATTTGTTAAAAAGACAAACATATAAATTCAAGACGTTCTATTAAACTCAAGTATTATAAATAGAACGCACACATACACACACACACACACACACACACACACACACACACTCTTACCCAGCAGGTGCAACATTCAAAAACTTTTTAAAAAGTTGGAATCTGTCAAATGAGACAAACAACCACATACAACAAAACCCTACACCTCAATATTTAAAAGTCAAATAACCCATTACAAATGAGCAAATTATTTGAGCAGATATTTCATAAAAGAATATACACATGTAACTAATAAATACATGAAAAGAACTCATTATCAGGGAAATGTAAGTTAAAACTACAGTGCCATGCCACTACACTTACCAGACCATCTAAAATTAAAGAGACCGACTATACCAAAATATTGTCAAGGATATGCAGTAACTAATCCTCATACTCTGTTGCTGGAGTGTACAATTGTACAACTTCTTTTGAAAATTGGCTGGCAGTGTTTTATAAACCAAACATATACTCATATGTTCCCAAAACACCATGCCCGTGAGTGTAAGTTTATAAGTAGTCTTGTATGGAATGTTCAAAAACCTGGAACAACCCAAAGTTTCATCAACAGGAAAAAAAAAATCGCACATTGGAAAACTACTCAGCAAGAAACATAAATGTACTTCTGTTGCATGCAAAATGAATGAGTATGAAAAACATGAATGTGACTGAAAGAGTACACAGTATATGATTCTATTCATATGAAGTGGTAAAATGGACAATACTGGTTTATGGTGGGAACAATTGTTGCCTGATGGTGGGGGTGAGTGACGTGTTTCAGACAGTGGAATGTGAAAACCTTCCGGAATGATGATATTCTGCACATCATAAGTGTTTGGGATGCCCAACAATAAGCATTTTTTTAACTCATTGAATTATTACCTAAAAACTTTGCATTTTATTCCATATACATTTTCAGAAACAAAAAACCATAAAACAAAATTGAACTCTTGTCAACATCAGCATCTATGCTGACAGATTTGTGAGGAAGTGTATTTATGTCTTCAGTATGCCCTGAGATGCTTTAAAAACACATCTGATAAACGGATAGATAGATGGACAGTCACATGTTCAAACAAATATATTAAATGTTACTCGTAGAATCTAGGTGGCACTTATTTTACCTTCACTGTAAAATTCTTTCAACTTTCTTGTCTTTGAAAACCTAATTTAAAAATTACTGGAGAACAAAGTTGTCACAAAGACAAAAAATAACATAAAATGTAGGCCAGAATCACTTGTGAATATAAATGTAAAAATTTTATATCAGCACATAGAACCTGAAACTATATTCATATATATATATGAGAAACATGTAATGATGGTGAGTTTTTTCTAGAAAAACTAGGTTAGCATGAGAGAAATAATTAATTCACTATTTAAACTACTTAAAAGAGAAAATTTATATGTTCACCTAGGTAGATGCAGGTGATTGATTTTAACATTCTTAGTTAACATAGAATATCCTTAAGCAAGTAAAGGGAATCTCCAAAAACCTACAGAAAACAATATATATTTCATTGAAAATTTAAAAGTAAGTTATTTTAATTTATAAAAACTCAGGACAATACAATTATAATAAAATTTAAAAAGAGAGTGTTTCTGGCAAGTACTCCAAGACAAATAAATAGAAATAAGTTTAATAAAAGGGTGGAAGGAAAAACAAACAGAAATTTTTTTACTTTCAGAGGAAATATTACTAACTATAGGTAAAGCTCTCCCAAAATCTATAAATAAACTGTTAGAATCAATGAGAATTATTAAGATTTTTGGATGTAAATTAGATATATAAAATTCAGAGGTGCGCCTGGCACGGTGACTTGTGCCTGGCATGGTGACTTACGCCTGTAATCTCAGCACTTTAGGAGGCCGGAGGGGTGGTGGTGGATGACCTGAGGTCAGGAGTTCGAGACCAGCCTGAACAACATGGTGAAACCCCATCTCTACTAAAAATACAAAAGTTATCTGGGCCTGGTGGCGTGAGTCTGTAAGCGCAGCTACTTTGCTGGCTGAGGCAGAAGAATCGCTTAAACCCAGAAGGCAGAGGTTGCAGTGAGCCGAGATCACACCACTGCACTCCAGCCTGGGTAACAAGGTAACAAGCGCAAAACTCTGTCTTCAAAAATAAATAAATAATAAAATCAGGGGTCCTTTGCAATCTTGTCTTTCTAAGGAGAAAACATTACAGTTCTGTCTACTGGAGAATGCGGGCCCTTAGAGGAAAAATCAAACTCTCAACTGGAAGGCCTGCAGGGACAAACCAGAACTAGCTAGCACATTAAGCTATAATGCAGAACCAACTTGGCTCAGTACCTGACTGGAATAAAGCAAGCAGGACTCTCTGCTACCCCACTATTTAATCTTCTTAGAAGATGAACTGTTAAACCCTATTTGAAGGAAGAAATTGCCATCTGTGACTTGTACTATATGTTACACAGCAGGTGCATCATTCCACATTCTATGATGGATACATTACATTATTCCATCATTTATGGCATACCAAGAGACAGAATCTAATAAACTTCAACGTACAGAAAAATATCCAAAATAAACAGATCCACATCATTAGAGATATCTATATGTTGTTATCAAACAAAGAATTTAAAGTAAAAATAAATAGTGTGCTAAAGAAAATACTGGAAAAGTGAAGAAAAAAAGGCAAAGGTTAAATTTTTCAGGATATCATAGGGGAAATGGAAATCCTAGAATAAAAATGTAATTACATGAATGGCAAAACAGATAAATAGAATACCTGTGTTAGCTTAAAGCATAGTGAGAATAAAGAGTGAAAAAGGAACAGAAGCTTCAAGATGTGACACACAAATTATTGAAATCTGAGAGACCTGGAAAGAAAAATTGAAGTAGAAATGTTTAAAGAGTTAAAAACCAAGAATGTTCTAAACTGATAAAATACATACACTCACAAATTCCACAATGTCAGAGAAACCTAAACTTGATAAATAAAAAAAAATTTTACCTCGATTAATATTGCTCGACAATATATACAAAGAGAAAAATCTCAAAAGTAGCATTAGAGGAATAAAAGAAATATAATACCTAGAAAAAGCAAAAATAAGACTTCTGTTAATATGTAAAAAGAAGCTATTAAATCCATAAGAAAATATAATAATATTTTTAAAGTACCAAAAATACGGTTGCTATCAATTAAATTCTACATCCAGCAAATAATACACTTCAAAAAGAGAAGTAACATAATGACATATTTGGATAAACAAAACAAAAATAATTCGTCACCAGTAGACAGGCAGGCAGGAAAAAAAAAGATAAACTCAAAATTGTTGGAAGTAATAAAAAGCAAGAGAGATGTTAAGTGTCTTGGTATGCATAAATGAATATTGGCTGTTAATAGTATTTGATTTTAAAGTATGTATAGTATTGAAATGCGTGATAATAATACAAAGATGGAAAGGAGATACCTGGAGTTAGATACTTCCAGATTCCTAGCATTTATGAAAGAATGGAAAATGTAAAAAGTTTTCCATGGAATGCTAATATATGTTTATTTTAATCTTTAGTGTACCATTAACTATATAATAAGAAAATAACTACTTAACAAGTTAATAGAAAATAAATTAATGAATTAATTTGTAATTAATTAACACAAAAAGTAAAAAAGATGGGTTAAACAGAAAATACATAATAAGCCAATTTAAAGACATGATATATTACTATAAATTGTTAAAAGGGGCACATGGAATGAGAAAAGGGTCAATTCATCAGGAAGACATGGTTAATGGGTACAATGTGCATTATTCAAATGATGGATACCCTAAAAGCCCTGACTTTTATCACTATGCAATCTCTGTATGTAGCAAAATTGCACAGGTACCCCATAAATTTGTACAAAGAAAAAAATATAAAAGCTGCATGTACCTGAAATTAGAGCTTCATATATAAAGCAAAATTGACAGAACTAAAAGTAGACTAATAACCGTAAACATAGTTGTAGATGTTAAAAAACTGTACATGATTTTTGACAGAACAAATGGACTAAATCAGTTAATTATAGCAATAATCTGAAATGAGAAAGAGAAAGATCATTGCACTAAATAATCACAAGTATATATTCTTTTCAAGGATATTAGTTCATTTACCAAAGTTAGTTTTTTGAGATGAAGAAAAAATTGTTTTGTTGTTCATTGATTTTCTTTTTTAAATTTCTTCCAAACATAGAATATAGAATTGGGATATTCCTAAAGAGGGTACCTATATGGACTAGAACACATGAGAATGTGCTAAGTTTTATTAGCCATCAGGCAAATTAAAATTAAAAAATGATACTACTATGTAAGAAAATATGAGAAATAAGAGAATAACATATAAGAAATTAACACATAAGAAAATAACAACAGTAAAAAAAAGGTCCTGACATTACGAAATGTTAGTGAGTGCATGGAACGTTCTTATATGTTGCAGGGGGATCTATAAATTATTATATCAATTCTGAAAACTTTTCAGCACATACTACTGAGACTGTAGATCTTTTGGCCCAGTAATTCTACCAGTAGGAACATGCCCAACAGAAAGGTGTATCTATGTTCACCACATAAGTATCTGAATGTACATAACAGCACTGTTTGAAATGCACAAACCTGGAAACAACACCAGTATCCATCAGCATTGGAAAAGATACATAAATTGGGTCACAATTGTATGGCAATTATGAAGGACTATAAAGTAACTCAGCAATGAAAATGAGTAGACTATTCTTACATGAAAACATAAAGGAATCTTAGAAACATTATGTCGAACAAAATAGATACAAAGGCGCTGTTGCTTCATTTTACATATACTTCCCTCAAAAAGGCAAAATTATTCCATGGTGTTAGAAGTTATGTTAATGCTAACCCTTGGGACTAGATTTAGGAAACGGGCAATGAATTCCTTTTGGGAGCTGCTTATGTTTAATCCTTGATCTGTATGCTGATTCTACCTGGAGAATTTACTTAGTGAAAAAAATGGTGATCTGTATACATACAATTATTGCAATTTCAGTGTTTTAAAAAATTAAATTTGCTATTTTGTCATTGACATGAGCCACAAACAGATAACATGATTTGGTAACAGATAGACTTTTAATAAATAAATCATATCTATTATATTCAATAATTATGCAAATTTTGGGGGGATGTGGAGACAGAGTCTTGCTCTGTCTTACTCTGCTGCCCAGGCTGAAGTGCAATGGAGCAATCATGGCTCACTGTAGCGTTGAACAACTGGGCTCAAGCAATCCTTCTATCTTAGCCTCCCGACTTCCTTTGACTACAGGCACATGCCACCATGCATGGCTACTTTTTTTTAATTGTTTTGTAGAGCTAGGTCTCGCTATGTTGCCTAGGCTGGTCTTGAACTCCTGAGTTCAAGTGAAGCTCTAGTTTCAGCCTCCCAAAGTGCTGGTATTGCATGAGCCATCACGCCTAACTGCAAAAACATTTTTAAGAGGAGTGTAACATATTTAAGCAGACAAACACGAAAGAGATGTACATGTTAATGGAAGAGATTAATCAATACCGTAAGAATAGCAATCTCTCCTAAATCTCTCTAGATAGTATAGATCCATTTATTTTCAATTAAAACTTGTATTGAAATGTTAATGGAATTAGACAAACTGGTTCTATTAGGTTGGTGCAAAAGTAAATTGCTGTTTTGCCATTGAAAGTAATGTATATTAAGTACAAAAGACTCAGAATCATAAATTCACTAATAAAGTTGATTTTGCTTTCCACATATCAATAATTTTTATAAAGAGAACACAGTTACAATAACATGGTAATGTAAGCAATGGTAATTATGAGGCTGGACAAGAGATATATAAATTGATATAAGAAACAGAGTAGAAAACCCAGCAGTTCATATGTGGGAATATGCTTTATGATATAGCTTCTATTGTAGATAATCACAGTTTTCAATAAATAGGCCTAGCACAGCTAACTACACAGTGAAAGAAAATGTATCCCCTCACATCACATAGCAAATAAATATCAGCTATTTAAGGCTTAATTGGAAATCATGAAACTACAAAACTTTAAAAGATAATAAAGAAGAGTATTTTCATGACTAACAAAGAGTAACAGGTTTCTTAAGCAAGAAACAAAACACACACAAATAATAAACAACGATAAAAAATAAACCACATAATTAGGAATATCTTTTTATTGAAAGACACAAAATGGAAGTTGGAATTTAAGGCCATTGAAAAAGATACAGCATGTATAACTAAACAATAAATAATATCCAGAATCTATAAAGAAATTGTTAAAATAATTAACAAAACAAAAACAACAGGACAATGGTCAAAAGCAGAATAGCTCGCAATGAGAAAAGATGGTCAAAAACTACAGAAAATTTCTATCCTTATTAGTAACTGCATAAAGGCACTGAAACGCAATGAGATATTTATGTACATAAGACTGACACACAATTAAATGACATTTTTAAATATTACTGTGCATATGAACTAAAAACAAATGCTTTTACACTATTTGTGGAAATTTAAATAGTAAAACCATTTTAGACAAGTATTTGAAATAATACAACTACCTCAACACTTGCTGGTACTAAGCCTATTTTTCATCTGATTTATTCCTCACCCTTTTGCTGCTCTACTCTGTATCATATGGAGTTTGTTACTTAAAAACAGTGCATCCCGTGTCCCAAAGTCAGATGCTTTCCTGCTCAGTTACATCCATGGGAAACAGAGGAAAACATTTCAAGGGGAAGACAGGGCAGAATTCATTCCTGCTTCAGCAAACAGTAACCAGCACCAAGCATCTGGAAACCCGTCTTCCCATCTGTCACTTTTCCAAAGGGTAGCAGGGGCTTCCTGCTTTGTTATCCTCTTCTGGCTTCACTGCCCTCTGGTAGCTTCTTATACATGTAAAACATTTTCTGCATTTTACTCCCTGTGGTTTAAATGCTCAAAATTGGTTCTACTTTTTCTCTTTAGACTCGAAGCAAACAATTTCATTCCTAGATATCTTCTTGCATATCTGCATCAAGACACATATGCAAAAAGCCTCAGAGTAGCATTATTTGTAACCCCTCCACACTGGAAACCACCCACATGCCCATCAAAATTAGCAAGAAATTAAATTGTAGCTTGTTCATAAAATGAATTTCATCCATGAAAAATGAATGATCTACAGTTTATATGACCACATAGATGATTCTCAGGAACATAAAGTTGAGAATGCAGGCAAGTCAAAACACCGTGCAGTTTAATTCTATTCATAAAAATCCAAAAGGAAGAAAAACTGCAGATGAAAGTACAAGAAAGATAAACTTTTTAAAATAGAACATTCATTATGCCTATGTGAGGAAGAGAAGGTAATTGGATCTGGAAGAAGCCACAGGTTTCTCTAAAATGCTTGTAATATTGTAATTATTTTAAATAGTGGGGTATGCAGGTATTTCTCATTTTTATTTTTACTTCATGCACTACACAAAATTTAAAATGTCCTTTCATATATTCCAAATATACAATTAAATAATTTATGAAGCATAATGAATGAAAAGGAGTTTATAGTCTATGGCCTATTTCTTATCTTTCCTTTTCTTCAAACTTGGTACTTTAATTTATCACCCTTTTTTAAAACTCCTTTAGAGAAAGCACAATATATTCTACATGAAAAGCACATGTGTTAAAGTACAGTTGATGTAATAAATAAGATATATATATATATATATATCTGCGTTTATAATAATGTGTGTGTACGTCTGTGAGTATTCATGTGCTGTGATTGGGATGTTTATATACCTCCTAAATTCATACATTGTAGTCCTAGCCCCCAAGGTGAAGGTATCAGGTATCAGGGCCTTTTTACATGTGATTAGGTCATGAGGGTGGGCCTTCATAATGCAATTAGTGTCCTTATAAAATAGGCACAAGTGAGCTTGTTTGTCCCGTGAGAACATATGAACAAGGAAATGGGTCCTCACCCCATATCAAATTTGTTGCTACGTTGATCTTGGATTACTAGCCTCCAGAATTGTGAGAAATACATCTCTATTGTTTACAGATTACCCAATATATGGTATTTTGTTATTGCAGCCTGAATGAAATAATATATACATTATTTATTTATATATAATATATGCATAAGCACGCATAAATATAACTGTATGTACATATATGTATACTATGTGATAAATTAGATAAGCTTAGCTTCTCATTATAAACGTGCAATGAGTTGTTTGATTAGAATTTCTAACCTTACAATAATTTTGTTTTTAAAGGTAATCAATTTTAATGAAGAAATCCTTCTTCAAATAATGACCTGTTCATGATATTCTTTAATTCTTACAAACACTTAACTTTTATATAAATCCTAGGTGAAATAGAGGAATATGATTTGGCTAATTGAATCAAAATAAATAATAGCTTTTAGGTAATTGTTGAGAATAGCATTGAAAATAATTATTTCTGGCTGGGTGAGGTGACTCACACCTGTAATCCCAGCACTTTCAGAGGCCGAGGTGGGTGGATCACGAGGTCAGGAGATCGAGACCATCCTGGCCAACATGGTGAAACCCTGTCTCTACTAAAAATACAAAAAATTAGCTGGGCGTGGCGGTGCGTGCCTGTAGTCCCAGCTACTCAGGAGGCTGAGACAGGAGAATCACTTGAACCCGGGAGGTGGAGGTTGCAGTGAGCCGAGATTGTGCCACTGCACTCCAGCCTGGGTGACAGAGAGAAACTCTGTCTAAAAAAAAAGAGAAAGAAAGAAAATAATTTCTGAGAAATCATTACGTAGGGGTCACTTATTAACCCATTAATTTATTTGTTAAATAGTTGCAGCCTTAGTGAACAACTCAATTGAAAAGTGCTTTGTGAGCAATTTTTGAAAACAGATAAATTGTCCAATAATATCAAATATTCTTTCTCTCATCACAGAGTCCACATTTCAGAAATGTCCATTTCCTTATGAAATATTTCCACAAATTATATACCTCTTTTTTTCCTCTTATTGACTCCGTTTTTATATTTAAATTTTTCACTAGGTCATTGATTTTCCACATTTACATAATCAGCAATATTGTAAGCCATCACCCTAAACTGATTAGTTGCTATTTCTGATGTAAATAGTATTCATTTTTCATTAGCCATTTATGCTTTCTTTATTATTTTCCATATAAGAAACAGCAATGAACCAGCTTCCATTTTTCTCAAAAAATAATTAATTCTTTCTCTTGAACTCTGCCCTTTAATTTTAGAGGTCAACAGTGATAGAAATTACATATATACACATACACAAATACATGCACAGTCAGACACCTACCTCTATCCTATGGCTGCGAAAATACAGTAAAATTATTATCCAAATACTTCTGAAGTGTAGATAAAGCATTATTAGAAGTAATGAATGTCTGTCTACATGTGAGAAATTGTTCTTGCTCTCCTTGGTCAATAGCTTCTTTTATTTGAGTTTGTTTGTTCGTTTGTTTCTTTATTAAGGTTAATCAGTAACAATTGTGGAACTCATAAGCATACTTTTCTTTGTTATGGACATGCAGTTTTTTGTTTGACAATTTTTACATTACATATTTTACATAGTAAAGATATGATAAATATAGCTATTGCCTTCAAGGACTTACTTAAATATAGCATATTATTCTGATAGCTATCAACATAATTTAATCTTATACACTTTAACTGCTTTTGCTCAGGAGGATTGTAAACATAAGATTTATTCTTTTGCAAACTTTATACTTGCCACTGATAAGGGCAGTTAATCTAATCCAGTTTCCACCCCTCAATACATATAGCATAATCAATACCTAGTTCATATTAAAACCTCTCCATTTTCTTATAAGATTCAAATGTTAGCTTCTTGAATACTGATTGCTTACTTATCTATTTATGTTTCTTCTTTCCCAGATATTAGTTTTCCACAAACACCTTCTTGAAAAACCTATTGCCGTACAAGCCCCTGGAGAAATCACCTCCAGAAATTAGAGTGCTTTTCTGTCCTATTACCACCTTAATAGCAACTCCTAGACTACTATCTGGCATGTTGGAGGCCTCACTAAATATTTTTCTTTTTTTTCCTTACCTTTTTTTTTTTTTTTCCTTTTTTGAGACAGGGTTTTGCTCTTGTTGCCTAGGCTGGAGTGCAATGGCATGGTCTCGGCTCACTGAAACCTCTGACTCCCAGGTTCAAGCGGTTCTCTTGCCTCAGCCTCCCGAGTAGCTGGGATTACAGGTACCTGCCACTAAGCCCGGCTAATTTTTTTTGTATTTTTAGTAGGAATGGACTTTCACCATGTTGGCCGGGCTGGTCTTGAGCTCATGACCTCAGGTGATCCAATTGCTTAGGCCTCCCAATATGCTGGGATTACAGGAATGAGCCACCGTACCTGGCCACACTAAATATTTTTCCAAAGAACAAATACATTTAAAATTTCTGATAGGTTGAAAGTGTTAAATATTTCTCTTATATACGGTTTTGAAATTATCTTTTAAGGTACAGGCACATTGAATTTTACTCTTTTAAAGACCTTATTTCTCAAGTCCTTTATGGCTGCTACAAAGCATTTGTTTAGTTTCTGTCATCTCAAGTATATTCTCACTCTGTTCTCTATAGCTAATTCTATTCAAGGACAGAGTACTTGTTTCTTCTCTTCTTAGTGAAAAATTAAACAATGGAGAGTGAGCAAATGCAGGATGTGTCAAAGCAATCAACGCCACAAGGCTCTTTAAAGACCTATATTTAGTTTATTCATAGATCATGCAGCAGATAGACGTGGTCCACTTAAAATTTCCATTAGAAGACTGTCAGAGCAGCTGAGCAAAAATTATTTTCACTGTGAAGCTGACAGTATTTGAAGAAGAAAAATCTTTATGCATTTAAATAATAAGAAGGGTAACAATCATTTACATAATTTGTAGGCTGTAATGTAGTTTGTAAACACTACACTTCATTGAAACTGTTTCTTTGTTAGCAAATTATTGTATTACAGTGGGATCTATGATGATATGAAGTTACTATCATTGCTTTGTTCTCTATACATAAGGGGAAATCCAATCAAACGTTAGTTTTTTTGTGTTTCTTTCTTTCTTTCTTTCTTTTTTTTTGAGACGGAGTCTTGCTCTGTCGCCCAGGCTGGAGTACAGTGGCATGATCTCAGCTCACTGTAAACTCCATCTCCCAGATTCAAGCAATTCTCTTGCCTCAGTCTCCAGAGTAGCTGGGATTACAGGCATGTGCCACCACGCCCAGCTAATTTTTGTATTTTTAGTAGAGACGGGGTTTCACCATGTTGGCGAGGCTGGTATTGAACTCCTGACCTCAGGTGATATATCCACCTTGGCCTCCCAAAGTGCTGGGATTATAGGCATGGGCCACCGTGCCTGGCTGAAAGTTAGTCTTATTATTAGGAAAAAATAATTGTTTCTCATCTTTTTCAGATACTAGGTAAGAATTTAGCTGTTTATAACTTGGATCTACATATTTAATCTGAAATATTTTAGCTTTTTTTTTTAATTTCAGAGGTTAGGTATTAGCATTCAAAAAGGCATTAATAACACAACATTCTGACCAATGTAAACAAAAAAACAAAATATAGTTAATCATGTTAATCATGTAAAGGCAGTCTCTGACTTTTAAAATCACAATATTTTATCTTCCTGAGTGTAATTATACTTTATTTTATTTTAACAAAAATAATAACTCTTTCAAATATAGTAGTACTGGTTACATTTGTAATGAACGACTATTTACCAGTCAAGTGGAAACATTGTACTTCAATATTAAAAAGTTATAATTCAATATTGAAAAAATGGTTTATTACATTCTATTTATGTAATAATATTGACTAAAATTTATCAGTACATTAATAAATATATTATATTTCATATTTTCTACGATTTATGGCAAGTTCCCATTTTTTTCTCCCTTTCGGAGTACCTTTTAGTCTTCTGGACATTTAATTTTCCATAAGAATTTTAGAATATTTTTGTTTATCACCACAACTACTATCTCACTATAAATGATATCAATCAACAGTCTACATTTAATCCATATAACTTCTTAATGATTCATCAACTAAATGAGCACTTGAAATTACAGCATATTTAGTCTTTTCAGAATTGTTGATAAATATATTTAAATGCCAGATTGCATTTGCCGAAAATTATACTGGTTGTCTTAAAATATTGCCTCATAGCCACCAGTTGAGAGACACCTGTCTGAGTCACCTGGATATGCTTGCCAGCTTTCATTCCATGGCGTATCCTGAAGGGACCCTGTTTCAGCTCCAGTTCCTTTTGGCTGCAGACAGGGAGAAATCTTCCCTGTGCAGGAAACAGTTGGGAGACTCTCCCATCTGTGCCACCATGACAGGATTACCAGCCTCTATCCTACAGCAGATTAAGTGGTCCTGAAGCTCAACTCTAGCCTCTTTATAGTGCAGCCTGGGAACAATCCTGATGGCACAGAGAGATGCTGAGAAATATGCCCATGAGCACCAACTGGACGGGCTTGCTGGCATCCATCATAAAGCAGATCCTGATGGGACCCTGTCTCAGCCTCAACCCTTCTCTGCTGCAGCCTCAGACGTACCCGACCCGTGTAGGTAACTCATGGGAGAGACAGTCCGAAAGGCATGCTGGCTCTGTCCCATTGCAGTTCCAGAAGGTGCCCTGAATTTTAGCTCTAGCCCCTGTCAACTGCAGTCTGTAAGCCTGTCCATACAATAAACAATAATATTGATAAATATAAATAAAAAATTATTATTGTTTTTTCTGATGTTCAATGTTGAATATCATTTTCCACAGCTTTTGTTTCCTTTGCATTAATACTATGAAGTTTCAGGATGCATCCTATAAAGAACATAATTCAAATTCAGCTGGTGGTTAATTTTATCATGTATTGTGGTGTTTTTGCTCACATTTTAAAATCACTCTGAATAAAATGTGTTCATTCACTTGAGATCAATTTTTCTTACTCATTCTTCTCACTTGACATCTCACATAAGCCTAATTGGTACATTTTGTCAAAGTACCCCACTGAGTAAAGTACACAAAGAGATTTCTTTAAAGTCATCTAAGGAGATAAGTTACTATAATAAATCCAGATTAGTCAAAAGAAATAGGTAAGAGGATAAAATAAACAAATTCAGCTTGCTGATAAACAGTATGTATATAGAGAAAACACCTATATTCAACTTTTTTTAACTTCCTTCCTGCCAAGTAATTACTTACTTTCTTTGTATTTTTAATTTGGTATCCAAGAGACACTCGAACAACAAGAAAACAAAGTCAAATAAGAAAGAAGTAAAATAAGGCAAACCATCATTATTCTGTACTTCACTGGACTCCGTAGTTGTTATTCAGATTTGCTTTAAACTGACTGATCATATGAATTGATGGGGTGCTCTCCAGTGCAACTGTGTCTCTGACAACGGGAGCAATATAACTCTATTTCCTAATCATACTAGCATGTCGACTAACAGCTTTATATTGGAAAATAAATTTCATGCAAAGAACACCAGGCACAAAGAGAAAAATGTAGGAAGGCATGAGTAAAAACAATAAGAGCCAAGATGAATGAGGTAGATACAGGACCATAAATCTTAGAAATTCCACTTGTTTACTGTTGATCATTCAGCTATCTGAGAAGCAGCAAGAAATTGGTCTTTTGATTCTGACTTTGTGCTTCCCCATGAAAATTAACTCCAGTAGAACTAGGTTCAATAATTTTAATTAGTTGCTTTTACCTGCTGGACATAGAAAAAATTTGAAATCCAGCATAATTGAGTACCTGTTTTGTGGCCCAATAATATGTATTTCAAACATTGTTTAAACCCTAGAAGAATGATTGGCCTCTGCACATGCATGTAGGAAAATTCTGACCAACGGTCTTTATTTATATATCGCACTGAATCAGGAAGGTGTTTTATTACAGCACTTCTTCCCCCTTCTCCAAAAGAAAAAATCAACAGAGAATAGAGGTTCTAAGAGAACATTCCTATCAGTCTGCTGTTCAGAAAATAATGCAAATTCTGAATCCTCCAAAATGACAAAACTTAACTGATTGTTCCATACAATTAAATAGTTATTTTTAAACTAAAAATAATGCATCATCTTGGGATAATGAATCCCCTCTTAAATATAAATGTGTATCATTATTCACTATTCAGCGATTTGAGTGATTTAATTATTTGAGTTAAAAATAAACTAATGTAAGAATAATAATTAAAAACTCTAATTATATTACATTGATATTTAAGAAGGGACAGCCGACTGATAGGGATGTTCTCTTAGAACCTCCATTCTCTGTTGATTTCCTTTTAGAGAAGGAGAAGTGGTGCTATAATAAAGCATCTTCCTGATTCGGTGCCATATTTAAGTAAAGACTGTTGGTCAGAGTTTTTCTACATATACGTGCAGAGGTCATTCTTTTTGATTCCCTCTTGCAAATAAAGTGACTAATATAGAGACCAAAAACATTTTGTGAACATTAATGTCTCTCTGCCTATGGAAGATTTCCATTAATTATAGTTTTCTTGATATTTTAGTAGCATATCTGAAAATTTTAGTGTAAAATCTAAGTTTAAATATAACTAGAAAAAAATGTTGAAACATTTTAAAATCTAACATATAGTGACAAACTAGAACAATTCAGAATAGCATCTATCCATTTTCTGTAGTATAAAAATAAACAATTGTTATAGTTTGTGTTAAAGTATATCTATTGCTTCCCTGAGAGTTAAAGGCTAAAAAAAATAAAAGTAAAGAGTGTAAAAAAAAATAAAAAAACTGTGAACTTACATAAGAAAACAGACAACTTCCTTATCAAAAGTGACCTAACAGTTATCTGGAGTTAAAAGGCTTATATTTGGAAAGTTAGGAACTTCCATTGATATGTTAATATTTTATCACTCAGAGCTATGCCTTACTGAGATATAAAAGATCTCTTGGTACTTTTAAAATTTCATAAATTAAAAAAATTTAGAAGCAGGTGTGGTGGTGCACACCTACAGTCTCAGCTATTCTGGAGGCTGAGGCGGGAGGATCACTTCAACCCAGAAGTTGAAGGATGCAGTCAGCTATGGTCATTCCACTACATTCCAGTCTGAGCTACAGAGTGAGACCCTGCATTTTTTTAAAAAAAGAATAGATGAAATTATGCTTTATTATGCTTTCATTGGTCATTTTATTCTTTTTTATATCATAAAGATATAGTGCAGTATAACTTTTTCCATGTTATTGATAAAAAATAGTAATTTTTATCTGCATCTAAGGGAGTTTGTTTCATGAAAGCATGGATTGAATTTGCTTACTATTTTCTCTCTCCAGTTAGCTCAGTTTCTACTAATGAGTAGGTACTTAAATATATTAGTGAAGTAGATTAATAAAGGAATAAAAATGTGCACTTACTATGATTAAACAATATAAGTAGACTAAGAAATGTGGAAATTCCACCAGTAATTGCTCAGTAAAGTATGGTAGTCCTCTTCTGTCTTCCTGAAACTAGGCATCGCTATTCCAATTCATTGTCTGTCAGAGCATTACAGCTTACTTTTTGAGTTGTAATCTAATCTCTCTGAAACTTCTTTGCTGAGACTCTGCATTAAAGACAAACTTGTAAGGTAAATGAGGATTGGTATCCCCATAGTCACTCTGGACATATTCTTTAGATCTGTCAAAAGGAGGTGGGGCTGCCATTGCATTATTATTTTATCTGTATGGTTAAGAGTTCAATGCCTTTTGCACCCAGGGAACTTAAACTTAATGAAAGCACAGACTGTCTGCTTCATTCTCCATTTTGTTGCCAAAAGTTTGCACATTGTAATTAAAGTATCGGCTTCGCTGGGCTCTTCATTGCTCTCAGGCTAAAGAACAACTCCCTTATGAATCTGACAAGGCTGTTTACAACACTATCCTTAAGTGCCTCTCCGGGGTATCTAGTTCCTACTTCTTCCATCTCACTCTAGGCTCCTAGACCTGCTACTTTAACTTTTGCCCCTAGGTCTTTTCACATGTAATTGCTTTCTCCTGAAACATTTCACATCTTCAGCTTTTTCTGAACTCCATCAAAACTAATTCTAACTCTAGTTTAGACATCATTTTCTCCAGAATTAACATGACATGTGAAACCAGGGTTAATTTCCCTTTCTATTCATTCTCAATTTATACCTTCCAACATGGCAATGTTCCTAATTATATTATTATTATTATTATCTCTTACGCAAGTACAAATCTTGTATCTCCCGTCTTTCAAGAGCAGCCTCTATTTCTGCTCCATGAAGCAAGACTTAACACTTCATTGCTTTCTCCTTCACCAATAAGACATCTCCAACACCCACCAAAAAAAGAGAGGGAATCCACAAATCACTAGAGAAAAATATAGATTTTACTGAAGATTTTCAACAGAAGATTAAAGAGGTAATATCTATAGCTTGGCTCTCAGTATTTCACTCCAATACTTTCCAGTAGCTTTCTCTCAAGCTTGACTTTTGGGCCATAGGCCACAGGCCTTCTCTTTCTCTTTGAAACTTTCTCTATTTGGTTGCACATTAAATTTTGTTCTGTGAATTATAGCAGCTATGGTAACAAAGGAAACATACTGAAATTCATTCTTCTTCTTGTAAGACAATAAGCTCATCATCACTGGCCATCAGAGAAACGCAAATCAAAACCACAATGAGATACCATCTCACACCAGTTAGAATGGCGATCATTAAAAAGTCAGGAAACAACAGGTACTGGAGAGGGTGTGGAGAAATAGGAACACTTTTACACTGTTGGTGGGACTGTAAACTAGTTCAACCATTGTGGAAGACAGTGTGGTGATTCCTCAGGGATCTAGCACTAGAAATACCATTTGACTCAGCCATCCCATTACTGGGTATATACCCAAAGGATTATAAATCATGCTGCTATAAAGACACATGCACACATATGCTTATTGTGACACTATTCACAATAGCAAAGACTTGGAACCAACCCAAATGTCCATCAATGATAGACTGGATTAAGAAAATGTGGCACATATACACCATGGAATACTATGCAGCCATAAAAAAGGCTGAGTTCATGTCCTTTGTAGGGACATGGATGAATTTGGAAACCGTCATTCTAAGCAACCTATCGCAAGGACAAAAAAACCAAACACCGCATGTTCTCACTCATAGGTGGGAATTGAACAATGAGAACACTCGGACACAGGAAGGGGAACATCACACACCGGGGCCTGTCGTGGGGTGGGGGGAGGGGGGAGGGATAGCATTAGGAGATATACCTAATTCAAATGATGAGTTAATGGGTGCAGCACACCAACATGGCACATGTATACATATGTAATAAATCTGCACATTGTGCACATGTACCCTAGAACTTAAAGTATAATAATAAAAAAAGACAATATATGTTAAAAGCAAATTAAAAAAAATTAATGATGACCCTCCTCCCTTTTTTGATAGATTTAAAAAATATATCCAGAATAATTATAGGGATATAATCCTTATTTACTTTGCCACTTAGTCTTTAATGCCGTGTCTCAAGAAGTAGTTTTCCAAAGTGTTTTATGAGCCTCACATAATGTAAATAAAACAAAGTGGACTTCATATTTTAAGAAGGAATCTGTATTTAAATAATGAGATGATTTGTATAGTTTAATTATAAAAATATGCAAAATCAGCATCCTCATTACAATAAGTAAGTAGTTCATATCTTGAGTGTCTTTCACTTTCTGTTTCACTTTACCTGAATGTTGAAATCAATATGCATTTTCGAAAAATCCAATATGAATGATTTTCAAAAATAATTATAGGTTAATATTATTTTTTTTTTTTGCAGAGAGTTTATTTACCTGAGTATCATTGCATAATATCACATTATGGCAATATTGGCTCCAGCCTCTTAAATAGTGGGACATAAAATTGCTGTAAAAATTATAGATACTACTGCATTTAAATTTTACTTAGAAAATCTGACAAAGTTGTAATTAATAAGTGCAATAATTTGTGCAGGAGGATTTCTATTTCCAGCCTGGACTCTATTCATGAAACCCAGACTGGCATACGCAAATGCCATCAAAACATCCACACCTGGATAGCTGACAGGCATTTCATGCTTAACTTATCCAAAACAAAACACTTGCTCATTCCCAACTATCCTTCCTTCAGTCTTGCCCATCTGAGCTGGGGAAAACACCCTCAATTCAGCTGTGCAGTCTGGAAGCTTTGATAACATCCTTGACTCCTTTCTTCTTTGATATATTACATCCAATGCATCAGCAAATTGCATAATCTCTACCTCCAAATTATATTTAGAATTGAACAACATCTCACTACCTCTACTAATACCACCTTGGTCGTAGCCGTCAAGATCAATGACCTGCATTTTTGCAATCTTCTTTTACCTCGTCTCCTCCCAACCTCAGGTATTTCTTACCATACCAGCTAGAAAGCATCTTTTAAAAACTTATTTCCAATCATGTTACTCTTCTGCTCAATACCCCAAGGACATCCATTCTCTCACAGAGTAAAAACTGAAGTCCTAACAAAGACAAAGGAAGCCCATAATTATCTCCTGTAACTCCATTAGTCTCCTGCTTATCTTCTGCGTTCATCTCCTGCCATGGGAGGCTCCCTCTGTAACTTCCTTCCACACACATTAGCCTCCCCATAGTTCAGACACATGTCAGTCAGAAGACCTTTGAGGAGACTGGAACACCTACCCCTAAATATACATGAGACTCACACTCTCTCACCTCACTGAGGTCTTTACACAAATTCCCCCATCACTGAGACTTTTCAGAATGACTCCAGCTTAAATTAAAGCTCCCCATTTTCTACGTCTTTTTATCATTTCTTTTCCTCCAGTGCACTAATCATCATCTGACACACTACATATTTATTGTTTATGCACTTCCCTACCACTAGAATATATATTTCATAATCACAGGAAGTTGTGAATGTTTGTTGTGAATGTTTGTTCAGTGCTTTATCCCCAGGGTCGAGAGAATCTAGATGGAACTCCATTAATACTTGTTGAGTGAATGCGTTATGGGAGCAAGCTATTTAAACTATAGAAAAAGTAATGCGTTATTTTAAACATTAATGTTATCTTTACATAATGATGTGAGGTATGTAAGACTGGCATTACAATACTCACTTGGCAGTTGAAGAAAATGAGTAGAGAAAAGATTAATAGTATTTCTTAAATTAGACCTCAGGCTTCTTGAATTCTGTAAATGTGTCAGAGACCGTAGATTCCTAATGCTTCTGTAACAAATTACCATATACTCCCTGGCTTAAAACAACACAGCTTTATTATCTTACACTTCTGGAGGTTAAAAGTCCAAAATGGGTCTCACTAGACTTGAAGTGGGTGTCCGCAGGGCTGCATTCCTTCTGGGGACTCTAGGAGAGAATCTGTGTCATTGCCTTTTCCGGCTTTTAAAGGCACGACACTCCTTGGCTCATGGCTCCCAGGTCACAGCCACATCTCTGCAATCTGTTTCGGTGCTCACATGTCTTCCTCTGACTCTCCCGTCTCTCATTTACATGTGTAAAGACACTTGTGATTATACTGAACCCACAGGAATAATCCAGGACAATCTCACCAATTCAAGAACCTTAATTTAATCACATCTACAAAGTCCCTCATCCCAGGTAAGGTAACATATTTACACTTTGGGGGATTAGGAAGTGAGTATTTTTTAGGACTATTATTCTGCCTCCTACACAAGAATAGCATAAAATAGTCTTAGATTTTTTTTATTTTTTATTTTCATAGATTCATGGGCAACATGTGCAGGTTTGTTACATGGATATATTGGATAGTATCGGGGTTTGGACTTCTAGCGTACCCATCGCCTGAATAGTGAACATTGTACCCAAAAGGTAATTTTTCCACCTTCAGGTCAGGCACGGCGGCTCATGCCTGTAATCCCAGCGCTTTGGGAGGCTGAGGTGGGTGGATTCACTTGAGTTCATGAGTTCGAGACCAGCCTAGCCAACACGGTGAAACCGTGTTTCTACTAAAAATACAAAAATTAGCCGGGCGTGGTGGCACAGGCCTGTAATCCCAGCTACTCGGGAGGCTGAGGCAGGAGAATTGCTTCAATCTGAGAGGCGGAGGTTGCAGTGAGCCAAGATTGTGCCACTGCACTCCAGCCTGGGAGACAGAGCGAGACTCTGTCTCAAAGCAAAACAAAACAAAACAAAAAAAATTTCCACCTTCAGCATGAAATATTCTATCTTATATCATGACTATAATTTTAATACTCATTACATGGTTATTTTTCTTACAAAGATTTTAAATTTTGTAAGTTTCATAAATGCATTTCAAAAATTATCAATCTGAATTTAGTACTACAAGGTTATTTTCTGTTACTAAACATCTTGCTTTGAAATGTGTAATACATACAGTTGCTTGTGTCTTTTCTTCCTTGTTTTAATGATTTAAAGTAATTACAGAAATTGATTATTGATTGAAGCAGTAGTTCAAGTCAGATGCTCTCTTTTATAACATTTTTCTACATACTCATTTAAGTAGGTATTTTAGTTTAAAGCTTCTAAACACATCAACATATTTCCTTTTCTTTGGTATCCAGTAAAATGAGGATTTTAATTAAAAAAAATTAAGGCAGTGCCTGGAATTGTCCTCACTGAAATTTGGTTAGTAATAGATGAGTGCATACTGGAAATCAAAAACCAATCGCTTCTCTAAAGTGATGATGATTATGAGATTTTGGTAAGTAATCAGTTTTATATTCTGTATTATATATTTTCTTTTCCCAAAATAGCCATTATAGAAATTATATTAGCATATGGTTGACATATGTTGGATATAAATGGAAAAATTAGTAAGTTAACTCTACTCTAGACACCCTGTAAACACAAGCACTGTTCACCTGTTAGGGAGTGGCCAACTGAGACAATCGGCTTCAAAGTTTGCAATTAACGATTATGCTGGCCTGAACTTCACAAATAAAGATGACTTTTGAAAAGTTAATTTATACATTTTAAGCAGGCAATTACCCACAACTTACTAGTGTGGTTCCATAAGTATGTAAGGCAAAGTAAAAGACACCAGTAGTAAAGTTGAAGTAGAGTGGTAATAAAGTAGACTTCACTCTTTGAATTGACTAAACAAGAAGGGTTTTTGTAAGACAAATATCAAGCTACTAATTGAAACTGATATTGAAAATAATTCATTGAAAAAAATTACAGATATACTGTCTTTTTATGAGAAACAAATTAAATGAAATATTCTAAATATATTCCGTAAACACTTATAGAGCAACATTTATAAGACACACAGAAAAGCTGATATTTATTTAATGTTTTGTATCAGACACTGCTCTAAATCTTCTATCTATATTAACTCACCTAATTTATGTTACGCTAAAGAGTTAAAACTGAACTTTCAACCTAAAAATATGATTAGCAATCAAATGTGAAATAAAAGTATTGTTAAATATTCACAATGCAGACCAACGATACCGTTCACTTCTTTCACTCCATACTTGACTCATGAGAGTGCCAATAGTCAAGTATTTAAAAGTTGACCTCGACATTGAGACATTTCTTATTTAGACAAAGAAGAAACTAACCTGCAGTCTCCTGTAAAACATTTTGAGCTTATTTGCTGATTGTAACCGATAAAAATAATCAGCTTCAGAATTTAAGTGCAACACAACTACAATTTTGTTTTTTTATAATCAAGTAGTTGTAATATTTCTCTGCGGCTAAAGTACATGCTTAATTATAAGTTTAAGCACTTAAAATGTGTTTTATGAAACAAGAGGAATTAAAGATTTATTTTCTGTTATGAATGTTTTAATATTTTCTTAAACTTACATTCAACTATAGCAGAAGATAATTCATTGCTAGTATGTTTAATATAATTTGTCTCTATATATATTTTTTGCCTGATTTCAGGTCATTTATAATAACAACTTCGAATTTATGGGACATTAATCAGATAATCAGCTTCTTTTGATGGAGGGATACAAAAGGTGGCATGATGCAGGAGAGGTATAAAAAGAAGGTTGCCTAGAGATACTCAACTACCAACAGATCATCTCATTCATTTCTATTCAAGTCTTTGCATAATATTTTGTTGAATATCATTCATTGTTTATACATATTTGTCTTTACATGCTTAATGAAAAATGGTCTTTTTCCTCAAAATTCTATTTGAAAATAACTTTGAAGAAAAAGTGTCATTAGTGCTTTGTTACATGCTTTATTAATGTAATACCTGGCAACATAACCTATAAAATAACTTAAAAATGAACTACCCTTTAGCTTCCTCAGTTGTATTCTTATAAATATTTAAAATAAACATTCAAAACTCTATTAAAAGAAGGTGTTGGTTACATCAACATCTATCCATTTTTATTATTACTAAGAATATTTTAATATTCTTACTACATACTACAGACTATAATTTCTAGTCTTGCATTGAAGCAGAAGAGACGTGTGCAACTTCTGGGAAGGGTCTTTAGGAAGGAGGAAAAAGCTGTATCTTCACATTTCGTTTCCCTGTTACAGACTGCAACATAGTGTGATGAGTTAGCCTTAACCCGGTGGATTGTCAACCCATTCTACAGATAATCTTCCTCTCTAACAACATTAAGTTTTCCTGCTTGCCTTTGTCCACCTAACGTGACTGTCACATAAAAAAGAAACAAATTTATATACTGTTCAAGTCACTGTGTTTTGTGGTCCTTTATACAAGCAGCTTAGCCTGCATTCTAACCATAAGGATTTTGGTACAAAGATGTAGGAAAATGCTGGACAAAGACCAAAAACAGTCGGGCTCGATGGCTCATGCCTGTAATCCCAGCACTTGGGGAGGCCGAGGTGGGTGGATTGCTTGAGGCCAGGAGTTCAAGACCAGCCTGACCAACATGGCCAAACCTCATCTCTACTAAAAATGCCAAAAATAGCCAGTTGTGGTGGTGCATGCCTGTAATCCCCGCTACTCAGGAGGCTGAGGCAGGAGAATCGCTTGAACCTGCGAGTCAGAGGTTGCAGTGAGCCGAGATCGCGCCACTGCACTCGAGCCTGGGCAAAAGAGTGAGGCTCCATCTCAAAGCAAAAAACAAACAAACAAAAACAACAACCAAAAACCCCAAAACAATGTGTTACCCTAACAGAACAGGGAAAAGACTGAACAAGGACTCACAGCTACTATTGCTGAAGTTGATGACCTTTGGTAAGTCATAGCAAAAATGTCGCCAGTGATCCCTGGAAGGTAGACCAACATAGCTTGATTGTTGAGCAGAAATAATTGAAAAAGCACGAAATATTTTCCGCTTAGTAAAGATCTACCAGAGAAGAACTTTTATTACGTAGAGTTGGCTTGCTTCTAAAGAGGCAGCATGATCAGAAGCCAACATTCTTCCTCAAGCTTTTTCTACCTCTGCAGCTAGACTTTGGAAGCCAGTCCAACTGCGAGTATCAAATTAAGGACATTCGTTAACCACTCAGGTTTATTGCACCAGAATGCTTTAATGCAAGTCCAGTCTGCACAGCCGAACTACACTGTTAAAAGGCTGCCAGTGAAGGCAGCAGGCTAGGGCTGAAACATTGCTTCAGCTTTATTCAACATGTACTGAAGCTGGCTGTGCCTAGAGATAGGAGCATCTACTTCTCACAAAAGCACTATCCACTCGCTAAGTTAATGCCTGGGGGAGCGCGGCAGCACCAGCGAAGTTTATTTTTCTAATCTATCCCTCCAAAGTGGTGTCTCATCTCTAACTCTCATTTTGAGGCCCTGCTTTAAAGTAGTTGTCATTATATTGATAGAAATGGCAGGTTCTGTGGCCAGTAAACACCAGAAAACAAACAAGATTTCAAAGATTAACAGACAACAAAACAAACCAACTATGTAAAGATATAATCTTTGTTTAATCATTTTCACACAAAACTTATTAGAAGCAAGAAAACTTAAAACCTGCTGTGTGTTTTGCAGCAAGTGTATTATTACCTAAATAAATGAACAACAAACTACAATGACTTGGGTAAATGTTAGGCAGGTTTTAAGGACATAATTTTTCTTTCTCAGTCCAATCTCAGATGTGGCCAAGAAGTTTCTAAGCAGAGAAAAACGTTCAAGAGAGCGAAACCCAGAACTGCCATAAATATTCATCAAGGAAAATCTCTTGAGTAGCAGAGCAGATACTTTTCACATGTATGTATTAATTTACTTTAGAAAAGAGGATGTTTGTTTCTTATTCTTCCATTTTCCAAATGAGAGTATTATGGTAGTGACCATATTCCTATTCTCTATTATATTTTATATCGGAGAGGATTTGATTTAGCCCATGAGTCAAAAACCTGCTGGTGTCCGGGCGCGGTGGCTCACGCCTGTAATCCTAGCATTTTGGGAGGCCAAGGCGGGCAGATCACGAGGTCAGGAGTTTGAGACCATCCTGGCAAACACGATGAAACCCTGTCTCTACTTAAAAAAAATACAAAAAATTAGCCGGGCATGGAGGCACGTGCCTGTAGTCCCAGCTACTCGGGAGGCTGAGGCCAGAGAATTGCTTCAACCTGGGAGGACGAGGTTGCAGTGAGCCGAGATCATGCCACTGCACTCCAGCCTGGGTGACAGAGTGAAAAGCGAGACTCTGTCCAAAAAAAAAAAAAAAAAAAAAAAAAAAAAAAAAAAACCAAAATAAAAACCCCTAGTGGAATTACTTATCAAAAAAAAAAAATTGTGGGATTTACCTTGCGATAGTGAATGAATAGATCTGCGTGTTACCCTGTAACACAGATCCCTGTGTTATTGCATTAAAAATGAGTGTTTTTCATTTGTGGGAAGAATAACCTGCCTGGCTACCCAGCAAAACTCTATGCCCAGCTCCTTCAGTAGGTGTTCCGTAACTTCCTATTTTGGTTAAAAGGATAGAAGCAGAAATGATGTGTGCAAATTCTAGGTTATTTAATTCAAATGATATGAATTACTCTTCCCTTTTTTCTTTTTTATTTTTCCCACTGGTTAACACTCTTTTTCACATGATAGGCAAAGGCCTATAGGGATAGAGGAGTAGAAGATGAAAGAAGTGTGGTTTCCTGACATGATTAAGCTACTATAAAACCTGGAAATGCCCTGGTATGTTAGGTGAGAGGTAAATATATCTCTATTTTTAAGCCACTGTATATTGGGGTCTTATAGTTCATAATATTTGATGGATCAATAACAAACTATGACTCTCCAAATTTGAAACATTGCATGGAGAAAAAAAAAGACATTTTGAATAACAACCTGTCTGCTCTTTTCATTGTTTTCTCACCCTGGCTCACTCACTGCAGCACTAGATGATTTAGACTTAACGCATCGGGCACACAGCATTCACTCAATAAGTGTTTGTTGAACGAATTCATTTTCAAATTTCCGTCATTCATTATTCACCATTCTTTCTTTCCAGAGACAAGAAATTTGCCTTGAGAAAGTTTTATAATCTCCGTAGAGTTGCAACAATTTTAATATTATTCCTATGCCTTTATCAAAGCACAAACATATGAGCCAAATTGGCCTCATGGAACAAAATGAAATTAGCTTTTGACAGAGCAATTTCAAAATAAATTACCCCAAACATGCTCTTTTCTCTTTTGTAAATGCAAAGCTCTGTTGTTGAACAAATATGCTTCTGTGCTTTGGTGATGAAATCTATTTGATCTGCCTCTCCTTAAGTTTTAGCTATCATTGTGCTCAGAGCTAGATTTGGGGCTCAGTTTCAATAGCATCTTATTAACTACACTCATTCATTTTTTTAGCTTTCTGCATACATTGTTGGGAGTGCATCTGAGAAGGAGAAATTAGGTATACAGAAGCAAGGGAATGCTGGCCTAGCATGAAGATGGGCCACATCATGCCCAGCTACCAAGGGAAGAACAGGCTTCATCACAAGATCTCCAAGCATCCATGATTTGACTTGTATCATCTTATACATTCTTACTATGTATTATGTGATTTTATAGGAAATATAATATAAATCAATATATAACTTCATATTCATGTTAATATATAGCTATGTCTTTATCCAAACTAAAATATAAATTATACTTTAAGACATTCCAAAAGATTTAATAGAGTTGGTAGAAATTAAATAGCTAATAAATAAATACTAGTCTCATTTTCCCTATGCATATTTTTACTTTTAAATTTTGATTAAAAAGAAAAATATTAAAAATAATATTGATAGAAATACATCTGGTTAGTCCTACCTATTAATTTTTTTTTTTTTTGAGATGGAGTTTTGCTCTTGTCTCCCAGGCTGGAAAACAGTGGCATGATCTTGGCTCACTGCGACTCCGCCTCCCAGGTTCAAGCGATTCTCCTGTCTCAGTCTCACAAGTAGCTGGGATTACAGGCACCCGCCACCATGCTCAGCTATTTTTTTTATTTTTATTATTTTTTTATTTTTAGTAGAGACAGGGTTTCACCATGTGGCCAGGCTGGTCTCAAACTCCTGACCTCAGGTGATCCGCCTGCCTCGGCCTCCCAAAGTGGTGGCATTACAGACGTGAGCCACTGCGCCCAGCCAGTCCTACCTATCAATTTTTACATAAATGATACTGGCCAGAAAGAATAAAGCTGACAGGATAAAAAGTAAGGGTACAATTAAAGGATACAAACAAATGTAATGTAATAAATGAATAGAGAAGTTTCCACATATAGGCTGTTATGATGCTCTGCTTAGTCTTTACTTGACTGTGTTCCATATGCATCATATAGAAAGTTCTCTTCTTGTTACTCATTTTTCTCTTTGTGCTTTACTAAATATAATTTCTATTGTATTCTCTTTCAGTTCATAGGTCTTTTTTTCTACTGAGTTCATTATTTATTTCCTGTGAGTATCTGTCCACTCCTGTGTTAACAGGTGAAAGGCATGAGAGGTCACCTCAATGTCATAGTAAAATGTCTGTTTCAATAACAGGTCACAGCGATTAGCTTTGAAGATGTGACTTTGGTATACATGCTGCAGGGTTCTGCTTTAAGGAGGACTATGCCTCTCAATATTTCACACTGCCTTTCAGGTCCAGCCCACGACCACTGAGGTATCAACTTCACTGGACTTGGCAGATCTTTGTTACATCTTCCTGGAAGTTCTAGCCTTTGCATATTTTGAGTTTAGCTTATTAGATTTTAACCACATGTGGCTTCATAACCTGGCAAATGTCTGGAAGGAAAAACATGTCTTATATATGTTGAAGGTTTCTCTTTCTAGTCCTTGTCTCCTGTGCATTTTATAACAGTGGGGTAGCACTGAGGCCATTGGTCAATTATGCAGATTTCCCAGAAGCAGTAGATCTGAGTACTTGTTTTCCTGGTGAGCACAGTCTACCACTTGGGCCACACAGATCCACTTTCTAAGCAGTGTTAGAGAATAGCTCCTCCATGGCTGCTGGAGACTTCTCTTCCTGTAAGAAAATTTAGAAGAGGGAGATTAATAGAATGAAATATAGGCTCCATCTCTGCAGACGGTCTCCAGCTTGCAACTGGTACTCATTCTCTCTCTCTCCTATACTATTCATTCTAAATTATTCTTGCCCTTTGCTTTCACTTTGGTAGTTTTTAGTGAACTATTCATTAGTGTGACACCAGCCATCATTATTGAGTCAATGGAAGCCGTGTTCCTTTCAGGAAGGGTTGCTGCTCATATCCATTCACCATTATAATGGATCAGTGAAGAGCTAGGAGGGACCAATAGTGACATGGCTCCATACATATTTCTCTCTGCTCTCATTTTTGTAAAAGCAAACCAACTACCACCTGTTGACCAGAGTCAACTATCCCTCAATGAACGGCAATTTCTATTCAAGCTGGCTACTTCCCAGCTACAAGAATTCTACAGTGTTTTGCAAACATTTATAGTTTGGAGTTCATTGAAACCCTTGCCATGTTCCTGGTGAATTCTCCCTTTGACAACCAGGAGCTGCAATCCTAGCATTGCAGAGACAATGTAAAATCCCACTGAAAAAGTGAGATACCTGGGTGACTCCTGCTTTGAGCTACAAAGTGTAAACCTTTGGAGAGAGGTTAGGATTGGAGGGGCTGATGTTGATATTACACTTTTTATTTAAATATATTCGCATTGTTTGGATGTTTTAATTTTTTTATTTTTATTTATTAATTTGTTTTGAGACAGAGTTTCACTCTTTTTGCCAAAGCTGGAATGCAATGCACAATCTTGGCTTACTGCAACCTCCGCCTCCTGGGTTCAAGCGATTCTCCTGCCTCAGCCTCCCGAGTAGCTGGGATTACAGGTGTACGCCACCACGACCAGCTGATTTTGTATTTTTTAGTAGAGACAAGGTTTCTCCATGTTGGTCAGGCTGGTCTCTAACTCCTGACCTCAGGTGATCCGCATGCCTCAGCCTCCCAGACTGCTGGGATTTATGGGCGTGAGCTACCGCGCCTGGCTAGTTTTACATTAATCATGAATTTACACATTTTGAAAATTTAAAACAAATTCACAATTTACTACAAAACAGCTTTTTTTGTTTGTATTTATTTATTTGTTTTTAGAGGAACAGCAATTAACTCAGTGTTCAGGATATTTCCCTTGTCCACCTTATAGTGATGATGCAAAGTCAGACACACACAAAAGCTTGAAGACCATAAGGCATTAAATATTCTATTAAAAAGTGGATTCGGCTATAAGACTTCGGCGGTGCAGAAAATTAATTATATGTGAAGGCACCAAGAAGGGAAAGAACTTGGCACTTTTCAAGAACTGGAAAAATAAATGCTTTTGTGAATAAAACAAGGAAAGCAGAAGAGAATAACCTAAAATGGTAAATTTCAGTCATTGTGAGTTCACAGAAGATATTTTATTCCATAATAATTATTTTGGCACCTTTCCTATGTATTGGAAGTTATTGCAGAATTGTGATAGTGAAGGAAAAATAGAGTTTTTAATGTTCACTGTGTCCGAGACTATTAAGTGTTGCAAAACTGTCACTGGAAGCTACGTCCCTTGCATGTGACTAGCATTTGTGGCAAACTGAATATTTCTAACAGCACTGCCCCACTCACTCCTTCAAAAATATCTATGTCCCAATCCCCAGAATCTGTAAATATGTTACCTTATATGGAAAAGGAACTTTACAGATGACTAAATTAAATATCTTGAGGCTGGGTGCAATGGTTCATGCCTGTAATCCCAATAATTTGAGAGGCTGAGGCAGGAGGATTGCTTGAGGCCAGGAGTTCAGACCAGCCTGGGTGACATAGGGAGATCCCATCTCTACAAAACACACAAAATTAGGTAGGTGAAGGGGGTGCATGCCCATAGTCCTAGCTACTCAGTGGCTGAGGCAGGAAGATTGCTTGAGCCTAGGAGTTTGAGGCTACAGTGAGCCATGATCAAACCAGTGTGCTCCAGATTTTATCCTAGATTTCCCAGATTGGCCCAAAGTAATCATAAAATTCCTTATAAGATGGAGGCAAAAATATAAAGATTAGAGAAAAGAGATATGACAAAGGAAGCAAAGTGGAGTGATACATTTTGAATTGAGGAAGGAATACACCAGGAGCCAGTGAATGCTGGTGGCCTCTAGAAAGTGGAAAAGTCTAGGAAACTCTAGATTCTCTGCTAGAGCCTCCAAAAAGAACCCATGCCTCCTAACACCTTGATTTTGGCTCAGTGAGACCTGCTTTGAATTTCTGACCTCCAGAACTACAATGAAATGTGTATTTGTTATTTTTGCTGCTTTAAGCCACAAAGTGTGTGGCAATTTGCTTCTGCTTATTTGTTCCTAAGGGCATATTGCCTTGCTTAATCTTAACCATTTCAGAGGCATGTTACCCTCTCTGAGCGGGGAATGGAGAAGTAGGGAAGGGATGAAGTAGCTGAGCCTGATTCTTCAAAGGAGAGTAATGGCTGCCCTGTGCTTATTGAAACACTGATTTCTGACAGGGAGAAACATTCAGTGGGTCTATTTCTATGGTTATTGCTTTGCCATATTGTTTTCATCATTGATCAGTTTTCCTGGTTTTCTATACTGAAACTTTGCCTGTCTTTTAGGTGTTCTGACTATTTGATCAGAAATACATGGACAATCAACCATCAATACATTCCATAATTCTTAACATAAAAATTGTCAGACTAATCTCTTTGATGTGTCTAAGTTATTTATCCAAATTCAGCAACACCAGAGCAATAGAAATTTTAATGAAAAACAAACAAAATATTAACCACATTACGAGATTTCAATAGAGTGAGGCATATGCAAAAGTTCTCCTTTTCTCTAATGATCGGTGATGTAGCTTTTTTTTCGCATGATTGTTGGCCGTATGTATGGCTTCTTTTGAGAATTGTCTGTTCACATCCTTTGCCCACTTTTTTTAATGTGTGTGTTTTTTCTTGTAAATTTGTTTAAGCTCCTTATAGATGCTGGGTAATCCTGGAAGACAGTGTGGCGATCCCTCAAAGACCTAAAGACAGAAATCCCATTTGACCCAGAAATGCCATTACTTGGTATATACCCAAAGAAATATAAATCATTCTATTATAAAGACACTTGCACACATGTGTTCATTGCAGCACTATTCAAAATAGCAAAGACAAGGATCAACCTAAATGCCCATCAATAATAGACTGGATAAAGAAAATGTGGTGTATATATACCATAGCATACTATACAGCCATAAAAAAGAACAAGATCATGTTCTTTGAAAGGACATGGATGGAGCTGGAGGCCATTATCCTTAACAAACTAACACGGGAAAAGAAAACCAAATATCGCATATTCTCTCACTTATCAGTGGGAGCTAAATGATGAGAACACATGGACACACAGAAGGGAGCGACACACACTGGAGTCTTTTGGAGATTGGAGGGTGGGAGGAGAAAGAAGATCAGGAAAAATAATTAATAGTTACTAGGCTTGATACCTGTGTGATGAAATAATTTGTACAACGAACCCCCATGACACAAGTTTACCTATGGAACAAACCTGCATTTGTAGCCCTGAACTTAAAATACAAGTTAAAAGAATTCTCCTTAGTGAGTTCTCTGTATAGTAGCAAGTCATTGTTATCCTGTCCTACTAGACAGAATCAGCACAGTCAAAGGGTAGTATAGGCCAATCTGCCCCTTAGATTCAGCCAAATAAAACAAAGCAAGAGTGGTACAATATGCACTCTCACTAAAAACAAAACAAGAATAAAATAGCAAAATAGCATTTACCTTTGGATAGAAAAGCTGCTCTAAGAAATAAAGTCTATTTTTGGCCAGGCGCGGTGGCTCATGCCTGTATAATCCCAGCACTTTGGGAGGCCAAGGTGGGCAGATCACCTGAGGTCAGGAGTTTGAGACCAGCCTGGCCAATATGGTGAAATTCTCTCTCTACTAAAAATCCAAAAAAAAAAAAAAAAAAAAATAGTGGCATGCAGTGGCGCATGCCTTTTAATCCCAGCTACTTGGGAGGCTGAGGCAGGAGAATCCCTGGAACCCAGGAGGTGGAGGTTGCAGCAAACCAAGATTGCACCACTGCACTCCAGCCTGGGTGGCAGAGGGAGACTAAATCTCGAAAAACAAAAACAAAAAATAAATAATAAGATTTAACCAGAAAATTTATTCTATCACGTCCGTTAAACAAAGCAAACAAAAAAGGGTGTTTAATTTAGAATTGAAAGGCTGCTTGCATGATTTCTCACCGAGGTCTTTTACCCTTGTATTTCAGGAGCTGAAAATGGTGGTGAGGTTTGATCCCAGATCTTCAATACAGGGTCTGAGAAGACACTAGAATTCTGAAAGTAGATTAGTTTCTAATACAGTCTGTTCATCTCCATAGATCTTAATGTGAGGCTGTATTAAGGTCAAGGGCAATCAATGACTTTGGAAAGAAACAGGAGCAGTGACAATCTTCTTGGTGTGTCTCTTTGACAAGAAAAAGATTTTGGAGTCTCCTTTTTTCTCTTTCCTTTTCTTCAAGCAGACCATTATCAAAACTGAAATATGTAGAATGGTGGTGTAAATTTCATACTAATTTTAAACATTATAAATAACCTCAATTACAGTTGTATGTAAATAATTATAAATTGATTTGTTCATTGTTAACATTTCATCTCCATCCTGAAATCCACTTATACTTTTATTAACAGCAGTTCACCCAACATGACCCTCAACTCATATCACATGTTCACACAACTCAAGTCACATGTTCTTCTTATTTTAAAATACGAAACATGCATTGTAATATCTAAAAATGGCAAATACTGAAGCTGTAGATGGCAGTATTGTGGCATCTTTTATGAATATGTTATAAAGCTATTGCTTGTCTTTATCCTTCACCCAACAGTTTTTATTACTTTATACTGTTTTAGAGGTCAATGTATAAAGACATTGAAATGTCAGTTTGCAGACTTTTTTTTTTTACAGAAGGCAACTTGGATTTGCATTTCCTCTCTGTTTAAAGGACTTTAGTTGGAGAACAACATGAGTGATGAATAAAAGCTTTCTATTTTTCATCTATTTCGTATAGCTAAGCCACAAGGCCAGGAGGTTGTGAAACTGGCTCTGTGAGTTGCTAAGGACTCATCCATTTCCTCTTTCTTGATTTTATGAAGTTCTCAAGGGGCTTTCAAACATGTATTTTATAATAACTATTTGGCGTTTAAAATTTCTTTGATTTCAACATACCCTTTGATGTTGAGGTTAAATGAAACTTATGTATTTTCACATAACTTGTTCTCATTCATCCTGTAAGTATTTTTAAGGAACATTTCTCAGTGAATAACTAGATCTTATAAGGGAGAGATAAGTAAACTGTTCATCTTTTGAATAGTACCAAGGAGATGACTACAGGTAATGCATAAGGAAATGCTCTAATGATGAGGCTGTGATGAAGTAAGCTGTACATTTTGAAAGAAGGGAATAAGAAGGAAAATGAGTACTGTGTCATCCAGTTATAATTTTTCTCTAAAACTTCTGAGTGGAAGTGGAGCTACAGGGCTAAACCTACTACACTTAAGCTTTTGCTGCACCTGGAGTAGTGTTTGATATTAAGGCAAGGAAAGAGATTTTCTTGCTGCATCCAATTTGTTTAGTTGTGTTGAATCTTTCTTCCAAGTGTTATTAGTCCTCGGCGGGTGGGGGGAAACCATTGAAAGTTATACTTTGCCTCCTTTCTTTCTATAAAAAGATCAAATATCAATTGAATTTAATAGCCAAAGTAAGTAAAAAGGTACCAATTTAATCTCATCAAATTTTTATGAGCACTTTTAGCAATAAGAAGGCAATATTAAGGTGTCACATTTAAGTGATGTGTTATCAATGCTCTTTTTGAGTCTTCAACATAATATGGCAGAATTCTGTAATGCACCATAAATAGAAACTAATGTGGGAACAAGCTGAGCTGCTCTGTACACTTTATAACATAATTAAGACACTGTAGAGAGTTTTTCTTTTGAAATACCCAAATTTGACCAGATAACATAAAATGATCAGAATCAAAATTCTCTTTGTGATATGACAATTGCTTTCATTTTTCTTCTCTCCAGTTTCAATACACTAACCTCTGCAAGTAACAATGACACTTCATTTTTCTCAGTCAGTGTTAATTTGAAAAAATTTTGTGACTTTCAATACATCTTTATCCATTCTACATAATTTTATTCTAGAAACCACCCTTTCAGAGAGTTGTCACAGTTAATGCAATTCCAACTGCCTTTTGTGAACAACTAGATACAGTTTGATCAATTCAAAGAGCCTCAAGTCAAATAACAAATAAATGGCAGAGACTACAAAGGATATATTCTGAGAATCTAACAGGCACTTTCTGCTATCTTGGACAGCTTACAATTATGAAAATTAGTTAGCATGTTGAAATTATTCCTTTAAGAGGCACAAAGTTTATTGGAAAATCTTTGATGTTAAAAAAAGTTTAATGTATCAAGAGGTCATTTACTGTTTTTCAGAATGTTAGCATATGAAGTAGAAATAACACCTAATAAGTAGAAAAATAGTATTTGTGTCCATACAGAATTCTATGTCTATTGTTTAAGAATAGACTGCTATATGATAGTAATTTATAAAAATTATGAGCAACTTTTGAAATTCATAACAATATTTTTCAAATTATTAAAAAATGGAATAAAGTGTATGAATATAGCTTGCATTTAAACAAATGAAATTGCTGAATGTGGCATGAAAAAATGTCAATAAATTCTAATAATAAAGGAAAGAGGTCACTTCTCAGTCAAGTTCCTTTAGAAACATATCATGTATATGACTATATCTTTAGCTAAATCTTTCTACTGTCATTAGCTAGTCCAGATCACAAAGTCTATATAACAGCCATATAACACAATGACACTATAATAGATATTTTGCATGACAAATTACATTGCCGTCTGTTCTGAAATAAATACAAATTAAATACACCTGTTCTCACTTAGACTTAGCAATAAGAACATAGCATATTTTGAGAATTGAAGCTGGCATAAATTAGTAGGCTCAGCGTTTACTTCCAGTTTTTAGATAATTCTTTTGTCAGATCAGTTTTCAAATATGGGACTTGAGGGGCAATTCAGTTCTAAATGGCCCAAAAAGTTTGCAGTGATACAATAAAAGTTCCTACATATGAATAAATTGAGTAACCATCTATATAATATATTTTCTAGTGATTATTTTTAAGTATGTCTTCACTAACATCATTTATTTATGTAATTTATGTAATATGGTTATAGAGACCAGATCCCAGAATTAATAAACAGAATTAAGTACTCTTGCATCAAATCATATCACCTTGCACAAATCATATTACCTTTTTTTAGTTCTACATCCTTATAGTTTAATTGAGACTACCTTGATTTAATGATTATCAAGAGTCTGTTTTAGTGCCATTAATAGATTAAACAGCCATTAAAATTGCCCTAGCAGTTCTTTGACTAAATGAATAATCCTAATTTATCTTTGGATGTTTTCTATTAAAAGCTACATTTGCTTTCAGAATAACATATTTTTCTTGTTTTTTCTGGAGCCTGTCACTTTCATTTAGTTTCAATAATTCATTTTGAAAATACATTTTATTAAAAATTTCTTTGTACAGTGATAGCTCTGTCAAATCTTAAGTGAGACTTGGTTCTACTTGATCCTGAGTCAATAAAAGTTTTTAAGAGTAAATGATCTCTGAGAGTGAATGTCCTAGATTTTCCATCAGCAAAGCCCAGTTTAGTTACTGGTTAGAGAAAATTTCCAGGCTGCAACATAAGGAGTAGCAATCCAGGTCAAGCAAAGGATCACTGAGTTGAGCTGGAACTGAGTTGGGAATCTGGAGAGACCAAGGCAGTTAGAGTTCCTAGGGCAGACCACCAGAGAGTAGAGTACTTTATAGAGAGAAAATTATGGAAAGAACTGCCCAAAAAAATTACAGGCAAAAGTAAATGTAGTCAATATACGGCATAGTGCCTATTCTTACAAGTTAGAGAGGAGACCTGATACAGTTTGAATATCCCTTAGTCTAAATGCTTAGGACCAAAAATGTCTCTGATTTCAGATTGTTTTAGATTTGGGATGCTGAACCTGTAATTCATGAGCCATGATACAGAATATATTGAAGTTTTTTTGATATTCTTACAATATGATAATTATTCAAATTGACTGTGGAATAAATGTTATTCTGGTCCTTAACAAACTTAAAAACTAATATGGTGAGTAATACATCATATTTCTTAATTACATACTGGAGCAAAGCTAAATATTTTTTATAGGAATACAAAGTATCCAGGACCCCGAAAATGCCAATTCTTAATATATGTCATTCAGTTGAGATTTACCAGTAAGGTAAAGAAGAAGGAAAAGGTAATTCATAATACTGAAAAAAATCAATAAATTATGACCCAGAAAAGATGAAGATATTAACAGCAAAATTATTAAAATAGTTATTATTATATCTCCCAGAAGCCAGCAAAAAGACTGCTCATGGTAACTAAAGACACGGATATTTAAAAAGTCCCAAATCACACATTTATAAATAAAAGCTTTAATATCTGAGGTAAAAAATGCACTTATCTGGAAAAACAAATGCGTAAACATTGAAGGAGGAAGCATTAATTAATCTGAAAATAAATAGAATCTATGGTAAAAATCAAAGAGAAAAAGACTGGAATAAGGTGAAAAGCATCAGTGAGATATGGAGTAACTTCAGGTTATTGGCCTGATTTATATGTAATTGAAGCTCTCAAGGGAGAGGGAGAGAAACAGGACCAAACACACAGAAAATTGAAGAAATAATAGTCAAAATTTGTCCAAGTGGAAGAAACACTAAACTCCAAAATCAAGGAAGGTTAAGAAACTGAAGTACAACAAAATGAACAAAATTTGACCAAAGTCTATCGTACCCAAAGTGCTTAAAATGTGTTTGTCGTTCATTTTAAGAAAATCTTTTTAAAACCTTAAACATCTTTACAAAATATTTAAGAAAATCTTAAAAGCAGCCAGAAAAACATACATATTATACACAAAGTAAATTTTTTTAAAAAACCATTTGTTATCATATGCAATATGAGCATCTTCAGATAATGAAACAAAAAGTTTAAAGTACTGAAGACAATAACTGTTCACCTAGAATTCTTTACCTAGTAGAAATGTATTTTAAAATATAGATGAAATAAGGACATTTTCAACAAAGGGTTATTGACAGAATTTATAGCCAGTAGAAGGAAGTGTTTGAAATGGAGGCAAGAAATACTGGAGAGAAATCTGGATCCACACAAGAAAATAAAGAAAATCAAAAAGCATAAATGATAATTACAGAGTTAAATGTAAAATAATTTTCTTATTTAAATATGCTTGAAGGTAATAGCTATTTAAAAATAATTGTATTGTGGACCATATAGACACACAGTACATGGGAACAACAGTACAAAGGTCAGGGGATTTTAAATAAAAACATATCTTTGTAAGGTTCTTTCACTACACATAAACGGTATAATATTATTGGATGTAGATTGTAAAAAGTTAAAGATATATATTATAAATCATGAAGCAACTACTAAGACAACAAACATACATACACGCATACACATCCTAGCTCACACATACACATCCTAGCTAATAAGCCAAAAAAGTTGATAAAACAGAATCACAAAAAATCATTGGGGCTACTCAAAGCACACTTCCTATGGGTGGCCCTTCTCTGCAAGGAGCAGTTAAAAAAATCATTGATTTATACATATAAGGCACTTAAAAAAAACAAAAACAAACAAAAAAAAACAGGAAAGATGATACAAACTACAAGTAGGACAAATAGAAAAGAAATAGCAAGATAGTAAATTTATTTAAACTCGAAGATGTCAATAATACATTAGATTAAGCGGTTTCAATGCCCATTAAAATGCAGATTGTCATATTGCATAAAAAGGACAAGGCCTACCTATATGCTGTTACAAGAAACTCACTTTAAGTATAATTAGAACTTTTTATTTAGCAAATATAATTAAAATTTTGCTAAGAACAATCAAGAGAAACCTGGAATGGCTATATTATTATAAGACAAAATAGATTTCGAATAAAGAACATTCCTAGAGGGTCATTTTAAAATAATAAAGTTATCAATTCAATAAGAACACATGAACATCTAAATGTTTATAAATCTTGTAACTGTACTTCAAGGTATATGGCACACAACTGATATAACTGCAAGGAAAAATAGAAAAATATAAAGTCATGCTCACAGATTTCAACTCTCCTCTCTAATTAATAGAAAGAGTAGATAGAAACTTAGCAGACTCAGAAGGATGCTATTAACTGACTTGTCCTTGTTGACATTTATAGAACAGTAACATCTAACAATAGTAGAGCAAACATGAAATCATCTTTAGCCCCAAAATAGAATGGGAAAATTAGAATGTTGTATGCCAACATTTGCCTAGAACTTATCATTCCACATTCTCTTTAATTAATCTGATTTGCATCTGCTTTTTGTCTGATGCAATATATCTTTCATTAAATCACCTGCTGACTTGGCAGTTCAGTAGTAGCTATTATCATTCTATACTGTATCATAGCCTCTTAGTCTAGCTCCCTCTTCCTGAAGTATTGGTCACTGTGTTAAGAGGGAAGTAACCAGTGCTAAGGAGGGTACTAAGTTGGATCCAAAATCAGAACTCCTGATTATGAGATACCATCTAAGTTGAGACCAAGACAAAGACATATGGGATACTCTGCCAATGTAGTTCTTTATTATACACCCTTAATTGCAACAGTCATAGCAGAATTTCCTGGAAGTTTATAAGAAGTATGTTCGGGAGTGGCTGGCTACCAAGAACATCTCCCTTATAATTTTAAAGAATATTTTCCCAATTAGCCAAACTCTGCTATCATGATCAGCACAAAATTTGTATGACAAAATTAATAATAAATTTAGCTTTTTTAAATTTCAAAATCAAGCACTCAATTGTTATTTGTTAGACACAAAGTATGTGCAAACTAACGTTGGGCACAGTTTGATTCATCAAAATTTTCTGTAAATAATTTAAAATCTACATGAGGTAAAACATAGATACATATTTGAGGTATCCAGAAACACAGGATACCTAAATTTGTCACTTATATACCTACTGTTCTTATTAACATCTCGTAATTGAGGAAACAGAGGTGATCATCACAACATAATTAAAGAATTGGCCCACAGCCCCACAGTGAGGTCTTGGCTCTGGTTGAGATTTAAACCCAGGTATCTGTGTTCTAAGTTCATGGTCTTGACCGGTACACTATGCTTCCATTCAAACTAATTAGAACATTTTAATTTAACAAATATATTTTATATTTTGTAAAAATTAATATTACCTGTTATTCTATCATATAGATCATTTAACATAGTGATTTTATTCCTTGAAGTGCTATATAAAGTTAAGACACCACTAAGATTAAAAACAGCTTTATTCTGAGGCATCTCCCTTTTTCTTTTCAACTAAAGTCCTGTGATGAAGGTTACAGGAGAATATAGAGTTCTGAATCACACTGAAAGCTTTCATAAGCCAGTGGTTAAAATGACAGACAGAGGCTCCGCACAACCATTCACTCACAAGAGAAAAAATGGCACTGATTGGATTAGAAGTAGAAAGACTAATGCATTTTTGTCCTTAAGGGTTAGAAGACAAATGGGTCTTTTAGCTCTGCAAGTGAGTACAACAAGGAATCCAAAAGCATTATTTGTGCAAGGTAGTTTGTAGAATCTGTTCCATTTGTCACTAGAACTAGTGGTCAAGGCTCAGAAAAATTTGAATTATGGCTCAGGGCAGGATTGGTGGCCTCATGTTCAGAGCAACACCATGGGTTTAAAGGTGATTCACATTCTCAAAAGCACCCTGGAGCATCATCTACCCCAAATGATTAATTCTTCAAGTTTCAGTGTAATTTGAAAAGAAGAGTTAGGCTTGGTTAACCTGAAAAAATGGGGAAGAAAATAAATTCTCCAAATTATGTTCCCCAAAGCAGATGATAAGCTATATTATTGCTGATAAAAAACATCAACTGCTGTAAAATTTCCTTTTAGGTATAATTTGTACATTAATTGGAAGGTGAGGAATGTTTTTTTCTTTGAGTATTATTCGGTTTCTATGTAATTTCTCAAGATATTTTTGAAACCTAAAAAGAAAAAGAAGAAAAAACAATAAAATGATACAAATATAGACTTTCTACAGCCATTAAGCTGTACCAGCAACTGGGAAAAGATGGCTTCAAAAGCATGGTGTTTGTCACATTAATAGAAAATGCAAGATATGGCCTATATGTTTTTATGACACATTGACAACATGAAAGTCTGGAGACACAGACTAGGTTTGATCTTATCAACCTTTCAATATCAACAGTAATTAAAAATTAGGTGACTCTTTGGTGACCTTTGTAGAGCTGACATTTATCACACAATGATCGAGTGTGTATGGATCATTCTGAATATAAATAATATCCACCAATATACGTAAAATGACTTCAATATTTAAACTATTTTTTCAAATCTAATTGTTTTGCTTATCTAAGTGATGAGGCTAATAAGGTAAATTCATTGTTATGAATTCACAAATGTAAATGCAAATGTAAATTCGCAAATGTAAGCCAGAATAACATGCGACAAACATAGTTTAAGGAACTGGAAATACGCTGTTTCTGATCTCACGTGCTTTACATTTAAATGGGAGAAACAGAGGAGAAATAATATATCAGCCTGTGTGCACTGCCATGAGGCGGACTCTCATAGGTAGGATATTCAAGGAGTTTAGAACATGCCACCCAACGTCTTAAAAAAGTTGTATTCTTTTCTCCTGTTAATATGTTTTATGTCAGTTTAATTCTTAGGCCCAGCCAGAGATGCCAACAGGATACGGGAGAAATGTTTCCTCCCCGACAATGTTGAAAGAAGGTCTCCCTGAGAAGGTGAGTATGGATCTGTGATGAGAAGGGGTGGTCTCACAAAAAGACTGTGTAGAAAGCATTGCAAAGAGTATCAAGGGCCTGAAGGTGAGGGAGGTCCAGGTTTTGGAGGAAGAATTAGAAGGCCTTCATCATAAAGCTGAGTAAAGCACAGCGGGCCCCAGGGCTGGGAGCAGTAGGAAAGTAAACCAACAAGCTAGAGAGGGAGATGGGGCCACTTGGTAAGAGATTGTGATGGCCAGAGTGTTTCTATATCACGAAATGCTTTAAACAGCTGAAATTATCTATAACATATGAGTTAGTATCTGCTGGCCTGGATTGACCACATGCTAATCTCTAGAACTGCCTGGAGAATTCTGGGGATCCAATGAGGAACACCATGGAATATATAAACTACATATAAATGATACTTGGTTACCAGAATTTCACTAGTTATGTTGGGGCAAGACATATCAGCTTCTCATTATTATTTAGAAATAGTAATTGGGTGTATAATCTGTACCTGGTTCTATTTGGCCCTTGAGGGTTTTGATGTTTAAGCAGTTCAGGTAGCTGGAATGTGCCTATGAGACCAGTTCACTATAATAGACTCTCACCAGAAGCTAGCTATCTTCTCAGTCTACCAAAGTTAATTGCACATAATATATATACACAAAAAAGAGGCTAGTTAAGAAATATTATTTTTTGATGTTGAAATTAATTTTGGTGCATCAAAATTGATTATGTGTGCAATTAGAACATTTCACAATTATAACCCTTAGGGACAGATTTTAATGTTTTATTCTTAGACATGTTTATTAAAAATAGATTCTCATTAACTTTTCTTATTACATTAACTAGAAAGAAAATGTGTCCCTCTAACATCAAAACACAAGAAAATGGAGAAAAATTATTGTCTTGTGATAAAAACAATTTACATAAATATTAATTAAATATTTCAAAAGATTGTGAATGGATTGGATTTTAGTAACTATTTATGCACTTTAAAATACTTCCTGCATGAGTGTCAGAAAAATAGGCATAAATTATAAAACTATTTTAGTTTTTATGTAAAGAAAAAGAAAACAAATATTATAAATTTATTTTAAAATAAATATTCATTAATATAACTATTAAATATTTTTTCAAAATGTTTGTTCTTTAAATTGTTGTGTTTCATGTTTTATCAACTTATATTTTTTCATCCCCAATATGTTCATTTGGTTGGAATTTACATTCTTGATGTTAACCCAAAATGGCCATTTTTGGCTTCAACAAGAGTGAAAATAAACTTGCAGCTTTTATTTTACAGCAAGATCCAGTATCAGAAGTCCTATTTTTTGTCCCACTTGTACCAACTTCTATTACTTCTACTATAAAAAAGAAGTACTTAGAGTCTTTGAATTGATTAGTGAAAAATAGTGAACTAAAATTTAATGAAGAAGACCGACTCACAAACCTCATTTTATACATCATCTATTCTGCCCTGTGGATCCTTCAAACCCTTCAAATATATTTTATTATTTTCTTTTTAAAAAATTAAATTGTCAGTGGCTTTATTTAATATGATCTTAAAAACACCTGTAGTACTATTAAGAATTATTGAAAGGCTGCTAAATCTCCAAGGTCTTACTAATGATCTGGACATTCGAGGATGCTCTTCAGGGAGTTCATGGAACCAAGTGAAACATTCCTTCTGATGGCAATAATTCCAAAATATGTATATTTCAATGCGTTTCTTAAACATTTTCTCAAGTAAAGAAGACTTTGATGACTATAAAATTTTTAAATGTCCCTCCTCTTTAAGAGCTGAAGGATAAAGGAAATAAACACGCACACAAACATACACACACAGGCACACACCCACACACACACGAGTTGTGAGCATAATTCTCAAAATAAAACTTTATATTTAGCATTGGATTTTCAAGTAAATAATTTATATAAGAGAATTGACAACTGCAAATTATATCTAGCTAATCAAGACACAATTTTAGTACTTGTGGCCAAATATGTATCAATAACTAAAATATAAACTAAAAATCAAATTAAAATGTAAATACAGAATGATAAAATGTTTAGAAGCTACAAAAATGTATTGCAATTATCTTTGTGCTCTTATCTATTTATTGTAAAAAACTGGAAGTACTTTCAGTAACTTATTTAGATAAAGTGGCCCTATAAATTATCAACAATACTAGATCATGTCTGAATGAGAAAAAAGATACTAAAAATTAAATTATACATTTTAAAAAATGTATTTTAATAACTAGCAAATTGCCACTACCGAACTGGGAGTTTTGTAAGTTATGTCGAAATGTTTCTGAAGATAAAATATAGTTTAAATGTAAACTAATATACATGGAAAGAAAATAAGCTTATTTTGATTAAACACAAAATGTAATATAATAATTTTCATTGTGTAGTAGCATAATTTAATCAGTGTTTTTAGTTGTTTGTAAACATCTTTATATTGCATCACTGGTATTGTTAAAAGCCTGTGCTTATTTTTAATATGGTCTTAATTTTTAAATTCTTTTATTTTAAACATTTGTGGGTACAAGGTAGGTGTATATATGTATGGGGTACATGACATGTTTTGATACAGACATGCCATGTGAAATAAACACATCATGAAAATTGGGGTATCCATCCTGTCAGGCATTTGTCCATTGGACTGTAAACAATCCAATTACACTCTTCAAGTTATTTTAAAATGTATAGTTATCATTGTCTGTAGTCACCCTGCTGTGTATCAAATGGTAGATCTTACTCATTCTTTCTAAGTATTTTTTGTACCCATTGACCATACTCACCTCTCCTTCAGCCTTCCAATACTTTTCTAAGCCTCTAGTAACTATTCTTGTACTCTCTATCTCCAAGAGTTCAATTGTTTTAATTTTTAGAACCCACAAATAAGAGAGAATATGCTGTGTTTGTCTTTCTGTGTCTGGCTTATCTCACTTAATAAAATGATCTCTACTAAAAATACAAAAAAAAAAAAATTAGCCAGGTGTGGTGGCGGGCACCTGTAGTCTCAACTACTTGGGAGGCTGAGGCAGGAGAATGGTGTGAACCCAGGAGGCAGAGCTTGCAGTGAGCTGAGATCGCACCACTGCACCCCAGCCTGGGCGACAGAGTGAGACTCCATCTCAAAAAAATAAATAAATAAATAAAAATTAAAAAATAAAATGATCTCCAGTTCCAGCCATATTCTTGCAAATGACTGGATCTTATTCTTGTCTATGACTGAGTAGTACTCCATTGCGTATATGTATCACAATTCTTTATCCATTCATCTGATGATGGACACTTAGGTTGCTTCCAAATCTTAGTTATTGTAAACAGTGCTTTGACGAACATAGAAGTTCAGATATCTCTTTAATATACTAATTTCTTTATTTTGCATATATATCCAAGTGGGATTATTGGATTATATGGTAGCTCAATTTTTTCTTTTTTGGAGGAACTTCCAAACTGTTCTCCATCTTTGTTATACCAATTTACATTGCCACTAACAGTATATAAGGGTTCCCTTTTCTCTGCATCCTCACGAGCATTTTTTATTGCCTATCTTTTGGATATAAGCCATTTTAACTAGGGTGAGATGATATCTCATCGTAGTTTCGATTTGCATTTCTCTGATAGTCAATAATGTTGAGCACCTTTGCATATACCTGTTTTCCATTTGTATGTCTTTTTTTGGGCAATGCCTATTCAAATTTTTGCCCATCTTTTGATTAGATTATTGTATTTTTTCCTATATAGTTGTTTGAGCTCCTTACATATTTTGGTTATTAAGCCCTTATCAGATGGGTAGTTTGCAAATATTGTCTCTTCACTTGGTTAATAGTGTATCCTTTGCTCCACAGCAGCTTTGAAACTTGATGTGATTCCATTAGTCCATTTTTTGCTTTGCTTGCCTGTGCTTGTGTGTAATTGCTCGAAAAATTTTTGCCCAGACCAAAGTCCTGGAGATTTTCCCCAGTTTTCTTGTAGTAATTTCATGGTTTGAGGTTTTAGATTTAAATCTTTAATCCACTTTGATTTGACTTTCGTATACAGTAAAAGATAGGGGTCTAGTTTCATTTGTCTGTATATAGATAGTCTGTTTTCCCAGCACTATTTATTGAAAGAGACTGTATTTTCTCCAGTGTATGTTTTTGAGAACTTCGTTGAAAATGGGCACACTATATGTGTCTGGATTTGTTTCTTGCCTCTCTATTTTTTACATTGGTCCCTAATGTCTGTTTCTATGCCCTACTATGCTGTTTTGGTTACTATACCTCTGTAGTATAATCTGAAGTCAAGTAATGTGATTCCCCCCATTTTGTTCATTTTGCCTAGGATAGCTTTGGTTATGCTGGGTCTTTTGTGCTTCCATATAAATTTTAGTATTGCTTTTCCTATTTATGTGAAGAATGTCATTGGTATTTTGAAAGGGATTGCATTGAATCTATAGATTGGGTAATATGAACATTTTAATGATATGCAAGTATGCAAGTTGCTGAGTTTTCACATTAACCCATTCCTAGAAAGCCCTTTCTTTCCAGTCACTACTTACCAACTCCTGTAAGGATCACTGAGTAATTGCTATTGTCACTCCTAAAAGGGTTTTGCTGTTATTGTACCTTACAAAAACAAGATCATAAATGATGTAGTATTATTTTATATCTGATATTTTTTCTCGGTGTCATAATTTGTGGCTGTTTTAATAAAGTACCATAGACTGTGTAGCTTATAAACAGCAGAAATTTACTCCTCATAGTTCTGGATCCTGGAAGTCCAAGATCAGGGTGTCAGCATAGTCAGGTTCTGGTGAGGGGCCAAATCCTGGTCATAGACCCGGCCTTCTTGCTTGGTACTCACATGGTAGCTCGGAGCTCTAGAGTAATTTGCACTAATCCCATCACGAGAGCTCCACTCTTGACTTAGTCACCTTCCAAAGAGTCCCCTTCCTAATACCATCATATTGGGGTTTAGAATTTTAACGCATAAAGTTTGGGAGAACAAAAACATTTAGTCCATAGCACCCAGTCTTATAATAAATGGATTATGTTACTCCAAGTTGGACAAAAATCATGTCCAGAGGAATAAATGTTCACATTTACAAAGTATGGTCACTAATCTATTAGATCTATATAGTTAGCAGTAACTAAGATAGACAAAACCTCAACCAAAAAGCTGTTTCACTTATAAGGCATAGTGAATAAATGATCATAAGGGTTTTAGGGTAAATTAGTGAGCTAATTGTGCTAAAAACAAGAAAAATACTAACCCAAACTTATATATTTATATTTATTTTTCCTTTAAAATATCAACTTTATAGGTACTTTATTTAACAATAGTGATATGTTGCAATAGTTTGGGTATTATACTGTGACACTGCCTTCTGCATCTGTTGTTTTATTTAAAAAAAATAGCGTAAGTTGAACCTTACTCTTTCTTTTGAAATGTTCAGTTTTGGAAACTTTTATAAGTAAACCATGGGCTGGGCTGGCAAATATATTACTTCATTAGTAGTTTTTAATTATTATTGTTCTCAAATCTTTTCTTCTAAAGAATGCTTAGAAGCAATAAGAAGTTTAAAACAAAGCAAGCTTATTTTAGATAAAGGACAGCAGAAATAACAGAATCCTATCCACTGTCCTTAAATAATATAAATTAATGATTGTTTTCCATTAATGTCTATTACTTTTTGTTTAGCTTTTAAAATATATGAAGCATTTCAGAGATTTTAGAAACAGGCCTGCATCCCATTCATATTGGCTCTTGATCATCCTCAAATTGTTTCTCAACGTATGCACATAATAATGTTGCATTTTTTTGCACAATAAGTCAATGTTTTAAGCATTGTCAATGTTTTTGGCATGACGAGAGTCTTGTAAATACATGACATTTAATTGTGCTGTTGAACTATTGTTTTAAACTAATTCCACAGAAATGGTATTAAGGACATTGCACAATGGAACATTGCACAAGATGCAGTAAGAGGCATCTATAGCTTTAAATGTTTTCTTTTCATCTTAATACAAGAGTGATTAACATGACAATATTAGTATACTAGTATTTCTGTAATAAAATACCACATACTGGGTGGTTTAAATCACAGACACTTATTTTCTCACAGTTCTGAAGGTTAGAAGTTCAAGATCAAGATGTTGGCAGAATTGGTTTCTCCTGAGTCCTCTCTCATTGACTTGCAAGTACCCACCTTCTCACTGTGCCCCTAAATGGTCCATACAATTCATACAGCCCATAGTACTATGAGTGATCATCATCACCAGGATCTTTTTTTTTTTTTTTGAGACAGAGTCTCGCTTTGTCCCCCAGGCTGGAGTGCAGTGGGGTGATCTCGGCTCACTGCAAACTCCACCTCCCGGGTTCACGCCGTTCTCCTGCCTCAGCCTCCCAAGTAGCTGGGACTACAGGTGCCTGCCACCAAGCCTGGTTAATTTTTTGTATTTTTTAGTAGAGACGGGGTTTCACCGTGTTAGCCAGTATGGTCTCGATCTACTGACCTCGTGATCCACCTGCCTCGGCCTCCCAAAGTGCTGGGATTACAAACCAGGATCTATTGTTTATACAGAGGGTTACTTCTTATTTAAAATATAAATCTCCAACCTAAATACACCTTCCTTTTTTCAGTATTATGTCATCAAGAAGACTAGGAATTGATTTTGTGATTATGGTTCTAAGTAAGTGAAAATAAACACCTCAAAATTATTTCTATTTCATTTACATATTTTTACCACTTTTCATAAGATGAAGAGAGTAGTCAATTCTAAATTTATAAAATTTACCATTTTCATGGTTAATAAAGACAACTTTCCTTATTTTGAATGCTATTTGCATACCTGTTTTATTTTTTGAAGGAATTCAAGTTGATGTTAGATGACTTTTTGATTATTTCAGTTTAGCAACAGATAATCCATTAACTAACTAAAGAAGATTTTCTTTTACCCAGTTTTATGCCATGCCTACCATAATATGTTTGATAGTTTCATTCCTTCTAAAACACAGATCAATTTTCAATATACACCAAAAGAAAATAAAAATGCAATATTTTATTTAGTATAGATATTCTTTTGATCATTAATGTAATTATTATAGAAATAGACAAATGCCTTTGCATTGATTTTGTTTGAACTTTCTATGTAATGATTTCAAATTCAGATGAAAGTCTATACCCTTAAAATGAACATTATAGTAAAATTGAAAAATACAAATGGAACAATATAGATATGATTCCTTCATGTTACAAAATAATTTTTCCTGCTTTAAAAAATATCTCAACAAAATGCATAATTAAATCAATGCATAAATTTTCACTAATTTTGTTTAAATGTGAATATTATATAGATATGCAAACCTAAAGTTTTAATGCACTTAAAACAAACCATAAAAAGTGTAATAATTATATGAACCATGAAGATTTGTAATTTGAAGATATGATTTTTTGAGGCAACTTTGAGTTATCTTTCTCTATCTCTAATTCTGAGGCTTTATAACTGTACAGCATGTCAATAGAGCTTGACAGTATCAACCACAATAATATGGTTGTTATTAGATATGGTGTAGTCATCCCAACATCCCTTTTACAATGTCTCTCCCTTCCTCTCTCTATTGATTTCCTATTGCTGTTTTAATAGATTACTGCAAGATTAGTGGCTTTAAAAATATTATTATCTTAAATTCTGCAAGTCAGAAAGCAGCATGGGCCTTACTGGTCTAAAATGAAGGTGTTGGGAGGGCTCATTCCCTTCTGAAGACTCTAAAAAGTAATTTTTTTCGGCTTCTAGAATTCTCTCTTTGGCCCTTCACAGGTTCTGTAGATTAAAGATATCTTTAAGGTCATTATCCTGCTTATCATATTTCCCTTGTCCCCCACACATATAACCATGAGTGTCTTGGCAATTAATTTGCTATTCTGTCTGCTAACAGCAGATGATTAATCCAAATATGGATACCTGATTTAATCTGGGCCAAGGAGTACCTCCATGGGACTTAGGTTTGGGACTGTCTGCTGGTCATTCTCTCTCATGGTGCCTACAGCTATGAATTTTACAATTAGGAAACTGTTGGCTGACATGTTTCTTGCCATGTGGTGAAAATATGCCAGTAAAGAGAATCACTCACACAGAGAGATTAAGAGAGAAAAGCTAGAGATAAAGAGAACGTAGTATTTTTGAGTTTTCAGATGGCCTCTGAGATCCAGTTCTACAGCTGTCATTTCTTTACCTGAATAGTTAAATCGTACCTTACATTCCAGGAAAAGTCAATGTTGGTTTCTCTTCTTGCATTGAAGGTCCTAATTAAAATGCAATTAATTACAATTACATAGAGTTTTAGATAAAACAACAATTATTGACCAGCTTGCTCCATCTTGATTTTGTCTCTACAGTAAGTTACATAATTAGACTGGCTCCCTTGTAGCCTCTGTCAGTATTATTTCTTTACTGCTCTGAAGCTCATTTGTTCAATATTCTTTAAATTAAAAAAATAATTAGCTTTACTTCCTTCTCAACTTGAACTTTTTCTAAAAATACATCTTAAGTCTTGGAAATTACTTATTCCAAGTATTCACATATTTTTCCTTCTTTATTTAAAGATTCTCTCAAAATTTATTTATATACTTAATTCTTGAGACAATTATCTTGCCTTAATTACGGATAATTGTTTTCCATAATAGATCTGCATAGATTTTAGCTTAACAAAGCTGGTATTCGTTCATCAGATAAACCAGTAATCTCATGGGTATGCAAGGGCAGGAAATACAGCTGAATGCAGAAGCAGAAATCACTCTCTCTGATGGAGCCATCCATCTCTCTCAACTTTGCCATTTTCTGTGCATTTACTCTATTCTCATGCCTCTCTCTGCGGAATCACTGCCTTTGGTTACTTGTGGAATCACCAGTTTCTCAAAATGTTTCCTTACATGTAGTTTTGGCTGGCGCAGGCAAAGACTCCAGTACCATCTCTATACAATATTTTGGCACACGTGGCCATATCATCTGATTCAGCTGCAGTGCCACAGGGCGTACTTACCTGGGAGAGTCATTGCCTGACACAGCTTAGATTTCATGTGCTAAGCAAAAAAGAACAAAGCTGGAGGCATCACATTACCCTACTTCAGACTATAAAGCCTACAGTAAATAAAACAGCGTGGTACCAGTACAAAAAGAGACACACAGACCAATGGAACAGAACAGAGAACCCAGACATAAAGCTATACACTTAACAAAATCTTCTCTTTGATAAAGTTGACAAAAATAAGCAATAATAAAAGGATTCCCAATTCAATAAATGGTGCTGCGACAACTGGCTGTGCATATGTGGGAGAATAAAACTGGACCACTACCTATCACCACATACAACAATTAACTTAGGACAGGTTAAGCACTTAAATGTTAGAACTCAAATTATATCAATCCTAGAAGAAAGCCTAGTAAATACACTACTAGATATCAGCCTTGGCAAATATTTAACTAAGTCCCCAAAAGCAATTGCAACAAGCAGGAAAATTGACAGTCAGGAATTAATTAAACTAAACAGCTTCTGCACAGCAAAATAAACTATCAACACAGAAAGCAGACAACCTACAGGATGGCAGAAAATATTTGCAAACTATGCATTTGACAAAGGTCTAATATCCAGAATCTTCAAGGAACTTAAACAACTCAAGCAAAAAACAAACAAGCTCACTGAAAAGTAGGCAAGGCCGGGCGAGGTGGCTCACACCTGTAATCCCAGCACTTTGGGAGACCGAGTGGGCAGATCACTTGAGGCCAGGAGTGGGAGACCAACCTGGCCAACATGGTGAAACCCTGTCTCTGTTAAAACTACAAAAATTGGCCAAGCGTGATGATGCACGCCTCTAATCCCAGCTACTCAGTAGGCTGAGGTACAAGAATCTTTTGAATCCAGGAGGTGGAGGTTGCAGTGAGCCAAGATTGTGCCACCTCACTCCATGTACTCCAGCCTGGGCAGCAGAAAAAAAAGAAAAAAATATGCAATGGGCAAAAAACATAAACAATCATTTATTAGGAGAAAACTTACAAGCAGCCAGCAAACATATAAAAAATGCTCAACATTACTAATTAAAACCACAAAATTCCACCTTACACTAGTCAGAATGACTAGGAATAAAAATTAAAAAAAAATAAATAAAAAATAAAAAATAATAAAAATAACAGATACTGGTGAGGCTGCAGAGAAAAGAAAATGCTTATACATTTCTGGTGGGAATGTAAATTTCCAGCCACCATGGAAAGCAGTTTAGAGATTCTCAAAGATCTTAAAATTACCATTTGATCCAGCAATCCCATTACTGGGTATATACCCAAAGGAAAATAAACCATGCTACGAAAAAGACATGTACTTATATGTTTATCACAGCACTATTCACAATGGCAAAGACATGGAATCAACCTAGGTGGCCATCGATGGTGGATAAAGAAAATGTATATATATATATGTATATACACATATATATGTGTGTGTGTATATATATATGTGTGTGTATACACACACACACACACACACACACACACACACACCATGGAATACTACAAAGCCATTACAAAGAACAAAATTATTTCCTTTGCAGCAAAATGGATGCAGTTGAATGCTGTCATCCTAAGCAAGTTAAAGCAGGAATAGAAAATCAAATACCATATGTTCTTATTTATAAGAGAGAGAGAAACATAGGGTACACATGGGCATAAATATGGAAACAATAGGCATTGGAAACTACTGGGGGGCAGTAGAGGGGAGAGAAAGGGAGGAGGGAAGGACTGAAAACTGCCTATTGGGTACTATGCTCATTATCTGGGTGACAGGATCATTTGTACCCCAAACATCAGTATCACACCATATATCCATGTAACAGACCTACGCACATACTCCCTGAATCTAAAATAAATTTGAAATTAGAAAAAAAAATGTTTGAAGCTGTTGCTATTAAAAGATCAGAAAAAGGCTTCAACTTCATAGTCCTGAGAAGGAACCACCCCTGCCTACACCTTGATGTTGGATGTCCAGCCTCCAGACCTGTGAGACAATAAATTTCTGTCGCTTAGTTAGGTAAAAATGTTATCTACTCAAAACTATAGTAAACTATACCAATAAGAAGAATGGATAAAGTCATAAACTTTACTTCTAAAATAGAATAATATTGAGAAACTCTGGTTGAATTAAGACAGGAGAACCCAGAGTCTCTATGCTTTTGTTTTTGTGTGTGTGTTTTTTTGTTTTTTTTGTTTTTGTTTTTGAGATGAAGTTTTGCTCTCATCATCCAGGCAGGAGTGCAATGGTGCGATCTTGGCTCACCACAACCTCTGCCTCCCGGGTTCAAGCAATTCTCCTGCCTCAGCCTCCTGAGGAGCTAGGATTACAGGCATGTACCACCATGCCCGGCTAATGTTGTATTTTGAGTAGAGACAGGGTTTCTCCATGTTGGTCTGGCTGGCCTCAAACTCTTAACCTCAGCCTCCCAAAGTGCTGGGATTATAGGCATGAGCCACCGCTCCTGGGCGTCTCTATGCTTTTTATTTTGTTTTTAATAAACTCCCTACTAGGAGATCCCAAATTCTCAAGAAATTCTCTAGTCATTTTGAAAACCACTAGGATAGTGAATAAGGCCCAGGTCCAAATTTAGAAGTCCAGCATTATCCTGATATAGCTTCTACATAGCTAACTGCATGATATTGGTCTCCGTGGCTCTCAGCTTAATCATTCTCAGATAAAGCAATGATGATAGAAGTAGATGACTTTTAAATTCTGTCCTAGTTGACATTTTTACAGTGTTTGATCTACATTTAATTACTTACAGAAGTGGAAATTCTTAAGAGTTTACAATTAATGAATTTCTTTCTTTTTAATTATACTTTAAGTTCTAGGGTACATGTGCACAACGTGCAGGTTTGTTACATATGAATACATGTGCCATGTTGGTGTGCTGCACCCATTAACTCGTCATTGACATTAGGTATATCTCCTAATGCTATCCCTCCCCCCTCCCCCCACCCCACAACAGGCCCCGGTGTGTGATGTTCCCCTGCTGTGTCCATGTGTTCTCATTGTTCAATTCCCACCTATGAGTGAGAACATGTGGTGTTTGGTTTTTTGTCCTTGTGATAGTTTGCTGAGAATGATGGTTTCCAGCTTCTGAAGTCTGAAATGATAAGGTTCCCAGAGGAAATGTATCTATCAATCATCATTCAGATACTTTAAAATAACAAGCAATCTTTATTCTTTACATTTTAGAGCAATTTCAAATTGCACATAGAACCCCTATGACTCTGTGATCATAAAAATGAATGACTAGAATGGAACAGATGAATGGCCAATGGCTATAATACATATTAATTGAATTATTTTCTAACTACTTCATAAATATGAATTTATAATGGCCTATTACAGGAAAAGAAATTACCCTTTTCAAGATATAAAACTTGGCAGTGCATTTTAAGCACCTAGTGTTCTTTTTTCCTAGATTCTTTGTGTAGAGGCAGAAAAGAACAAAAAGATAGGGAAGTTCTCAGGGCAGAATGAAGTAGGTTTTGAATTTTCTTGTGTGTCAGTTGAATTTTTTAACTTTTAAAGTATGTGATGTAATGTTCTGTTCATTGTGAATAGTCTGACTCAATCACCAGCCTATGCTAAAGAGATCTAAATTTAGAGGATCCGGATTTATGGAAAAGCAAATTGTTTTTAAAATAATCAAAACACGAATGAGTCTCTTCTATAGAATGCCAATAAGCAATTTATTAAGGTAAATACGTAATCAAACACTTTAGAAAAAAGAATGGTGCATGTAATTACCAATCCTTCACTCTGGAGTGTGGGGCTATATGCTTCCTTACCGTCCACTTGGCTCCTAAAGCTATGTTTCACCCTTCCGAACGTGAGGCTGAATATTAAACATGAGCAGAATTCTTCCCAATGTGAGGGGAAATTCTTCACAGGCAAGATTAGAATGATTGATTGCCCTCTGGATTCCAGTTGTGTTTGCCCAATGGTCCGGAGGGGGACGGAAGCTGGAATATGTATTTCCCTTGTTTTTTCATCTGGGGCCCGTGGTGTCCTTCAACTAAGATTAGTGCTTCCCTTTAGGTGGCCTGTTCTACAAGACTTTCCTCTGGGTCTAGGTAATGCTCACTCCCCTCCTTCTATTTAGGACATACGAGAGATGACACTTTGATCCTTCTAACTCTGGATTGATGCATTATTCCTTGTGGTTTTTCCTATACTCTGCTAAAATTTTTGTAAATAGCATGAAAATGAAACTTTTTCTGGAATTATGCTATATGCATGTGCTACCTGGTTCTTGTGAAACAGTGATGAGTATGTGCTATATCTTTTTTTTTTTTATTTTTTTTTCAATCAATGTGGACCAGGTTGGCCTCGAACTCGTACCCTCGCCTCCCCGAGGGCCAGCACAACCGGCCAGAGCCACAATGGCTCCGAGTATGTGCTATATCTTGTAGCAACAAGTAATAAAAACAATACCTTAGACACGGTCCTTTAAAAAGTTATTTTGTCTTTTAGAAAATACTAAATGAGGGCTCATATACAAGGCACCCTGCAAAGCAACACATGCAAGGGACTCTGTTGGACGATGAGAAAATAGTAGTGTTATTTGGCTCATCCTATCCTGTTGCTAATAATATCTCTCAAAGACTACCACCCCTAAGGTCTCCTCAGACTCATTGTACATTTTTTGAAAGGCTTCTTTCAAATATACGAGACCTTCACATTAATTCCTGCTACAACTAAAACTTGTATTTTTATCTTTTGTGGTTATTCTTTTTTTTTCCGTTTCAATTTAATTTGTGCATTCAAATCTCAAGCAGATACTCATCAATAGGCGTTATTGGCAAGATGCCACTATAAATGCCTGTTTATAGCAGCAAACAAAACTTAACAAACCCCTCTGTCCTCCAAGAGCTCACATCCTGGTATCAGTTCTTTATATCGTACTGTTTCATGGACACTTCTTTAATCTAGCTAGGAAAACATATAAATCTCCTTTTATCTTTTTCATTCCATTCTATTACAACGTGTCCTAGTCAGTTCAGGCTACTATAATAAATTATTATTGGCTGGATGGCTTAAACAACAAATATTTATTTCTTATAGTTCTAGAGGCCTAGAAGTCCAAGATCAAAGTGCTGGCAGATGCAGTGTCTGGTAAGGGTTTGCTTCCCGGTTTATAGATGGCTATCTTCTTGCTGTATTTTCACAAAGCAGAGAGCAGAGTGGAAGCAAGCTGTTATGTGTCTTATAAGAGTACTAATACAAGAATGCTAATCCCATTATGAGTGCTCCGCCCTCAAGACCTAATCACCTCTGAAAGATCCCACTGCCTACTACCATCAGAGCAGGAGTTAAGATTTAAATAAATGAATTTGGGGTGGAGTAAGCATAAACATGTAGCCCCCTAACACAATGCATTTAATTCCCCTAAGCCATGGGAAACTTCAGCTTCTTTCTTACACTGTCTTTGTATTTATTCCTCAGGCCTTAAAACTGCTTCTGTTTTTTCTTCTTTTCTTTTTTTTTAAATTATTATTATACCTTAAGTTTTAGGGTACATGTACACAATGTGCAGGTTTGTTACATATGTATACATGTGCCATGTTGGTGTGCTGCACCCATTAATTCGTCATTTAGCATTAGATATTTCTCCTAATGCTATCCCTCCCCCCTCCCCCCCACCCCACAACAGTCCCCGGTGTGTGATGTTCCCCTTCCTGTGTCCATGTGTTCTCATTGTTTAATTCCCACCTATGAGTGAGAACATGAGGTGTTTGGTTTTTTTGTCCTTGCGATAGTTTGCTGAGAATGATGGTTTCCAGCTTCATCCATGTCCCTACAAAGGACATGAACTCATCATTTTTTATGGCTGCATAGTATTCCATGGTGTATATGTGCCACATTTTCTTAATCCAGTCTATCATTTTTGGACATTTGGGTTGGTTCCAAGTCTTTGCTATTGTGAATAGTGCTGCAATAAACATACATGTGCATGTGTCTTTGTAGCAGCATGATTTATAATCGTTTGGGCATATACCCAGTAATGGGATGGCTGGGTCAAATGGTATTTCTAGTTCTAGATCCCTGAGGAATCACCACAACTGGATCCCTTCCTTACACTTTATACAAAAATTAATTCAAGATGGGTTAAAGACTTACATGTTAGACCTAAAACCATAAAAACCCTAGAAGAAAACCTAGGCAATACCATTCAGGACATAGGCATGGGGAAGGACTTCATGTCTAAAACACCAAAAGCTATGGCAACAAAAGCCAAAATTGACAAATGGGATCTAATTAAACTAAAGAGCTTCTGCACAGCAAAAGAAACCACCACCAGAGTGAACAGGCAACCTGCAGAATGGGAGAAAATTTTTGCAACCTACTCATCTGACAAAGGGCTAATATCCAGAATCTGCAATGAACTCAAACAAATTTACAAGAAAAAAACAAACAACCCCATCAAAAAGTGGGCGAAGGATATGAACAGACACTTCTCAAAAGAAGACATTTATGCAGCCAAAAAATACATGAAAAAATGCTCATCATCACTGGCCATCAGAGAAATGCAAATCAAAATCACAATGAGATACCATCTCACACCAAATTAGAATGGCGATCATTAAAAAGTCAGGAAACAACAGGTGATGGAGAGGATGTGGAGAAATAGGAACAGTTTTACACTGTTGGTGGGACTCTAAACTAGTTCAACCATTATGGAAGTTGGTGCTTCTGTTTCTAATAGAGAATCCTTCCATAGAATTTTAGAATGAATAACTCTTCTTCTAGTGTTTTAGGAGGCCAAGGTGAGAGGATTGCGTGTGCCTAGGAGTTTGAGACAAGCCTGGGTAACAGAGCAAGACCCCAATTCCACAAAAAGTAAAACTTAGCTGGGCATGATGGTTCATGCCTATAGTCCCAGCCACTCTGGAAGCTAAGGTGAGAGTATCCCTTGAGCCCAGGAGTTGAAGGCTGCAGTGGCTGAGCTATGATCACATCACTGCACCCCAGCTTTGAGCAGCAAAACAAGATCCATGTCTTTAAAAAAAAGAAAGAATGGTTAACTCTTCTTGATCTTCAGGCTGTGAATTACATTTTCACATATTCATTTGTTTCTCCTTCCATATGAAAATGTAATTTTCAAGATAAATTTTCACTATCTACTTAAAGAGATTTTCCTTCTTGTTTTTTTAATATAAAAATACACCTGAATTAAATAGTTCAAGATCTTAGTGTCTAACAATTTCTTTGCTTATGCCAGAAGGCAAGTTAAATATGGAGCTTCCTGAGAAACCTGTCTGGAGAAGGCAGGACTCTCCTTTTCATATCCAGTCTTTCTAGTTATGTTTGGCTAAACACTTTGTGTGTTGTGTATTTTAGATATAACTTCAGAACTAAATAAAAAATGAAAAAATTTATGTTGCCCTGGAACATATTTCTCTTTCTTATATGAATTTCTAGAGTCCTCATTGAGACTTGGGAATTTTATACAGAATTTGAATTATGAGCCATATTGCAGCTGCAGAGTATATAAATATTCTAGAACCACCAAGCCCTCCAATTAAAAAAGATGTTTTCTAATTTTATTCCTATGTGCTAAAAACAAAATTCTCCTGAGTGTGTGTGTGGCAGTTTCCTAATTTCTTGCCATATACCCAGTTTCTAGTTGCTGTGTAAATCTGATGCATAATACAAAATCAAAATAAATATGAGTTGGGGATTATTTTCTTTTTGATTTTCCACCAGTAGATAAATATTTACCAATTTTCTCACAGTAGCCTTGATTCTGATTTCAAGACACTGATTATGGAGATTGCGTTGAATTCAGCAGAAAGCAGTAAGTAGATCCACCAGGTCACATAGAGGTTACTAGTTGGCTGAAACCCTTTGAGATTTCTTAATTGGAAACTACTGATGATCTTCTCTCTACATCATGTCACTTGTGGTGTGTACATACTTTGTTAAATCTCTTCAAGCTGGGCCTTAGCCTCTCAGTCTTGATCTTAGATAGATTTGAAAGAGAAATCCATGTATTAGACTGATAGATCCATGTTTTCAATGATTTCTACTTATATTCCAATATAGAATTTTGCAATAATAGAAATGGAATGACTCTAAATTTGCATATCCAACTATATTCAAAATAAATAACATTACATAAATAATTTTAGGATTGTATTGTTTCATACTTAGTATATACAATTAGATTGTGAGCAGAAGCAAGATTTTATTTGTTCTTTACTGTGTGCTTGCTTATTTAACATTGAAGGCTGTGATTAACCCCAAAAAGGTGGGAGAAGAGAGAAAATACAGCTAAAAATATTACCTTAGCCCATATCTTGATATACTTACATCTTCTATACTAGGTTGCTGGCATCGGCCCATAGTAAGACCAAACTGTCTCTTTCTCCATGTGGGTTTCTTGCAGAATGTTGGATTCATTTCTCACATCCATCAGCCTCCCTCTTACTTCTGTGGCAAATCCAATGTGTAAAAGAAAATTATCTTCAATATAAATATTATCCCATATTGTTATGAATAATTCCCACTTCTTAAAGTCAATATTAGTTAGCTTAGACTAGACGATAATGCCAAAAAGTTTTGTTTCTTCATCAGGTTTTATATCTGGTAGTAGTTATGACTTAATGACTATTCTGTTCTATGTAGTCAGCCATTCAGGGACCCAAGATGTGGGAGACATTTCACACTGGAAGACGGTTCTCCATGGATCACTTGTATTTCTGCATGTCTTATGAAAATACATTACCAAATTTTCTTCTGAATTCTATATCCGAGGATCTTTTTGAAGAAGGTTCACCATGCACTGATTACCGACTTGTTTGGATTTGATGAGACAGAACATACATAGAGGTAACAAGCTACATGCGGCAGGTTCATCACTCATAGGAACAACGAGAACCTGGGATTCACTGTGATCCATCCCACAAGGCTCAAGGAAGCTGTCTGGGACAAATGAAGTCTAATCTGTTCTTGTCTATGTGTGCCTCACTTGCACTGCAGCTGAGGGACCTTGGAAAGCAAGTAGCTCTGAGTTTTGTATTCTGGGGGCAAAATGACATGCTGTGTATAACACTGAAGGATCTTTTGTTCTAGAGGGGACTGGAATGGAGCCTGATCTATTCTAGCCAGTCTTCCCCTATCTCAAGATGTTGCATTCCCAGCACATTTCAGTTATTCTTGAGAATTACAAATGAGAAAGGGAGGGGAACTGAGTTGTCCAAGGCCATCCAGAGACCTGTCCTGAATCTTTGATTAGCAGTCTTTGAACAGAGGCAGCACCCTCCTGCTGCAGAGGGAAGATTTGTTTCCTGATCAGGAAAGTGAAAATATTATCTCTACGTGGAACAAAGCTTGAACAGAACTTCTAGTAGCCCCTTTAAAATCTGGGGGGAGCTCTGGGTCCCTCAGGTGTGACCAAACCCACTGTGTACAGCATTCACTGGGACATTTCTCACGGCCCCCTTAGTCTTGGAGGTCCCAGAAATAACTTAGTAAAATAAAAGTCTATTGTTATTTCTCCCAATATATTTTCATTATGCATACTAAAAAATTATAAGGTCTATCAAAATATTAAAGACAAGACCTGTATGCAACTTTTATTTGGCCGTATAGTCAGAAACCACTGTGAACATGGAGCTCGTGTTTTCTGCTCTACTTTGAGGAAAAAAGCCATTTGTCTCTGACCCAGGTGTTTCATGTGCTCTTCCAGCATCGATGAATCTGTGTAGAAAAAATGTGCAGAAAAAAGAAACTGAAATCCCTCAAAGGCAATTACAAAAAGAGAGTGACTGAGATTTAAATTAAAGCATTAATTAGTTCAGAGTCTTGCCAACAACACCACAACAACATGAAATGTACTCAAATAGCAACATACAAAATGTATATTTATTGTGTTATATTATTACATTATAATCTTAAAATATTAAGCAACATCAATTTATAAATTAAGATATTTAGTTATTAAAACCCAATATATCTAGTAACTATCAAATTGCAATTTATTTTTTAAAAAATATTAGTAAAATAAAAGTCTATTGTTATTTCTATCAATATGTTTTTCTTATGGATACTAAAAAATTATAAAGTATACCAAAATATTCAATATAAGACCTGTATATAACTTTTATATGGCCTTATAGTCAGAAAGGATATTGATCTTATTTTTGACAGTGTTAATGAATTTGTATATTGTGCATTTAAGTGGAATTTTTTTTAATTTTATAGGATTATTTGTAGGTAAATAAATACAGTTGCAGAAAGGTGTTGTTTCATTGCTTTAATCAAGTAAATGTTATACTTTACTATATATGGATATTAAAAAATTATAAGGTATATCAAAATTTTCAAGATAAGACTTGTATGCAACTTTTATGTGGCCAGAGCTTTTATATAGTCAGAAACCAATGTGAACATGGAGCACATGTTGTCTGCTATTCTGTATATAATATATACAGTTATGTATGTTGGTTTATATAAACAATGTTCTATAAAGTAAAAAAATCAATCATTTAAATTTAACCAATAATGGTTAGAATTATATTACCTGGCAGGATGGCTGCCACTGGTTGATCAATGACTGGATGAACAATGTTGGCCTCAATTATTTCTGACAGGTGGCAGCCTGGTTAGTTTAGGGGAACTTAGTCAGGATGAATGTTTTCTGATCTATATTGCTTAACATTCCAACAGGTTATCCAAGTCTTCATCAATGGCTCTTCTTTGTTCCACATTGTCTCATCTTCCAACAGACTAACTTGGGCATCTTCAAATAATAATTGAGGGCTCCCAGTGGTAATGAGTCAGCACTGATGTGCAAGTCTTTTCAAATATTTATTGTGTTATATTTACTATTGTACCATTGCCCAAAGTAAGTCCGTGATCAAATGCAGATTCAAGGTGTCAATAAAGTTCACTTCTACAGGGGCGTATTAGACAGAATTCTTCAGAGAAAAAGAACCACCAGTAAGGCCCACTCACATTTAGAAAAACTATCTGCTTTACTCAGTCAACTGTTCAAATGTTAATCCCATCCAGAAACACCTTCACAGACACAACCAGAATAATGTTTGAATAAATGTCTGAGCAGCCTGTGACCCAGACAAGTTAACACATAAAACTCGTCATCACTATGGGTAAAATAATAAGGTCACTTTAAAAAGGGGCATGAATAGATATAAAGAAACAATTTCTGACTCTTAAGCAGAACGTTCTAACATTAAACATTCTAAGCAAATTATCTTGCATTATCAAATATAGATGATAAAATCTGCATTAAAGCTTTTATAAGTTTAAAATATTCATAAACCAGACATGTATTGCATATCTGTATAGAGCAGTTGCAATAATATATAATTTTCTAAGAGTTTGAATATTCAAAAATTTTCTGACTCTACAAAATAAGCATAGAATTGGACTACTAATAGGACTCATGATGGTGCTGATGAAATAATAAATGATTATACTTCTCCATTAAACATATATGGCCAAATTGGAATGAGTTCATGAGTTTACTTCTAGTGTACATAGAAATATATTTCTGTGCAAAGATTAGTGTTGTATTTCATTTATTTTATTTTCTTCACATAACTAGTTATGTTCAATCTTCTTTACAGCAATTGATGTCATTGAATCCAAGCATATTTACTTTTCTTATCCTTAATAAGATTCTTATTTTCAAATTCTTAATAATATATAGTTGAAGTAATATGACCACTTTGGAGACATAATGTCGACAAGTTCTAATTTTTGAAAATTATGTTGACCTTCCAAGCCCCAAGTGTATCATTTTTATACAATGAGAGCTAATTTCCTAAATAATATCCAACTGGCCTTTTTGGAACACAACTTCCAAAAGTGTTTCTTAGTCTCCCTGGTATAGTTTACACAGTGGGAAATACAGTTAACTATGTCACAAACTGCATTATTGGATAGAGCACAATGGTTGCAATTATATTTGTGGTTGTTTTAAATTAAGTAATTCTAATAGAAGTGTATCTCTAATAATACAGTTAAATTTGCATGCTGATTTGTAATATTAAAAGAACGTTTTCCAATTTCATAAGTTTTACCAAAAATGTTTGTGTTCATCTACAAACCAATTTTAAGACCACCTTTAGGATACAAATGAGTGTCAGAAGGGATAGTCCATATCAGAGCAAATTTCTTTAGTGCACACAGAATGATTTTCATCATCTCCTATTGCTTTCTAAGGCCCTTTTCCACTTCTGCAAACCAATATTTTGTATTTTTAAAGCTTGAACAGCAAATGGAACATATTATTTAGTCCAATAAAATTATATTCAGGCAAAATCCTACTTGTCTTGCATAATCAGCTATTTCAACTTTCTTACAGAAATTTTTGTATAGAAATCATTCCCTTTGCAATGAAGAAAAAACTCTGATTTATCCAACTAATAGGGAAAGCATACTCAAATAAACAGCATATTATGCACAATATGTTAGCATAATATCACAAACATATTAGCCTAGTTTTTCCCCAATGCACTAGTAAATAGGTATTCTGCTTATAAATGAAGAAAGTCTTCCTTGTCTTCTCTTCTATATCGATTTTATTCTCACACATAAACTAAAATAACATATGCTTTTTCAGGGTTATACTCCTAATTAAAACCAGTATTTAGAAATTTGTAATAATTAATCTTTACAATTTAATTAATATTTTATTGCCATAAGAAATATCCTTGGAACACAATTAAATGCCCATAATTCGATATGAGATTTGGAGATGAGTATGTTCAGAAGCTTTCCCCCACATGCTTAGTTTAAAAAATTCCACACACGTTTTTCTTCTCACAACTTCATCTGGGAAATATGACTTCATTATAAAAGTATGAATTTGTCATGATGAGTTTATCAAAGGATAAATATGCATCATGCTATGTAAGATGAACCAATGCTTCTCAATAAGGGTCACCTGAAGATCCTGTTTAAAGTGTAGATTCTGATTCAACAGGCCTGGCCTGGATGGGAAATAAAATTGTGCATTTTTAGCAATGTTCTCAAGTCAGGCCAACGGTGGTCTAGCTATATGTACATGAAGTGTGTGTGTGTGTGTATGTGTGTGTCTGTGTGTGTATGTGTGTGAATCCCTGCTCCATTGCCTTATGTATATTACATATTATATACAAAGCAACATTTAGTCCATAGATGCTTAACATCATTAAATACCCTTAATTTTTTTATTTAATCAACTAATCAGAATTCTTACAAATGGAATTTTAATAACAAGAAATATTTTTCCATTATTGAAGTCAGTTTGAAGTGGCATAAAGCCATGATATAATAAAATCCAAATTTCACACTAGGAAGATGTTACTTAATGTTTTATAGTTAAATAACAATAGCCATACACTCTATTATAAATTTGAAGTAACAAGTTTATATTTAGTAACCTAAAACTATTTTTCACTAGAGCTCAAATTTCTGTTAGCAGCTCTGCATTAAAAAAAAAAAAAACTTTTGTTATTTTTACCTTAATTAGCTTATGTTATTAGCAGGAGATCTAAATGGAAGATAAATACTGAATTTGTAGCATACTATGATATATAAATTTCTGAAGCAGGTCAAACAGTAATGATGAGCAAAAGCAAGATTTCTTCGGCATTTGGGGAAATCAAATTGGGTAGGGTAAAAGTTTTATGTTGGTGGAATATCTATAATTTGAATATGTTGATGAGGGAAATATAAAATGATAGGACATGAAAAACTCACAGAATAAGTACATAAACACATTAGGTATGTGTATCTATTACATGTACACATATAGACAAAAAGTTATCCTAATAACTAATATCTATAGAAAATACTATATATATCCAAAACTATACCAAGAACTCTATGTGAATTGTCTCATTGACTTTTCAAATGGCTGTTGAAATCAGTACAGTACTATATATACATGTTTTGTAAATGTAGGTAGTCATGTTTTATAAATTAAGGTAGTAAACTCACTTGTGTACCACAACACACCTACTAAAAGCTGGACTGGAGATGGGATTGGAAATAATTTTAATTTTTCTTATTTCTCATCCCTGAACAACAAAGATAATTCCATGTATCGGGGAATTTTTTTCATTAGACAGCAACATTTTGCTGCCCAATTTTATAATGGTCATAATGATGTTAGGCTGTGTTAGTGTAAAATGAATTTTAAAACCTCAGTGGTCCAACACTGAAAAATAATGTATCCCTCGATAATAAAATATTCAGATAGGCAAGTGGCTCCCCTTAATGGCATGTGGAACATTTGTTTTCCAAAGTTGATGTGACAGTGGAAGAGAAAAATGAAAACAGTTGACTGGCTCTGAGCTACAGTTGACTGGCTCTGAGCTGCGTTGGCTTGGAACAAAAACACGAATCACTACCACTCACACTCCTTAGGCCAGAAGAATGTTTACAATTTTAATCCAACAGCAAGGGAGAATGGAAAATACCAGGCAACATGTACATAGCTGGTGAGTGTGATTTCTCCCACACAGTGTTGACGCAGATTTTTAAATCTTACAGGCATTTCATATTATATGTCATTTGTTTTAGATTGGGTTCACCCTAAAGCAGATAACTAAGACAAGGAATTAAGTATGAGTAGTTTATTCAGGCAGTGAATCCAGGAATCACCAGTAGGGGAATTGGGAGTTTAAACAGGTAAGGGATGAAAGGAAAACAAAGCTTCAACTATAAAGCAAGTCACAATTGTGGAATACTACAGCTTACTTCTGCCTGGGAACTCTGGGAATCAGCATGAAACACAGGCCTCAAAATCAGCAACAGAAAGCTCAAGGAAATGAACCACTTCAGTGCTTCTGTGCAGCACTGGCTAAGGACATTAGTTCCCTGGTCCTTCTAGCCTGCCCCACGTACAAGATTGAGGGTTCCATTAGTAAGAAAAATCTCCTTGACAGAGAGAAAGAGACACTGCTTTTGGAAGTTATGGGAAATGAAAATATAGGCAGAGAATCTAGCATGAATATATACACATATACAATAAAATGCCCTAAATTATAAACACACACACACACACACACACACATATATGTATACATGCATACATAAAATGTATTTCAATAAATATATATATACACAACAAAAATATAATTTATTATATGAATAATTACATTTCCTTTCAGATCAGAAATCATCTGCACTCAAGATAAGTTTAGTCTCAAAGCCCCAGTTGAGATCATCGCCATACTTATTGCATGAACTTCAGGAAGTTCAGGAAATGGCATAGTTTGAGTTGCACACTCTCTAATTCTCACATCATGAGTACTGCTACAGAACTTTAAGCCGAACATTTGAGGATCAACTTTTGTAGGTGAAAAAGAGCATCTTGGAAGATATGAGTTGTATGAGCTGTGCTGTCTCTGAATGGGGTATATAGTTGTGTTATTGCCTGCACCTCTACCTTTTAAGTTACTTTTCTTTCAAACAAAAAAACAAAAGTGCTATTATTTTGCCCTACTCAGTGATGAGTACAAAGAATGCACTGGTAAATGTGAACTAAATGAAATTGAATTAAAAGGAGGAAAATTAAATGTGTTATGTCATTTTAATAAAAAAGTTAATCATGTATATACTGTTAATCTCTCTTTAAAATTATGAAATTATAAGTTACCATGCATATTATATTTTTAAACTAGTTTCATTTCATCTGTTCTAAATATATAGTACATTATCAAATGTGTTTTATTACTCTTTTTTATTCTATTATTTGAAATGCTTTTAACTCTAATTAGTTAACATTCTGCATATACTAATTTGAAAACAGATATAGCCTCCAATTTATGTCGTTAGAAGAAAGAGAAACATTTAAAGAAATTACTATATGCATCTCCAGATTTTTTACAACTTTCTTCAAAGCCCTAAATGATTTGGCTGTAGGATAACTGCAGTATCATATCTTGCCTCTTGACCTCTGCTTACTCCTCCTTACTGGCTCATTTTCTTCTCAGATATGTTAGCAATGCAACAAACTCAGCCTTTGCATTTGCTGATTTCACTGAAACCATCTCTCCAGACATGTGCAATGTTCCCTCAATATATTCAGGACTCTTCTAAAACATCAAATCATCAAACATGCCTTTCCAGAGCACCCTACCTAGCAAGAAACCCTGATTTACTCTGCCTTTGTTCTGTCTTATTTTCTTAAAAATGTGTATCATTCTTGAGAAAGTACACATATTTAGTTTCTTGGGAATGTGTATCTCTTATCCCCAGTTAGAGTGTAATCTTCATGAGGGTGGGGTCTTTACCTTAGTCACTGTAAAATTTCCAGTGTTTAGAACCTTGAAATACAGGACATATTCAACTGATATTTGCGTAAGTAATAAATGGAAGAAATAGATTAAGTAGTCTTAATAAAAATGTAAGTAAGACCTAAAGTAATTACAACATGAAATAATTACCTTCAACACAAATCATGTGAACTATAATATTATGTATGATGGCTATGATTTTTGTAGGCCATATTTGAGTTGATTGATTTGTTCCTTTCAAAAGCCCAAGGAGTTGGGTTTTATTATTACTCCTGCATTGTAGAGGGACAATAGTTATTAGCTATGTTCCAGATTCAGTTTATACAGATAGATAGGTTCACTGTTTTATCCAACACTTTTGTGTACGAATTTGGCAAAACAGTTGTTTAACTAGCTGATATATTTTTTGAAACACAATAGAGAAAACTCAATATCAGGAAATTGGTTCAGGGTTTTTATTTTTTGTTTTGTTTTGTTTTGTGGAGCTTCTTAGTGATGGTAGTGAGGTTTTTGGTTTTGAACTTATTAGAAGTAAAATTAACATATTATAGTAATAGGAGGTAGCAAACAAGATGCTTTATGTGGTACGTAGGATCTTAGGAAAACATGGGACAACCAGAAAGAGAAATGCTGAAGCCATTTATTGTTATGAAGCGGCATGTAAAACACTGATTTAGGCTTACCATCAGGGAGAATAATGTGTCATCATCCTCAAGTCCTTGCGATGCTGAGCGTCTCCTCCAGCAATTCTGTTTGGTAGCATGATTTCTTCATGCCCAGACTATCTACTGCCTTAGATAGAACCATAGGCCAAGTTTTGTTACATGAAGTATGATAGTGAATCAAGAGTAATCCAGGTCAAATATATATTATCCAGTCTACCTCGTCCCAAACCAATATCTGATCTGTCACATTAGGTTCTATTCCATTGGTTTATGTGAGCTTAATAAGTAGTTTAGACATTTTCTTACTTACATTTTCTCATGGATTTCCAAAAATCCATGAGATTGAGTTTTGATTAGCAGGATTGATTGTAGATTATCTGAATGTTCCATAATGTGTGTGTGTTTGTATGTGTGCATGTGTGCACATGGTTTCCTGGAAACTGAGACCTAATTGCTTGTTATAAGAAAAGGATACTAGAAATAAAAGAGATTTTTAAAAGGGGAAAAAAAGGCATTGAAGATGGACTGTTTATATGGGGTGATACAGAATAAAAAAAAAAAACTAATTGTCTGTGATTCCAAAGAAACACAGATTCACTATCGTAATTGTAGCTAGGTATATAATGCAATTTTTCTATTTCCCTCTGTTTTTTCTTTCTTAGAGACTTCTCTGGGCAAAATCGGCCTCCATTGATCTGAAATATCAATACATCAGGTGTGTAAAGTGATGGGTGATAGGGGAAAGTAGAAGTAGAATAAATTAGTGGCCTTGAAACCTAGATCTTTGTTAAAATCATTTTTGAGAACTTAAAAAATGTAGATCAAGTGGACACATTATGAAAACTGGGACCCACTATCCTCGCTACCATTTCCCATCTTAGTATAAGGGAGGTTGCTGGCATAAATCGATACAGTTAACCAGCTCCGCAGATTGTTACAGCGATCGATCAGGATGGGAACAACTTCCATCATGAGGCTTCGTCCCACGCACAGTCTCATTCTTTTCTCCATTGGCTGTGGTGAGAATAAAATAGCTACTTTCCCTTGACAATGATTCTCACCTATGTGTGCAGCTATAGCCAGAAAGAATGTGTTCTCAGCACTCTTTCTTCCATAGCTAAAGGCTGCAAAACACAAAATTGCCTTGAGAGCCTTTGTTGAAGTAACCTTAATCTGATAATAGCCCAGGTCCTTTCTACCTGCAGTTTTCTGGCAGGCTGGGGATGTGTGGCATTACTTTAAGTTGTATTTCAGGGTTTCTGGGAATAATTTATTTCAGGGTATATTTCTGCCAATCCCTTCACTCTGTCTTTAGTCTTCCCATTTAACTCCATCTTCTACATAGCTGCTTTACTGTGCCTTACCAATTGAGCATCAACTATGCGATCAGTATCACTAAATGTGATTAATATGTGACATTGGCAAAGTGGTTCTGTTCTTTGTCTTGCTGTTGCTGAATCTGTCTTAATGTCAATACTTTGCATGAATGATAACGAAGATGATGAAATGGCATTAAAAATGGCAGTTGTACTAGATCTGAGTCTTAGAGCTTTGATGCCATTATTAATATATACACTTAATTTAAATAGGAATCAACACTAAAAGCCCAGACTTCGCCAGTATGCAATATATCCATGTAAGAAAACTGCACTTGTACCCCTTACATCTATAAAAATAAAAAATAAATAAAGGAGTAAATAAGCAAATGGAAATCAAGTAGTATAGCTGTATCACAAAATTTACCCTTGTCTCGTTCGGTTTGGTTTGTTTATTTAGAGTTAAATATATTTCAATAGAACAGGGAAAAGTACTCAGTGATTATTTTAAGATTATAATTATAATTTCCTGTGAAAATTCCAGCTTAGTGTTCCATTTCTCTCTTGCTTGTTGGTGACATCGGACTTATTTTACATGGTGACCCAAAGCATATCACTGAATCTGCAAATCAATTCAAAACTATTATAATTTACTTGTGCAACTGTCTTATGTTTTCTGTTAATGATCCAGATGGCAACAAGAACTTGTGAAGCAAATAATACAACATAATTTAGACAAAAATATACATGAGCATATTTATGTCTGATATTGAAAAATGAACATTGTATGATGTATTGTGATACAACTCAAACTTTTGGAAACAAGTTCCAAACTTTTGGATCTAGTTGTTGGATCTACATTCTCATTGGTAATATGGTGACAATAAAAGCTACCTTTCAACGATGTTTTAAAACCTAGGGAAAATATCTCTAGAGTATGTGGCTCATAACTTATACATAATCAATTCAAATCATAAAATTTTTATTATTACATCCTTAAAGTCAAAATAATGAAATTATCACAATAATAATCACCTTTCTATATATATGGATAAGATTTTGTTATAATTAAAATGACTTAAAGACTTCAGGTTTTGGGAGGCAAATTTTTTTCTCATAGATATTTTCTAGAAACTTGACCTACTGCTTAATCATGAGCACAGGCATAACCTACACCTTATACTTATTTACTGTTTGAACAGTGTAATTATACTAAGGTTGTGGGGGTTTTTTTCGTTTTTCTTTAAGGTATTTCCTTGCTTATCTGTTAAGTTTCTGCTGGCCATTTAGCAGTTCCAGATGGCATGATTTCCTGTGGTCTGAATTCTTGCACATAGTGCACTGTTTTAGTTCTCCTCATTTGTGACCCACATCATGAACAGGCTCCACTGCTAAATATGATGAAGAGCTAGCAGGCCATTGACAAATGTCACCTGTACTAAAACCTTGAAATGTTTTCTTCAGACTTCTTTGACTGCGGCGTATGTACATTCACCATATGAGAAGAGGAAAACAACATTCAATTTCAGTAGAGTAGGAATCAATTCATTTATACTCCAAAAGAAACATTCAAATTATAATCCATAATAGCTGTTCTATTATAGATGAGAGTGGAGTGTGTTCTCATAAAATGGTAAAGAACTGGTTGATAAGAGGTCACCCTAAAATGTTCTTGAACCTCTTTCCTGATATTTTCCTGCATTATGTCTCTCTGTTAGTCCTGCAGGAAAAATTACCTAGAGTAGTGTATAAGGTTCCTTTGTGTTAAGTCCATGCATGACAGCTTTCACATATTTGTTTCACCTGAGATAATGTCTATAGCTATTTACATATTACTGCTTCTTGGTTATCATTAGAGGACACAAAGCAAGGATATTTACTTTAAAAGGTGACAAAGATAAATCACTGGTTGAAACGGAAGTGTGCACTTTGGGGTGGAAATATAACCAAGTCAGTAATTTTTAAAGGAGAAATTTAGATTTTATTACAAAGTGTTTAAAAAAACTAAAGCTTCAAATTTCATATTGTTGGTACTGGGGTGATGCCTAGGAGTTAAAGATAAATCTTTAGATAATTCAACAAAATGCATGCCAATTTCTTGTTTATAAACTGAGTCTGACAAAATTGGGTAAAATTAAACTTTAGCTATGTTGGTAAATTTAGTGATAAATGATGCTGATTAATCTAAAATCTACCATTTTATTCGCATATGCTATTTGATAGTATGTACACATTTGTCCTCATGGCCAATCTTCTTCATAAATGTCTATTTGATTAATTCATTCATTATCTCAACATAGACAAATGTATTCTAGGAACTATGAGACACACAGGAAATATAACAAAGAATGTGTTCATATTGAGGAAATATACAAGTTAAACAGTCAATTAAAATATAGAAGAATGTTCTGAGGAGTAAGCCATACACTTTATACTGTAAGTTAAAAATCTAGAACTTCAAAACTTTGTATTCCCCCAAACACACACACAAACACAGACACACACACAGACACACAAACAAGTATATTTTGTATGCTTCCTTTAGGAGTTAAAATTTACATATGAGATAAGAGCAAAAAATAAAATAAAATCAGCTATTGAGAACAGACCTAAGTAAACATATTAAGAATTGTAATTTATATGAAGTGTTTCTATAAGAATTATATGTAAAAAAGGTCTGGAGCAGCTAATTTCTAAGACGCTTTTTTTTTTGGAAGAGGGTTGTCTTAATCTATTTTTGCTGCTATAACAGAATACTTGAGTCTGGGTAATTTAAAAATAATACAAATTTCTTTTTCATGATTCTAGAGGCTTGGAAGTCCAAAACCAAGGTGTCAACAGGTTCGGTGCCTGGTGAGGGATGTTTTCTGCTTCCCAGATGATACCTTATTGCTGTGTCCTCATGTGGAGGAAGAGCAAGATAGAATGAGGGAAGGAAAAAAGGTGGTCCAAGCTTTTGCTTTTATAATGAATCCAGTCCCATGATAACTGCATTAACCCATTCATGAGGGTGCCTCATGCATGGCCTAATCACCTCTTAAAGGTCCTTCCTCTTAATACTGTAACAATGGCAATTAAATTTCAGCATAAGTTTTGGAGGTGAAAAACATTTAAATCATAGCAAAGGCATAATATTTTAAATTCTGCCCCAGGACATAGGGAACACACACACACATGCACACACGCACATACACACATGCATGCATACACATACCACTTTTGAATCTTTTTGTGTCTCTTCTTCCTCCTAGTACTTAGTACTGACAATTAACTTCAGGCCAGGCAAAAAAAAAAATAAGACAATCTTTATTTCTGTTTTCTGAATATTGCCCTAACCCATCTTCCGTTCCTCCAAATACTGCACTATTCTCTGTGGCTTCTCTAAACATTCCGACACATTGTAAATAGTCTGAATATTAAATTCTCCGCAACATTCTCAATGTGAATGCAGCATGTGTTTAACTATGGTATCCTGACTGACTTAGAGGAAAATGTTCTATTTTATATGCTCAGAAAGTAAGCTCATCCTCATCAACATCTCTTAAAGAGCACTTCTTATCATGTTATTTTGGTTCAAGACATTCCCTTTTATTAAGTTTAGTAAGCTAGAATTTTAGCAACGTGTTCATTTTGTCTTTTCCCTCACTCCCAGCAGGTGAATGCTGTAATCCTCAACAGCTCTCCAACTTTTGATTTGCTATCATCTGGCTTTTGATCTATTGCTATACTCTTATTTTATTCTATTTCAAGAGGTGACCCTCATCACAATGAAGGCTTTGGGGGTTCCCTTGCTCAGTTTTTTCAATCATGGGCCAACCCCATCCACAACTCCTACACAATCTTAGCTCCAGAGACTGCAGTTAGTTAGGGAGACCCATTTCCTATGCAGCCTATTATGCACACGCTACTGGTCTGGAAAAATAATTCAGCATGTGTGTTTTTAACAGCATACTTACTGATGAAATTCTAAGCCTGTCCTATGAGGGACCATCAGTGTCATTGTAATAAGCCTGTCCTGTATCTCAAAAGCAATTAATTATTAAAAATAGTTTCTTATTCTTCCAATCAGCTCAAGGTAAAGGGGATAAAGATTTTAGTCCTAGTCAATTCAGATTCATTAATGGACCTTTCCTGAGGTTGTTGAATGATTCATGACTAATAATACTTTCTGGAACTTTTCTGAGCTACCATCACAACCAGAAGGCCAAGATCATTTTCTAATGGGAATTATACGAAAGTAGTTGTGGAGGCTTTAATCAGAGATCAGAGTCCAAAACACCTACATCTAACGCAGTGCAGGTGCCGCATTCCATATGCTGCTTGCAATGGTCTGAATGTTTGCATGCCCCTTAAACAATTATGTTGAAACCTAATCCCCAATGTGATAGTATTAAGAGGTGAGGCCTCTGGGAAGTGATTAGGTCATGAAGGCAGAGTCCTCATGAATGAGATTAGTGCCCTTGTAATAGAGACCCAGTGGAATTTGTTTGCTTTCCACCACGTAAAGATGCAGCAAGAAGGGGGGTCTTTGCCAGGCACCAAATGTACCTACACCTTGCTCTTAGACTTTTGAGTCCCCGGAATGGTGAGAAATAGATTCCTGTTGTTTATAAACTACCCAGGAGAAGGTATTTTGTTATAACAGCTTGGATGAAAGCACTTGGCTTTTAGGTATTATCTCTGCTAAAATGGCTAAGCTGAAGGTCTGTCTCCCAAAGACAATTTCTTGAATATTGTATATTCCTACCAGGTTCAGAGTTTAGGCCTACCTGAAGTCTCTCCTGCATTAGTTCTACTTACTGCCCCTAAAAATCACACAAAAACAAAATAACTTCATTATCTCCTGTGTTTAGAACATAATTTGTAAACAATATGTTTGCATAAGGGTGAAGAGTTAAAAATAATAACAGAGAAATTGTGTGAAAAAAAAGAGGTAAGACTGCAAATGATAAACCCTAAAACATATTTATGACACTGGCAGTTTTTAACACATTTGTCTCTGTTTAGTAAATTTCACTCCATCATATTGCTTTTATTTCAGAAACATCAACATGAATATTATCACCTAGTCAATGTTAATGTCCTAGGAGACTATATAACAGACCTACGGTTCACTACCTACCGGAATTTTTTTTAGTATAAATAAAATGAAACAAAAAAGAAAATAGGCCATCAATATGATAATTTTTGTTTTTAATAAAAACTGCTCTAATTCAAGAGCATTTGACTACTTGCAACCAGGGGAACTAAAAACTATGGAACCCTTTAATAACCCCATGTCAAATATTAAAAGAATGTAAAATGATCTGATTTTTATTTATAAACATTTGGCACATTTCTACTCTACAGCCACAAAATCATAATATCGAATATGATGTTTTTATAAATTGTACCTTTAAACTTGCCCTAAATTTTTAATGGAATTTATTACCAAGATTTCTCAGTACTTTCATACCTAAAAATGTTAAAATGTTCATCATCCCAGTAATTCATATAAAAATGAAATATAGATTTAGTTCAGTGAAATTGTACTCAGTTAAAAAAATCGGACTTCTTTTTACATTTTGCCATCTGGTTATGATATAAAAAACTTATTTTAATATTTTCCAAGGAATTTTAAAGCAATACTAATTTTGTCATTGTGTATTTGATTAATAGCTCTTTTGGGAAGGAATTACCCTAACAATTACTGTAGGTATTCAAGTAAGATTTTTCTAGTTCTATTTGAATATTGTGTTATGATAAATTTCTTTTACTCCCCTTCTTACTTTTATAAGAGGAATTATTTATCTTCAGAATTCATAAACATAAACCTCAAAATATGGTTCTATATAAATGATAAAATGGATTTCAAACTGTCTAAAGTGAAATGATTTGCTGTTCTAACTGGATTTCTACACTTGTAAAAATAAATAGATGCATTGTTTCTAATACGCTAACTATCCAAATACACACACACACACACACACACACACACACATATATATAAACACATATATACTACATATACATATATATAGTAGGAGAGTAGTTTTATTTTTCTTCAACATCCTTTTTATCTATAAGCTGACAATTAAAACCATATTTCTCTAGGCTTTGTTCTCATATTGAAATCCATGTTAAAACTCTAGCAGCACAAAGCCATGGCAACAAAACAAAGTGTCGAATATAAAAAAATTACTTTAACCAAAATAATCCCAACTGAAAATGCATTTGAGAACTCTGTTCCTACAATAGCTGTTATTAAAGGTTGAACTCTTACTGGGTTGGTATAAAATAAGTGAATAAAATATCATTTCAGTTTGAACATTTCATTATCTCCACTTAAATATTTCCCTCTTCTTGAAATTACCATTTTCTGAAATAAAATAAATGGTTTAATCTATTCATCTATATGGCAGGTAAAGTGAAATGTATTTCTGAAGTTTTGATTATCACAGAATTATAATATTTGTTGTCTTGCCACAAATATTAAAAGTATATGGTCCTCATGGCCCTGTGGAGTTTTTTGCAACATATTAATATTGTTAGATTATTTTCTATTACTGTTAAAAAGAAAACACTGGAAGAACTTATTTATGTTAATGCCTAACTCAATACCGTGTGTGATATATATAGAGAGAGACAGAGAGAGAGAGAGAAGTTGAGATATTTGCAACCCTAGATTCCTTACTTTACATCCAAATCTCTGGATCTACATTGCAAAGAGGCAAAATAACATTCCATTTTTGAAGCATCTTGTGAATGACGATGTGAATGCAGAGTGTGAATGAAGTTAGAACTTCAATCTTCTGAACCTTAGACTGGTGAAATTTGTTGTTTGTTTGTTTGTTTGTTTTGAGACAGAGTCTCACTTCTTCACCCAGGCTGGAGTGCAATGGCGCGATCTCGGTGCACTGCGGCCTCCACCTCCCAGGTTCAAGTAATTCTACCGCCTTGGCCTCCCCAGTACCTGGGATTACAGGCATGTGTCACTGTGCCCAGCTAATTTTTGTGTTTTTAGTAGAGAAGGGATTTCACCCCGTTGGTCAGGCTGGTCTCGAACTCCTGACCTCAAGTGATCCACATGCCTTGGCCTCCCAAAGTGCTGGGATTACAGGCATGAGTCACTGCGCCCAGCCTGTTTTTTGTTTGTTTGTTTTTATACACGTATATAGGAGAAAAGAAACCTAAAATTGAAGTTAAAAGACTCAAATTCCAGTCCCACTTCTGTTCTTTAATATATTTGTAACTGAAGCAGGTCTATTATATTTTGTGAATTTCAGCTTTCTCATTTACTTAGTGGGTATGTTAGTAATTATTTAGTGTTATGGATATCTGGTGGTTTAATATATATGAAACTGCTTTTAAACTGTTCTAATGACATTGAGAATCAATTGCTTCAATTTTATGAATGTTCTTCTATTGTATAGGTTTCTCACATACAGTTAAAAATATGGAAGTATTGCTCAGTGTCTTATTTAATTAATGACATTTTAATTTTAGATGTATCAGTGTAGCGGTAGCTCATGTGATCTATGTATATCTCAAAATCATATTAGTTTTCATAGGTTTAAAACTGAACTTTGTATTAAGATTTAAACACTATATCTTATTGGAGCTGGAATAGATAATATCCTGCTCCTTGACTTCTTTGCTTCTTCTTAAGCATTAGATTGCCAACTCAGCAAAATAAAAATTTATTCCTCTAAAGATGGAAACTTCTATGTCTATCTGTTTCAAAAGTATTACTCACTGTTATTATGGGTCTCCTTTAGGGATTCTGGGAAGTGTTAGATGAGAAAGATTTTCACTATCTCTTGTGCTCACAGTTTTAAACCTTCTGCTCCCTGAGTCCTGCCTCTGGAGATGTCATGCAAGCAAGAAACTCAGCCAAATTCATGCTCTGCAACCGAGCATGCAAAGCTATTCTCTGTGTGGAGTTCACACACCGTTGGTTTCTCCCTGTGGGTCTGTGTCAACACTGTGTTTCTTGTGGCATGATTAATTTGTTATTATAAAAATGAAATACAGAAAAAAATAGTTTCTCTAATGTGAAAAAAAAATGTTGCATACATCATGAAAATGAAATTGAGAAATAAGGCAAAATAAACTTCTGGTAGCAAGCAGTGAATGAGAGAAACAGCTGCAGCAAAGATGGCAATAAGAGAGAAAGCGTAATTAAACCAGATGTTGTAAAACATGCAATTTAAAATGATATACAACATTGATTTTAAATATAAATGTAAATAAAAGGGATGGATCAGAAGCATAATTAACACCAAAAGGAAACAAAAATAAACTTGGTAAAAAATAAATTAGAATGATACACCAAAATGGACTTTGCTCAGACAACAAAATATTCCTTAGTGAAGGGAGATTTTTCCTGATTTTTAAATTCAATGCTGCTCAATCAAATATGCATTTAGCAGTCTCAGTAGGCACTTCAATGATGATAAATTTCAGAGACAATAAAACAGGGAAAATGTGCTTTCTTAACATTTAAAAATACAGTCCAAGCTATTCTGTCTCTCTCTCTCTCTCTTTCTCTCTCTCTCTTTTTTTTCTTTCTTTCTTTCTTTTTTTTTTTTTTTTTTTGACAGGGTCTCAGTCTCTTACCCAGGCAGGAGTGCAGTGGCACCATCAGTGGTCACTGTAATCTCTACAACCCCAGGCTCAGGTGATCCTCCCACCTCAGTTTTCCTGGTAGCTGGGACTATAAGCACAGGCCACCACACTCAGCTACTTTTGGTATTTTTTTTAGAGACATGGTTTCAACATGCTACCCAGGCTGGTCTAGAACTCCTGGACTCAAGAGATCCACCCACTTTGGCCTCCCAAAGTGCTGTGAGCTCCCAAAGAGCAGTGAGCCCCCGTGCCCAGCCCAAGCCATTCTATTTAATGCTTTCAAAAAATTTTTGCGATCCTAGGGATTAGGGAACTCAAAGTTATGAGACTCATTTAAAAATATTAACTTAAACACCGATTTGCTCAAATTTCTAATCTTAGCCTAAATTTTTTCCTCACCTTGACTACCAGTTTCCTTTCATCCTGAAACTAACTAAATCCAGCTATATTTCCTGGAGAACCACAGGCCCATACAAGTCTCCTCCTGATCTTGCTTCTCCTTCATCAGTTTAGTACCAGTCTCTACTTGTACTTTATCGTGCTAACTGCTGTCAGGTCTGGTAATTGTTATATTTGCAGTTGCTGCCCAGGCTCTCCACATCAGGGATGGCTATTGAGGTGATAAGCCCAGACTAACTTATTGGGAGAAGTGAGAGAGATCAGTTAAGAGAGAAGTGGCTGGGAGGCTGGGTTTCCTTCCAAGAAGACAGTATAAGAATGTCCAGATGTGGAACTCACATATGCTGCAACCCTGGAGACAGGCAGGGACACCCTAAGGAAGTAGTTTTCTGCACAAAATTTGACATCAGACATATTGTATTTGAATTAGTTACAAACTTAGTGTATATAAACTCTCCTCCAAAACAGCAGTCTTTATTAGATAACAAGTTTTAGGAAAAGCCAGTCCAGCCCCAATCATATCAGGAAAATGTGATGCAATATTAACCACAACACAATGTTGAATATTCCAAATTAAGAGAATGCCAAGGACTGTATTATGTTGCTAGAAACAAACAAATATATCCCCCAGAGTGTTTTGAGGAAGCCACAAGATATAACCGTTCTAAAATTATACCCAGGTTTTAATTTATAGAAGTATGACTGAGTGACAACATGAAGAGGCGAATTCCATTAAGAGAAGAACTTATTGCTTACATTTCACAAACGAAGGGTACATGTCAGACCTCACAGGGACACAAGATGGTCCAGAGACAGAAGATAAGAGTAAAAGGGAAGCCTTAGTCGGAGTCTGTATTGGGATTCCTGTGGAAAAGGCAGGACAGGACAAGGTGCATGGGTTAGGATTGGTTAGATTCAGTAATTCTGGTGGGCTTCGGGGGATAGAGGCTGTCCCTAGTTGTCTGATACCTAGGCTTGGGATGATTTAGAGCAGAAGAATATTGGCTTGGTGTGTGAGGGTGAGATAAAGAGAGTGGTTGGCTTGCATATGAAAGGCATGCTTTTACACAAGTTGCTGTATTTAACAATTAGCTAACCCTGGAAGGGGCAGTCTCTCCCTGCGTCTATAGTGGGTCTGATGTTCCCAAATGCCAGATCATAAAGAATACAGAAAATAAGAACACATAGTTAATATAATTTGCCTTGTGATGAATGGACACCAAATAGAGAAGCTGAGAAAACAAAAACAGAACAAGAACACCCCTCTAACAGATGCTCCTTTAATGATAACCCTTTTCTGTTTCCCACAGGCAACCGTAGCTCTAAGGCACAGTTATCCAGAGATCTCACTGGCAGAGGCTGATGAAGAGATGAATTAGGGACAAGAGAACGCACAGCACAACGGACTTCCGGAATTTCATCAGAGTTCTCTCCCCAGATGACATGACTGGAACATCAACTCTTGGGATGCTGTTGGGAAATAATCAGCATTTATGAAGTTGGCAATACATGCCACATTGGATGCACCCTCATGCCCCAAATCTTTTAGCTTTGTTATGGAAGCAAAAGAAGTCGACATGATCTCCATTCCCAACTGCCGGCTCCTTAAAGGATGAAGACTTCCCTCGGATCACCAGAGCTCCCCACCTCACTAAGTTTATGCTAAGGGATGGTGAGGCAGGATTTGGAATCTTCCAGAAGTCCATTCAGTGGACTTCACAATACACAGGTGTAGTCCACAGGCTGCAAATACCGACCCCACTATGTCATTTAACATTTGCTCACATACCGAAAAATGTGATGGGAACACTTTTAAGTTATTAGAGCCAAAAGGATCAAAATGAACAATAATGATTTTAAGAAAGGAAAGTAGTTTTAACATGAAGTAAATATTTTATTAGTAAGATTCCTAAGCCTGATTCATATGTGAAGAAAAATCATATTGCTATGAAAAAAAATGAGAGAAAAAGAAGACATTATTTAAAGTAAAAAATAAGAATAATCATAAACAGCCCAACAGATACTGCTGAAATTTCGATTGGCAATTTAGAAAGCCAATTTTGGGGGGGACTAAGAAAATCAGTCACTCACTATTAGGGATCAAAAATAAGTTAGAAATTGTTCTGAGTGTCAGAGTTTGGACCATCTGTACAACAGGTGCTGACCTGATATAGTAAAATATCTGTAAGTGTTGTGAATGTTGCAAAAAGGGAAATGCAAGACATCACAGAAGCTCTTCCTTGGGCCAAAAACTGGGGGAACCAAATTTTCTATGGTGTCATCATTCTTAAATCAGCTTTCACCCTCTATAAGCTGTATGAACTTGGACGAGTTACTTAACATGTCCTAGTTTTCTCAACTAAATATGGCACCAAGATAATCGCACTTAAAACATAGTGGGTTTGTATTAAATGAGTTAATACATATACAATAAAATACTATCTAGAAGAAAACAAACGTTAGCTGCTATTGACTTTTTATTGTATTATTATGGTTACTGCTTTAGAATTGTTAATTTATCTGGGATTCATTTTTGTGTGTGTTTGCAACAATGGCCTAAAATTGTCCCCAATTGGTCCATGTTATGGGCCGAAGTGTTGATTTATTCATACCCTAAATGTGTGCTGTGTATATGTCTTAAAACTACCTAGTCATTCTATGTCTATGTCTCTAGTTCTCTTGGTGACTAGTTAAATAAAGTTTGTACAAATATTCAACAAACTTTTAACAGTAATTCTTTCTTAAGTCTGTGTGGTGGGGAGAGTAAAGCTTTCATTACTTAAAAATATGTGTACAGGTATATCAGTATAGTTTTAATAAGTAATTATTACATTTATAACAAAAATCATTGGTAATATATAACATTATGACAATAGTCTATTTAATTGTGTGACTTTCTGACAATTCTTTGCATTGCATATCTTTATCTATCTGCTTTGGCCATAAGCAAATCACTCTGGCCAGTAGTATAATGAGCTCAGTAGGATTCCTGTTATCTCTCACACTCAGGAGGCAGAGCATTCGTAAGTTGAATACAGACTGCCACGATATGGTACAAAGTACAGTTAATACTGATTTTCAATGAAAATAGAAATTCTCATTTTAAAGACTCTTTCTGTGTGTTAACAGACAATAAAACAAGAATCATGAACATTAAGTTGGCAATAAAATTTCCTAACCACAAAAATAAAGATTCTATATATTTGTTAGTTGTTACTTGCATTTTTCCCTTCCCAAATAGTTTTAGGCATAGTGTTTCACAGCAGATCCAATGGGAATAAAAGAAAATAAATTAAAAGGATACATTTTAACAGGGCCTTTGAGGTTGGTTGTAAATGTGAGATTTCAGATAAAATAGAGGATGAAATACTATTTGTAATTTTATTGCAGAGCTAATACAACATATTTAAATAAAATAGAAATTTGAAAACTAAGATATGTATATTAGGATGTTTCCTTCCTTAAAATTAAGCATTTATTGGAGGTGTAGTTTGAGAATATTTTCTTCCTTTCTGTAGGTTATCTGTTTACTCTGTTGATAGTTTCTCTTGCTAGACAAAAGTCCTCTAGTTTAATTAGGTTCTGTTTGTCAATTTTTGTTTTTGTTGCACTTGCTTTTGATGACTTAGCCATAAATTATTTGCCAAGGCTGATATCAGGGAGGGTATTTCTTAGGTTTTCTTCTAGGATTTTTATAGTTTGAGTTCTACCATTTAAGTGACTAATTTATCCTGAGTTAATTTTCATATATAATGATAGGTAATGGTCCAGTTTCATTCTTTCACATACAGCTAGCCAGTTATCCCAGCACCATTTGTTGACTAGAGAGTCCTTTTTCTACTGCTTATTTTGTTGACTTGTCGAAGATCAAATGGTTGTAGGTGAGTGGCCTTATTTCTGTGTTCTCTGTTCTGTTCCATTGGTCTATGTGTCTATTTTTTACCTGTATCATGCTCTTTTGGTTACAGCAGCCTTGCAGTATAGTTTGAAGAAAGACAGTGTGACGCCTCCGGCTTTGTTCTTTTTGCTGAAGACTCTTTGGGCTATTGGGAATCTTTTTAGGTTTCATATGAATTTTAGAATAGTTTTTCTAAATCTGTGGAAAGTTTGTTGGTAGTTTGCTAGAAATAGCACTGAATCTGTAATTGCTTTGGTCAGTATGGCCATTTTAACAATTTTGATTCTTCCTATCCCCAAGCATGGAATGTCTTCCCTTTTGCTTGTATCATCTCTCATTCCTTTTAGCACTGTTTTGTATTTCTCTCTGAAGAAATCTTTCAGTTCCTTGGTTAGCTAGATTCCTAAGTATTTTATTCTTTTTTGGCTACTGTAAATGGAACTGCGTTCTTGATTTGGCTCTCAACTTGAACGTTACTGGTATATAGAAATGCTACTGATTTTGTACATTGATTTTGTATCCTAAAACTTTACTAAAGTTGCTTATCAGTCTAGGAACATTTGGGTAGAATCTTTAGGGTTGTCTAGTTATAGAATAATATTGTCAGTGAAGACACATAGTTTGACTATTTCTTTTCTTATCTGGACGCCTTTTCTTTCTTTGTCTTGCCCAATTGCTCTGGCTAGGACTTCCAGTACTACACCGAATAGGATTGGTGATGGTAGGCAGCCTTGTTTTGTTCCAGTTCTCAAGACGAATGCTTCCAGCTTTTGCCCATTGAGTATGATGTTGGCTGTGAGTCTGTCATAAATAGATTTTATTATTTTGAGGTATGTTCCTTTGATGCCTAGTTTGTTGAAGTTTTTAATATAACAGAATATTCAGTTTTATCAAAAGCTTTTTCTGCATCTATTGAGATGATCATTTTTTTGTTTTTAATTATGCTTATGTGGTGAATTACATTTATTGGTTTGTATATGTGGAAACCAACCTTGCATCCCAGGGATAAAGCCTACTTGATTGTGGGGAATTAACTTTTGATGTGCTGCTAGATTCAGTTTGCTAATATTTTGTTAAGAATTTTTGTATCTGTGTTCAGAGATATTGGCTTGAAGTTTTTCTTTTTCATTGCCTCCCTGCCAGGTTTTGGTATCACAATGATGCTAGCTTTATAGAATGAATTAAGGCGGGGTCTCTCTTCCTCAGTTTTTTTGGAACTTAACAAGCAAAAAACAGCTCCATTAAAAAGTGAGCAGAGAACATGAACAGACACTTCTGAAAAGAAGACATGCAAGCTGCCAATAAACATAAAAAAGATGATTATTACTAATCATTAGAGAAATGCAAATCAAAACCACAATGAGATACCATCTCACAACAGTCATAATGGCCTTTGTTAAAAAGTTTAAAAACAACAGATGCTGGTGAGGCTACAGAGAAAGGAGAACACATACACTGTCAGAAGAAATGTAAATTAGTCCAACTATTGTGCAGAGCACTTTGGAGACTTCTCATAGAACAAAGAGTCGAACTACCATTCCATCCAGCAATTCCATTACTGAGTATATCCCTAAAGGAAAATTAGTTGTTCTACCAACAAGACACATGCATCTGTAGATTCATCACAGCACTATTCACAATAGCAAAGACATGGAATCAACCCAGGTGCCCATCAACTCTGGACTGGATAAAGAAAAAGTAGTTCATATATCGTGGAATACTATGCGGCCATAAAAAAGAATATAATCAGCTTTTGCAGCAGCTTGATTCTGTTATCCTAAATAAACTAATGCAGAAACAGAAAAGCAAATACTGTATGTTCTCATTTATAAGTGAGAGCTAAACACTGAGTATACATGGACATAAAGATGAGAACAATAGACACTGGGGAATACAAGAGTGGGGAGAGAATGAGAGAAGAAAGAACTAAAAAATTACCTATGCTCACTACCTAGGAGATAGATTCATTTGTCCTTTAAACCTCAGCATCACACAATATACTTTTGTAACAAATTTGCACATGTCCTGCCTGAACCTGTAATAAAAATTGAAAAAGAAACTGATCTTTAAAAGGATAGAACAATCAATACTGACTTAAATTATAACATCTACCAGTGAAAATTCTAGTGTGTCATGTAATAATTTGGGAGTGAAAACTGTTATACTGCAGTGGTCTGATATCACTAACCTATAAAAGAAATTTCCATGGAAGCTACTGGTAGTTATGAGAAACCCAGCTGGTATATATGAAACAGTAAGTTATATAGCTTATATAGCAACACATGACTCACTCCCTCTCTCTCCCTGCCCCTGTCTCTCTCTCTCTCTTTCTCTCTGTATCTCTCTCTCTCTCTCTATCACTCTATTTCACAGACACCGACTAAAGAGATGAAATATTTTTACTGACTTAAAAAGTTATTACTCATTTGTCACCCAAATTACAAAGCTGGAACTGTATCTTCATGATATAAAGGCATATAAATGTTTTATCCATTGCCATGTCTTCTGATTTTAAATTTCAGAATTAATGCAATGTTCCAAAGCATATGTTAAACAATGTACATACAACTCATAAAATCTACATACATTATAACAAAAAGCACAAATCTATGAAATGTCACACGTTGGAATCCTTATTTTCTTTTAATATGCTCTAGAAGATACAAATGACAGTTCATTGATCAGGTACAGATTCTCTCTTGAGTCAATGAAGCTCTGGTCTTCGCTTTAATTTGATGGGAACGTAACATGTTGCTTTGGGATTTGTCAGTAAGAGATGAAATGCCTTCATGAAAGATAAAGATATGGGGTATTCTGGGTATAGGAACCAAATAACTTTCTTTAGCAGAAAAACATATTAACTATTCCTTAATCCAGTTCCTCTTTTCACTGTACTGTAAAAATTCACCCATCTTCTTTGAAGCATGTATATGTATTTATGTTGTACCAACTCAACTTAAATTTTATTGCTTAATGATCTTTAGACCCATATGAAAGCTTTTTCCAAAATAGATATTAAATTATATGTATCCTTCCTGATTAATTATTAAAATGCCATACCTCAGCTATCTATAAAAAGAGTGCTATGGTTAAATAATTGATCAAGTTAGCTTCTTAAGATAATTGTGTCCATTAGGTCAACTAGTGACTGAGATTTTGGTGGAGATTCTTTTCATATTCCCTAAATTAAATATTAAATATTATGTTACAATACTGTCTCAAGGTTGGTGCCTGGTTTTACTTGATGTAAATACATGATGTTTAAGGAGAGAAAATAAAAGGCCCAAGGATGTAAATTACAAAAAGGCAACAATAACAAACAACATCTATCACTGTTCTTATACTTTGTAAATAAAAGGAGAGATATAAAATTCTCTTTAAGGCACACATCACTTAATAATCACTTTTCTGCATGAAACAGAGGAAGTCTCTGAAGCCAGATGACTGTTTCATTGAGTTTAGTGATAAGGAAAAGCTTTGAAAAAGAAGATCAGTGCAGAAACTATCTTCTCTGGGCCAGAGGGGAACCTGGGGAGATGTAGCAACAAGCTCTACGGGAGGCTCTGGAAAGATCCTGAATTACAGACTTCAGAATTAGGTCTCTCACAATTACAGGCAGATGCTGACTATTTGAGCTTTCCTTGAAGTAACAGATCAATTTCATCAAGGGTAGGTTAATAAATCATGAAAGGAAGGCCAGGTGCAGTGGCTCACAGCTGTACTCCCAGCACTTTGGGAGGCTGAGGTGGGTGGATCACGAGGTCAGGAGCTTGAGACCAGCCTGGCCAACATGGTTAAAACCCCATCTCTACTAAAAGTACAAAAATTAGCCAGATGTGGTGGTGTGCGCCTGCAGTCCTAGCTACTTGGGAAGCTGAGGCGGGAGAATTGCTTGAACCCCAGAAGTGGAGGTTGCAGTGAGCCGAGATCACACTATTATACCCCAGCCTGGGCAACAGAGCAAGGCTCCAGCTCTAAAAATAAATAAATAAATAAATAAATCATGGAAGGAGATTTTTGTAGATGAACTAAGGAAATGGCCAGTGTTGAGATCTGAATAAAGAGATGAAAACCAAACAAAAGAAATAATTTGAAGTAAAAATACAAAAAGAGGCAATGGTGTAGAGGAAATAATTGGAAAACAAGTGGTATTATAGATCTAATATGTGAGTATTGAAAGATCAAGAAAGAAAATAAGTCAGATGGGAAGAGGCAATGAGTACAAAAAAGTACCAGATGTGTTTTCTGATTGGTTTTTGGGTGAATAATAGATTTGAATAGCAGATTGAAAGATTTTATTGAGTTTCAGACAGAATTATTCAGGGAAAACATATATGTATATTTAATTTTATTTTAGGAAATTCTTAAGCAACAAAAATAAGATTAAAAACTGCCAAACAAATTATAGGAGGGAAGTGACTAACAAATATTTCTGATACTTTTATGTTTCTTCTTAGCGATGCCTAAAAATTAGGTCCTTGATAACACATTTCTTTCAACTCTTAATTAAGGGATCTAAGATAAGTAAGAATCTGGTCTAGGTTACCATAAACATGTGCTCATTGTTGCAAATTGTATTAATCAGATGATATATCACTCATATTAATAATATACATCTGCATCAGAAAATAGGAGATAGTCAGTATTCCTGAAAGACTTCATAACTAGTGAGGTTCAAAAACCAAAATGTCTCTTGAGTTCTCTGTGTTGATCTCTGGGAGCCCACTCAGTTTCCCTCTTGATGATGTGTGTCCCAACCTTAGTAATTTGGGAACATTTGGAAACTTTGTTTGAAAATTACAGAAATTACAATACACTGTTGTTATGGATAGCGCATTTTTCTTCCTAGTCTACATGCTTTCATAAGATAAATAAATAAAAAAATTGATACTAGATGAAGCATGTTTTGTTTAGTTTGTCAGTTTTAACTAAAGACCACTGATGCTTGTAGAGTGAAGAGCCTATTGCACAGGGGTGTTAGAAGCAGGAGTGACCGCCACATCCTCATACCAATATGTCAAAGGCAATTTTGCATAAGAGAAAGCTTGGAGAGAGCAGTTCGGACAAAATTGTGATGCAAGGATATTAAATAAATTATTCTTGGTTAGTTGTAGGGAAAGTTCTGTTGAAAATTTCTGGAGATCATGTTAAAAATAGAAGTTGGATTTAACCATTCCACAATGTATACATATATCAAAACATCATGCTGTATACCATAAAGACACACAATTTTTATTTGACAATTAAAATATATAAATATATATATATTTTAAGCAGAAGTTGGAGAATATAATTGCTGATTTTCAGCAGAGGAGCCAAAGCTTCTAAAACGAATGCAACTGAATGGTATAAGGAAGGTAATACAGCCTGATGGGAGAATCAGAAACTGGGGCATGATGACCTGCAATGTCTGTAGAAGGACATGAAGTACTAATAGAGGGCTGAAAGTCAAAATGCAAGGTGTGGTAATTGTGTGGTAGAAAGTAATAGCTACGATGAAAGGAAAATTTAGAAAATCAGAAAAATATCTGTACATAGATTCATAATTGAAATAGATATCAGAATAGAGGATTTTGCTATAGCTGACCTATGGTTAGACAGTGAATACTTATGTCTTTTGCCAATTTTAATTGATCATGTGTAATAGAAAGCTATAGAATACCCCAAAATCTCTTCCATTACAAATATCAAACATTATTAATAAAACTAATGATTCAATGAGGAAAATTAATTGCCAGCAACCATGCTTCGCTTACGAGAAAAGCAGATGGATCCTGGATGCTAACTTGATTATTATGACTTGAATAATCTGGTTCCACCAATAGCCTCTGTTGTGCCACTTATGGTGAGAGCTGTTCATGATGTCCAGTGGGATTATGGGACAGATGTGCCATCATAAACTTGTGTGACGTATGGCCTAAAAGGAAAGCTCAATACATGTGCTGTGTTGACATCTGGTAAAATTGGAAGGGCCTAGGATAGCTTAACCACAAGTTTCCCTCTCCACTCTGCTTCCATGGATAAGGTCTTCTAGCCAAACGACTCTCCTCACCAGGGCAATCAGGCACAGTTCCAGCTTATTGCCAAGTAGCAGTTTTTGGCTCCCTGTCAGCCCACAGTGTCACTAAAGCAAGCTCTTCACATTCTCCTGCAGAAACCAGAGGAAATCTCAGTCTCTTGATTCTACAAAGCCTGCCTCTCACAACCCCTGGTTGTTATTCTATTCCTGGGCACAAGTCCTCTGTGGCCCTGCATGCATGTGGCATCCTCCTCCAGAAGGCTGTGAGTTATTAGTGCCTAATAAACTGCTGTCAACCTACCTGTCCAGAGTTATGTGGTCATGTGTTCTGCTCTCACCAAAACCCCAGGGTAGGAGCCCCACTCCGCAACAGTTCCAATACGAGGTGATTAAAACAACTTGATTCATGCTTTCTATTCCCATTCCTATGTTTGGAGGAAGAAACTTAATTTCCTTTTGCATTGGAAGGACTGCAATATATACTTGCTATCTTCCTTTAGGGTACCTGGAAAAGGCTGTTTTTCTTGTCATGGTTGACAAAATGATATTTACTGATATTTGGTAAGCTAAACACTGCTTTAATATTTCTGTAACATCTGCATTGCATATTATTATATTTTTATTTACAGAATGTATTCTATAAGAACATCATCATATCTGACCCAAAATAAATAAGAATCCAGCTTATGCTACTATGTTTAGGATCAAATACCAGCACTTCATTGCAAGATTCTATTGTTGAGCTGCACCTGCCCTAGAAAATAAGAACTGGCCTGGTACCAGTGGGAGAACTAAGTGATTAGGTATTTTTGAAAGCAGCAAAGTCTTAGAAAGGATGACTACTCTATTTCACCCATGCCCATTCTGGCTACTTTTTTTTTTATTATTATACTTTAAGTTTTAGGGTACACGTGCACAATTTTCTGGTGATCACACAGATCCCAAATTAGGAGTGACTGGGGAATCTGAAACTGGATTCGTAAATCCTGAGCTCTTACTCTGCTGTGTTCTTGACTGACCTATATCTCTCATGAGTCTAAGCAAATATGGTGGTGGGATAAGCCTATTGTGTTGATGTGCTTAGTCTCATAGTTAATCTGAATTCAAGTTTGTTAGTGCTAGTTGAGCAGAATGGGTTTTGCAGTACACCATGTAATTGCCTGAAGATTAATGAGAAACCATAAAGTATTTGGTACAGTGACTAACATATATTCAGTTCTAAATAAATAATTTTGTGTGTTGTTGGCACACACGCTTACTACCTTTTCTTAATAGAGTTTTCACATTTGTCAAATGCCAAGTATCCAGCTCATTGGACAAATGCAAATAATAAAAAAATGTGTTTTCTTCAAAATATTGAAATCATATTTATATATTATGAAGAAATGTGTGTTCAATATTGAATCATCATATGCAAGTTCAACATATGGGGTTTCAAAAAAGCAACGATGAGTATGATTTCATCCAGTGAGGATATAGAAAATTACAATGTGTCCAAAGTAAAATGCATTTGGCATAGTTTCTGCTGTGATTATGCTGTTGTTAAATATAAACTTGTTTTACTTCAGTAATAAAAACATTGGAGAATTTATTTTTCTGATTTCTCTTTCTTACACATGCTTGATGAAATAGGAACCTCTAGTTATCTATTCCATTAGTAACAGAGAGATAAGCTAATCTCACACTTAGTATAGAAAAATATTTATTTGGGGACTGGGTGATATTAGTTCTCCTCCAATACTCTGATACCTGCTAAATAAACATCCAACAAAATACACTAATCAATTCTAATTTGTCTTATTACAGAAAAAAACTGAAATCATGTTCTTGTTTGAATTTGATTTACTTAATACTTTATTAATTTATTAAATCTTTTATTTTATAATCTTTTGAAGACATGTGGCTTAAATATTTTGAATCATATTCACCTACAATCACCAAGATTCTCCTTAAATTTACTTAATATCACAGTAGTTGTTTTATGTTTTTATGTCATGGATTGAAAATAAATTGCAAAATATATGGCCTTTTGACAAACTTTGTCTTCCTCAAAGTCAAGTTCAAAATGTTTTGTTATAAAATTTTTATTTAAAAGTGATAATTGTAAAAAATGACAAAAGTTTCAAAAGATCAGTCATTCTTTGGCATTTAATACCACTTCTGCCATAAGAAGACTATAAAATATCTCTTCTAGAGGTCTTACACTTGTCCTTTAATTTTCTTTATCCTTTTTAGATATAATTGGGCAAGTTCCCATCACATCAGTTTCTGAGTCTGAGCAATCCACTATAATATCATTCCATAAAAATTAAACATTTTCAAGGCCTCTCAAATGTATGTTTTGTTATTCTGCGTAGAGTGGGTCCTTTCATAGCCTACAATCCTCAACTCACTAATTTAGCTCCTCAAAATTCACAGTCCTATCAAGAATTATAAATATATATGACACACATAATTTTGTGTTTTATTATGTATTGTATACTGTATATATATGTTTATTTAATGTGCATTTTATTTATAATGTCATATATGATGTTTATAATATATTATGATAATGTATTTATAAATATTTGTTTGGAGTTGGAAGGAGCCACGAAGTAGTCTTCATTATCCCCACTTTCTATTCTTTAAGCCTATATATTTCTTGTAGAATTTAAGTGATTTATCCCTGATTCCTCCAGCTGTAACAGTATTCATATAAATATTTTAGTTAAAAATACCTAAAAATATATTTTTATGGTGAACACTGTCAAAATTATACCTAACTATATAATTAGAATAGAAATCTATTATATTAGGGGATGGTACACACACAAACACAAAATGACCAGATTTAAAATGCTTATTACCAATATCTGAAATAATAATGTAAGAGTTTATTTAAGATGAATCCTTGTCCCTTACTGATTGTAATTTCCCTGACAAAATGACCCAGTAATCACATAGTCATCATGAGCATGGTAGAGTGAAAGAATAACCATGTGATTCCCAACTTGACTGACAGCTGAAGTATAAAATCAGGATGAGGAGGATTTAATCAATAAGTTGAGCAGGATGAGACAGTTTAGCCACCTATATAATTTTCTTTCTTTCTTTCTTCCTTTCTTTTTTTTAGATGGAGTCTCTCTCTGTCACCAGGTCGGAGTGCAATGGCCTGACCTCAGCTCACTACAACCTCTGCCTCCCAGGTTCAAGAGATTCTCCTGTCTCAGCCTCCTGAGTAGCTGGGACTACAGGCACTAGCCACCACGCCCAGCTAATTTTTGTATTTTTAGTGGAGACGGAGTTTCACCGTGTTGGCCAGGATAGCCTCAATCTCTTGACCTCGTGATCCGCCGACCTCTGCCTCCCAAAGTGCTGGGATTACAGGCATGAGCCACCATACCTGGCTTATAACTTTCTATGTCAGACAAAGAAAGGAAAAATGACATCTGAAATCCCTTTTTCAAGAACGTAGAATAATCTCTATAATTCCACTATGAGACCAAAGTAGCTCGAGAACCCTGGGTGTTTTGTCCTAAATATCTGCCAGAGGTTAGATTTAGTATTAAACTTTCTGCTCCATCAGATTTTTCAATGGCTCAACATTGATGCTCTATCAAAGCTGTAAGTAAAAAAAAAAAATCTCCATTTATTTATTGCCTAAGAAGTAACAGGTTATATTCAACATATGAGTGAGATGATACAGTGTTTGTCTTTTTGTGCCTGGCTTATTTCGTGTCCTCCAGATTTACCCATGTTGCTGCAAATGACAGGATTTCAATCTATTTTGTAGATGAATCGTATTTCATTGTGTATATGTATGACATTTTCTTAATCCATTCATCATTAGATGGGCATTTAGGTTTATACAATATATGGGTTATTGTGAATTGTGCTGCAATAAACATGGGTGTGCAGATGTCTGCTAGACCTACCAATTTCATTTCCTTTGGATATACCCAGTAATAGAATGGCTGGATTCCATTACACTATCTATACATGCATTGAACCATCATATTGTACCCTATGAATATGTACAATACCGTGTGCTAATTATAAATAAAAATTAAATTTAAAAAAGTGTTATGCTCTTTTCAGGTACTATTTTATACTTTAAAAAGATTGAAAATTGCTTTAGGAGTATGATAATTTGGTTACTGTATTTTAAAGTTCAATAATTTAAGTGTGCTTTGAAAACGCATTATCTCATTAGTTTTCAATAAACAGGAGTGAAAATAGTGGAAAATAATGGGCAAAACATTTTAATGTTTTGTATTTATAATTAGAATCTTACAGAGTACTGTGAGCTTCTTCGAATCAAAGGACTCACATCCTCCAGGCGTCTTCCTTCAGAAAGAATAGAGACCATTATAAATGTCATTGGTGGGAGAGCAGCATAGGAAGTCATTTCAGAAAACCTGTGACACAGTAATGGGCAGAAACCCAATTGCCACTGTTCTCTGTGTGAGAAATATCTATATCATTTTTCCAGGGTTATCTGTTTGACTGATTGGTATTTATTTCTGTGCTTCTCAAAGCAAGGAACGTCAACTGCATGAAACAAGTACATCACAAAATGCCTGAGGGGAAAATAACTAAAATTCAGGTTTCTAACTAGTCTTCATAAATCAGCAGCTCTAAATATCCAGGTTATAGAAATCAAACTAGACTTCATGAAGCTTTAGTCTACCATGTAAGGTTATGCTTGCATGAATTGATCTAAAATAAAATACCATCACACTGCTTCATTTTTAGCTTTCTAGTAAAGCATTTGTGAAATCACAATGTTGTTTTGTGAAAACTTGATCTCCAGTGCATTAAAACAGACTTCTTATGTTAGGCAAAAGGGTCAAAAGACACATGACCTAGAACTGAGCATAATCTCTGTGGAAAGAGTTACTGCTTTCTAATTTCTATTTCTGAAAAAAAGAAAATTGCCCAGTGGTAGCAAAGATAGACAATAACAGCAAATTGATCTAATATTGACAGTGGGTATCAAAGTCTCCCACTATTATTGTGTGGGAGTCTAACTCTCTTTGTAGGTTTCTAAGAACTTGCTTGATGAATCTGGGTGCTCCTGTAATGGGTGCATCTATATTTAGGATAGTTAGCTCTTCTTCTTGCATTGATCCCTTTACCATTATGTAATGGTCTTCCTTGTCTCTTTTGATCTTTGTTGGTTTAAAGCCTGTTTTATCAAAGACTAGGATTGCAACTGCTCTCTTTTTTTGTTATGTTTTTGCTCTCCATTTGCTTGGTAAATATTTCTCCATGTGTCTTTGCACGTGAGATGGGTCTCCTGAATTCAGCACACCAATGGGTCTTGACTCTTTATCCAATTTGTCAGTCTGTATATTTTAACTGAGGCATTTAAGGTTAATAGTGTTATGTATGAATTTGATCCTGTCATTATGATGCTGGCTGGTAATTTTGCACAAGCAATGGGGATAGGATTCCCTATTTAATAAATACTATTGGGAAAACGGGTTAGCCATATACAGAAAACTGAAACTGGATCCCTTCCTTGCACCTTATACAAAGATTAACTGAAGATGGATTAAAGACTTAAACGTGAGACCTAAAACCATAAAAACCCTAGAAGAAAACCTAGGCAATACCATTCAGGACATAGGCATGGGCAAAGACTTCATGACTAAAACACCAAAAGCAATGGCAACAAAAGCCAAAACTGACAAATGGGATCTAATTGAAGTAAAGAGCTTCTGCACAGCAAAAGAAACTAGCATCAGAGTGACCAGGCCACTTACAGAATGGGAGAAAATTTTTGCAATGTATCCATCTGACAAAGGACTAACATCCAGAATCTACAAGGAACTTAAACAAATTTACAAGAAAAAAACAAACAACCCCATCAAAAATTAGGTGAAGGATCTAAGCAGACATTTTTCAAAAGAAGACATTTATGTGGCCAACAAACATGAAAAAAGCTCATCATCATTGGTCATTTGAGAAATGCAAATCAAAACCAAAATGACATAACATCTCACGCCAGTTAGAATGGCAATCATCAAAAAGTCAGGAAACAACAGACGCTGGAGAGGATGTGGAGAAATAGGCACACTTTTACACTGTTGGTGGGACTGTAAACTAGTTCAACCATTGTGGAAGACAGTGTGGTGATTCCTCAAGATCCAGAACCAGAAATACCATTTGACCAAGCAATCCCATTACTAGGTATATACCCAAAGGATTATAAATCATTCTACTATAAAGACACATGCACACATATGTTTATTGCAGCACTATTTACAATAGCAAAGACTGGGAGCAAACCCAAAGGCCCATCAATGATAGACTGGATAAAGAAAATGTGGCACATATATACCATGGAATACTATGCAGCCATAGAAAAGAATGAGTTCATGTCCTTTGCAGGGACATAGTCGAAGCTGGAAACCATCATTTTCAGCAAACTGATATAGGAACAGAAAACCAAACACCGCGTGTTCTCACTCATAAGTGGGAGTTGAACAATGAGAACATATGGGCACAGGGAGGGGAACATCACACACTGGGGCCTGTCTGGGGGTTGGGGGCAAGGGGAGGGATAGCACTAGGAGAAATACGTAATGTAGGTGGCGGGTTGATGGTTGCAGCAAATTACCATGGCACGCGTATACCTATGTAACAAACCTGCACGTTCTGCACACGTACCCCAGAACTTAAAGTATAATAATTTAAAACAAGAAGAAAATAACAGCAAGAAATGTGTTTGCTTTCCTTAACGAACTAAGCTTTTTATAAAATCATCTCATCCTATTGCTGGTTGCTGATTTTTATCCTGATGAGTTGACTATCTCACTCAGATTCCCAGTGGAGACAGAACAAGTGTGTTCACCTTGACCGATGTCTCTCTCTCATCAGGTTTAGCTGCAAGAAATCTTAAGCCTAAAGTTGTTTTATAGCTTTGCCACAAAGTTTTAGAGAAAGACCTTTTTTTTTATTTTTTTCACTGTTTAATTTACTTTGTCATACCTGGAAATGTAGGTTTTATGGGAATAAACTCTCTGAGGAAAAAATATCATCGCATCCCTTTAAACTTGTTTTCTTTCGCTTTCTCCGGCTTTATCTATTTCTTTGCTTGTTTATTGTAACAGTAACTCCAACCTTGGGCTTCAGGTAATATTTAACTGGGTAAGGCACTAGGGCGATTTCTTATTCCCAGCCCTGATTACATCTCAGGGAATGTTAGTGCTGACCTGCAAGGTTTCCCTGGCAAGGCTAGGGCCATCTCCTGGACTGCGCAACTAGGGCCTTTATCTTATTCCACAGATTAAACCAGGACCTTTAAAATGCCTAGAAATAGTTTCTCCCTGCTTGTTCCTAACGGGTGTTCTGTCTAGAACATTTGATGTAGAAATAGTGTATAACGTCTTGACCTGTGAAAAAAATGGGTCAGATTTGTCTATTTCAACTGTGTATCTTTGCCTAATTATATAAAATGGCTGAGAGACTTTAAGATTCTTCCTCCAAGTTCTTATATTTAAAAGGTGTTATAATAAGTGCCAAAACCAGAAAACCTTGCTATTAAATTTACACTCTTCCATTCAATTTCTTCTTATTTAACAAGTTTCACTGCCGTCGTGAGATATTAGGGTGCCAGTCTCAAGACCACAAAGCTCATTTATGGCAAAAAGAATCTATAGGTCTCTACTTCCTGGCCACTGCTGTTCCCATTATGTCATGTTAGTTTTAGGACAATCTTTTTTTTTGGACAATAATTCCTGAACTCAGATCCTTTTATTTTGAGTCAAATATTAAAAAAATTAGATGTGTCGTTACTTTACTGAAGCTAAAATTAGAAAAATAAAACTATACTAGATGTTAACGCATAATCACTGCAGTATTTCAATTCTGCATCTACCATCGCATGAGTTCATTTGTTGATAAGGAAATATTGACAGAGCAAAACATTAGGAAAACTCCAGTGCTAACCAGCTAGCACAGGTATTTTTTTTCACAGATAAAGCAACAGTTTTTGAAAGACATTTGAATGACATTTGAATGAGCTTATCTGTAAAAAGAGGCGGCCATTTAGATTTCAATATACATTCTGAGTTTTTTTTCCCAAGATAGTGCTTCTGTTTAAGACGCTGTTCAATTTGCATTTCTGACAAGAATTTTTTTCTGAGTGGGTCCAATTCAAGTTGGAGAATCATTTACATGAAAAATTTCATTTGACTAAGAAATGTGGCCAGCTGAAAGAATATAAATCTAGCTTTAATCACATATTGAGGAAAGGACAAAACCGCACCGATACTAATTGCTTTGGTTTATAAAGATGCTAACGCTCATTTAAATCCTTTTCAGGAGAGGACAATCGAATGGCCTCTTTTTGGGACTTTGTAGGACAATTATTCCCATATTATACTTCTATGTAGTTTTCTTCATGGAAAAAATAAATATATTTGCCTGCTGAATAGTTTTACTGATTATTAGAATAAAACCAAAAATATTGTGGTTTTGGAGGGGGTGAAATTATACTGTAAATTAAAGTCATACAGAGTCCATGTCTCTGTATATGTGCAGTGTTAAAATATACATAAAATTAAATTTCCCATTTTAATGTTCAAATGTACAGTTCTGTGACATTGTGTACAGGCACATCGTTGTACAACCATTACTGCTATCCGCCTCTAGAACTTTTTCATTTTCCCCAATTGAAACTCTGTACCCATCAAACACTAAGCCCACGTATTTCTTCTCCCAGCTTCTGGCAACCACCATTCTATCTGTTTCTATGATTTTGACTATTCAAGGAACCTCACACAAGTGGAATCATGCACTGTTTGTCCTTTTCTAACAGGTTTATTTCACTTGGCATGTCATCAACGTTCATCCATGTTATCACGTGTGTCAGAATTTGTCTTCGTTTTTAAGGCTGAATCACATATGTTGGCCGGGCATGGTGGCTCACACCTGTAATCCCAGCACTTTGGGAGGCCGAGATGGGAGGATCACCTGAGGTCAGGAGTTCGAGACCAGCCTGGCCAACATGGTAAAACCCCGTCTCTACTAAAAGTACAAAAATTAGCTGGGCATGGTGGTGCATGCCTGTAATCCCAGGTACTTAGGAGGCTGAGACAGGAGAATCACTTGAACCCGGGAGGTGAAGGTTGCAGTGAGCTGAGATAGCGTCATTGCACTCCAGCCTGGGCAACACAGCAAGATCCGTCTTGGGAAAAAAATACGTGTGTGTGTGTGTATGTGTGTGTGTGTGTGTGTATATATATATACACACACACACACACACATACACACATATTTATATATAAATACATGTATATATGTGTACATATACATATATATATAATATATAGCATTTATGTGTAATAATACATTTGGTTCACCTTTATGTATTATATGTAGCACATTTTGTTCACCCATTCATTCCTCAGTGGACACTTGGGTTGTTTCTACCTTTTGTCCATTGAATTGTTTTGACCTTTTGCTCATTGAGAATAATCTGGCTATAAACATGTGCATAGAAATGTTTGTTTGAGTCCCAGCTTTCACTTCTTTTGAGTATGTAACCATAAGGGGAATTGCTGAATCATATGAATATTTTGAGGAATCACCAGATTGCTTTCACTGTGATTTTGATTTGCATTACCTTAATAAGTAGCAACATTGAACATCTTTTCATGTGTCTATTGATCATTTGTGTATCTTCTTTGGATAAATGTCTATTTAAGTCCTTTGCTCATTTTAAAAAATCTGATTGTGTTTTGTTGTTGTTGACCATGCCTGTAGATAAGGAAATAAATACTGGGAAAGAATCCAATTTTACAAATAGATAAGAATTACATCTCAACAGCCAAGTTTTCTCAATATTTAGAAATTTATCTAATGTAATATGAATGATACTTTCTAAGTGAAAATTTATAAATGAGCACTGAATATTCCCTGTATTCAGCACAATGTAGCAGTTTTCAATGACCAACTGAAAGTACAAGTGATATAACTATTTTGAAGAAACATCTGGAAAAAGAAGCAGCAGGGATGAGTTCCAAACCAACCTGTGTACCATGGAAGTTTTACTTTACAGTTTAGTTCATTAATATATTCATGAAAAATGTTGGCTGGTTGCAGTGGCTCACGCCTGTAATCCCAGCACTTTGGGAGGACAAGGTGGGTGGATCACCTGAGGTCAGGAGTTCAAGGCCAGCCTGGCCAACACGGCAAAACCCCATCTTCACTAAAAATACAAAAATTAGTCAGGCGTGGTGGCAGGTGCCTACAATCCCAGCTACTCAGGAGGCTGAGGCAGGAGAATCACTTGAACCTAGGAGGCAGAGGTTGCAGGGAGCCAGGATTGCACCACTGCACTACATCCTGGGTGACAGAGTGAGACTCCGTCTCAAAAAAAAAAAAAAAAAAAGTTTAACTTACAGTACTTTCGCCTGCCCAAATGGCCCCTGCTGCACCTCATCTCTGATTCATGATTTTACAACATTTATGAAAACCTTTCAGACGTGTTATTCAAAGTCTCTTCAGATATGAATTTGATGTAAGTAATTCTCATTTTAATATTTAAAGCACAGAAACACTTTCAACATCATGAGAGCCTTTTATTTTCATTTGAGAAAAATGAAGTTTTAAGTGTTAATTTCTTTAAAAGTAAATGAAAATATCAATAAAACTACATTGTATACTTTGCTCCAGTTACAAGTCTGGAGACAATCAAGTAGTTTATTCCAGAGTCTTTATAACTTTCATTTTGTATTAAGGAAAACGTTACCTGGTTGTCATCACCTTATTATAAATTAAACTACTTCAATTTGAATTGTAATTAAAATGTTGTTAAGTCAGTGAGTGAGTCATATGCTAAAGCTTGTCCAATATTTGGCCTGCGAATGAGACATCTGGCAACGGTAAATTCTACTTTAGAGGGTATCTACGTAGAAGGCTGTCCCTTTTTATCATTTATTCTTATTGTTTATTCTACTATTATTATTCTCCATTTGAAAAATAATTTTCACATTGTATAAATCAGTCTTAGAATCAGTACAATTTGCACCTTGGTATTTTTGCTACTCAGATCTTTGGGAAGCTATTTAACTGATGGAAGTTGGCTTGTTCATCTGTAAGACCCGAAGAGTATTATCAAACATTTAGATACAAGCAAAATCTAAACATACATTTTATGACGACTTTGCTCTTAGCTGGAATAAGTATGTCATCCTATAGCATGTAATATGCAACCTGTTTTTACTGCTTTATTTATAACCTTCAGTCGTTTTCAAATTGTATACAGCTACTATACTTACTGTAGTGATTAGAAAAATAAAAACAAAAAAGAATAATCGTACCTATCTCATCTTAATCAAATGTTAAGTACAGTAGATCATATCCCAAGAACAGAATATGTAGGAAATCTAAAAATGGATACTTTTATTTGAAATTTCCTGAGAATAGGTGTTGCCGGGGTATAAGAGCAGCAGTATTAAATCTTTTCATTACAGATACCATGCCAGTGTAGAGACTACACTTTCCTTTGCTTTCACTTTCTCAATAGGGATTTGATTGAGATAGAATTTGCTTTTCAACTGAGCTCTGGCAGCTCAAAACTTCTGCTGTAATTGCTACCTTAACACCCTGCTGAGAATCTTCATTAACTGTTAACCTAGAGGAGATAAAAAAGACCTGACAATTTTAGAAGTGATGAATATCTCAGAGTTTAAAATAATCTCTGAATTATGATGCCATTTTGAGAATGTAGCAATAGAAGTACGTGTAGGAAGGTGGAGGAAAAAATGAAGGCAAAATTGGCTCTATTATAGTCAGGCTTCAGAATATTTTAAATTACAAGTGAATGAGTAATTTTAATAATGGCTAATGTATACCGAATGGTCATTATTGGCTAGTCATTGCAGTAAGAGCTTTAGATGCGTTCGTTTATTTAATACCTTCTAGAAGCTTGCTGGTGAGTAATTCAACTTCGGTAAATTAAATAGCTTTTAAAATATATAAATAATAATACCTTGAAATTAAAAGAGAATATAATGCTTGCCTAGGAAAAAATATTTCAGTAAGTTATTCAGGACTTTTGGAAGTAATTATTTCAGGAAAGCTAACCATGAGCTAAATTCCTAGGATGTGAAATTTGCATTTTAAATTTGTCCAGGTAGTGTCTTTAAATTTTAAAGTGAGATACTCACTGTTGCATAATGGTTCATCATCACCGTCTTGCAAACCTAAAATGTATTCATTATAGATAACTCTAGATGATTGATATATCAAAATAAACATTAGTGAAATTATATTACTACAGCATTAGGTTCATGTGCAAAGAGATACATCCTGTGCTTTGCTTAAATATTCTTACATATTTCTTAGTTTCTTTTTCATGAAAAAAATTGTCAGGAACAAATCGAGGAAGAGCAGTGGACTCCAGTAACAACGGCAAAATAAAACAGCTAAATGAAGTTGATGACATTCCATTAAGACCTAAGCTGTTAAAAGTTAACCAATACTGCTAGTCTAGAAAAACATAATTCCAGTTTTTCTTTCAATGTTGCTAATGTAGGAAATAATATTTTGTGCAAATATTAGCTCCTTTATCCCAACTAAAATTCTATGGTTTTATTTACAATACAATGTTTTCATTTAGCATGGATCGTTAGAATCACTACTGCTAATCCCAAGTATAAGATTTGTTTTAGGAATCTGAGATATTCAAATTTTCTAAAATCTGACTTAAATGATGAATCTGGGCAACTATATATTCCACTGTTACCATTTGTTATTTTAAGTGTTAACAATATCTTGTATTTACAGGGTTATATTTTATTTACATTCATTAGACTGCTATATCTAGCTTTATTAGAGTTAATATGACTTAAAAATTAGGAAATTACAAAAAGTAATACTGTGGAAGTTTTTTCCAGATTACCTTAAAAATTGTATTATTAAATTCAATTTTAATCCAAGTTCATAGCATTTCAACGTAGTTAAATTATTAGACTAAATCTATTGCTTTCTAGATTTATATTATCAAGAATTAAATGTTGTTTATGACTTAGAGTCTTAAAGTAATTTAATAATCCTCTTTTTATTGATGAAAAAATTAAATGTATTTAGTGATGATGGAACTTGTGACAATTATAAGGGTTCATATTTTTGTTTTTGTTTTTAATCAAAATATTGATTTACATGTTTGATTTGTTTGTGACATAGTCACTAGGATGTGCTCTTCCAAGAGACCATTTATTGGGTGTTTAAACAACAAACATTTATTTCTTTAAGGTTGGAAGGTTGGGAAGTACAAGATCAATGTACTAGCAGATCTGGTGGTCCAGCTGGCTTTCTTCTTGCCTCCTCATGTGGCACAAAGAGAGAGCACTCTGGTCTCTTCAATCCCTTATAAAAACACTAATCCCAGCATGGGGGCTCCACCCCTATGATCCCAGTTAGACCCCCCAGTTACTTTCCAACGGCCCCCACCTCCAAAACTTACCACACTGGGGATTAAGGGTTCAATGTATGCATTCTGGGAAGACAACAATTTTCAGTTCAGTCCATAGCAATTTGTTTCTAAATTCATCTATAGAAGGTCACACCTCTAAAATCTTCAGTTGAGCAACAGTCTCCTTTTCCTGTTTCCTTGTCTTTTCTCAATTTTGTTCAATCCCTAGTGTTGATTGGGGAAGAGCACTTCAGACACAGGGCTGAAGACAGGGTTTGTTTATTACGATGAACAATTTTTCTGATATCATAAAAAGCACACTAAACAGCTGCAGAAATTCCTTACTTATACTTTGAAAATTGCACTCAACAATCCCCCAAAAATTAATGTAAAAGGAATATTTTTTAATCCATTCACAATTTATCTCAGTGAAGCTTATGAACAGATAAATTAAATACACTTCAAAAATAGCATTACATTTTTCTATGATTCAAATATGGACATTTTCAGATAAACTTATCTTTTTGAGAATAGTGAGTTCTATTCAAAACAGCAGGACCCATTAAAAAGTGACAAATCTATATGATTCAAATGGAAATCAGTTAAATTAAAATTATAATAAACTTCAGTTATTCATTAGTTATAATAAATTTATTACTTAGTGAGTTATTGTGGGCTGATAATTTGGTTTATTGGCATTTAAACAAACATACAACTCATGATTTGAACAGAAGTTTATGTATTGTATTTTATTCAATTAATCAATTAAATAGTAAAGTATTTCCTCAAGCTTGGAAAGAAAACATAATACTTATAAATATTTTTATGAATTATTAGAAATAAATAGAGGCTGCACTATAACACCAATTGTTATAAATATTTGTATGAATTATTGGAAATAGAGGCTACACTATAACATCAACCTCCAACTGAGCTTGCCTCTCTCCAAAACTTTTTAGTACAGTATATTCTCTACTAGTCATATAAGAACAAAATCAACAACCAACCAATAAAACTATCCAGCTTATTGTTTTATGAAAGAGAAATTCAAATAACTGGGCAAAGCTTTCTGAGATATTATGGAATAGAAATAATACTGGAAAGATAACTTTCCTACTTACATCCACAACGTATACATTTTCTCATTTTAACCTATTACACACTTATGATTTCTTTCCATTACCCAAAGAACCTATTATCTTATTACCATGATAAAAATATAAGGTGGACATGATATTTTGATTTTCGCAACTTCAAAATGCTTTTAGTACACTTATCCATGTCAAACTTCTAATAGCCTATAAATTGTGACTAATAAATTATGTATTATATAAAATTACACCTAATCTTTTGAAAATGTGGTTATTATAAAATTTTGTAGTTAAAACTGTCAAAGACAGCTGTAGTTTACCTTTCTGAATATAAAGTTTGTGTTCTCTTGCTTAAGTTTTTTATCTTTCTCTTTTATTTAATACATTTGAGTGGAAATAGGTATAATTCAAATTGATATAAACCTTGGCATCATTCATTTTTTAAATTTTAGGTAAAAAATTCTGCATGTAAAATTTCCTGACTTCCATCTGTCTTTTTTCTTTTCTTTTCTTTTCTTTTTTTTTTTTTTTTGAAACAGAGTCTCGCACTTGTTGCCCAGGCTGGAGTGCAATGGCATCATCTTAGGACACTGCAACCTCTGCTTCCTGGGTTCAAGCAGCTCTCCTGCCTCAGTAGTTGGGTTTACAGGCACGCCCGCCACCATGCCCGGCTAATTTTTTTTGTATTTTTAGTAGAGACAGGATTTCACCATGTTGGCCAGGCTGATCTTCAATTCCTGACCTCAGGTGATCCGCCCACGTTGGCCTCCAGAAGTGCTGGGATTACAGGCATGAGCCACGGCACCCGGCCCCATCTGCCCTTTTATGTTATCTTATTAAATTTAAATTTCGTGTAATTTTATATTCATATGTAAAATATATTCTTTTTTGAGAAAGCACTTATGATATACAGTTTTATCCAAAAGACTAATAATGATAATTGGAAATAACCATTGATTCCAGGTAACAGAAAGAAGCATACTCTTATATCACTTAATAAGAACCGAAATTCTTGGGGATGATCATATAAAGCAAGTGCCTATTTTTATTGTGTAGATAGAGTCACCCTGGATTTTGCTGGTGTCAGTCATCAAATATTTCTGTAATACACTAAGCTTTCAGTGTATACTATTTTTTCTTTAATATAACTACTTCTTTACTCTGCAGTGAAGCAAATAACAAGCTTTACACGGTAGTTGCCAGTTTCACAATTAAATACATTTATTAAGGTAGAAATACTCTGGTCTCTTATATTTTCATTTGATAATTGTCAAGAAACTGTGATGGCGATGTGATTTAAAATTTATGTACAAACATCCCTGAAGATTATGGTAAGTTCTAAAAATTAGTGAGGATTTTCAATAATACTTTTGCTCTACTTATTTAAAAAAAGAGATTGTGACTTTGGGAGGCCGAGGCGGGCAGATCACGAGGTCAAGAGATCGAGACCATCCTGGCTAACTTGGTGAAACCCTGTCTCTACTAAAAATACAGAAAATTAGCCAGGCGTGGTGGCGGGCGCCTGTAGTCCCAGCTACTCAGGAGGCTGAGGCAGGAGAATGGCGTGAACCCGGGAGGGGGAGCTTGCAGTGAGCCATGATCGCGCCACTGCACTCCAGCCTGGGTGACAGAGCAAGACTCTGTCTCAAAAAAACAAACAAAAAACAAAAACAAAAACAAACAAAAAGAGATTGTGATCAAGAGGAATGTTTAGTACAGCTGTGGTTATTATTAACTATTGTAAACACTAAAATTGGTTCTTGAAAGAGTTTTGGTGTGCATAGTTTCAAAGTTTCTTAAGTAGTACTTGGTTACTGCAGAAAATGAAAATGAACAGAGACACAGAACTGAAGGTAAGATAGGTGAGATGCGTATTATTACAATGCACTTTATGATATGTATTTTTTTCTACAGATTAGTTAAGTGGGGAAAGTAGAGGACAGGGTGGATTAAAAAAAATAAGTTGTCCATTGTTGTATTGAAACCAAAGTCACTGATGCAATGACAATATGTAAATTAGATTTGGTTTTCAAGGGGATTTTATATAATTAGCACAACAGAAAACTAATACTTTGTTTTTCTACTTTCAAATCTTGATCATTACCTATAGGTACTTAATTCAAGGGGAAAATATTTGAATTATACGAGTTTATGTTATAATATTATTTTCAGTAAAAGTAAGTTGATTCATGAAATGATGAAATGTAATGCTTTTAGCTGTAAGAGAAACCTCTTATAATGTTGGATATCTGTTGTCAGATATTTAAACTTGATAATAATAGCCAATAAAATAGCTACTTTTTATAAGCATTTTAATAGGTATATTTTATACGCTTTTTGTGCATTAGAGAATCATGTTAAATTCTGTTTCTCATTTAATTATCTCATTTAATATCTCAAGAATATCCATTTAATTATCTCAAGACAATCAAGAAAATAGAGTCATTATTCCCATTACACAATAAGGCATAGATGAGTAAATATAAGTAAATAAAATAAAGATAGATGAGTTGTCACTGACCTAAGATCACACAGTTAATGAGTGTTGGGACTTGGGCCCCAGAAATAATGTAGCCAGCCACTATTCTTGTGACCGATGATCAAATAATGAATTGTGAATCCTTAATACTAAATGGGACATAGATGAAGACTTCTCTTATGTGTGAGTATTATAAGGGAATTATAAGAGAGTGATCCGTCAAAATAAGACACTTATTTAAAAAAAAAAAAACAATTGTATCCTTAGAGAAGAATAGATTAGAAAGAGATGCTATTCGGTGCAGATATAGCAATAAATGAAGTCTACGTAAATAAGGAAACACAAAAGCCATGTAGTCATAACTTCATGTAACAAGGGATTCAGCTGCCATCATTTGCCTTCGGTGGAGACTCAAATGCAAGGAGAGGAGAGGGAAAGCTCTATAATGAACACAGGAGAAAGTTTCAGGAATGCTCTGATGGGAGGTTTTTGGCTGGAGAAGCTGAAGAGGGCTAACTTGAAATATATGATTACTTTGGAAAGCATAATTGGCTCTCTATGATTGTCCCTGAGTTGGAAGTGGGATAAAAATAGGGAAGATAGCAGTTGTTGTCACGGGTTCTTAGTCCTTCTGTGCTGACTGCTAAAGAGGATATGCTTTGACTTCCTGGGTTGGTTACTGCAGAAATTGTGAGTCAGAGATCAATTACCCTATAGTATTTCGTAATTGCCCATTGTATATTCAGTCCCTCAGTTTCCCTTTTCGTTACTGTCATTTGTAAGAGATTTACCAATAAATGAAAGGTTAGGGATCCAGGTCTTTACTGCTTGAGATCATTCAGTTGTCTCCATAATCAACTGTATCAATAGATCTTCTCCAGCTTTTTGCTATTGTATTATGATGGTGATTTTCTGATAAGAGGGAAACTACAGAGAAGCATTTAAGACTCTGGATGTAAAGCAATGAGCTAACATCATGACCACTACGGCAAAAATGAGAATAATCAATAGGTCCTCAAAGATAATTTGGAACAAGAACCCCAATTGCCCAATACAAGCCAAGATAGTAAGTCCCAAATGTGATAAAAATCAGTTGTAGACAGTCAGGTAACTTTTTTTAAAAGAAAATGTGTAGCCTATTCTACTTTGCATGCTTTATCTCTGTACCTCCAAATAATAGCATGACATATTATTAATAGTTGAGAAGCCACCATGGTTAGACATCAAGAAATAGAGAACAATGAGATTGTCCACTACTACTTGTGTCAGAAATTTGTTGCATTGGTCTCAACTTTTGTAATAATTTCCTCACTAAGAAGTAGAAATGAATTTTAAAGTTTCTTAACTTGCCTATTTCTGATGGAGTTTCCAGCAAAAGAAGCAACATCCTTTGTTTCCAAAACATAACAAAGCCAAGTACTGCTTGAGAAGGTTATCTGTTATTTGTATATAGGCTTGGTCTATGACTGTTGACTAGTTGACAGTCCCTAGTATGTGCAATAATTTCTGCCATCTGGGCTGATTTTACCTAATGTAAAGTACTGTAAAACAAAGGAGAACTTTTATTAGTGATAACATATCCTTTTGGTTAACTTCCAGTTTCAATTTTGAGGCATGATCCTTCAACAAAAAATATTAGGTCAGGGTTCTCAATGGGAATCTTTAATAAATTTGAGTAAAATACAGAAACTTCCCTGAGTAAGACAATAGTGAGAATTCCCTTCCGGTAAGGCCCACTGTGGCAGGATTTTGGGTGTTATAGCAGGGAATAGTGATGTGGAAGAGAAAGGATAAGAGATTCTGAGAAGACATTAATCTACTGTCTTAAAAGTGTAGTGTTTTCTCAGTTAGAAGTATCAATAATATATGCACTGCATAAGGAGCCATGAAGTCAATGGGCAGCCTAGGACTAAGTCAGTAAGAGCATCAGTAGGTTTTGCAGTGGCAGCTCTTGCCCTAAAGCAAGGGATATGAACCTTTGCAATCTGGTCAAAGATGGAGTTAGAATTTAAAAGTATGTTTTTACATTTCCCATGAAGTTGAGTTTAAGTTCCAAGGATTCCAGATCACATATGTATAAATAGAAAAAAAAAAAAACTTCTTTTTTTGTAGAGATGACTAGAAAAGAAGGCTGTTGAAGAGCTTTCTCCAGGTTCTAGTGGTCCTGTTTATGTTTGGATTTCAAAAAGAGAGAGTCTTATACTGCGGACTTAGTCAAAATTGAAAAAGGGGTTTTAGAATTGCAGAAAAATACTCGCCTTCGTGTCCACAATATCCAGTTAAACCTAGGAATCTTTTTGATTGTCATTTCGTGAGGGGTCTAATGTAAAGTTGGAGGCTTTAGTCTGTCAGGAGGAACTATTTTTATCTTGTTGGGTAGGTCATGCCCTAAATTACGGATATTAGAGTTTGTTGTTGCTGTTGTCATCATCATATTGTTTAAGTTTCGTTTTGTTTTGATTTTCTTGGAGATACAGGTAAAGTGTGAGGGAATATGCACTAAGTACAGTCTGTGCTTCTTCTCTAGAGGGCATGATAAATAACCAATTTGTACCTTAGCTCCTATTTGTGTCTTTGAATTCTGAGCACAGACTGTCTCCATTCCCATCTTTTCTAAAGCCTCTTCCTAATTATATTAGATCGTTGCTTTCTTGGCTAGCTTCCTCCACTAACACACACTTCATCTTCTTTCTGAAATGCCCAACCCGTTGATGATTCTCTTGATCATCCTGTTCAGGAACTAAAGGTGCCCATCGTTCAATAGAAGTAGTGATGATTCATTGTACATTGAAATCTCATTTTCATTCTTATTTACCAATGAAACTTCTTAGTTGTTGGCTATCTTAGAAAGTCATTCACACTTGACCACAAAAAGGCATATGCTTTTTTAACTTTCCATTACCAGGGAGGGCAAAAATCAAAGGGCAGAAAAAAACTGTTTTTTTCACTCTTCCAGAGAAACATACTTTCACATCACAGAATAGGGCTTAGTGAATGGAAATAATTAAATTCATCTTTAAAATCAATTTAAGTGAGTACTATAACTATTTAAGCTAGTGATTGCAATAAATTTGTTTATTACAGGAATATCCATTCTGTGTTCATCGACTTTCACTCAAAAATTCAGGTATTAAAACATCTATAGCAATAATATTGAATAGAGAATGAGGATTTAGCTCCCTTTGTCATGCTAAGTGTTGGCATTTCTTTAAAAAACATGAAAATTATAAAATTTCCACATTTATTCTTTTAACGGAGAATATCCAAATATTACAAAATTAGAGAAAAAGTTAATAGAGTTATGACATTCTAGAATAATTTTAGGTAGCCATCTACATGGAGACAATCTCATAAACTTGTACCCAGAGTGTATCACACAGTGACAGATTTATTGTTCTGGCCTCGTTGCTAAACTACGGATACAGACTTGTCAAGTAAAAAAGCATTCATAGAGGTGAATAATAGCAATAACAAAATGGTAATAAATTACTTCAGGTGGAATCTGCAGAGAATATCAGAGTTTTTATTACTTAAAACAATCATTAGATATCTTTAAGACAAGGGTTTCCATATGTATAGATATATTCTTTAAACTGCAAACTGTGTTCAAATGCATTTAAGAATTATCATGAAAGTAAACAAACACACATACTAAAAGTTTGAGAAAGTAAAATCAAATTCAGCATTCTTAAAATCTTTATAAAATGTGCAAGTTAATCTTCTTTGTTTACCATCATCTCTGCATTTATTTTTTCTATGCACTCTGATTTTGCTTTGTAAAAAAACCGTTTTTCCCTGAAATTTTACTTTGTTCAAAAGAGGGCAGTATGTCTTCACTAATATAGATCGACATATGTTTTTTAATTTCAATCTTTGAGATTCATGGAGTATAAATTAATTGGAATATAATGAGTATTATAAGAACATGCTTAAGTACCTTTTAAAGGCAGAAATTATTTTTTCTAAAATTGTTTTAGCATCGTGTTAACTTCAGTACTTAAAGTTTAAGACAGACGTTTGACTTTGGAAAATGGTTAAAAATTAAATACTGATCTAGTCAACAGAATGCTCAGTGATTTTTCTAGCAAAATATAAAAAAAATACAATTAAGATACTTTAAGATTTTGTTGCATTTTAGTAAAGACATTTACTTAATTTTAAAGTAGTGCTGGGGTCAATTTACATATTCTTTCACCTTATGTTCACTCCCCTTCATCCTACATACCAGAATTTAAATTAAAATTATTGTTTCTAAGAGCAGTATTCACAACTTCTGAAAAATTTACCCTAATGAGATTTTTAAAAATGGTAATTATAGGGATAGACACAATGTTCACTAATTCTGACCTGGAATGAGTTAGTTCAACTCCTATGATCAGGCTGAAAATGTCGGGTTCTGCATAATACATAAGCGCAGGCATTTAGCTATATCGAAGGATGGATTATCTAAAAAGGTTTTATCTTTGAATGAAATATTGTGATGAGCAAGAGAATAATGATTGGAATTATATTATAATTTATAGGCAATACAATTCAGATGAAGAAAGCCCAGAACTGGACATTGTGTAACCTTAGACTTATTTTTGTCTCCTAGTTTAATGAAAAGTTTTATTACGGAATATATTATTCATACAAATGTACAGATAACTTCTATATCCAGTTTGAAACAATAAAATACATACTAGCACATTCACCATCCAATTTAAGAAGCAGAATGTTACCATGTTTCTAAAATCTCCTGTTTCGATTCCTGTTTGTATCATCATGTCTCTTTTCCTCTCTTTCCCCCAGGAAAGCCAATATTCCGACTTTGTGCTAAACACATTATTTTATTTCATTAGAGCTCACTTTGTGTTCCTAAATCACACTTTGTTTAATTATCCATATGGAATTTAGATTTTCTTTCCTCGATATTACTACAACAATACAAAATTATCGTAGAAGAATATTGAATAGAAGGGGTTACAGCATGCATTTTATTTTTTATCTGATCGTAACAGAAAGGTTCTTAATATTTCATCAGTATGACATTTACTGTTGGTTTTACAGATACCTTTCACAAGATTCAGACTGTTACCTTTTATTACTAAATTGAAAATGTTTATATTTTAAAAATTATGATAGATATTGGATTTTATAGAACTATTTGATATTTATTAAGATAACCATATGGCTCTTTATATATTCTGTTTATCAGATTAATTTACTAATTTTTAAAAAGTGCATTAATATTTTATTTCTATAAAATATTCCAATCTAGTTGTAACCTAGTCTTATTTTTATCTGACATGGAATTTTTGCATATATGGTCTTAAATGATAATGACCTGTAACTTTATTAAGTCATAGTGTTCTTGGCTTATTTTGATAACAATGTTGGACTAGTTTTACAAAATTAGTTGAGGCTTTCCCATCTTGTTTTATTCTCTACTGCATTTTACAGAACTTAAAATTTTCTAGACCTTTTTACGGCCGAGTAGTATTCCATCCTCTATATATGTGTGTGTGTGTGTGTGTGTGTGTGTGTGTCTATGTATATGTATTATATATATAGATATATATACACCACAATTTTGTTATTCACTAATTGATTTGTTGATTAATAGGCATTTGGGTTGGTTCCACGTTTTTACAATTGTGAATTGTGCTGCTATAAACATGCGTGCGCACATATCTTTTTTGTATAATAACTTCTTTTCCTCAAGGGAAAGAGTGGGAGGGGTGAGGGATAAAAGACTACAAATTGTGTTGATATGGTTTGGCTGAGTACCCACCCAAATCTAAACTTAAATGTTATCTCCCAGAATTGCCACGTGTTGTGAGAGGGACCCAGGAGGAGGTAATTGAATCATGGGGGCCTGTCTTTCCCGTGCTATTCTCATGATGGTGAATAAGTCTCGAGATCTGACGGGTTTATCCGGGGTTTCCGCTGTTGCTTCGTCCTCATTTTTCTCTTGCCACTGACATGCAAGAAGTGCATTTCACCTCCTCCCATGATTCTGAGGCCTCCCCAGACATGTGGAACTCTTAAGTCCAATTAAACCTCCTTTTCTTCCCAGTTTCTGTATGACTTTGTCAGCAGCGTGAAAACAGACTAATACATGCATTCAGTGTAAACTGCTTAGGTGATGTGTGCACCAAAATCTCACAAATCACTTCTAAAGAGCTTACTCATGTAACCAAATACTATGTGTTCCCCAAAAACCTGTGGAAATAAAAAATTTTAAAAAAAACTTTTATACCTTAAGTATTGGCTGAAATTCATTTAGAAAACCATCTATGCATTATCATTTTTTTTTTGGTGGGAAGCTTTTTAATGATTCCAAAATTTTGTCAGCTAAAGGATTATCCATATTTTCTACTTCTTCATGGACATATTTTACTAGTATGTATGTTTTATGTTCATGTATGTATTTATTTCTAAAGTGATTTGTTCTTCTTTTGTTACTGCAAAAAGACTAATTGGAGTAGAACACTGAACCATTAGCAAGAGATTTTCTCATGTTTTAGTGTCTCTAAATATTTTATGTTTTCGGTCCATTTCTTTTCAATTAATTTCTACACTTATATCTTTCTTCCTACAGTCTTTAGATTTTTTTATTTTAATTTTGATCACTCCTTGAGTTATATTCTTAGCATATCAATTTTAGGTTTCTAATTTTTTTCTAAAATGAATATTTACAGTTATTCATTTTTTCTAAGACCTGTGAGGAATCCAGTTTATGGCCAAAAATTTATGTGTGTACGTTTTGTTTTGTTTTAAGGCCTGACCAAAGGCAGTTACAAAGGCTCTTCCTGGCAATCCACGTGTGTGTGTGTGCACATATGCATTTATGCACATATATATACACACATATGCATTTATAGCCCAGGCTCTAACTTATTTCTTTTCTGTTTTTCTGTTTGCTTTAGGCTTAAATGTATCTTCTTTCTCTATTTTTCCTAGGCAGAAGCTTAGAGTGTTTATTTTATTTACTTCTTTTTTGATACAGCCATTTAATGCTTTAACTTTACCTCAAAGCACTGATTTTGCTGCATCCCACAAATCTGAGTTGTTGTATTTTATCTTAACTTAGTTCAGTATATTTTAAAATTTATTTTCAGATCTTTTCCTTGATCAATGTATTATTTAGAAGTCTAACTGTTTAACTTCCAATACCTGGGAATTTTTCAGCTACCTTTCATTATAGATTTCTAGTTAAATTGCATTAAGATTTGAGAAAATACTTCGTGTGGCTTCTATTTTTATACAAAATTGTTAAAGTGTGCATTATGGCCAAGAAACTAGTCTGTCTTAATTAATGTTCCATGTGAACTTCAGAAGAATGTGCATTCTGCTTTTCCTGTGGTGGAATGTTCTAAATGTATCAATTAAATTAAGTTGATAATAGTGCTTTTCAGGTTAACTGTATTCCTATTTTATGCTTGCTTGTCCATCAATTACTACTAGAGGACTGTTGAAGTCTCCAATTACAATACTGGTTTTATCTACTTCTCCATTTTTTAATTAGTTTTTGCATCATAATTATTAATGCTTTATTCAAGTGCAATCACATTATTAATTATTATGAGTTTTTTAAGAATTAATCATTTTGTCATATAATGTCTCTCTTCATTCCTCATAATTTTCCCTTTTCTGAAGTTGTTTTCTCTGAAATTAATATAGATTCTCCAGCTTTCTTGAAGTTAATGTAAGAATATATATTTTTCTCTATTGCTTCATTTTTGCCTATCTGAATCTTTATATTTAAAGTTAGCTTTTTTTTTTTTTTTTTTTGAGACGGAGTCTGGCTCTGTCGCCCAGGCTGGAGTGCAGTGGCGTGGCACAATCTCGGCTAAAGTGAGCTTCTTGTAGACAATAAATACTTGGGCATCTTTCTCTCATTAAAAAAAAAAAAATCTATTCTGACATAAAATCTATTTTCCAAAATCTATTACCAAAAAATCTATCTTCTGTCATATTTCTGTCTTCAATTTTCTTCCAGCATTTGCTTTGATTATTTTCTTTAGTATTCATTTCATATCCACTAATGCCTTATTAGAGATATCTGTTTATATCACATTTTAGTGGTTTGTCTACAGACTGCAGCTGCATCTTTAACATATTATCATCTACTTTCAAATAATATTATACAACTTAATGGATACAAACATCCCTTTCATCCTTTTTGACGTTTTTATGGTATCTTTAATTTCTAAATTTGTTTAAAATCCTGTAATAGATTTGTTTCTTTCTTGTTTAAAGAAACAAAGTTGTGAAAAAAAATTATATTTGGTTACATATTTACTATTGACTTTCTGTTTCCCTTCTGCATAGATTGCCTTATATTATTTTCTTCATCTGAAGAACTTACTCTTCTTGATATGAAAGTTTTCTAGTGTCCAGTTTTAGGGGTTTTTCCATATTTTTAATTCTTGTTGTCTCTTTCCTTTTTGAAATACATTTTAATCGAAAGGCAATCTCGATGAATCAGTCTTTCTCTGGTTCTTTTAACTGCTGTTTTATTGTCTTCTGTTTTAACATGTTGCAGCAATGTTTCTGATCTCACTTGTATTTATTTTTTAGTGAATGTATGTGTTTTCCTCCTAGCCATGATCATAAAATTTTCTCACTGATGCTGGTATTCAGCAATTTGATTTTGATGTGTCTTGATTGGATTTTTTAATATATTTCTAGTGTTTCCTTGTTTTTTAAGCTTAATAGATTTTATAATTTTCATGGTTTTATAACTCTCATTAAATTTGAAATGTTTTGCCATTATTTATTCAAATATTTTCTGACATCCATTTCTTTCCCAGTTTCTGTTTATATTCAGTGTTATAATATTCCTTTATATACCATCAGGCTCTTTCATTTTTAAAAAATATTTTTTCTCTGTGATTTCTATTGTTATGTCTCTAACTTAACTAACATTTTATTCTCCTTTGTATATCTGCTTATAAATTAATCTGATGATTTATTTCCTTATTGCATTATATGTATCAACTCACAAACTTCCCTTTAAAAGTAATTTAAATGTATCTTCTCATCATGTTCAGTGTTTCCTTAAAAGCTTTGCGTTAATAAGTTTTTAATGAGCTTGTGTGTTAATTCCATCATCTCTGACATTTCTGTGTCAATTTCTATTGACAGATTTTTCTCCCAATTATGGATAACACTGTTACTTCTTCACATGTCAACTAAACTTTATTTCATGCCACATATTATGAGTGTTACTTTGTTGAGTTTTTAGATTTAACTGTCTTCCTTTAAGAAGTGTTCATGTTTATCTTGCCAGTCAATTAAATTTCTTGCAGATCAGCATGTGTTTCAGTTTGGGCTGCAGTAACAGAATACCATAGACTGGATGGCTTAAACCACAGAAATTTATTTCTCACAGTTCTGGATTCTTGAACGCCAAGATCAAGGCACTTAGTAACTGATGAGGACCCCATTCCTGGTTTGCACATAGCCATCTTCCTGTATCTCGACGTGGCAGGGAGTAGAGAGAGAGATCACTTCTCTTTTGTCTCATCATATAATGTCACTAAGCTATTCATTAGGGCTTCACCTTCATGACATAATTATCTTCCAAAGGCTCTACTTCCAAATACCATTGCATTGGGGATTTAAGCACCAATGTACGCAATTTGAAGAAACACAAACGTTCAGTTCATAGCAGCTTGATTTTTACTTAGAACAACTATAAAGTGGCCTTAATTCTAGCAATTGTTTAACTTTATTATTAAGACTAGATGCCTTTAGCCTCTTTATTGACTGTCCCATTTATTCTAATTTCTTCTTTTTCTTTTTCTTTTGAGACAGGGTCTTGCTATGCCATCTAGGCTGGAGTACAATGGTGTGATCATGGCTCATTACAGCCTCAACCTCCCAGACTCAAGCGATCCTCCTGCCTCAGCCTCCCAAGTAGCTGGGACCACAAGCAAATGCAGCCACACCTGGCTGATTTTTGTATTTTTTTTTTATTATTATTACACTTTAAGTTTTAGGGTACATGTGCACAATGTGCAGGTTTGTTACATATGTATACATGTGCCATGTTGGTGTGCTGCACCCATTAACTTGTCATTTAGCATTAGGTATATCTCCAAATGCTATCCCTTGCCCCTCCCCCAGCCCCACAACAGTCCCCGGAGTGTGATGTTCCCCTTCCTGTGTCCATGTGTTCTCATTGTTCAATTCCCACCTATGAGTGAGAACATGAGGTGTTTGGTTTTTGTCCTTGGGATAGTTTGCTGAGAATGATGATTTCCAGTTTCATCCATGCCCTTAAAAAGGACATGAACTCATCCTTTTTTATGGCTGCATAGTATTCCATGGTGTATATGTGCCACATTTTCTTAATCCAGTCTATCATTGATGGACATTTGGGTTGGTTCCAAGTCTTTGCTATTGTGAATAGTGCCGCAGTAAACATACGTGTGCATGTGTCTTTATAGCAGCATGATTTATAATCCTTTGGGTATATACCCAGTAATGGGATGGCTGGGTCAAATGGTATTTCTAGTTCTAGATCCCTGAGGAATCGCCACACTGACTTCCACAATGGTTGAACTAGTTTACAGTCCCACCAACAGTGTAAAAGTGTTCCTATTTCTCCACATCCTCTCCAGCACCTGTTGTTTCCTGACTTTTTAATGATTGCCATTCTAACTGGTGTGAGATGGTATCTCACTGTGGTTTTGATTTGCATGATTTTTGTATTTTTGATAGAGAAGGGATTTCACCATGTTGCCCCGGTTGGTCTCAAACTCTTCGTCTCAAGCAATCCACCCTCCTTGGCCTCTCAAATTGCTGGTGTTACAGGCATAAGCCACCAATCCTGGCCTGTCCCATTTATTCTAAATGTTCTCTCTCCTCTGCCTGGAAAAAGTCAAATATCTACCAAAGTGTGAACTCTGAGGATCTTCAGTTTATGGTATTTCTGTATTTCCTTCATTGCCACATAGTTTTATTCTATGCATATACAGATTAACATTGAGCCAAAGATCCCCATGGATTCTGCCTATGAGAATCCTGGAGCTCCTGATATCATATTCTAAAGCAATAAACCCATAGATGTCTTCCCAGTCTTTTTTGGAGACATTTGTTTATATTATGAGATTAATTAAACCCAGGGATTATCCTTTTCCCTCACAGAGATGATTCGTTCAAAGGTCTTTGTCCTTCTTTCTTGAGAAGTGAGGACAGGCCAATGTGCCAGCTTCCCTAGATAAACTCCAGGTCTCATAATTTCAAATTTTCTCCCGGTAGTGCAAACCCCACTACATACACAGGTGAATATCTTCATTTTTTCACCTAATGAGAAACTTGAGTGTAAAGAACCAATGCAATGCAAGATGCTACTCTGGCTACTTATGTTGCTGGGAGTAATAAAACATCTGTTTTCTGATCCAGACATCTCATGTGTCCTGTCAGAAGATGAATATAAATGTAAACTTAATCCTGGGTATGATGGTTACATAATCCTGGTTTGTGTTTCTTCTCTCTGCCAGAAGCACAAATGAGTCCCAATATTACTTATATTTAGTATTCCATAGATTCCAGTGTTTTTTGTTTTCTCATTTTTATTGCATGGCTCATCCCAAAGCCTGAACCTATGATAGGCATTTAATACATAGTTTGCTAATAAGCAAATATTTAATTAATTAACCGAATAAATTTACACCTATACTGTGCTAAGAAATCATCTTGTACTTTTCTTCCCCCACCAAATTTTTATTAGTGATGACAGATTCAACTCAAATTCTTTTCTTTGACTTTCATAGCTATAAAAACAGTATATTTCCAGTCTTATTTTCTGTCTATGGTTCTATTGATAATTCTAGTAATCACTCAAGAATACCTTATGCTTTATATATTCCCATTAGAATGCCTATTCTGGAGTAGATTTTGAACAATAGTATTGAGTTTAAGAAAGTAGGCTCAGCTGTTTGTCTGAGTTTGCATCCTAGCTTTGTGACTCCATGTCTTTGTCCCTTTGTGTAGGGCATTTTAAGGGCATAGATGTAAAATATTTACAATAATGTCTGACAAATTATAAGCACATGTGTTTATCAAATATGCAATTTGTAATGCATTGTGAAATACATGACCTTACCAAACTTGTTTGGAAGCTTCAAAAATTTGAGGATAGATTATGTGTCCTACCTATGTTCAGTCTCTCAAAATGTGTAGTATACTGTCTTTAAAACAGATGTTGTAAAGCAAAGCAAATTTCCTAAATAGTATATGCATGAAATAACTTTATCTGAGTTTTGCTTTAAAAATAATTCAAATTTCATGTAAAAGGAAATTTGCAGATATCATATTACAAACATTCATAAGTAAATGTCCTTTAATTTACTAATCAGACTCTAGGCCTTGAAGATATTCTAGTGACATTTGTCCTGAAACATGTTAGCACCCACACTTCTGCCCCTGACTACTAGTACAATAAGTACATACTGTACTGTATTTAACTTTTTAACAGAAAATAATCATTTGACTTATATGTATCACTGAATTATTTCTTAAAATATAGCACATATTTTAAGTGTTTGAATTTTTTCCAATAAAATGTTTATTGCAGTAGCTTTCACACAATGCTGCATTTGAAAATAGTTAAATAAAACATAAGAATTGATAGATTTGTAAAGTGTGCAGATTTATCACTTTGTCAGTTACAGTTTAGCAATGTCTCTAACCCCTAAAAAGATACAGAAAATAATTGCAATACTGATTTCTGTAAATTGTTTTCCTGAGGCATTAATCATCAGAAAACACAGACAAGACACCAAGGACCATCATGCAAAACTAGAATCAATGTTGATTGCTTTTATTGTTGTGTGCATCTGTTGGTCTCATTATTTGTTCATTTCCCTTAATTTGTTTCTAAATGTTTATCAGATTTTACAAAAGCACTCATAAAATTATTAATGAAACATCTATTTGTTTGTTTTGACTTTACTGGAAAGTCTGTGGAAAGAAGGAGAGTAAAAGAAAAAGTGATCACATTTTATATTCAATTTGGTGCCTTTCTTACCTACTGTAGCAGGGAAAGGCAAGCACTTCTACTGGTATTTTGAAGAGCACACATAATACAATATAATTGCCAAAGAAAACAGAAATAACTTGATGTTTTTTCATAATTTCTTTAAACAGGCTGATAATCTGTTTCAAAGTAATCTCAAGGCCCTCAGTGGTAGATAATGTTTAATTTTTCATTCGCATTTTCATTTCCTACAGTAGCATTGATGTATCAGAGGAAAGTTTCCTCAAAAAATAAAAATATAAAATAAAATTTTGGTCATATATTATATGTCAAACTATGGTTAATGTATTAAGGACCTCACATAGAACAAGAAGAAAAAGTTAAAGCCATATTTTCAACTCAGACTATTTGTTAGTTTTTTCTACTGCTGAAGCAGCCAAATTCCCTGGTTATCAATTCCTGTATAGATGGTGTTTTGCAAGGCATGGAAAAGTGCATTGCTCTTCAACTCTTTAATGCCTTTCCCAATGTTGATGAAACTGAATATTTCCCTGAACTCTTTGCAGGCAGGAACTGAAGTGCACGGGCACAGCAGGGATGAACTCCACTCACTCGCTGCTCCATTCCTTGCGGGAGGGGCAGTGCAGGTGGGCAGGTGCAGGAGCCAAGCCAAGCGCTTTTGGGTGCTGGCAAGAGTGAACTTCATGCTGGTCCCATGGCAGTGTCTAGGAGAGAGTGCCCACCAACCCTGAAGCCCCAGAGGAAGTGTTACACTGCCCCTTTAGCTTTGCCATCCACAGATGGCTTCAGTGTTAACAGCTCAGTGGAGAGAGTCAGTGTGACAGACGTTAGCACCCACACTTGTGGCCCCTGAGTTCTTGCCCTGTGTCCAGGAGGAATGAGGTCACATGAACAAATTGAAGATGGTAATTGTGGGGGATTTTATTGCCAGTGAAACTGGCCCTCAGCAGGAAGGGGAGCTGAAAAGAGGATGTAACCAGAAAATAATCTTCCCCTGGAGTCCGGCCCTCACCAGCCTGGCTCCTCTTCGAAGCTACACTGTGAAGCTGTCCCTCTGAAGTCAAGCTGCTTCTCTCTGATGTCTGACTGTAGTTTCAGACATCCAGTTCCTTCTCCTCTCCATGTTGTCTGAGCTCGAGGGTTTTATGGGCACAGGATGGGGGCAGGGCAGGGCCATGGGTTGTTTTGGAAAAGACAACATTGAAGCAGAAAAACAGGGCTGTAAGTTCTCCCTTCAGGCCATGGTTCCAGGCTTTTCAGCTTGAGGGTGGGGCCCTTGCTGGGGACCTGCCCTCTTCTGCCCAGAATTTCCCTGCCTTCTCTCCCTGTCATATTGGATTGAATTGTGTCCCCTAGAATTCATATATTGAATGCTTATCCCACTGAGATTGTATTTACACATGGAATCTTTAAGGAGATAAGGTTAAAGGCGGTCAGAAGGCTGGGCCTTGATCCAATAGGACAGATGTTCTTATGAGAAGAAGAGACACCAGAGATCTCCCAGTCTCTCTCCATGTGTGACTACACAAAGGAAAGTCCATCCTAGGACATAGCAAGTAGTCTGCAAACTAAAGAGAGAGGCCTCAGGAGAAACCCTACTGGCACCTTGAACTCGGAACTTCTAGCCTCCAGAACTGCAAGAAAATACATTCCTGTTTTTGTAAGCCACCAAACCTATGGTATCTTGTGGCAGCCCAAGCAGATTAACATACTTAATATAACTTCCACAATAAGGATATTTTTAATCTTTATCTTTGAAGATTGAGATTTATAGCAAAAGCCAAGATCATCAGAACCAGACCTCTGCTCCTATTTTATAAACTGCTCAACAGGCAAACCCAGAGACCAGATCTTGATTCTCATACCTTTTCAGTCAAAGAATCAAAGATGCTTATGAGAAGTAGTCAAATCTATAGCAAGGGAAGACAAAATACAGAATGAACATGGCATATCCTGTAATGGCAGAAGGCAAGGAAGTAATCAAGAGACGGAAGGATGAGAGTATGTCAAACGGACACCAGAGCCAACCTGAAAAGCTCCCAATGCCAAAAGCGTGAGACATTTGAGCAACAAAATAAATAAAGAAGTATAGGATTATAACCCAGTATAAAAAATTAAGATATATAAGTCCATAGTATTATATGATTTTAAATGAATAAATGAAGATAAAAGATACATGATCCTTACAGAAAATTCCAAATAACAGGTGTAGATACTTTCTCCTCCAGGAGATTGACTAGAATCCCTCCCACTCGGAGTATAGGCTGGACTTGCTTATTTGCTTCCATAGAGTAAGGGGATAAAATAGGTTGCTTTATATTGGAAAAAACCTGACAAACACTGCCTTAACCAAGTGACTGAGATTAACACAATCTGTGTTAAATCATTTTGATATAATGTGTACCTGATAAGATGTGATAAAAATGGCACTTTCTTTCTGTGATATTTGTCACAAAATTCCGTAAATGCAGTCTGACTATGAAAAAAAATTCTCAAACTCAAATTTAGGAGACTTCTTCAAAATACCTGACCAGTGATTCTGAAAATTGTCAAGGTCTTTGAAAACAAGTAAGGACTGAGGAAATGTCAAAGGTACAATAAATTATGGAGACAAGGTGTGGTGTCCTGGACTGGATACTGGAATAGAAAAACATAATCATTGAAAAACTGGTGAAGCTCTAATAAAATCTGAACTTTTGTTAATAGCAATTTTCCAATATTTATTTCTTGGTCGTGATAAATTTCTCATAGTAACATAAAATGTTAATATTAAGGGAGACGGGGAGAAGTATTTGGGAACCCTATGGATTATCTTTGCAACTTTTCTGAAAACTAAAATTATGGCAAAATATAAAGTTTTTTAAAAATAATAATATACAGTTAGAGTTGTGGGAAGCAATGTTCCATGACAAAGTTTTGTTACTATGACAATGCAAAAAAAGTAGAATTTATCAGTTATCAAAGGATGAATACAATGTTCAATGTACAACAAGCAGAATACAAATAAAGATTGCCATAACTAAGATATTAAGAGAAACCCTTACAGAAAAAGAGTTTGTTTGCACACATACACAATTTGAAAATTGATTAGATGGTCTTGGAGGTGAAGACTTCAGAGTGCAATCTCTCTTGCAAAACTGACCATAGAAACTGGGGTGAATTGTGCTAGTGGAAGTGGCTCTCTACGTTTGTTTTGGTTCAAGAAGCAGGAAGATGGAGCCACTCAATCAATCTCACAGGCCAAGTTTATTGAAAGCAATCTCTGTGCAACGGAGAACAAAGGAGTGTTTAGGTAGTGAAGATTGGAAGGTTAATATGACCCTTGCTCATACTCCAGGAGTCCTCCTCATTTTGCTAGTCTGACAAACTGAAGCTTCATCACTAATGAGCAACATGAAAGGAACTTGGACTGTGCTGACACATAGAGGCATTCAGAAAAAAAAGGGGCAAAGTGTACTTACAAATTATTTCTATCATGTATCAGAGGAGATGAAACAGTATTAGTGTGTGCATGTGTGTGTTTGTAGACATATACACACATTTAAGGTATGTAAGCTACACACACACATATACATTTCTGTGGATGTGAAATAAACTCATAAATGTGTATGTACATACATACACATATACATACATACATATAAAGACATATACAGTTCAGTATTAATATCTGTATATATATGAAAATAGGTAGCCATGTGTATTTATGTTTGAACACACATGTATATGAATTCACATGTATATGAATTCACATGAATACACATGTATATGAATTCATGTATATGAATTCACACATTTGTATATACATATGCATATATGTACAATGTATATTTAGTTATACAATACATATTATGTGTATGTGTATGTTTAACTATGTATAAAATTACAGCTTTGAAAGAGCAGAGCAAACCAGAAATTAAAAAATTCAAAGACAAAATACAACTACTTGAAAAAGTAAGAGCTAACAGAATGTCAAAAAAGTATAATTTGTTTTAGATTAATAAAATGCTCAGAGTATTATTGTCATATAATATACTGTAACCTGAAACACAGACGTTCAATACCAAAGAGAGTCTACAGAAGACAGAAGGAAAAGATTAATGTACAGAGTTCCAGATGAAGAAAACAGGGCAGCAATAGAAAATGATCATTTAAAATTATTCATTAAACCTCCCTTGAAATAAAATACACTAACATATTTCTTCAAAGACACACTTACCAAGAAAATACACAAAAATAGTAAGTATAAGTCAATAATTTTTCATCAAAGTAAACTGCTCTTCAAGTATAAATCATAGGGAAAAAGTGATTTAAAAATGTGAGCATACAGAAAATATTTTTTTCCATTAGCTGGGAGGCTGAGGCAGGAGACAATTGCTTGAACCTGGGAGGCAGAGGTTGCGGTGAGCCTAGATTTGTGCCATTGCACTCCAGCATGGGCAACAAGAGCGAGACTTCGTCTTAAATAAAGCAGCTTGGTCTCAAATAATATATATATATATGTATTTTTTTTTTCGGGTTCCTAGAAATTTCTACAATTCTAGATAAGACAAACAAGGAATGTCTGGAGAAACAAGGCAAAAATACTGGTAGTAAGTTTAAGATATGTGTGTGTGTGCGTGTGTATATATATTCATATATATATATATATATACACACACACAAAAAATACATATATATTTACCATGGAACTAAGAATAAATTACCATGGAACTAAGCATTACCGTGGAATTAAGAATAAGAATGTAAATACAACGTAACTGTAAAAGTTATTGGTGAAGGAAAAAAAAGGCTACTGGGTAAATAATTCCTCCTTCCTCTGATAGAATGGGAAGTTGAAGACTATTTACAGTTGAAAAGTCAAGTAATATAATCATATTTATTAGTATATAAAGATAGTTAAATCCACTAAAATCATGTAGTGGAGAAAAATGAGGAACAAGAAAAAAAGAGAAAATTTATTCACTAATTATTTAATACATATCTTCTAAAAATTAACTAATGGTATTATTGAAATTGTAATTATAAATGTAACCACTAGATCAAACTTTTAAACTTTCTTAGATATCAGGAAAAAACTATACACAATAACAAACAAATGAAAAACAACATACATAACATGATAGACATATAAACAGAAAACATAATTCATAACAATATGGCACAACTCAAGCTAACTATAACTTTCTTTTCAGTCACTATGATGTGGTTTAACTCACTAAATTAACAGTATTTTCAGATTGAATCAAAAAGCCAAACTCAACTATGCATTGAATAAAAGGATACTTCTTTAAAAAGTTGATTCAGAAAACCCGGGTGATATGCTTTGGCAATGAGCCCATCCAAATCTCATCTTGAATTGTAGTTCCCGTAATCCCTACATGTTGTGGGAGGGACCCTGTAGGAGGTAATTGAATCATGGGAGTGGTTACCTCCATGCTGTTCTCGTGATAGTGAATGAGTTCTCAAGAGATCTGATGGTTTTATAAGGGGCTTTATAAGGTAGAATTCATAAAGAAATATGGGGAAATTCACAATGGATATGTATGGTCATGAAAGTCTGTGCAAAAACTAACAAGCCAGAAACATTCTAAACCCAAACTTAGAGAAGATACAATGAGAAACTAAGACATGTATGTGCACATGTGCCCCCCCCAACACACCTCTGTGTTGCAAAACTGACCATGCAAAGGGCAATTTGGAAGTATAAAACCAAATTACAAATATATCATAACTGATGTACCACCCTCGCTTGTGATAATTTGCCCTAGGGTTAATATGTACACACAAAGAAAGTAATATGTGTACAAAGATGTTCAAAACAGTAATGCTTACAATAGCAAAAAAAAGGAAACCATTTACAAATCTAAGACTTGTAGAATAATTATATAAAATGTAGATATCCATACAATTAAATGATATGCTGGAGGGAGAGAGAGAGAGAGAGAGAGAGTATGTGTTGTATAAAACACATATATACTCATATCTGATACATAATACATATATGTGTGTATATTTTACACACACAGTCTATGAATTAAGGAACCATTTCCACCATATTTTGGTAGGGTTTAAATATCCAGAACTTTGGGCATTATAAGCTACATTTGCATAGAAGAATGGGAACATCAAATACGTTACATAGAAATTCTGAATGAACACAAGGAAACTAGTAAAGTGAGCTGCTGCCACAATGGCTAGTGTATGTGAATGGGACCAGGACAGATGAAAAGTATAGATCCCAAACAGATCTTTTGCCATTTAACTTTTTAATGTTTTCAACATATATAAGTGTATTATCTTGTTAAATATATCAACACTTAAAAATTAATGCAGTCAGAGAACTGTTCATGGAAATAACTCAGAAAAACAATTTTTGTGGAATATAAAGGATTTAGATGGCATTTGCTATTTTTTTAAATTTTTGGTGAGGTAACTATTTTATTAATCTTTTTTTAAATTCAGATTTAAAAATTGGTTAAGTTCATGAGATAATCCCTTATATTTATAAAATAGGTTAACTTCATTAGATAATCACTATGTTCCTTCTAATTACAAAGTTTTTTAGTGAAAATACTCTACACCCAATAATGACTTTGGTTTGCCATTTCATAATGCATATACTGTCTTGAGACTTTTCAATGGTTTTGGCTTACTGATAGTTCACCCAGTGAGATCCAATTAAAAGAGTAATGACAAGAAATGCTAATGCTAAATGACGAGTTAATGGGTGCAGCACACCAACATGGCACATGTATACATATGTAACAAACCTGCACGTTGTACACATGTACCCTAAAACTTAAAGTATAACAATAATAAAATAAAATAAAAAAACCAGTATAGAGTAAAAAAAAAATGCTTTCTATTTTCTCTCAGTTATAACACACCTGCAGATACATGAGGAGACCCTCAGTAACATCAGATTTAGTCTAGAACACAACGACTGCAATATCCTATTGGGACACAAAATAAGATAAATAAGTAGGAGAAAAGATACAGTTTGGACATCCCCTACTGTTTTAGTTGCTGGTTACCATGAATATTGGAATGATCTGCTGATAGTCAGTGATCAATGCTATCAAACTTCTCTTGTGCTGAGCTTTCAGCCAACAAGCCTCCTGCAGTCTGTAGGGAAGCAAAGATCTTTCCTTGTTTTTTGTGCAGTCAAATACTTAATTTAACATTGGTAGGTAAAATTACTCTATTATAAATTGAAAGGACTATAGCAGCCTTGCACTGTTTTTATTATAAAGCAAAACCATGGTCAAGTTTAAATAAACATAAATCAAATAGAATATGTTTGCCTTCCTGCTAGTCGAATGTTCAGGTTACTATGGAAAACAGCTGTACTTAAAAACTGCATAATCATTAGGTTGAATTTAATGAACACTGACCGAACTTTATGGAGCTAGGTCTTCTCAAACAAATTTTACAGCCCCTGACATTCAGGAATTTGGATTTTAAAGAAGCCAACGATAAGTTTGACTGTAAAATTATGGTGTTGGAAATAGAAAAGATAGGATATAGGGAAGAGAAACAGAAGGGATGTAGTGGCGTAGTGGACATCATGAAAAATATCACCGCATCTTAGCTGACCCAAAATTTTTGGCAACTGCAGTCAAAAGTATCTCATCTTATACATTGTATATTTGTGACAAAAAAAGACAGACCAAGGTTAAGGCACTCTATGACACAGAGCCATGTTCAGGTAAAGGAGATCCTGAAAACTGAAGTTAAATAACTTTTTGGATGCAGGCATGAGTTTGTAATAACCCGTTGGACACATATGGTGTTATTTCTCTTTTCTAATAATTATGCCTTGATGGCATGGTGCCGTGTATTTTTACAAGAATAGGAGTCATGAAACTAGCCATTGACGATATGAAGAGTCACCTAGGAGTCTACAGACTTGAATTTTCAATTTCTAAATATTTTTCTAACAAGAAAACAGAGATAGCATTGCCAAATTTATATATATATATATATATATATCACAAAGTTTTTAGTGAATATATATATTTTATATATATATATATATTAGAAGATAGAAAATAAAAAAAGACCACTGAAGGCAAACATATCATTATACATGAAGTTTTTCTGTAGAACCTCCCTTACGTATTTATTGTTCCACCTGAATTGTATGTCTACATTACAATGAAGGTCAATGAACATTGACTATGAGTTGAGAGACAAATCTCAATCGGTCTTGTGTTTCTGCATGTCTTCTAAACAGAGTCATTGATGGCATTTATCCTATTACGTATGTTCAAATATGTTCATACAGCCTTAGAGGATAGAAATGGTATCTTCCTTCAGGACAGAGGAAAAGTGTTTTTGTTTTTGTTTTTTTTTCCTCCAGAATAAAAAAGAAAACGGCTTTCTTTAAGGTGCATGGCTGGCCACGTTTGTTAGCATCTGTTTTTGAAAGATTGGGGGTTTCTTATTAGTAATATAAGCCTATTTTGTCTGCAGTAGCTACCTGGGCTGCTCTGTGTTGCTTAGTGGGACATGGGGATAACAGGAGTCAACCAGAACGTGAAACTCATGCTACGTGCTGTGCTTTAATGTAAAAAAGGCCATTGTGTCTAACCCAGGAGCCTTGTGTCCTTTGCCAACATGTATGAAGCTGTGAAAACTACCTTGTTAGCTTGGAAGCAGGATAAAGTCGTAGCTGCTTTTCAGTGCTTGAAGCCATGGCTCTATTAGTCTATGAATGATTAAATTTATGTCAGAACTGGGGCAGATTTTGACAGCTAAGAAGTTGAACCTGCTGCCTCCAATTTCCCAATCTGCCTCTTATACATTTCTCATTCATTTGAATCTGCTTCATCTTTTAATCAAATTGAAATTCCTTCTACTATTCTATGAGAATTTTCCATAGTAAAGATCAGATAATCTACTTGCATTTTAAAAATAAAAGATAATACTGTTGTGATGAACATCTCTGTTAATCACATGGGGGTGATGAATGAGGGTGTGTCTTTGTGTGTGACTTTACACATTAACTTTACAGAGAAATAAAGCATTCAAAAAGAGTGTTTTTGACTGCCATAATGTATACTTATACTCTGCCTAATCCTTCCTCTTGATTTGTCCATTGTGTAAATAATGTGATTTGAAAGGGGACTGTGAACTTGGTTTTTTCCTGGCAGAAGTTTACTGAATAGTCTGGTTTGATGTAAAAGTGGTTATCACTATTCATAGTCTGGGTATTTTTTTTAGCTCTCCTGTTATGGCACTATTAAGATAGTTTCAGTCTCTCAAAAGTTGGCTCATATTAGGAAAATTCAAAAATTGATATAAAACCTATCAGTTTGCTGAATTATAATGAGTAGTATAAAATCTATTAGGATAACCAGCAAATGTCTTAATTACAGAAAACAAATGAAAGATACAGTTTAAGCAGAAGTTTGCCTGCGGGAGGATGACATCAGGTAAAAGGAAATAAATTATATTAATATAACATTTAACGACATTTGGCTGTCAATGGTGCTAAATGCCTCTGTCTCTGATTTGGGAATATATGCCTGCTAAGAAGACCTCATGTTAAAACAAAAGAATGAAGTTGCACATTCCCTGGATCTCGCTAATTGAGAAATACTGTTTTCCCAAGATCTATGTCCTATATTTTTATTCCCTTTTTAGATATTCTACATCAATTGTTGGGAGACTCTCCTTTCTGTCAAATTGTTCTTAAGATGTGGGTTTATTTCTAGCAGTTGCTTTATTAATTTTCTTTTGTGCAATCCTTAGAATGTGATTCCCTAAAACTTCTACAATAGCTGTGGATAACCCTTCCTCCACTAGCATTCAAGAGAATATTCATAGCAGTTATATAAAGTGTATAAGGTACTCAAGCTTTGAAGACTGTTTAATCATCTGAGTTTCAATAATTTTCACCATTTTAAAATAAAACCGTATAATAGGAACTTGTGAATATGAACTGTGTCAGAACATTCCTTAGAGATTAATGCCTCAAATTTTGACTAGTTTTGATGCTTTCAATTCTTCATTAAGGCTGAAGAGTAGGCAGAACTTATTTGCCTCTTCCAAGAATAATTTGAGGAGGAGTAATCCTATTGATTTTATTTTCAGCTCTTCACTTCAAACAAAGAAAGCAAAACAAGGTCTTTCAAGAATCCTAGATACTTTGAGAGAATGGTTTTATAAATAAATGAGTTACATATCCTGGGAGAAAATTCTTCTTCTTTTCTTTTGTTTGACTTTTCTTTGAAATTTTTACTTTTGTTTACTTCTAAATAAATTATTTGAATGAACAAGATTCTAAAAAAAAGAGTTAACTGTACCTGATAATATATAACACAGATAAATATTATTAGCTGATTTATGAGCTATTATATTTGGCAAGGTCTATAATGAAAACTTACTCTCAATTTCTTACTGGTTTTGTAATTGATTACTGAGTAGTTTCAAGTGAAGGAAAGCAGAATACACCATCTTAAAATAATATACCACTTTGACATAGGTTTATTTTGAGCTAAAGGCAATTGAGACATAGATACAAGAAAAGTCTGCCTTCCCGCATTTGCTTAAAAGCAGGATGAAAATTTATAAAGGTGTCCTCTACTCTCTATGTAGAAGGAAAGAAGTTAATCACCAATCACCAGTCATCTGTGACAACTCTAAACCCTATCAGCCCAGATATAGCACTAGAAGAGCCTGCATGACAAGCCCTTTCTTCCATTAGTTTCCTCCATGTATTTACCTTTCTACTGTTTGCTACCCTAAAAACTCAGTCTTGATTTTTTTATCTTGTCACTTCCCTAAAAATTTACATTTTTTTTTGTTGTTAAGATGCTATATAAACTCCAATTATAATCACCCTTTGAGTTCCTCATCACTAAGTGTTCCCATGTGTAACTGCAATATGCACACTAATAAACTTCATGGTGGATTTTTTTTTGTTAATCTGCATTTTGTTAGTCTACATTACAGAGCCTCAAACTTGTAACTAAAATGGGTAGAGAAAAAAGATTTTTTTTCCTTCCCTACAGAAGCAACTGTGGATTTCTGATACAACATCTTATTCCTACCTTCACAATAGGCAAAAAAAAGAGAGGCTTTTGAAATCTGCTGGCATAATACAAGTAGAATTTATATAACAATGCAATGATACTTAAAAATGCTTAGATTCATAGGTCAGAAAAATTGCTGAGAGTATTTTGCCAGTTGACCAATGAAATAATTTTATAGCCATTTCCATTTTCAATTTGCTTTCTTTTTAAATAGATCATTCATTTTCATGAGTACATAAATTTTCTTCTTCGGATTTTATGCATATGATAAATTTATATAAATGTCCATGGTTAATGTAGAGATTTTAAAGCCATAAAACCCAGCTCTTACGTAAGTCTCAAAACAAACTAAACCAAATATTAAGAACAATGAAAAACAAAAGTACGTAAAATCAGGAATAGGGATAGAGAAAGAAAATAACATTTTCATTAGCTGTAGATGCACATGTTTTTCTGTTAGATGATTCCCAGTGACTTCAATAAATGTGGGGTCTCATTCTTTGTGATTCAGGTCATCTGTCTCCTTTCCTTCAAGTCCCATTGCACTTTGTTATATGTCCCTCTGTTAGAGTAGGTAGCTAGGCAGACATGAGCACGGCGGGAAAGGGCCCCTCCAGGAGTGTCAGGCGACCATCACGTGATGGTCAGTCCGTTGTTAAATTGTCCTTCTAAAATAATAATTGGTCGCAGCCAGGGCCAGTGAAAGGCAGTCTCTCAACAGATAGAAAACATCTTCCGGAGGCTGAGGCAGGAGAATGGCGTGAACCCGGGAGGCAGAGCTTGCAGTGAGCCGAAATCGCGCCACCGCACTCCAGCCTGGGAGGCAGAGCCAGACTCTGTCTTAAAAAAAAAAAAAAAAAAGAAAGAAAGAAAGAAAAAAGAAAACAACTGAAGCTGGTGATCAGCAGCTTCCTGATAAGATCGCAGAAGCTGGGTGAGTGGGCTCAAGCATGTGCACTAAGAGACAAAAAGGCAGAGCTTAACTGGTATACAACCTTCCTTTAGGAACGCTTGACAGGTAAGGGAAAAACGCCTCAGAGGAGCATGTGCAGAACTTCAGAAAACCCGCTGTTCATGGAGCCCCTCCCAAGTGCTGGCAGGCCACTGTGCATGTGGACAGCCCACTCCAAGGGAAGAATTTGGGGGGAAGAACTGCAAACCCCAGAATGATGCCAATGTATAAAACCCCAAGTCAAGGGTCAGACGAGGCACTTGAATCTCTAAAGTTGCTCACTTGGCCTTCTTTCAAGTGTACTTTATTTCCTTTTGTTTTTGTTCTACAATTTTTTTTTTTTTTTTTTTTTTTTTTGAGACTGAGTCTCACTTTGTTGCCCAGGCTGGAGTGCAGTGGTGTGATCTCGGCTCACTGCACCCTCCACCTCCCGGGTTCAAGCGATTCTCCTGCCTCAGCCTCCTGAGCAGCTGGGACTACAGGTGCACACCACCACACCCGGCTAATTTTTTGTATTTTTAGTACAGACGGGGTTTCACCATGTTAGCCAGGCTGGTCTCGAACTCCTGACCTCGTGATCTGCCTGTCTTGGCCTCCCAAAGTGCTTGTATTACAGGTGTGAGCCACCACGCCCACCCCACTCTGCAACCTTTAAATAAACTCTCATTCCTGCTCAAAAACTTGCCTCAGTCTCTCACTCTGCCTTATGCCCCTTGGACGAATTATTTCCTTTGAGGAGACTATAATTGAGTTGCTGCATACCTGTATGGATTCACTGCTGCTAACACCTCCCCTATGCAGTCTCATGTGAGGGCATATTTGTATCTTTTCACTTAACATCCATTCGTTAATATGCAATCTATTATATGTTTGGCCTTTCTGGATGACATTCATTGTGGGGTTATCTCACTCATTTTTAAACCTCAAGGTCTAACATAATTTATCTAGTAGCTTTTAAATACATCTAAACTTAATGAATATATTAAAAATAGATTATACTGGGGAAATATGGATAAAATTTAAAATCATTCTCAATTTTGGCTTTAACAGTCATAAATTGGTAGATCTTAGGTAAGAATGAACTTTTGTAAGTTTTAACTTGTTTATTTGTAGGTGAAGATGATTAAATTTACCATAGCACTCACACACCATTTGGTGCCTACTCACTCCATCTTTATATTTGATTTTCATCCCATCTTTATCTTTAACTCAAGGCTCCCTCTCAGAAATCGATTGAAAAGAATAAGTGAACACATTCTCGTCATTAAAATAAGAGGAGAAATCTGTTCTGTCCTGGAAAACAACTTGGGGGTTTCTTTTTAAGTAAATAGTATTGGACCTCTGAAGTTATCATCTACGTTGGCAATTTTTGAAATTAGAGGTAATATGTTCTCTATATTTAAAGCCAATTCTCTATATTTTAAGCCAGTTTGAGTCTTTTTTGTTACATCTCAAAGTCTATAAAAATATACTTCTCACCCGTTTTCACGAAGATTTCACATGGCTTAAAAAATATTTCAGTGCTTAAGCAGGCCACACATCTAGTAAATATTCAAAATTTTACATAGAGAAGGCAAGATCATTATTACTATATTCTTTCAAAATCTTTTAAAATTTCCCTGACCTAAACATTCTAAAGGATGAATAACTAAGAAGATTTGTACATTAAAGACTGTGTTAGGGCCTGAGGGATCAGTGGAAACATTGAATGCCTTTTCATGTGATGGCAAACTAATGGTTGTTGCAGCTGGCACAGCTTCTAATGAATATCATATTGCCTCACAATTCGAGTGGCTTAAATGTTAGTTTGGAGGCTATCACGTAAAATTATAGAAGATCTTCACATGTATCCACCACAGATATTTTTTTTTCTGAACAGTGCTATATTGTAAATTAATGAAAGTCGATGTTTATTCTGTCCTTATATTGCTTTTTTTCTTAATTTGCTAGTAGTAGTAATGCTAGATTCTCTCCTAGGAATCACTGAGGTGCACAAAAGTTCTACTAGGAAAATATAATGCTACCTACCTAATTGCCTCCACTAGGTCTAAACCACCAGGAGTGGCTTATGCAGGCAGCATTATATTTTATATCTACCCATCAAATGTGAACATATGAGGAGAACAATATCAGCAGTGAAGAAGGGGCTGGGACTGGGTCTCATAGTGAACAATCAAGACTTAGAGACATCATACAACCTCAAGGACAAAAAGAGCAACAGGAGACAAACTGAGTCCTCTTTGGTCACCTTGAAAATTGGCAAATACTGGCAATTTATTTTAACGATCCATAATTCTGTAAGTAGATTAGCCTGGCTTAAATTACCTAGGAAGAGGATGAATACCGCTATGTTTTAGTGACATTTTGAAGAGTGTGAGTGGGCCTTTGATTTTATTTCCCTTAACAACATCTTTTCACCTTACGGTTTTCTTATTTATCAGTAGACATTCTCCTCAGAGAATCTTTGTATTCAACATCTTATTTTCCTCCTTGCCAAAATTTAATACAACTTATTTCCTCTTTCAATATCCATAATATATAAAAATATGCCAGATAAATAAAAATCATCATAGAAGGCTAAAAGTTGGTGGAAGAGATACGATGTTTAAATTTCACCTAGGGCCAGGGGTGGTGGCTCACACCTGTAATCCCAGCAGTTTGGGAAGCTGAGGCAGGCAGATCACTTGAGGCCAGGAGTTCGAGACCGGCCCGGCCAACGTGGCAAAACCCGGACTCTACTAAAAATACAAAAAAATCAGCTAGGCGGGGTGGCTCATGCTTGTAATCCCAACTGCTTGGCAAGCTGAGGTGGAAGAATCACTCGAACCTGGGAGGCGGAGGTTGCAGTGAGCTGAGATCACGCCACTGCACTACTGCATGTGAGACAGAGTAAGATCCTGTCTCAAAAAATAATTAATCAATTAATTTAATTAAATAAATTTCACCTAGAAAAACATCTAAAATATTAATAATTAAGATAGGGAGAGAGGATTGAGTGGAGATATAACTTATACAAAACGGCAAAATAGATGTAATTATTGAAGATATATGATAGAGAAATTAAGATTTATGATACTCTTTAGAATTTCTACAATATATATTTAAATTTGCCAAAAAAGCAGCATAGAAAGGTAGTATAATTAAATGTTTGATCGGAAATAAATTGTATAAAATATACATTAAAAATCTGACAAAAAAATCCTGAATAGATTTTTTAAGCTGAGGGCATGTGCAGCCTTTCAATAACAAAAGTAAACATGTTTCTCAATGTTGTCCAACCTAAGAAAAACAATCATTTCACGTTTTGCTAATATTTGTTTCATAATTAAAATACCCTTGAGAAAATAAAAATAAAGTTCCCTTATTATTCTCTCCTTTGCTAAATAGATCATCAAACATTAATTATTCATTGAAATTTCAGTTATGTCTCTTGCATAATTTCCATTTCTACCAGTAACTTCTTAGACTGGAATAAAAATTTACCCAGAGGCAGCAGGCTGGCAAACTGGCTTTGTCATAGTCATCTTAACTCCTCCTGACTCTTTAATCTCCAATCAGTTTTTCACAATACTAAATGATCAACTTTTCCTAAAATATAAGCTTTTCTCTTATTTCATACCACAATTTAAAAATATTCACAGTTATTTTTTAAACGTATGCATTGCTGAGATTGAGATTTTCCTCCTCCTTCCCAAGGCTTTAACAATCTCTCTCATTGAGTCACCCAACTGTGTTCCTCCCTAAGTGTGATTTGTAGCCTTAAATTGCAAACAGTTCCTTTTGGAGCAGGCATCTCTTAGAACATTTAACACACCCCGGTCTTTAATATTTTCATGATTTTGTTTCATTTTCTGTTCCTTGAAATGCTTTGCTCCTTTTGTTGCCCCTTCTTCAGTCAAATCATCAAATTAAGGCTGAACTCAATGACAATCTTCACTATGCAGCATTTACGCAGGAATCTTTGTTCTCAGAATTCTGTCTACTGTTTTCTTCGGACATCACACATTTGAGCATATTAATTTGATTAAAAGCTGTGTAGTTAATTAGGAGTATCCAATGCTATCATGGGTCATGGATCTAAAGGCTAAAGCTCTGGGGCCATAACAGATAAGGCCTGGACACAAATATCTCTGCAAGATCCGTGAGCATGGAGACATACTTTGGGTAGTATTTATTTGTTTGAAATACTGGGATGTTTTGGGCAAATGCAATTCAAAGAAGATTATGGAGGAAATAAAGCATGTCTACTCTATCTCATTCAAGTAGTAAACACTCATTGCTTGTCTGTGCAGTATCTGATAGCATGAATCATTTCTCCTTTTCCAGGACTACTGGCAGGGAGCAGTTCAGTTTGTAGCCTAATGCAGCTGCACTGAAATGTGGTCTTATTAGAGCTAATGTCAGTGAACCTGTCAAATTCAACATGAGTTCCTGTCATTGTCTCCAGAGCAATGAAGTATTACTTTGATCAATCTGCATAGTTGGCAACTGCTTGACATCACTCAGCTTTTCCCTGAGGTTTGAATGAGTTCATGGCTATCAATCAACATATATATGGAAAATTCTTTATTTGGAAAGACTCATGGCATTAATATTACCTAATCTTTTGTGATTTAAGTGAAATGTATTGGTGAGCAGTGCATCATCCATAATATGGAGAAGGTATATTTGCACTTTAAGTTAAATTTCAGATTTTATTAAGCTATAGACATTGAGCTCATACTTTAAGTAACCAAACATAAAGCACACTGTATTTGCCATTTAATTTAAAAACTTGTGACTGTTGCCTGCCTATATTTATAAAATTGCAATTATCAAAGTAGGTTTTAGATTACCAAGTAGTTTACTGAAAGCTCATGATTTAATATTGGCAATTCTACATAAAGCAACTGTTTAGAATTATCTTGATGATTTCTAACTCAAGGGCATGCATTTTTTTGTGAAGAGGGAATTTTTAGCTGGTTTTTTTTGGAATAATTGTAAAGAGAGTATTAAATAAACAAATGAATGATTGACTAGCAAGTATAATTACCTGATGGGTTCATCTTGCCCACTGTTTAGAAAAGCCAATGCACTGAGAATAGCAGGTTTTTGGCAGCAAAGACAAAGTTTAATAATCACAGGGCCAGCCAAGCAGAAGAATGGAAGTTAATTTTCAAATTCATCTCCCCAAGAACTCAGAGTCTAGGGTTTTCGTGCATAATTTGCCTAGCAGGGAGCTAGGAAATGGGTGCTGCTGGTGGATGGGGGATGAAGTCATAGGCATGTGGAAAACTATCCTTGTGGCTGAGTCATCCTCTGGATGGGGCCACAGAACCAGTCCAGTCATGAGTCCTGGGTCCAGGTGGAATCAGTGAGCCAGAGCACAAAAGTCTGGAAAACATCTCAAAAGACCAATGTTAGCTTCCACAATAATGATGCTATCTACAGGAGCAACTGGAAAAGTCACAAACTTGAGACCTCTGACCACATGACTCCTGAGCAGTAAGGGGTTATAGAAAAGCAAGGCGCAGTGCAATAGCTGATTATTGTATATCTACATTTTAGTTGAATTCAGGCTCCTCTTGTAATCCCAACCTTGTAGACTTCAATAATCTTGCAAAGACAGTCTCAGTCCCCAAACAAGGAGAGAATCAGTTTTAGGAAGGGACTATTATTCTTGCTTCAACATTAAATCAAACACTAAATTTCTTCCATGGTTAGCTTGGCCTATGCCCAGGAATGAGCGAGGACAATCAGCCTACAACGCCAGAAGCAAGATGGAGTCAGGCAATTAAACTAATCTCACTGTAATAATCCTTACAAAGGCAGACTCAGGTTCAAAAATAAGCTTTAAGGTTGGAAGTTAGAATAAGCCTTCTTGTCACTTTCCTTGAGTTCTTGTGAATCAATATATGACTACATGCCTGCATAAAAATACTGGCACCTTTGAGTCCACTACCATCTGTTAATCCTAATGTCTCCTCATTAATTTCATCTCCAAGTTCTAGGCACTTCCTTCCTAAATTTAGCAGCTGACACAACTTTACTCAACTCTTTGTCTAACACAAATTACTTCAACAAATTCACACTATGGGGGCAGGATATTGTGTAAGCCAGTTATTTAACAGTTGGACTGGAAGATATTTATCCTTGTCTCTCAGAATTTCTCATCAGAATTTGATGCTTGGCTAAAATTAGTTTAATTAATTAAGTTACTAATTGATTAATGATTCATCATGTTCCGCTTAAAGTCCAAAGTTCTCTTGGTGACACTCAGGCCCATTATGTTTACGGATAGTATTCACCTACAAATTAGACAAGAGACACATGAAAGAGTCAGCTGGAGGCTTTTGCCAGAAGTCCTCCAAAACCAACCCTTTTCAACTTTTCAACTCATCTTGACAATTCATTTCAGAGCCTATGTACGTTCTTGTGTGAATAAAAACCCTCTGGGGTGGGTCAGTCCTGGTTATCCCTCACATCTCAGATGTTTACCTGTAATCTCTTCCTCTAGCTCTACCATATTCTTTGCCTTTGTTAGAAGTCTTATGTGAGTATCCTCTGTGGAGTCTGTGAACTCTTCCACGTTTTTGAACATGTGTGATCATTCTAGTTATCAAATATGATTTTCTATCCACATCAGTTACTGTCTGTATACCGTAAACCTTGGTATAATTTGTAACTGTAAAACTTTCAATATAAAGGTCTCACCATATCTTCTTAACACTCCATCTTTTTTGCTGAAATCTGTCCTTTTGTCTGGTTTATTAAGCACTGAATGCTTACTCCTTACCTAGCAAGACAATTCTGAATTTGCTTGCTTATATTTTATGCATCTGATATTTTAAATTCTGTGATGCACTGATTCAAGCAATCTTTTGGCAACATTCAACTGCTTTTTCTGTTTTCCTTTGTCAAAACTACCTGAAAAAAATTTCAGGCAGCCGGGCGCAGTGATTCATGCCTGTAATCATAGCACTTTGGGAGGCCTAGGCAGGCGTATTGCCTGAGGTCAGGAGTTCGAGACCAGTCTGGCCAACATGGTGAAACCCCATTTTTACTAAAAATACAAAAAAATTAGCCAGGCGTGGTGGCGTGTGCCTGTAATCCCAGCTACTTGGGAGGCTAAGGCAGGGGAATTGCTTGAACCAGGGAGGTGGAGGTTGCAGTGAGCCGAGATGGCGCCACTGCCCTCCAGCCTGGCAACAGAGTGAGACTCCGTTTCAAAAAAAAAAAAAAAAAATTCAGGTCTAGATTAACCAAAGCATGTACTTCATATTTCATATTTAGAAAAAAAAAAGATGATGATGGGCTGACAAAACAAAAATCTGGTAAAAATGGAGATGTTTCCTCTTTTGTTATTTCATGTTTAGCCATCTCAGCTGTGTCTCAATACTGCCTAGGGATTTTATTTTTCTAATAGTCACTGGTATTTATACTTTTTTCTTTGACAATAGATGGATAATTCACAGGATAATAAATGTCTAGGGCTTTAAGAGAATGTTTCTTGGGTAATAAATCACCTTAGAGAAGAGTGAATAAGACCTACCAATTTTTTCATTAATATTAACTTGGCCATCAGAGGGAAGTAACAAGTTTAAAAATATCACTAAAACTGTTCCCAAGACCAGCCTCAATGAACTTTTATCTGACTTGGTGGTGGAAGCTGGGGTTCGGGGCTCCAGAAAATAAAAGACCAACAATTGAAAAGATTGTTTAGAAAATTTAAGATTGAAAGGTAGGATTGTTTTGAGAATAAGGTCAAAGAGAAATACACTTAAAGGAGAGTGGGATTATTTCTTATTAAGCACAAAACACAGAATGGTCTCTGCAAACTGCAATTCCAAGAAACTGAGTCCAGTTGGTAAATATATGCTAGGTTTCATCAGTATTAAGAACACTTCAAGCTGGGGCTAATGGTTTACACAAAAAATCCAAGTACTCTGGGAGGCTGAGGTGGGAATATTGCTTGAGGTCAGGAGATAAAGACAAGCCTAGGCAACACAGTAAGACTCTATCTCTATAAAAAATATAAAATATAATATAAAAAACATAGCTTGGCATAGTGTAACATGCCCATAATCCCAGCTACTCAGCAGGCTGAGGCAGGAGGATTGCTTGAGCCCAGGAAATCAAGGTTACAAAGAGCTACGATCATGCCATTGTTCCAGCCTGGGTGACAGAACGACAGAGCCAAACCATGTCTCAAAAAACAAAAACAAAAAAAACAAAACTCCAGGCCCAGGCCTGTCATACCTACATACCTAGAGCTAGTGCTTGTAAAAGCTGTGACAGTGGTCAGCTACAGCTCCAAGAACATCACTTAATGGCACAGGTTTCAGTAGCATGATGAAGCAGCATTGGCTATATCAAACTCAAAGAACAATAATTTTGAGAGCAGAAGGTAGGAGTGACAATTGCACATACAAAAAACTTTGGGCCAGGCTCTGTGGCTCATGCCTGTAATCCCAACACTTTGGGAGGCTGAGGCGGGTGAATCATGAGGTCAGGAGTTCGAGACCAGCCTGGCCAATATGGTGAAACCCCGTCTCTACTAAAAATACGAAAATTAGCCAGGCACGGTGGCATGCACCTGTAATCCCAGCTACTCAGGAGGCTGAGGCAGGAGAATCACTTGAACCCAGGAGGTGGAGGTTGCAGTGAGCCAAGATCACACACTATACTCCAGCCTGGGTGACAGAGCAAGACTCTGTCTCAAAAAAATAAAAATAAAAAAATACTTTGGAGAATGGGCAACAGAACCCACAGTGAATTATCTGAATATGGTGGAAAGAGATTTAGAAGTAGGTGATAAACCCAAAAAGGATAAATGGGTCCAAAAAAAATCAAAGTTATTTTCTTACGCTTAATGTTACCTCCTTTGTCATTCTAACCATTACATAAATATTTATTCATTCTATATGATTACACAAATTAACTTGAAAAGGAAATATTACTTCCCCCAAATTGTGCGTTATTCCTTGGTTCTCATTATTTCTCACAATATAGCTATGTGATATGATACAAAATTAAATACTGAACACATTCAAAACATTAAAACACAAATATAAAAAGAACTTTCTTATATTTAAAATGCAGCTGGACAGTGGCACACACCTGTAATTCCAACACTTTGGAAGGCCAAGGAAGGTGGATGTCTTGAGCCCAGAAGTTCAAGACCAACCTGGGCAACATAGTGAGACCGGCATCTGGGCAACAAATTTAAAAATTAGCCAAGTGTGGTTGCACATACCTTTAGTCCTAGCTACTAGAGAGCCTGAGGTGGGAAGATCACTCGAGCTCAGGAGAACAAGGCTGTCAACAGACTTGAAATTTTCTCTCTTGATGTACCCTAGCCTGCCACCAAGATACGGGCCATGGCCACTTCAACCTCTGGCTCACGGTTGTGTTGATGTGAATGCAAACCCAGCTCTCTGCCTGCAAAGGATATATGTGGCCAGGACAGCAAATCAAACATTCAGACACCAGGTCTTCCCAAGTTCCCAAACAGACTTTCCATAATTTCCCAAAGATCTTGAGACTGAGCTCCTTCCAGACCCCATCCCCAGAGCATCAGAGATGGGAATCTTCCAGACTCTCCAGCCCATTCTCTAGTGAAATTGGACTTGAACCCAAAGAGGCAACCCACTACCTACAAGGACACCATTCCAGATGGCTAGCATTGACCTTCTGCCTCCCCTTGAAATACCTTACCTGAGTCCCATCAAAGCCCACACTGTTCCCCAACCTCCACCATCCAGACATGCTTCAGAACAGCCCCTCAGAAATGCCTGGATGAGATGGGACAAAGGATGATGGAGATCCAGGTTCAGAATGACTGCCTCATTCCTCCCTCCTGAGAAATTTGTACCTTCTGATCGGAGCCCCGACCCCTTAGAGCCCTTAGCTCTTGTTTCAGGAAATGGCCCCTAAGAGGATTTTCTGGTCTTTTCCTCCTCTGAGAAGAGTGCCCAGGAATGAGACTTTTATGCTAGGTAATGTATGGTCTATTCTCACATGACTTGATTGACTGATTAACTCATGCCCTGAGAAAGAAAAAGACGCAAGGACTATCCTGTCTGGTGAATCCCTGCTTCTCAGCTGTGGTGCCTGTGCAAATGGCGGAACCCCAAGGAATATCAGGTACTAGACACAGAGACACTGCCTAATAAAGTTGTGTAAGTTTAAGTTTAATATAAATGGAATGCATAATATCATATAAAAGTTTTGTTACTTAATTTGATAAAGAAACGGAGTTAAATTTTGTAAGGGTATTAAAATATCATTTTAAAGGGAAGCTATGAGAAGTATGTGCAATTGATGTGTAAATGACTGAATTTGAGGTAATTCTGCAAAGACCACCTACGAGTGTGAAGAGGGGTCTACTACTTACTTAATAAGACATCTACTTCCAAATCTGAAGCTTACTTTATAAGACACCTACATCCAAATCTTTGCTGTTTTTAACTATTGCCCTCTCATACTATTTTTTTTTACTCTGAAAGAGCATTTCTATGGAAACCATAATAGGGATTTTGCTAATTTTAGATTAAAATCATTATAAAATTGTTTCATCAGTTCATGTTATTATTAACCACATGCTCCTACAGATGGCATATTGTACATGTGTTTCGATTTGTCCTTTCACCTGAGGTCAATTGTTCTTAATTATACGTACTTCAGATAGAAGAGACCTTTTAGTTATCATGTGCTCCATGGATCCGTACCTTGTTAGACATACAAATTCTCAGAAAAAAACCTAGATCTATTTTATCAAAATCTGGATTTTCAATATTTCCAGGTGATTGACAAGCACATTAATGATTGTTAATAGAGGTACTTCTATTTTTTAAAGGGGAAAAGGTCATGGGGGCATATTAATTTGTTAAAAATGTTCAGTTAAGATTGTACATTTGATGCATATACATCTTATCTCACAAAAAATGACTAGAAAGAACAATAAAACAGGGGCGGGGAATGGGTTGAACTATAGATGAAACAAAAATGGTACATGATTAGTAATTGCCAAGGCTGGGGGTCAGGTCTATTATCATATTTTGTTGATTTTATATATGTTTAAAATGTTCTGTTAAAAAACACTTGTATAAAAAGACAGTTTACCTACAACATTAGTTCTTAAGATTGTGGTTACCTTTGGGAAGGAAGAGGGAAAAAATGGTTTTCAGGGGCAGAACAGAGCTCATTCTATTTCATCGTTGCAGAAATGTATTTCCCTTATAATAATTCATTGAGTTTTACATTAATGCTTTGTGCATGTACACCTGTATGCACATTATATATCAACAAATATTTAAATACAAATAAATTAAATTAAATCAAAATGCCAAACCATTATTTATAAATGTCTGGAATTTTAGATAATGTCAAAATATTCATTAAAATATGTTTATGCATCTTCAAGCATCTTTTATGAAGTTTTGGGGTTTTTTTGACATTAATATTCAGTTTGACATAGACTGTAGTAAAATGACTAAATTGGTGAAATTATATATAACTGAAAGTCTGTATATCGGTAGCTGATTCAGATAAGTTTAAATGATGGCATGTTTTGATATAACGATATTACTTAAGCACTACTTGCAATGTGTCTTAAAAGATGTTTTTCACTGCGTGCAGTGGGGACATTCAAAGATACTTTCTGTCAGAATGCCACCCTGGGAATATTCCTTTTGTTTTTCTATATAGTGCTGTTTTTTCTTCATAAGCATCAGTGTCTATCTGTTCCCTGTTCACTCTTATGAAGTCAAGTGATTTATTCTAGTTGCAAATGAAAACTAACTCCCTTGAATTGTCGAAGAATTTGAATCCTATGGTTCATGCAAGAAAATATTATTTGCAACCTATAGTAAGTAGTAAGTAATGTGTATGTTACCTGATAATGTATAAAGTCAATAGTATATCAAACTAATTAATATCAAAATATGATAACACTTTTTCTCAAATTATTTGTTGGTGACCCCATTTGTTCCCATTAGCAAAATTTGAAACCCCCTATTTTCTTCTCTTGCTGCTACATCTCCTCTCTCTGACCCTCTAAACTGACTCAAAACCCTAAATATTTACCCAACACCAAAGAGTCACTGCTGTGACTAAATGTCAGGGAAGGGAAAACTTTGGTATATTGTGAATCTACCTGTCTACTTTCAAACCATAAACTCCAGTTCTTTTCCCTTTGACCATTGCACAATATAACCTTGTTAGAAATTAAGACCATATGGCTTCACTGAATTTGTCAAGTGCTATAGAGAGTGTCTTTTTCTGTTTTGTGCTGCTATAATAGAATACCTAAGACTGGATAATTTATAAAGAACAAAGATTTATTCCTTATAGTTCTTGAGACTGGGAAGTCCAAAGTTGAGGGGCCTGTGTCTGGTGAGGGCCTTCTTGCTATGTCATACTATGGTGGAAGGTAGAAGATCGGGAGAGCACACATGCACATATGTACAAGAAAGACAGCAAGAAAGGGAGAAGGTTAAACTCATATTTTTAGCAGGAACCCACTCCTGTGATAAGCTACTCTCACTCTCTTGGTAAAATCAACAGTAAGAATGAGCTCTGCCCTCATGACCTAATCACCTCTTTAGGGTCTCACCTCTGAACACTGTTGCACTGGGGACTAAGTTTCCAACACATGAAATTTTGGGGGCCATATTCAAACCATATCAGAATCCCTCACTTACCCTAATCACTAAGTTAGCGGCAGGTGCTTTTAGAGGAATAATAATTCTACTGTTTCCAGTGTTATGATTGATGAAGTGTGTCTAACATATAAAATTGCAGGTTTCAACGTAATTTTTAAAAGGTTTTAATATACAAGCCTATGATCATACAATCTTTCCCAAATGTCTTAGTTGTCTGGATTTGCAGAGTAAAGAGGCACTACCAGCCTCCCTGTAATTTTGTGCCACGAACAGATTTACTCCACAACAAAGTAAACCAGAGCTACTCAAAATACGCTTTGTTGCCAGGCTACAATGTGATAAGTAGAAAAGCTGAGAATATACTTTTATGTCAATATATTATTGTGGCAATACCCAAGTGCATTAGCAGTAGATTCCTTTCTCTGAATATTGAATAGACTGTGTTGGGTATAGGGAAAAACATTATGAGTTCCATGAGATGTATTAAAAATGCATGGTCAGGTTCTTTTTTTAGTTTAGTTTGTTAATTGTATACATGTATTATAATCTGAGGAAATGTAAGCATTTTTATAACTTTTTTCACAAACATTTAATTTAAATCATCTTTTGTTTATGATTTAGCACTATCATTTAAGAGAGGATATAAATATTTGTCTTTTAAATTTTTAATCTTAATTTGCAGATGCAAAACTACTTTCATTGTTTTTTTCTGTCAATAACTCATTTTGTTCCATCATTAAACCAAAGATATTACAAGAAAAATTGAGCATGCTGTTATTCTAATTAAATTTTAATTGAATGCCTTTTCTCAGATGTAAATTGACATGATTTTTACTATTCCAGAACACAAAGATGATGATAAATCTGCACAAGAAAAGATTGCCTAATCAAAGTCAGAAGTGACATTTAGAAATATGAGGTGATTGAAGAAACGTTTACAGTGCATTTTAGCTTTGGCAGTGTCAATAGTTCAGATAGCTGTTATGACACAGAGCAAGTTTTCTTGATTTTTGAGTTGCAATGGAATCCAGATTTTGAAACTACATAGTAGTGGGACACATACAGAAGTTCTATTACTCAGCTGTTTGAATTTGCCCCTTGTCTTCACCTCCTGCTAACTGTGTGACCTTGGACAAGTTACTTACTGTCTCTGAGCTGCACTTTCAATATCTGTAAAATATGAGGCTACTTATAGTGCCTTCATGGGCTTTTGTAAGGAGCAGCTAGATAATCCATGCTAATGCATGTAAGTCAGCACCTGACAAGTGTGCTCCAAATATTAACTGTTATTATTGCTAATTTTACACAGTCATTAATGCTGTACTTAAATTATATCATTCATTAATATTTCAGTTCAAAGTTATGACGACCATGTCCTTGCATACTCTCCTGTTCTCTTGTGTTCCCTAAGGTAGCGATTTTGTGGTGAGACTTGATGAAGGAATCCAAATTAACTAGGAAAAGATTAATTATGGGTAATACTTGAAGCGAGACGGGATGTGGCATGGTAAAATACGAATTTTAAACGGCCAGTATATCTGGAACAGACAGGGCAATAGAAGAACAATCGTATAGTGTGGAAAGTGGAAGATATAGCAAAGTTTGTGGAGCCATGACAAAAAAAAGTTGTTACATGGCATATGAGGACCGGAAAGCCAGCAAAATAGTTTAAAGGTGGGAAAAATCCTAATCTGGTTTGATTTTTAATCAAAAAATTCGGTCTGCAATGAAGATAATGGATTGAAGGGGAATGTCCCTTTTATACAAATTTGAGATGACAATAGTTTAAAGTATAGACTTTGGAAACTTAATGGATTAAGTTTCAGATGGCACCTGTGAAAAGATAGGTGTCAGAAAGAGAAACTTAAAAGGCTGCTCAAGATTTGGAGGGTGATGTCATTTACTAACATTAAGGGTAGAGGGGAGGGAGAGGGCTAAGTTGCATTTGAGTTAAGATGACTTTATGGCATCACTGAAGAACAACTTCAAGCAATTTCATATATGTATCTGAAAAAATAAAAGGTCTACACTCAAGATATAAGTGTAGAAGCATTGATGTATAGTATTGGGGTCATAGCCATGGGTGAGAGTATAGAATAAAAAAAATGATATTCCCAACATTGAACAACAAAGTTGAACAAGTGATCTGAAGAAAGAAAGAGAAAGAAAGAAGGAAAGAAAGAGAGAAAGAAAGAAGGAAAGAAAGAAAGAAAGAAAGAAAGAAAAAGAAAGGGAGAGAAAGGAAGGAAGGAAAGAAGGAAGGAAGGAAGGAAGGAAAAAAATTATCCATATTAAAGTAACTATCACTTAATACCTATATTGAAAAACAAGAAACTGAGGCTGGCAATAGAGGCAGGGGCCAAGGATAGAGGCTTAAAGAGCAAATGAAAGAGCTAGGAAATAGTAGAATCAAATTATCCCGATTTTTTTTCTTTCACATTCTGTCCTGTTGGGCACTAAAAATTAATTTGAGAATGTTCTTGTTCATACAGACAAATAGATGCATATCTAATTTATAACAATTGACATAAAATAGCATGTATAAAAAGGAGATGACTATGTAGATATACACACAATTTTATGATATGATTGAACATTACAGTGAGGAAACTCAAATGTCCTTATTTGCAAATAAGTGATTTGAATTTCTGGTTCTGTATATCACTGCATAGCCATTAATTATAAACTAAATTGGTAAATTATTGTACATCTGATTTTAATAAAAAGGGAAAATAATAAATGCACTTTATCAAACAAATTAAGATAAAATAAAAGACGTTAATTTCCATTTCAGGAAAAGAAAACATTTAACTAGGACATGGCAAAAACGTGTTGGAGTGATCCAGAGAGGCAATAAAGATCACAATAAGAAAGACATCAAATCCTTGTGGATGAAGTTTTCTCATAATTAAAATAATTTTTCATTATTATCATAGCAAAAGTTTAATCAAGGAAGAAATTAGAGCCCTTCAGCATGAAACGAGAAATGAGATCGCAAGGATGGTAAAACTGCTGAAGTATTAAATGAATATATCCCAATGCATTTATAAAGAATAGCATTAATGGGTCAAGAACTGAACATTCCTAATTAATATATCTTTTACTAACTCTTAAAAGTTCAGCTTTTTAAGTTGGCATTCTAATTTGCCTTCAGCAAATTTGATGATACTAGAAATTAAAACCCAATAATTTTTACTGATCCTATTGGGCTTTATTTTTTTATCTAAAAATATTAAAATGCCATGACAGATTCAGCAAAAGCTATTTTAAAGCCTCAATCAATTTGCCTGTTAATGCCACCAAAGTAATTCCAATAATTGCTTTATGACCTCAATAAATAGAAAAGGCTAAACTATTTTTGCATGTTTTTCCAAATTATTTAATAACTTCTTACAATAATAAGCAATGCATATGCAAGGTAGAAAATGTGGAAAGTACAGAAAAACATATAAAGGAGACAAATATAATTATCCTTAATCTGACCATCCAGAGATTATCATTAATAACATAGACAGTAGACACACAGAGAGAGAGAGCCATAGTAAAGAAAGCTGTAAAGGAAGTGGTACTTTTTGGTTAGAGACACAGCAACAATAATAAAGATAAGGATGTTCAGTAAAGAGTTCAAGTTGTAAGGCCATTTTGTTTATAAAACTTGAACCTTTGCCCAGACAAATTTAGAAATGTAAGGGAAAAAAAGATTAGGTGTAAAAGCAGATCATGAATAAAAGCACAGAAAATAAAAGAAAGGATTATAAGTACATACTTTGTTTACTAAATTTCCTCCTGCAGGTAAAATGCATATCCTCCTAAAGAAATTACAATTCCTGGTGGATGATGATTCTGAAATTTGCAATTTGAATTATGTGAAATGTATCTTATGTTAGAGGACTTGGGAACTGCTTTGGATTTATGGTTGCGGATAAACATACCCCTTGGTGGTATTACCAACGTAATGTTGGATGAAGAAAATCTATGCAGGTTGTTGGAGGCAGAATAATCTGCATTAGTCAACTACCTCTGTCTATAATAGGCAACTTCAAAGTCTTCATGATATTTAAAAGGAGAAATTTTCTTTTCACCAGAGGTCTCCACTTCGGGTCTGGGCTGGGCCCATTTAGGTGTCTCTTCTTCAGTTGGTCCTAGCTCTAGGCTAGATATTATGGTTTTCTGCTACACATCTATTTATTTTGGGGGCCAAGCTCAGAACAGAGGCCATCTGAGGCTGGTCTTCACATCTGCTAGAATTCCATTGACCGTAGCACGTTCTACAGCCAAACCTACCATCAGTGCGGTGGGCACCATGGTAGAATGAATATTTACTGAACACTTTGTCTTTATTTATTTATTTATTTATTTTTGAGATGGATTTTCACTCTTGTTGCCCAGGCTGGAGTGCAATGGCACGATCTCGGCTCACTGCCACCTCCACCTCCCAGGTTCAAGCAATTCTCCTGCCTCAGCCTCCGAGTAGCTGAGATTACAGGTGCGTGCCACCAACCCCGGCTAATTTTTGTATTTTTAGTAGAGGCGGGGTTTCACCATGTTGGTTAGGCTCGTCTGGAACTCCTGACCTCAGGTGATCCACCCACCTCAGCCTCCCAAAGTGCTGGGATTATAGTCGTGAGCCACCACGCCTGGCCTTTTTTTTTTTTTTTTTTTTTTGAGACGGAGTCTCGCTCTGTCGCCCAGGCTGGAGTGCAGTGGCGGGATCCAGGCTCTCTGCAAGCTCCACCTCCCGGGTTCCCGCCATTCTCCGGCCTCAGCCTCCCGATTAGCTGGGACTACAGCTATTTTTTTTGTATTTTTTTAGTAGAGACGTGGTTTCACTGTCTTAGCCAAGATGGTCTCGATCTCATGACCTTGTGATCCGCCCATCTCGGCCTCCCAAAGTGCTGGGATTACAGGTGTAAGCCACCTCGCCTGGCCTTTTTTTTTTTTTTTTTTTTAAGAATGTAGTTCAATGGTTTTATTTTGTGTGTGTTTGTCTTTTTATTTTACATTTGTATTTATATTTTTTATATATTTAGGGGGTAGAAGTAAAGTTTTGTTACATAGATATATCATATAGTGCTGAAGTCTGGACTTTCAGTGGTGCCATCACTGGAATAGTGTACATTGTACCCATTAAATTAAATTTCTCATCCCTCCTCCCACCACTCTCCCACCTTTCCAAGTCAACAGTGTCTATTATTCCACTTTGTATGTCCATGTGTACACTATCGTACCCTTAATCAGGCGTTCCTCTTGCTGGCTTGTATGTGGATATGATGGCTTGAACTCAGGGTGTCATCTTTGCCTTTCTGGACTATGAGGTCATTGCTGAGAACAGGATGGCAGAATACCAAGACAGAAGGATGTACCCGCCCTGGAACATCTCCCTTCAGACATCTTTTACATGATACAAAGATGTATTCTATATTTTTTAAGCCACATGACTTAGCCTTTGCCACCTATCCCAGGTAAACCAAATCCTGACTGTCTCAGATCCTTTTAAAATAATGTGTGGAGGTATAAATTAAAGATATCATTTTATTTTTTTCTAGTTATTTTGCCCAGGCTGGAGTGCAGTGGGACAATAACAGCTCATTGCAGCCTTGATCTACTGGGCTCAAGAGATCCTCACATCTTACCCTCCTGAGTAGCTGGCACCACAGGCATGTACCGCCACTCTATTTTTTTTGTAGAAATGGGGTCTCACTATGTTGCCCAGGCTGAAAGATGTCCCTTTCTCTGAAGTGAGGTTAAAGTTACATAATGTGTTATAAGATTTAAGTCACAGAGAGTACTTCTTTTGGAATAGGTATTTATCCCCATATTTGCCTAGAACATGGCAGAGCATCTAGTGTCACAACAGCACTAGAGTGGTACAAAGCAGTGGCACAACAGCATGTAATTGGTCCATTAGACAACTCATTGCCTAATAGTACTGGTGGAGGAGCAACTCAACACATCTTCAAAGATGGCGCTGTTTGCATAAGTGGTGATGGGACTAAGCAATGGAATTACATCCTGGTGCTAAAGAAAATGGAATATGAAAGACATCTAAAAATAGAATGTGTGTGACATTCTCATTCGTGAACACAAAGAGTTAAGAGGAAACATTGGGAGGTGGAGTGGAATTGAGATGCTATAGTTTTGAAGGTGAGGATAGTAAGCTAATTAATTTTTAGTATTAATGTTATACAACATAATTGGTGGTCTGGGCTGGGGAGTCCTGTGCTCTTTCCTATTAGGTAGCAACTTTGGAAATTAGCAGTAAACCTCTGAGGACACAGCGTGGGGAGAAAACGTGCATGCTACTACTTTATCAGAGAGCACAAGCTCTTGGTTATCAGAGAGGGAAAAAAGGGTGAGGTTTTACATAAATAGTTAATTCTTTTTTTGAATTTCAATTTTATTAGCCCAACTATAAAAAGCAAATATTATTATAAAAAGAAGAGAGGGCCGGTGCAGTGGCTCACACCTGTAATCCCAGCACTTTGGGAAGTTGAGGTGGGTGGATTACAAGGTCAAGAGTTCGAGACCAGCCTGGCCAATATGGTGAAACCCCTTCTCTACTGAGAATACAAAAATTAGCCGGGTGTGGTGTTGGGGGCCTGTAGTACCAGCTACTCAGGAGGCTGAGGAAGGAGAATTGTTTGAACCTGGGAGGCGGAGGTTGCAGTGAGCTGAGATCGCGCTACTGCACTCCAGCCTGGGTGATAGAGCGAGACTCCGTCTCAAAAAAAAAAAAAAAAAAAAAAAGAGAAATAAGACTAAAAGACCTATTCTAAAAGGAGAGCATTGTGTGGTAGATACAAACAAACCTATGTTCCATGTTGTTTAATTTAGTTTAGTTAAGTTTGAGTTCGTTTGACCCTTGCAGGGAGTATAAAAAGATATTGTCTTTGTAGAAGGAGATGTGTTAGCGACAACTGCTAAATATAGCTAAAACCTTAGTTTACACAAACGTAAAAGTAAAAATAATTGATGTCATCTAAAGCACATAACTTCAAGCAAAATCCACAAAGACACAGAACTAATGATTAAAAATGTTAGGTGAAACAAAGACACAGAACTAAGAATTAAAAAATTCAGGTGCTTATATAGTCTGTATTTGGCATATTAAAATTTTGTAGTAATTTTATTTTGACATAAAAACCCATCGTGTATGGAAACAAGAGAGCCATTTAAAAAATAAACTGTGTGAATATAAATAACATTCTTAATTATTTCTAGAAAAGACAGAGAAAACGAATTCCACGTATGACTGAAGTTGAATTTATCATTAGTCTGGTAAACCTTGACTTGCTTAAAAGTTAAAAGGTTAATTTGGGTTAGAGATTTTTGTTTTTGTTTTTTTGAGACGGAGTCTCGCTCTGTCGCCCAGGCTACAATGCAGTGGTGCGATCTTGGCTCACTGCAACCTCCGCCTCCCTGGTTCAAGTGATTCTCCTGCTTCAGCTACCACACCCGGCTAATTTCTGTATTTTTAGTAGAGACGGGGTTTCACCATGTTGTTCAGGCTGGTCTGGAACTCCTGACCTCATGATCCACCGCCGTCGGCCTCCCAAAGTGCTGGGATTACAGATGTGAGCCACTGCACCTGGCCGGGATTTTTGTTTTAAGTAATATATCTCATAAGTTATAATTTAACTATTTATCACCTGGGTTTGCTAAGAAATTGGTGAAGGAATGAGTTGCCTAATGGACCAATTAAATACTATGGTGTTGGCTTCCTTTATCTTTCTTCATCACTCCTTCTTTCCTTACCCCCTTAATATTTCAAGTGAAAATTCATTAGATAAGGGCAAGAAAGGTAAATTTCTTAGTTATCAGAAATTTATGTATATGTGTGTATGGGGGATGCATCACCAGAATATAATCATGAGAATATATATGATAAGTGAACATTTAAAGACATTCTTTAAAATATATTTATCAAATCAATTAAAAGCATATGTTGCGTGCCTTTAGTTACGAGCAGATGGATTAGCAGGTGTTACACCAAGTATATAATAAACAACCTTAAGTCCATACTGACATAAAAATCGTTGAATAAGTAGAGTGAGAATAAACAAATCCCCCATGCAAAAAGTTCTGAATAATTTATGTAGATATTCTTCCTTGAAGAAAGCAGAGGTAACTCTCTATTTTTCAAATGTGCATTGTGTATAGTGTCATGCCTTCTAAAGAGTGCAGTATGGCATAAAATAAAACAATTTGTTTTAAATCTGTTCTGATATTACTATATCACAAACTACCACAGATCTTAAGACTCTTAAAAACAGAAATTATCATTTAGTTGACTTTTGGTCAATGCATTAGAAAAGTTTCACATATTTAAAGGCTGAAAATATTGACCCTGCACTCAATGGAGTGTGCCAATATCTCAAAGTGGGAAAAGCATGCGAGAAGGAATATACATCAATATGGTTTTTATTTGCAAATGGCTTGATCATTTATATAAGAAATCCTATAAATTCTATTTTAGAAACCTACTAGCATAGTATCAAAATTAATAATCCATGTGCAAACATTGTATATCTACATGCTAGCAATGAACTATCAGAAATTGAAAAAATGCATTTATAACTGCACCAACAATATAAAATACATACTAAGAGATTATACGTATGGTGTGAAAGAATTGTATACTACAAATAAAATGTTACAAAGAAAAATTAAAGACTTAAATATTAATAAATATATATTTATGGATGAGAATTCCTAATATTATTAAGAGCGCTATTTGTCAAAATTTGATATATATTATAGCTTCAACACAATCCCAAGCAATATCCCAGTAGACTTTTTTTGTAGAAATCTATGAACTAATTCTAAAATCAATATGAATAGAAAAAAAAAAAAACAAAAACAGAAACAAACTAGTACTGTCAGAGGCCTTTGAACCAGAGCAACAAATATCTTGAGTAAGGGTTGGGTAAAATGAGGTTGAAACCTTCTGGGCTGCACTCTCAGATGATTAAGCATTCTAACTTAAAGGATGAGATAGGAGGTCAGCACAGGATACAGGTCATAAAGACCTTGCTGATAAAACAGACTGCAGTAAAGAAGCTGGCTAAAACCCACCAAAACCAAGATGGCAATGGGAGTGTTCTCTGGTCATCCTCACTGCTACACTCCCACCAGCACCATGTCAGTTGCAGATGTCATGGAAATGTCAGGAAGTTACCCTATATGGTCTAAAAAGGAAAGGCATGAATAATCCACCCCTTGTTTAGGATATAATCAAGAAATAACCATAAAAATGGGCAACAAGAAGCCTTCGGGTCTACTCTGTCTATAGAATAACCATTCTCTTATTTCTCTACTTTTTTAATAAACTCGCTTTCACTTTATTCTATGGACTTGCCCTGAATTCTTTCTTGCTCATGATCCAAGAACCATGGCTTGGGGTCTGGATCAGGACCCTTTTCCCCTAACAATATAACCCAAACACACCGATTACGAAGCAGAGAAGAATCATGTTCTCATACTACCTATTTCTGTGTGTGTTTCCCTCTGTTCTCCCTAAAATACCTTGTGTATTCTTAAAGTTTGTATGAACTGGTTCCTTTACATTCTCTCCTTTACATTCATTAAAGTCCTCCACTCGGAGTGGGTGAATCATCTTTTCTTCACTTGACCCCAAATCTACCATAAAATAGCCATGCTCACAAGAGGGATTCCTCCACAAATGTATGAGCTTGTTTATATCTTGAAAGCAGTCAGTTATTAGTTTTCGATATTTAATCTTTTATTTATGAAAGAAGCAATTAATTAATTTAGAAAATCCATTGTTGACAAAAAAGTCAAACTCTGTAAAATATTTAAAGAGATTTATCCTAAGCCACATATGAGTGACTTATGGCCCATACCTCTCAAGTCCCAAGAAGTCTTGAGATCATGTGTTGGAGGTGGATGGGTTGCAACTTGGTTTTATACATTTTTGAGACAGGAGTTACAGGCAAAGACATAAATCAATATGTGTAAGTGATCCATTGGTTCAGCCTGGAATGGGGGGACATCTCAAAGTGAAAGAGGCTACAGGACATAGGTGGCTTTGAAGACTTTTGGATTGGCAATTGGTTCAAAGAATTAAGCTTTGCCTCATTAAATCAGCAGAAAGAAATGTTTGCATTAAGATTACAGGAGTTGTGGAAGCCAAGGTTGTTATTATGTAGATGAAGCCTCTAAGTAGCCGGCTTCAGAGAGAATAAATGGTAAATTTCTCTTATTGGATCTTAAAAGGTGTTAAAGCCTTAGTTAAATCTCTCTTGGATTCAGAAAAGACCAAGAAAGGGAAGTAGAGTCTCTATAGAATGCAATTTCCCACATGAGGGATGCCTTTGCAGGGCAATTTCAACATATTTCAAAGAAATATATTTTGGGGTAAAATACTCTGATTTTTTTCATGACCTTTTATCTGTCATGAGATGTTATACCAGAGTCAGGTTGGAATTTGGTATCTTATTACTATAAATAATCCATTTTGTCAGTGTCATCATCTGTCTTTTAATGTTAATGCTGGTCAATTGTGCATAAACTCCAAAAGGCAGGGGTTACAATAAGACATGTCTGATCTTCCTTTCCATCATGAACTAAACATGTTTTTCAGGTTTGAGATCCCCTTGGCCAAGAGGAGGATCCACTGAGTCTGTCAGAGGGCACAGAATTTTACTTTTGATGTACACCTTTCTTACAAAACGTCTGTATCTATGTACATCAAATGCTTACATCTACTAGAAAGTTTACGTCTCTTGAACTAATTTCAAAAGAAAACAATTTCTTTCTTGTGTTTCCCCCAAAACATGAAAGGTATACAAATTCTAATTCTTGATCAGCCCTTCTTTCCCCCACATCTATCATCTTTTCTTAAAAACCTTGGTTGTTCCAGCATACCTCTCCTCAGCCCCAACCCCAAGCTGTGTGGAATTTGCTATTTCTGTAATCATCCTGCACTCAGAATGAATTTAGTCTTTCAAAAGTAAACACTTCTTCCCATAATTGACATTTCTAGTCTCTTACACCCAATTTTTATTCTGTTGTTTTAGGAGTTGAGAAGAATGCCTCCAAGAGTTGGGTTTTGAAGTCAAGATTCTAAATCTTCTTTGAGGAAGAAGGCAGGTAAGAACTTGGGATAAATGCATTATATAAAGGTATTCATGCACACGTATGCACTCAGGTTTATAGCGTTAATCTGAAAAAAGTAATTGAAATGAGATTTAAAATGAAATAGAATATTTGCATCATATTATACAAAAGCATTCAAATACTTTATAAATATATACAAAAAATTATTATAATTTTGCTTTAAAGGAAATGACATCTAATAGGCCAGTTCTGCAATCTAATCTTGAAAGAGACATTTTACAGGAACAAAGTATTCATTTTTAGGTTACATCAAAAGAGAAAGTACTGACCAATAAGTAGTCATTGAATTCTTGATGGACAGCTGATAGAGTAGATTGTGGTATTGTAGCAAGACGAGCTGCAGACAAAACCTCTCAGACACTGAGTTGTGGAAGGAAGGGCTTTATTCAGCTGGGAACGTCGGCAAGCTACTGTCTTAAAATCCGAGCTCCCCGAATGCACGATTTCTGTCTCTTTTAAGGACTCACAACACTAAAGATTTCACATGAAAGGGTCGTGATTGATTTGAGCAAGCAGGTGGTATGTGACAGGGGCTGCATGCACCGGTGGTCAGAGAGAAACAGAACAGGGCAGGGAGTTTCACAATGTTCTTCTATACAGTGTCTGGAATATATGAATAACATCGGTTTCTAAGTTATGAGTTGATTTTTAACTACTGGGTTTAGGCCAGGCAGGCCCAAGCCTGGTTTTGGGCCTAGTGCCGGGCTGCTGGTCTTTGGTTTTACTTCCTTGTTTTTTCTTAAAACAGGTACTGAATATAAAACAATATAAAACAATATGAGAGGGTTTCTCTTTCCCCTTAGTGTTACTGCAAAAAAAGTTTAAATAGCTTTAAAAATTTTAAGAACAATCTTTATGCATTTATCAGAAGTGTTAACTTCTTTCCAGATGGTGATTATGAATTAAATGGAACCAAAAGTTTTGTGTTAGATTAGCTTGGGGGCCTTTTCTTAAAACATTGATTGGATAATGAAATATAGGGTAGCCAAGGTCAGGAATGCAGGTAAAGTTAAAATGCAAAATGAGAATACATGGGGGGAAGATGGGGATATGGAAAAAGAACAATGAAAAAGCCAACTGAATAGTGGAACTGCTCTGGGGTACTTAGTAACTCTTTAGCTTTTGTGAAAATGGATTTGATTGTTCAGAGCTAGGGATGATTGACAGTTATGTTGTTCCAGCATCCCCTGATAGGATAATACTACCACAGAATCCCTGACCCAGCAGAAGAATGTCAAAATGCTTTTAAATTTTTACTCCAAGTGCTGGTAGCTGAGATAAAGCAGACTATGTAAGGTGTAAATGTCCAGATTTTAGTATTCGATATTAAAATATAAAATATTCTCTTTCTTAAATTTTTTCCTATGTTTTTTGAGAGAAGAAAGAAAAAACCCTATCCCTTTCTGATTCATGTAGACAGAACTAAAAAGTCAAACTAAAGCAATCCTCTCAAATGTTAATAGTGAATAAAACAATTATTACATTTTAAATTTCTCAATTATTGATATAATTTCAATGCAATATAATTTCACGTGACTCTTTAAGCATTTTATCAGAACTGTTAACTTCTTTCCAGATAATGATTATGGATTAGATTACATCAAAAGGTTTTGTGTTAGAGTAGCTTGGGGGCAGTTTTCTTAAACATTGACTGAATTAAAAAAATACAGATTCGTCACCGGTCAAGTCTCCAGCCAAAGTTAATATACAAAACAACTATACATGGGGAAAGAAAAGAAATAGAAATATGGTAAGAGAAAATTTGAGCAGCCAACTGAATACATTAAATGAAAAATATATCTTCAAAACAACTTGAAAGAAATAAAAAATAAAAGCATTTTGTAATACACAATATACAGTCAGTAAACTTCCCCAGGAGGCAAATGACTGCTTTCTCAGAGTTATAATATGAATATATAGCAATTGTTGAAATGCTTCTTGTTTTTTTGGTTTAAATCTATTGAGATGCTGCTGCTAGGCTAGCTACCAAAAATAAAGACTAAAGCCATAATGGTGAAGAAAATCAAAATATTTTACCCCAAAATGCATTTTTTGACATATTTTTAAATGGCTGCTGAAGAGTCACCAGAGTGGCCTTGCAGAGGTATCTTTTGTGGGGAATATTTGCATTATAGAGAATCTCCATTAATGCGGCCAGGCCTTGCTTTTCAGGACCTTTTCCACATCTAGGAGAGATTGACAGTCTGACACTTTCAAAAGTCTGAAAAGAAACTTTCACCATCTATTCTCTCTGAGGGCTACTACTGTGAGGCTACACAACAAGGCCCCCTTTGCTAGCCAAACCTCTTCTTTTCTCCCTCCTTTAAACTGCCTTAACACTAGAACCTGTTTTTGGGCCATGCTCTGAGCCTGCGTTCTTTCTATAACCTCAGGATGGTATATAAGCTTCTGTACTTTGTTGTGGGGTTGGGTCTTCATTCTGAAGGCTTCCATGTAGACATGCCAAATAGAATTTGTATGCCTTTTCGTGTATAAATCTGCCATTTGGGAGTTGATTTTTTTTTTTAGCAAACATTCAGAGGACTAAGGAGAAAGCTCTCCCGAGGCCCTCACAATGGATTTCCTCATCATGATCACAGAACACTTACTAGTGATTTCTCTCACTCTAAGTGTCAGTCTTTCCTGGAAAAGTCAGGAGAGAAGGGTTTTTAAACTCTGGGGTGAGCTAGTAGAAAAGTCATGGAGGACGTGAGGTAGGCAGTTGATCCCTGGGATATGTCCAGCACATTATGTTTGCATTATTTGCAAATGTGTTTTATTTTTCTGTAAACTAGTCATGCGTATTGGCTAATTGGCTTTACTCCAGCAAAAAGTAAATTTTCTTCTATGTTTATGACAGAATGTCTTGTAGCCTTGCTCCAAGTTACACTGAAGTTATATGTGCCTAAACTCCCACAGGGACTAAGAATTAGGATTGCTTTTTCCTGATGATTACGTTTCAAAGGGACAGTTCCCAGATCTAGAGAAAGACATTCCCGGGTTTTAAAACTGGCAAGAGGCTTTTTAAAAGATTTACATCTCAAAAGAGTAAAAAAAAAAATATATATATATATATATACACACGCACACACACATACATACATATATATACACACATACATATATATATATATATATATATATATAATTACAAGTATTTTTTTTAAAAAATAAATCATTTAAGGGATAAGAGATCAGAGACCTAGGTGCAGGAGGAAGTCTGCCTAGAATTTGGTCTAGCTGACAGCAATGTTAGGGCCCTCTTTTTCCAGCCCTAGAGTTGATCAACTACATATGCTACTAAGTTTTCCATGCTTGCTTTACCTTTACTCCACAAATATTAACATTACTATTTGCTCAACAGTTTGTGAATAAATTGCAGGTACCATTGTAACCATTCACTGGGTTCAACTTGCCTTCTGCCTAGACAGAGCCAATTTATCAAGATAGGGAAATTGCATTAGAGAAAGAGTAATTCATCCAGAACCAGCTGTGCAGGAGACTGGAGTTTTACTATTACTTAAATCAGTCTCCCCAGTCATTTGAGGATGAGAGTTGTTAAGGATAATTTGGTGGGTGTCGGGGGCAGCCAGTGAGTCAGGAGTGCCCACTGGTTGAGTCGAAGATGAAGTTATAGGGAATCATAGCTATCTTGCACTTAAGTCATTTCCTGAGTGGGGGACACAAGATCAGATGAGACCTTTTATCCACCCGAGTGGTGCCAGCTGATTCCTCTAATGAAGGGCCTGCAAAATATCTCAAGCACTGATTTTCAGCTTTATAATAGTGATGTTGCCGGGCGCGTTGGCTCACGCCTGTAATCCCAGCAATTTGGGAGGCTGAGGTGGGCGGATCATGAGGTCAGGAGATAGAGACCATCCTGGCTAACATGGTGAAACCCCGTGTCTACTAAAAAAAAAAAAAAAGAAAAGAAAAATTAGCCGGGCGTGGTGGCAGGCGCCTGTAGTCTCAGCTACTGGGGAGGCTGAGGCAAGAGAATGGTGTGAACCCAGGAGGCGGAGGTTGCAGTGAGCCTAGACAGTGACACTGCACTCCAGCCTGGGTGACAGAGCAAGACTCTGTCTCAAAAACAAACAAACAAACACAAACAAACAAAAAAACAACAGTGATGTTATCCCCAGGAACAATTTGGGGAAGGTCAGAATCTTGTAGCCTTCAGCTGCATGACTCCTCAATCATAATTTCTATTTTTTTGGTTAATTTGTTAGTCCTACAAAGGCAGTCTAGTCCCAGACAAGATGGAAGTTTGTTTTGGGAAAGAGCTGTTATTATCTTTGTTTTAACCTATAAACTGTAAACTGAGTTCCTCCTAAGGTTAGTTCAGCCTAGGTCCAGGAATGAACAAGGACAGCTTGGAGGTTACAAGCAAGATAGAGTTGGTTAGGCCAGATCTCTGTCACTGTCTCAGTTCTAATTTTGCAATGGCAGTTTCACTAAGACCCTTTACATTTTTGTCAAAAGGTACTGTCATATTCATATTTTCTTATCTATTCTCAAATTCAGGAAACTTCATTGCATTTATTAATACTTGTCATATATTGTAGTGTTCCTTAATTTGGCAACATTTTCTCAGCATTTTCTATTATTGAAGAATAATAGACGGTAGTTGAGTTTGTCTGATTGCTTTCCCATGATTCACTCTAGGCTATATATAACTATCAGGAGTAATACCTAGATGATCTTCTGTCACATCTGGTGACACATATCATCAGTATAATTTATTAATTTTATTTTATTTTATTTTATTTTATTTTATTTTATTTTATTTTATTTTATTTTATTTTACTGAGGCAGAGTCTTGCTCTGTCACCCAGGATAGAGTTCAATGGCGTGATCTCGGCTCACTGCAACCTCAACCTCCCAGGTTCAAGCAATTCACCTACCTCAGCCTCCTGAGTAGCTGGGACTACAGCTACTGTGGTGTGCCACTACACCCATATAATTTTTTTTTTTTGTATTTTTAGGAGAGATTGTGTCTCACCATGTTGGCCAGGCTGATCTCAAACTCCTGACCTCAGGTGAACCACCCACCTCAGCCTCCCAAAGTGCTGGGATTACAGGACTGAGCCACCACATGCAGCCAGTATAACTTATTACTGTATTATTATACTCTGGTCACTTGGATGAGATAATTTAAATTTCTCTGATATCATTGCTTTTCTTTTGTATTTAGGAAGTAATTTACATGTGGACACATTGACCTTGTATTCAACAAGTTGTATCCAACTCTTTTAGCATCCATCTTCTACCTATGACAGTGAATTTTATGTGATAAATTGGGATGTGTATTTGTATGAGAATGTCATTTTAGAGAGTGAACACTGAGTAAAGCAGATTGTACTCCTTAATGTAGGTAGGCCTCATCAGATCAATTAAAGGCCTGAATAGAACAACAAAAAAATAGGCATCTCCCCAGTCATTCAATTCCTCAGAACACTGCCTTCAGACTTTGTCTGTACCATTTGCTTTGCTGGGTCTCCAAACTGCCAGCCTTTGGAATTGCACATTAGGTCTCCTGGGTTTGCCTGCTCACACTCCCGTGAGCAAGTTTTTTTATATATTAAATCTCTTTCTATATATACACATATCCTATTGGTTCTGTTCCTCTGGAGAATCCTTATTAATACAGATTTTGATGTCATGAGGTATGTTTCTGGCACAGAGAGATGATAAATGTTTGAGGTGATAGATATCCCAATTATCTTTATTCGATTATTACACAATGTATACTTGTATTAAAATATCATATGTACCTCATAAAACTATTTGGTATCCATAAATATTTTTTAAATAAATAGAATTTTAAAAATAAATTCAATAGATTTAGGGTTACAAGTGGTTTTTGGTTACATGAATAAATTGTACAGTGATGAACTCTGGGCTTTTACTGTAACCGTAACACAAATACTGTACATTGTATCTAATAGGTGATTATTTTAGCCCTCATCCCTCCTTCTTCCATGTGCCCTAAGAAATAGAACCTTTTAAAAATATTTTTATTTTCCAATAAGTATTATGCACTCCTAAAAAATAGCATCTTAATATTAAATTGTCTGAAATTGGTCCTGTAATATAATCAGATTTTAAGACACTATGACTCTATTTCTAGTTGTAAAGAAACCACTCATAGTCCATGGTATAATCTGGCCATATATATATATATATATATATATATATGTGTGTGTGTGTGTATATATATATACATATATATGTGTGTGTATATATATATATATACACATATATATATACACATATATATATATGTATATATATATATACACATATATATATATGTATATATATATATACACACACACACACACACATATATGTGTCAAACTAATGAGTAGAATGAGATTGACTGGTTACCCCTAATGTCACTAGACAAAGTAGGAGAAATAAGAGGATGAGCTCAGGTATTAAATTTTCTAGCTAAAATATTGCATGAAACAGCAAAAGCTTCTACGTCTAAAGTAAAAGAGTCTCATATAGTCTGAAGCCACAGGGCTGAGATTGCTGAAAACAAAACCCAGAATCTCATCCTGTGAGTGGCTGACTTACAATGCAAATTAAATTCCCAGCCTCTCATGGTGTGTACTATTAAAGTAAGGATGTTGATTGGGAAGAAAAGGGATCCTGGGAGTTCAAGATCAGCTTGGCCAACATGTTGAAACTCCATCTCTGCTAAAAATACAAAAATTAGCCAGGGATGGTGGTGCATGATGGTAGTCTCAGCTACTTGGGAGGCTGAGACAAGAAAATCACTTGAACTCAGGAGGCAGAGGTTGCAGTAAGCTGAGATCGTGCCACTGCACTCCAGCCTGGGCTACAGAGCGAGATGCTATCTCGAAAAAAAAAAAAGAAAGAAAGAAAAAAGAAATGGGATCCTAAAAGTTGGAATGGGGATATGTGGAAAGACAGTGATAAAGCAGGTGACATTTACCCCCTAAAATTTGTTTGGTCTTCTTTTGCCAGTAGAAGCAGTCTCTTAACCTCCATTTCAGGGCAATGCCTGAGAAAATGGTAATGGCCTTTGTTGAGGCTATTACCTGGCAAGACATGCTATTCTCCTCGAGACTTAATCCAACATTCCTTTTGCACTTTGACCTACAACTAGACTCAGTTTCCAGCAGTCCCCTAAAGGTGAGGTAAAAAGTATGACCTACGAAGAAGTATGCTACACTTCAAAAGAACTACCTGAGTTTTCTAATTTATGCAGACAGAAATCTGGGATATAGGTGTGAAAGTAGATATTAAGAGTGTGGGATAATGGTGGGGGAAACCTAAAGTTGGATCAGGCCGACGTTATTGTTATGGGCCCACTAAGCAGAGATTCTGCATTTAACGTTGCAGCTCAAGGAAATAGAAGAGGCTCCACCAGATTTATTTTGGGGGGATGTCGATTAGACAAAACATAGATCAAAAGGTAGCCCCCAGTAATTACCTGAGAAATGCCCAGACCTGCCTTGGTTTAATAGAGAGGAGAGATTCAAGGACTTAATGAGATTGGAATGTTAGAGTGGATTTGTCATTTAAGACCTGCCTTCCTACTCTGGTTATTTAAGGTTATTTAAGACCCATTTACCCATCATAACATACCTTTCATTACAATTGTAAAAAACAAATATTTGAGGGGTGTTCTAGCTCCACTGAAAAGCTGTTATTGTTCTTCTCTGTAGGTCAGACCTTACAGTGGGAACTGCATTCACTGATTTGGAAATGTAAACGTAATTGGAATAATTGGATTCCAGTGTCACAAGAGCCAAGTTTTAGCTCTCGACTGCAAATGGCAGGTGTTGTTACCATAATGGAAAGCAGAGTGAAAGCAACAATCAGAATAATCTGACTTGAGCAGACCTAGAGCTTTGGTAAGTTAATCACGGTGCCTCTAGAAATGAAAGAAATAGGAGGCTTACTACATTCTTACTTGATCTGTATAAGCAGAAAATTTTTAGGTCAAGTGAAAAATAGTCTAAGCTGAATCATAAAACAGAGTCACAACAACCTCTTATCAATTCCCAGGCTTGAGCCAGCTTTCAGACCCAGATCCCTTTGAATGAATGGGAGGCCAAGTTGTTTGGATGAGGGACCTCAGTATACTGCCAAAAATGTATACTATTTCTCCTATCTTTATCCAAAGGCATATAAGGCTTTTTGTGGGTTAACTGCACATTTTGGAAAAGGAACTAATCGGACCTTTCAGGGACCCCTAGACACTGGCTCTGAACTGACACAAATTTTAAGAGACCCAGAATGCTGCTGTGGTCCACTAGTCAGAGTTAGGTGCTTAAAGAGCTCAGGTGATCAATGGAGTTTCAGCTAAGGTCTGTGTCACAGTGGGTTTAGCTGTCCTTGAGCCCATCTGTGGTTATTTCTCTGGTTCCAGAGCATATAGTTGGAACAGATATGCTCAGCAACCAGCAGAATCCGCCATTGGTTCCCTGACCTTTAAACTTTGAGTACCCATTTCCCTTCTTAATTTGGGTAGGCCTCATTTAGTTTAAGGTTTAAACAAAACACAAAGACTGGGGCTTCCCCAAGAAAGAGGGAATTTTCCAGCAGAGTACCTGTGGATTTCATTTATACCATTGGATGTTCTAGGTCTCTAGCCTATCTGTGCAAGACCGAAGATTTGGATTTAGCCTCCATAATTATGTAACTCAGTTTCATAATACACACACACACAAACACACACACACACACACACATCCTACTGTTTCTCCAGTCTCCACAGAACCCTAATATTTTACAGAAATGAATTCTTATTTTATTTTCTATATTTTGTTATTGCAAATAGTGTTGCATTTAATAATAGTGTGTATATTTGATATAAAACATCCTATAAGTTACATTTTGTGATCAGAGGATACATGTATGTGTCGTTTTGATAGATATTCTTAATTCCCCTGATTAAACAACCAGCCAAATAGGAAACAATTTTTTTTTCTTTTAAGAATTTGGATGCCGAGTATGTGCCTGATTGACTCCAAAACCTTTGGGATTGATTTTCAAATTAAATTACATATTATATGAAGATGTAATAGATTAAAAATAACTGAGAAATTCCAATATGAATTAATTTTTTCTTATTCCAAAGGGATATTAATCAAAGAAACTTTCACAGAAGATGTTGGTTTCATTATCCCCATCATTCTCATCAAAACTTATAAGTGGAGAAAAAATTTATTTATATTAGCATCCCCCAAATAAAATACTTAAACATTAAGTTATATACATATTATATATTAAGTTATATACATATTAAAAGTTATATACATATTATAAATGTAATGTATACATTATATAAGTAACATATATAAGTGTTATATATGTTAAGTGTTATGTATGTTATATATATAACATATATAATGTTAACATTACATATAATGTTATATGTAAGTGTTATATATGTTAGTTATAATGTATATAATAAATGTTATATCTGTTAGTTATAACGTATATAATAAATGTTATATCTGTTATAATGTGTATAATAAATGTTATCTATGTTAGTTATAATGTATATAATAAATGTTATATATGTTAGTTATAACATATATGTGTTATATATGTTATGACATGTAATAAACATTATATATGTTATAATATATAATAAATGTATATGTCATAATATATAATAAATGTTATGACATATATAATAATGCTATAACATAATAAATGTTATACTGTTATAAAATATACTTTCATGATGTTATATATGTTACTTATGTAATGTATGTGTTATATATGTTACTTATATACTGTATAAATTACTTTTGTAATATGCTACAAAATATACTTTTATACTATGTTATAAAATATACTTTTATGATAAATGTTATGTATATGTTACTTATGTATAATAAAATACTTGTATATTGCTTACATATGTATAAGTATACATAAGTAATTTGTTAAATGGACGTCTTTATGATCATCTATTTTCTGGAACATGGGTAAGGAAGACAACCCTTGACTCAATTTCTTTTAGAATAATTTCCACTTAATGGAATTAATGATTTCAACTTCACAGAAATTTCTTAATAAAATTTATGGTAATTGCTACTGACCTTATTAACTTTTGCTCTCTCTCATGGGTAGGTTCTGGGTTGGCCTTATAAATTAAAATGTATGCTGAGGAGGTAAGACCTGTCTTTACACTTGGGGTATAGGTGAGCAAATTAGGACTAATGCTTTAGCTAATGTAGTCTTTTGATTGACAGGTGATCATCAAAACCATGAGGTATAAGTAATGAAGTGTAAGTTGTATTAGTGTCCTATTGCAGCTATAGTAAATTATAAACTCTTTATAGTGAAACTAAACATATTAATATTTATCATCTTACAGTTCTGAAGGTCAGAAGTTTAAAATGAGTAAGCAAAGTTTTATTCCTTCTACAATATGTAGGGAAGAATTAGTGTACTTGCTTTTTCTAGATTTTAAAAGTCACTTGCATTCCTAGTCTCCTGTATTTTTTCTTTCATCATTCTGATCTCTGCTTCCATCTTCGCATCTCCTATTGACTCTCATTTTCTGCCACCCTCTTTGGTTTACACTAGGTTTTCTATTATACCATGCACACCCAGATAATCCAGGATAATCTTCCCATCTCAAGATACTTTCTTATTCATATCTGCAAAGTCCATTTTGCCATGTAAGTTAATGTATTAAAAAATGTCAAGGGTTACAACAGGGAGATCTTTTGGGGGACAAGGGGCACTTTTTTTTCACACATAGCCTTCTGACCTCCAAATATTCACATTCATTCCACATGCAAACTCTATTTACCTATCCAAACATATTCAAAAGTCTCAACCTATTACAACATCAACTAAAGGTGCAAAATTTCATCTAGATCTCACCCACTCAAAAGTTTCAAATTTCATCATGTAAATTATCTAAATATGAAATATGTGAGGCGTTGGATATGATCCATTTTGGAACAAAATTTCTCTTTTCTTGTGGATCTATAAAATTAGAAAGCAAGTTGTCTTCCAAAATCCAATGCTTGGGCTAGCACAGGATACACTTATAGACATTCTCTTTTCAAAAAAGAAGAAAATAGAGGGGAAAAAAAGGAATCATAGTTCTTATGCAATTTCAAAATCCAGCAGGGAAAACTTCATTAGGTTCCATGGTCTACAAATAATCCTCTTTAAGTCTCAGCTATTTCTCTGAGCTTTTGGGTCTGTTGCTCTGTCCTGCGAGTCATCCTTCCTTTTTAATGAAGGATAGTATGTGTTCACAGTTAAATAATTTTACCTACCTATTTCCTGTCTACAGAACTTTGAGAGTTCAACAGCCTTCTTTCATTGTTTCTTCTCTCTGTTCCTTTTAGCTTCAGCTGGCAATGTTTCTGCTAATGCAACAGCCTTAAGATTCATGTGTTTTTCCAATAAGTGTTTTGGGGATTCATTCCACTGGACAATAGGCTTCACTATAGATATTTCTGCATAAGATCATCTCTGTTCTTGGCTCTGCTTAGTGGCTGAGGGATCTGTAAGTCACATGTCTAATTTCTTCAGAAAACCCTCTGTGTGATGGAATATTCTGGCCTTTTGATTCTTTCTACACATTAGCAAAAGGTTGTAGAGCCACACCCTGGCCTTCTCTTCACAGCCAACTTTCTTAACAGTGAGTTTTCTAATTGCAGTGTCTTTTGCAATGTGAAAATTACCCAAATTATCAAGCCTCTGTTTCTTGTTTTCTTTTCAGTTCTTTCCTCAAACGACCTCTGTCCTTTCACATTCTCACAGAAGCAGCAAGAATAAACCAGTCTACACATTCAGCACTTTGCTTGGAAATCTCTTTAGCTAAATATACAAGTTCACTGTGAAAAATTTCTGCTTTCTGCATAGCTGTAAGGCCCAATTCTCCAAAGTTTCTGCAACTGTATAGCAAAGATTTCCTTTCATCCAATTTCCAATACCATGATCACCATTTCCTCTAGCCCTCACCAGTGGTTACTTTTATGTTCATATTTCTACAGTCAGTTTATAATCTACACACACACACACACACACACTCCCTTATTTATTTACTTATGTATTTATCTTTACTATGCTTCTCACATTGAGCACTCCAGCAGATTTGTGAACCATTTCTACAAATAATCTGTTTAAGGCAATCTAGGCTTTTACCGTCATGTTTCTCAAGATTTTCCAGCCTCTGCCCACTGCCCAAGTCCACAATTACATCCACATTTTTGTTATATTTATTATGAAATGCAAATCATATGCTAAGTATACATTTATTATATCAGCATACCACTTTCAGTATCAAAACCAGTTTCTTATTGCTAATTATCATAAATGCAGTGACTTGAAACAATAGAAATTCATTATCTCAGTGTTTCAGGGATCAGCAGTTCTAAAATCAAGGCGTCGCGTATGCTGTGTTTCTTCTGGAAATTTTTGCCTTTGCAAAATGTTTGCTTTTTGCAGCTTCTATATATCATCATTTTGCCTTTGTGAAATTTTTGCCTTTTGCAGCGTCTATATATCATCTGCATTTCTTGCCATGTCAGTCCTTCCTGGCCTTAATCTGACCTCTGCTTTCATCATCAGATCTCGTCTGACTCTGACACTCCTGCCTTCACTTCTTAAGGATGCTTGTGGTTGCAGGGCCTGCTGGTATAATTCAGGATAATTTCCCTTAACTTAATCACACCTGTATACAACTTATTTTCCACATGAGGCCACATATTCATAGCTTTTGTGAATTAGTATACAGACATCTCTGGGGACAGCTATTCTACCACAGACATATCTATGTTACTATCATAACAGCTATTTCATATCGATATTTCCGATAGAAACTCCAAAGGTAAATTTAAAGCACCTATGGATCACGGAAAAAAATTATCAATAGATAAGTAGATCATCTAATACGGAGAAAAGAGTTAAACTGAGATATTTATGTAACAGTCTTCCTGATAATATTTAAAACCATGAAGTCAGATTCTATGCGAGAAAAAATGTTTGAAATAGTTAAACTGAAGAAGATTAGAATTTAGAGAAACTAATATGCTGATGCATTTGGACTATAAAATGTATTGACACCGGGGTAAATTAATTTAGAAAATGTAAAATATAAGTCCAGAACTAATCAAAGTCTTGGACACAGAAGAAGAAAATTTTAAGAACAAGATGCTTAACTTATAATCAGTGGTAAATGTAAATAAAGAAAAATAAAAAATCATTATGTTTTGATATTAAGTTTCCATTGGTGAACTGAGCAAGACAGTTTCTAGAAAAGATGTATTAGGCAGAATTTACGATAAAGTACACTAACAAGTGAGAATATAGAGATGGTAGGACTATATTAATATTTTATCATTTTTGCAATAAAGAGATTGGCTATAGTATAGTGAGGTGATAAATCAATAGAAAATAAGGAAGGATGCCTGACCATATTGTAGACTAAGAAGTAGTTTCAAATGGCAAGAGAGAATGAAGAAATCTTTAAAAAGAAAACAAAAATATAATAGAAAACAACATTTCTTAGAAAGCAGCAAGGGAAGAAATCAAGAGCACAAAGGGAGGTCTTAAGAGAGAATAAATATAGTTCCTTTCCCCACTTTCTATAATTAAAAGAAAAGGTAAAGATATATATAGATATAGAAATGGAAAAACAAATAATAATTTTTAGAACTTTCTATTCTTGGGTTAAGAGAACAAGGACATTAAGCTACACATGGTTTAAATAACTTGCCCTAGATCTTATATTACAAAGCCGAAGATGGGAGTTTTAATTCAGGCCCATGTGATCCCAAAGTTTTTTAAGAAGTTTGCAACAATATCTGACATGGAAGACAAGATCATCCGCTGATTGGGAAGGCTTGAGGCACTATGGGAGATTGAAAAGATTACTTTTAGGTTTGTATCACTCATTACAGAGAACTGAAAGAAAACACCTAAACAAAAGTAAAATCAAATTTGCATACATTTTAACCATAACTAATTAGATTGAAGCTCTGGTTTGTTTCTTTTCTTTCACCATACTTCATGTTCACAAAATCTGTAACCTCGGATTGAACAGTTAACTAATCTGTAGAAAAAGGTATATTCCAAAAAGACGTGTGTTTATTTTCAGATCAAGACGCTAGTCTCAATAACCTATTTATCATTTTTCTAATTTGGGTAAACAAACTGATATTTAAAAGATTCCTAGGCACTTTAATCATTCTCCCCCTCCACACTTTGACCTGGGAAGCAAGATTAGAGCTGTGCAGGGTATTTTTGTTTCCACGTGTCTTTCCCTCTGGTTTTCTTAGGTACTGATGCCTTTTACAAGAATTGGGATACCTGACAAAGAGTTGATAATTAAAGTTGATTATGCCAGTTCAATCTCGTGGGATATTAAACATACCAACATATCCCTCAAAAGCCAGGGATAAGAACAGTGATTTCTTACCATTATCCTTCAAGCACACAGGTTTTCATTGCCTCATTCAACCTTATAGTCTGGCCACATGAGAGAAAGAACAACACAAAAAGAGAAAACAACTTTCGTATAATGAAAATTTTAAAAATTCATATATACATGTGTGTATAGATAGATAGATAGATATAGATGTATACACATATATGACTTGACCTCACTATATTTGAGGGAAGTATATAGTATTTGATATTTCATTAATTGAAATAATCACACTAAACATTTTAAGTGAGAAAAATACTCCAAACTAAAGAAATCTATCTTTGAATCTCCAGATCTTAGACCAGGGCCTGGACTCGGATAAATAGTAGAAATTCAATTATATTTGCTAAATAAATAAGGCAATTAACTCACCTGAGATAATACTTGCTAGCAAGTGGTAAAATTAAAGTATGACAATAGCTGTACTGACTTCTGCTTTCTTAAAAAAATCCATGTCGTTTCCTGGGAAATTGAATTATTTTTCCTTTTCTTTTTTTAGAAATAGTCTCACGGTGTCACCAAAGCTGGAGTACAGTGGTGATCACAGCTCACTGTGGCCTCAAACCCAAGCGATTCTCCTACTTCAGCCACCCCAGTAGCTGGGACTACAAGTGCATGCACATGCCATTACATCATGCTTATTTGTTTGTTTGTTTGTTTGTTTGTTTGTTCATTCGTTCGTTTGTTTTTGGTAGATATTGGGTCTCACTATGTGATCCAGGCTAGTCTTGAACTCCTGATCTCAAGTGATGCTCCCACCTCCACCTCCCAAAGTTCTGGGATTACAGGAGTGAGCCACCATGCCTGGTTTATTTTTCTATTTCACTCCTCCAGGAGGCAATTCTTAGTCTCCATACACACACTCAAAACAATCTCCTCTTTCTAAACTTGCTTTATAATTGGCTTGATCCTCTTTGCAATCAACTCGTTGATTTCAGTGATCTCAGTCTTGCCAGGTTGTCAACTCTTATTGTTGTGATGATGATTTTAAATGTCCTTCTTCTCTTCAGATCATAATTGTGCACTTCAGTATGTGTACGTAAATTTGAAAGCATGGAGGAGTATAGAATGGAATTAGGACAAACTTCAGGTTGAAGAATCAATTACAAGCATACCCAGAAGATATTGCCGGTTCTGTTCCATACCACTTCAACAAAGTAAATATTGCAACAGAGTAACACAAATTTTTGGTTTCCCAGTGCATATTAAAGTTATATTTACACTATACTATAATCTATTATGTGTGCAATAGCATTATGTCTGCAAAAATAATGTATATACCTTAAAGAAAAATAATGTATTACCAAAAAATGCTAACAATCATTTGACCCTTCAGCTAGTCTTAACCATTTGGCTGGTGGAGAGTCTTGCCTCAGTGATGATGGCTGCTGACTGATGGGGATGATGGTTGCTGAAGATTGGGGTAGTTGTAGCAATTTCTTAAAACAAGACAATTAAGTTTGCCACATTAATTGACACTTCCTTTTATAAAAAAAGTTCTCTGTAGCATGCAGTGCTTTTTGATAGTATTTTACCCAGAGTAATAAATAACTCCTCATCTGTACAAGTTTTATCATGAGATTGTAGCAATTCAGTCACATCTTCGTGCTCCACTTTGAATTCTAGTTGTTTTGCTGTTTTCACCAAATCTGCAGTTACTTTCTCCTTTGAAGTTGTGAACCCCACAAAGTAATGTGTGAATGTTGCAATCAAACTTGTTCCAACTCCTATTAATGTTGATGTTTTGACTTCTTTCCATGAATCACAAATGTTCTTAAAGGCATTTAGTATGATGAATTCCTTTCAAAAGCTTCCCAACGTACCGTGCCAACATACGTCAAAGGAATTACTGCCTATGCCAATTATAGACTCATAAAATGTATTTCTTAAATAACAAGACTTGAAATTTGAAATTACTCTTTGATCAATGCGCTACAAAATGGATGTTGTATTAGTAGACATGAAAACAACCTTAAACTCCTGGTATCTCTTTAGTGAATAGGTGCATTGTGAATAAGCCGTAATATTTTGAAAGGAATTGTTTATTTCTGAGCAGTAAGTCTCAACAGTGGACTTAAAATATTAGGTAAACCATTGCTGTAAAGAGGAGTACTGTCACCCAGGCTTTGTTGTTCCATTTATAGAGCACAGGCAGAGCAGATTTAGCATAATTCTTAAAGGCCTTAGGATTTTCAGAATGATAAATGAGCACTGGGTTCAACTTAATCAGCTGTATTAGCTCTTAACTAGAAAGTTAGCCTGTCCTTTGAAGTTTAGAAGCCAGGCATTGACTTGGCTCTAGCTATGACAGTACTAGATGGTATCTTCCAATAGAAGAATGTTTCATTCACATTGAAAATCTATTGTTTGCTGTAGCCCCCTTCATCAACAATCTTAGCTAGATCTTTTGGATAATGTGCTGAGCTTCTACATTAACCCTTACTATGCTAGTTCACCTAGTACTTTTATGTTATGGAGATTGCGTAAAGAATTTAGATTTTTTTAAAATCTAATTAACCAATCTCATGTAGCTACAAACTTTTCTGCTGAAGCTCACTTCCATCTCTCAGCCTTCATAGAATTAAAGAGGGTTAGGGCCTTGCTCTGGATTAGCTTTGGCATAAGGGAATGTTATGGTGGTTTGATCGTCTATCCAGACCCCTCAAACTTTCTCCGTATCAGCAACAAAGCTGATATTATTCATGTGTTTACTGGAGTAGCACTTTTAACTTCCTTCAATAATTTTCCTTTACACTGACAACTTTGCTAACTGGCCAAAGAGGTCTAGCACTCATTGATCTTAACTATCAATGTGTCGTCCTCTTTACACGTAATCATTTTTAGCTTTTAATTTAAAGTGAGAGACATACCAGTCTTTCTTTCACTTGATCACTAAGAAGCCATTGTAAGGTTGTTAATTGGTCTAGTTTCTTTTTTTCTTTTTTTCTTTTTTTTTTTGAGATGGAGTCTCGCTCTGTCAACCAGGCTGGAGTGCAGTGGTGCGATCTCGGCTCACTGCAACCTCCGCCTCCCAGGTTCAAGCAATTCTCCTGCCTCAGCCTCCTGAGTAGCTGAGATTACAGGCGCCCACCACCACGCCCAGCTAAGTTCTATATTTTTAGTAGAGACGGGGTTTCACCATGTTGGCCAGGCTGGTCTCGAACCCCTGACCTTGTGATCCACCCGCCTCGGCCTCCCAAAGTGCTGGGATTTCAGGCGTGAGCCACCGCGCCTGACCTAATTGGTCTAGTTTCAATATGATTGTGTCTCAGGGAACAGAGAGGCCCGATGAAAGGGAGAGAGATTGGGGAACGGCTGGTCAGTGGAGCAGTCAGAACACATACAACATTTATAAATTATGTTTGCTGTCTTTTATAGGCACAGTTCACACTGCCCCAAAGCAATTACAATTGTAGCATCAAAGATCATTGATCACATATTACCAGAATAGATGTAATAATAACTAAAAAGTTTAACTTATTGTGAGAATTACCAAAATTTCACAAGAGCCATGATGTGAGCACATGCTATTGAACTAATTGGTACCCATAGACTTGCTTGACACAGAATTGCCACAAACCTTCAATTTGTAAAAAAAAAAAAAAAAACATGGTATCTGTGAAACACATCAAGCAAAGCACAATAAAGTAAGGTATGACTCTATCAGATTATTGAATGATCTAGTTTAAACAATGAGAAATTTAACAAAGACAGTCACAGTTGATATGGAGAGACGTGGAGTAATTTGTGACATATAATGAGTGTACTAGAATGAATATTGAATATTAAATAGGAATATGACTGAAAATGGGGGTTAAACGTGAGAAGGGTTTAGTATCCTGCTTAGGATTTGGCTTGGCTGACTTGCTCTATGGCTTGGGATAATATTAACAAATTCACAGGGCACATATTAACTGAAGACCTTAATAACAATCAAGTAATATAATCCCCAGAAAAAAAGATTTATGTCCAGTACGTACGTTAATGACTGGAGAACATTTATGTGACAAAACAGATGCTGTGTAAAATACTAAATATTTGAACTATAGAAACATTTCATCACTAAATGAGCCCATTACTTAAGCTGTTATAACAGTCCTCACTTGCATATAGATTCAGTTTTATAAAAGAGCAGTAATTTCAAAAGCAAGATTGTTCATAGCCCATGTGACACTGCACCTTAAGTTATTTTATCTAAACTGGAATTTACTTTAAGAACAAATAGGCTTTTATTGTTGCTGATAGTAGGTGATTGTTTTATTTTTATCACTCCTCAAGCTACCCAGGATGGCTATGCTGTTTATCTAACTTAGAGATTGTTTTACATATGTAAAAAATGAATTATTTTCAGATCTTCTGCAATATGCATATAGGACAATAAATAATTAAGGTAGATTGCACTGTTTAAATATTCTCATGTAACACATGTAATAATAGATTTGAAATCATGAGCAAATTGTGATTCCAATATGAAGTAAATACATAGCAGTGTTTCACAACACATGGTGAGAGAAAACAAATTTTAATAGTAGATTAATTAAAATGTAATCTACATTGTTCCTAACAATTTCCAGTCAGTTCATTATGTTTTTTCTCTAACATACTACCATACACTTATGATACTTTTTAATGTTGTGATTTGAATGTAATTAAATGCATTTACAGTGATTATGCAGGAGGCAATATTGTACAAATGTGCAAATGCTAAAATTTTGAATCACAATAAATTCTAAAATGAGGTAACCGTGTAGAATTGAAAACACATTTCTGAGTTTTATACCTTAATAAGAAATATAACTAAGATTTTATTAGATTTTGTTTTTCTGCTTGGTTTCTGACCTTAAAATAGAATGATTTCCATACCTGAAGAATTCTGTGAAAAATCAACTTAATTTGTTTGCGGTAATGAGAACACTCAACCATTCACCCAACAATATTTATTGCTTATTCTGATTTGCCTGGCATTGCGTTAGTCATCGGAGTACAATGATGAGAGAAATCGACAGAGCACTTTTTCATGGAGCCTGGGGTTTCTTCTAGAGAGAGACAGATAATGTCAGTGTGACATTTAGAAAAATTATAGCTATAAACTTAGAATAAAAACAAGAAAACTAGGATAAATAAAAAGAAACTTTCCATGAATTTAGAGGTATAACGCAGGTTTCTGTTATTTTAGTAAATTCTAAAAGGCTTCTTAAGTAACTGAATCCTTGATTACATTCGTGAACCACTTTGGAGGATAACAATACCTGTCATTTCAGAAAAGTACACCTCTCAAAGTGTCACCTTTATGAATTCTCCATAAAATAACATGATCAGATTAGGCTCTTGTTGGCCTGTATGTTTTTTTAAATTTTAGTAAAATACACAGTTATTACTATTGAATTCTCTCTAAGGATATGAGTATTTTGTATGTTAGATTATCATGGTACATTAAAAGCAGAACAAAAATATAAGCACAAAATAAATGAAAATACAAAAGAAATCAAACGGCTTCTAATACCTTTTGATGCCACAGAAAATATTTTCTTTTAACTTCACAGAAAAGTTTCATAAGAGAGCTTTTAAAAACTGTACATTAGTATTTTTAAGACTGTGCACTTAAATTCTAATTTTAAGATTTTATTTCAAAATAACTTGACTCACAGGAAGTCTCAATTTATAAAATAAATTGTTACTTCTTTTAAAAGTTGACTATTCATTTTTTTGGGACAGAGGATTCCAGAAAGCGTTTAAGGAGAGGGTATTCGTTGCCCTGAAAATTGAGTATAAATGCCCTAAATGCATCTAGGAATATAGTCCATGTCATGTACCCTTAAGCAACAAGATATGCTTTAAAAATTTGGAGAATTTTAGAGCTATTGTGTTCAAAATAATAATAATAATAATAATAAAATTATAGTCATGCTGTACTAATCACTTTTTGTATCTAACAACCACTTCTGAAATCCATAAAGCTAAAACTGCTTATGTTAAAAATTTGGGGCCTGGCGCGGTGGCTCATGCCTGTAATCACAGCACGTTGGAAGGCCAAGGTGGGCAGATCACAAGGTCAAGAGGTCGAGACTATCCTGGTCAACATGGCAAAACCCCGTCTCTACTAAAAATGCAAAAATTAGCTGGGCGTGGTGGCAGGCGCCTGTAGTCCCAGCTACTGGAGAGGCTGAGGCAGGAGAATGGCATGAAGCCGGGAGGTGGAGCTTGCAGTGAGCAGAGATGGCACCACTGCACTCCAGCCTGGGCCACAGAGCAAGACTCTGTCTCAAAAAAAAAAAAAAAAAACAAAAACCAAGATAAATGTAAAGATATTATCAAGTTACTTTACTAATAAAATATGCATGAAATTATCTAGGAATATGTTAAGCATACTCTTGCCAAATTAGAATAATGATCTATTTACATTATTTTCTAGTCACCACTGTGGTCAAAGTAGTGAGAGAAACTGATCTTGTATTCAAAATTATATATATACAGTTATTAACAATGGGAAGAAAATTCTGAAAACTATTCCACTTAAGTAGTTAGAATCATAAAAAGGAGAGAACACACCCCTTTTCAAGAAAATTGTCACATTATAAGAAATGTAATGGAGGTTTTCAAGAAAGTATGTTTTGGAAATATATGGACGTCTTCAGATTTGGATTATTTTATTAAATAGGACAGTCTTTCCATAGTTTAAGGAGAAAAACATTAAGTACTGTCATAAGAACTTTAAAAGTTCATTTTTACAAATTATTAACAAGCGCCAGTCACCTCTGTGAGATTATAAAACTTTGTAAAATAAATTCATGTGACTTACATCACAGCTATATTACTTACCTCCATTAAATTTTTAAAAAGTGAATTATATTATTACTTCAGTTAATATTAGGCATGTTGTTTGAGATGACTAATTTTTTTTTATTATTGTCTATGGATGTGCTAGAAAAAAATCTAAAAATATATAGAAAAAATTATTATAAAAGCAATTCCCGTATAAAGAACAATTTCTTTTTTTTTTTAACTTATTGTTTCTAATGTGTTTACTTCTTCTGGTGCCTTGGCCTCTTCGTTAGAGAATAAATATGCTATGAATGCTGTAAACGCTGAAGAGATGGCACTAATTTAATGTATATAGTCATTATAATAAAAAATAAATTTAATAATAAGAAGTTGCACAACATAGAAATTCTTGGGAAGCCTCGAATTAAGGTCTATGTTTTATGGAATTTTACAACAGAAATAATTTTTGTATTTCACAAAGCACATGGTTGCCATGGTAACCTTATTTCAACATTGCACACAGTGCATTTTCTCATATTAAATATTAAGTCCAGCAAAATAATTGAATTATATTTTATTTATTTTATACTTTATCATAAAAAGAGTGGGTTTTTTTTTTTTGCATTGGAGAAGGTAATGCAAAATCTTAGGATTGCCATGCTTTTTGTCCCATAAGATCAAATAAAAATATTTAAAATTGTTTGAAGACTGTATTTTTTCTCTGCATAGTAAATGTGCTTCCTGACAAGAATGCCAAAAAATTGTTTGTGGATCCAACTGAATTGATTAAACTGAGTTAAAATTACCACTACCTAGTCTGTTATATATTTTATTTGTTTATTATGTTTATTCTCTATTTCACTTAGTAGAGTATAACAAATGTAAGTTAAGAAATTTTCAGGAAAATGAATATTTATGTTCATGACATATTAAGGGCCTATGACAGTACCTGGTACGCAGAAGGTATATAGTAAATTTTGTCGAATAAAAAATATAAATAATGAAGTTATATTACTTTTTCAATTAGAAAATTACAAATGGCTTTAAAATGTTGAAATCATAAAGTAGTATTTAACTCTTAAACGATGTACATAAGAAGTTGATATTTTGATATTTCCTCTAGTTTCTTTTTCAGTTCTACATTACTAATAGCTACATTAGGCAGAATAGAATAAGCTTTTTATAAACTGCCCTGGCAAGATTCAGTTTGCAAATATTAACACTCCGTTTTCTGGTCATATGATTTTTTAACATGCATTTGGGTTAATAAATGGCCATTGACATGATTTGGAATCACTTTTCCAATTCAATCTAGAGGGAAGCTAGATTTAAAATTCTTCCCTTTATGTTCATGGCTATAATGGAATAGACTAACTACCACTTGTCAAAATACATTGTTTGTGGTCTCTCATTAAATATATTTAGATTGAAGTCATGACAATGTTTCACTTAGAAAATAAGAACAATATTGAACATTGTATTATGTTTACATTATGAGACAGAAACTTATCATTATATATTCTAAGATTTGTGATTTGTATATTCTAACAGATTTATAATGATATTTATAATGAAATGATTACATTTTTCTTTTAAATGTACTTTTGTAGGTCAAAATAGAGAAAGATTATAGGTGTTTCAATTAAAAAAAAAAGAACAGAACTACTGCACTACAATAAAGAAACACACTCCATTAACCTTTTCATCTTTGGAAATTATACTGACTGCAGTAAACTTTCCGATTCAAATGCACCATTACCTCAGGTTTTTTTTATTATTATTTCTATAAAGTCAAGGAGTACAACTGTAATGTTGTGACATTTATATGTTTGATAGTGGCAAAATCTGGGCTTTCAGTATATCTATAATAAACATTGTACCCATTAAGTAATTTATTATTATCCACTTCCCTCTCACACTTCCACCCTTTTGAGTCTCCATTGTCTATTATTCCAGACTCTATGTCCATGTAAACATATTGTTTAGCTCTCATTTATAAGTGAGAACATGTAGTATTTGTTTTTCTGTTTCTGAGTTTCACTTAATATGATAAACTCCAGCTATATTCATGTTGCTGCAAAAAACATGATTTATTTTTTAGACTTGAATAGTATTCATACACACACACACACACACACACACACACACACACAGTTTATTTATCTATTCATTTGTTGACAGGCACTTAGGTTGATTCCATGTATCTGTTACTGTGAATATTGCTGTAATTAATGTGACAGGGCAGATATCTCCTCAACATATTGATTTCCATTCATTTGGATATATACCCAGTAGTGGGATTGTTAGATCATGTAGTAGTTCTATTTTTAGCTTTTTGAGGCATCTCCATACTAATTTTCATACTATTGGTAGTTGTACCAATTTACATTTCCATCAACAAGTATATAAGGGTTCCCTTTTCTCTACATCCTTGCCAGCTGTGTTAGTCGGTTTTCATGCTGCTGCTGAAGATATACCTGAGACTGGGCAATTTAAAAAGCAAAGAAGTTTAATTGGATTTACAGTTCCATGTGGCTGGGGAAGCCTCACAATCGTGGTGGAAGGCAAGGAGGAGCAAGTCACATCTTATATGGATGGCAGCAGGCAAAGAGAGAGCATGTGAAGGGAGACTCCTGTATTTCAAAACTGTCAAATCTTGTGAGACTTATTCATTATCACAAGAACAGCATGGGAATGAACTGCCTCCATAATTCATTTACCCCCCACCTGATCTCTCCCACAACACATGGGATTCAAGATGAGATTTGGGTGTGACATAGCCAAACCATATGATTCTGCCCCAGGCCCCTCCCAAATCTCATGTCCTCAAATTTCAAAACCAATCATGCCTTCCCAAGGGTTTCCTAAAGGCTTAACTCATTTCAACATTAACTCAAAAGTCTACAGTCCAAAATCTCACCTGAGACAAGGCAAATCTCTTCCACCTATAAGCCTGTAAAATCAAAAGCAAGTTAATTACTTCCCAGATGCTAATGGGGGTACAGGCATGAGGTAAATACAGATATGCCAAATGGGAGAAATTGGCCAAAATAAATGGGCTATAGGCCCCATGCAAGTCTGAAATCCAAGGGGGCAGTCAAGTATTAAAGCTCCAAAATTATCTCCTTTGATTCCATGTCTCACATCCAGGTCACGCTGATGCAAGAAGTGGGTTCCCATGGTCTTGGGAAGCTCTGCCCCTGTGGCTCTGCAAGGTACATCTTCCCTCCCAGTTGGCTTCATTGGCTGGCATTGAGTGTCTGCAGCTTTTCCAGGTACACTGTGCAAGCTGTCAGTGGATCTAACATTCTGGGATCTGGAGGATGGTGGCCCTCTTCTCACAGCTCCACTAAGCAGTGCCCCAGTAGGGACTCTGTGTGGAGGCTCTGACACCACATTACCCTACTGCACTGCCCTAGCAGAGGTTCTCCATGAGAGTTCCTCCCCTTCAGCAAACTTCTGGCTAGACATCCAGGCATTTCCATACATACACTGAAATCTAGGCAGAGGTTCCCAAACCTCAATTCTTTACTTCTATGTACCCTCAGGCTAAACACCACATGAAAGCTGCCAAAGACTGGGGCTTGTACCCACTGAAGCCATGGCCCTAGCTTTGCCTTGTCCCCTTTTATTCACAGCTGGAGAAGCTGGGATTCATGGAACCAAGTCCCTAGACTGCACACAGCACAGGAAACCTGGGCTTGGCCCACAAAACCTTTATTTCCTCCTAGGCCTCTGGGCCTGTGATGGGAGGGGCTGCCATGAAGACCTCTGTCATACCTGGAGACATTTTCCCTGTTGTCTTGGGGATTAACATTCAGCTCCTTGTTACTTATGCAAATTTATGCAGCTGGCTTGAATTTCTCCTCAGAAAATGGGATTTTCTTTTCTATCACATTGTCAGGCTGCGAATTTTCCAAACTTTTATGCCCTCCTTCGCTTATAAAATGGAATACCTTTAACAGCACCCAAATCGCCTCTTGAATGCTTTGCCACTTAGAAATTTCTTCCAAATACCCTAAATCACCTCTCTCAAGTTCAAAGTTCCACAAATCTCAAGGGCACGGCAAAATGACATCAGTCTCTTTGCTAAATTATCACAAGGGTCACCTTTGCTCCTGTTCCCAACAATTTCCTCATCTCCATCTGAGACCACCTCAGCCTAGACATTATTGTTCATATCACTATCAGCATTTTTCTCAAAGCCATTCAAGTCTCTAGGAAGTTCCAAACTTTCACATATTTTCCTGTCTTCTTCTGAGCCCTTCAAACTGTTCCAACCTCTGTCTCTCACCCAGTTCCAAAGTTGCTTCTACATTTTGGGTATCTCTTCAGCAATGCCCCACTCTGCTGCTACCAATTTACTGTATTAGTTCATTTTCACGCTGCTAATAAAGACATACTTGAGACTGGGCAATTTGCAAAGGATAGGGGTTTAATTGAATTTAAAGTTCCATGTGGCTGGGGAAGCCTAACAATCATAGTGGAAGGTGAGGAGGAGCAAATCATGTCCTACATGGATGGCAGCAGGCAAAGAGAGAGTTTGTGCAGGGAGATTCTTGTTTTTCAAAACCATTAGATCTCGTGAGTCTTATTCATTATCATGAGAACAGCATGAGAAAGACCTGCCCTATGATTCAATTACCTCCCACCAGGTCCCTCTCAAAACATGTGGGATTTCAAGATGAGATTTGAGTGGGAACACAGCCAAACCATATCACCAGCATGTGTTATTTTTTGTCTTTTTGGTAATAGCCATTCTATTTGGTGTGAGATGATCTCTCATTGTGGCTTTGATTTGCATTTCCCTGATGGTTAATGATGTTGAACATTTTTTCATATACTTGTTGGTCATTTACATGTCTTCTTTTGAGAACTGTCTATTCAGAACAATTGCCCATTTAAAAAAGTAGATTATTTGTTATTTTACTGTTGAGTTATTTGAGTTCCCTTCCAAAATCTGTTATGTTTTGTCTTTTTAAGAAGTATATCTTTGTTTGAAAAATGTCTACTCAGGTCCTTTGCCCACTTTTTAATGGTGTTGTTTTCATTGTTGTTTTTATTTTTGAACTGTTTGAGTTCCTTGTAAATTCTGAATATTAGTCCCCTGTCAAATGTGTAGTTTCAAATTATTTTTAGTACTTTTTTTCTTAAGCTCAAAATGTGAAAACAGAATGTTCCGCAGTGAACAAACATGATACTTTTTTCCTCTAAGAGAAGTCTCAGGCAATTCATATGAGAATAATATTTAAAAGGGGGAAGACTCTTAGCCAAACTTAAGAAAAATAATAAAAATATGGCATCTGATTTGTTTACACACACACACGGATACTACATGCAAGACAGAAATTTGCTAGCATTTGTGAATCAATCAGTGATATTTTAAGTGCTCTGAACTACAGTGCTTGACACTGTACCCATTACAAATGTAAGCTAAGCAGTTTATTAATATTAAAATATATGCTAACAACCTTGCCTATGTAGCACAACAGCAAAGATATAGAAACTAGAAATAGCAATGATGTTCACTTTGGAACATTGCGTTAAAGAAGTCCCATAATTCTCCAACATAGCATCATGATATACTCCTTCAAATTGCACCTTAATAGGCATAAACATTGCCATCTAAACATTCCAATTTACAAAAAAAATGAAAAACATGAATGGTTCTTATGTTTGCCTTTTAAACAAAACTGTTATTTATTTCAGTATTGTCCACTTTTTGTTATATATGTGGGAAAGGAAAAAGATTCACTTTCTTTGTGAATCAAAGTTTTTTGAAAAAATAGTCCCTTTTTACAATCTGTGTTCTAGAATTGATTCTTACCATTATTATTGAAATAATGACCTCCCAAAAGATATTCACATTCTAATTTCTAGGACTTTTGAATGCTAATTTGTATGGAAAAGATGATTTTACAGATGTTACTAAATTGAAAATTTTGAGATGAAGGAGATTATCCTTGATTATAAAGGTGGGTCCTAAATACAATCACATTTATCCTAATAAGAGGAATGCAGAGGAAGATTTGATATAGACAGAGGAGGAGAAGGCAACATGACCACAGGGATAGATACCAGAGTAGTGTAAATGCCTGTACTCACTACAAGCTAAAAAGAGCAAGAAATCACAAGATCTGATGGTTTTAAAAATGGGGGTTTCCCTGCACAAGCTCTCTCTTTGCCTGCTGCCATCCATGTAAGATGTGACTTGCTCCTCCTTGCCCCTCCATGATTGTGAGGCTTCCCCAGCCACGTGTAACTGTAAGTCCATTAAAGCTCCTTCTTTTGTTAAAAAAATAAATAAAAAAAAAGTAATAAATGGGTTTACCCCTAGATCACCTAGAGGCAGTATGGCCATGCTGACATTTTGGTTTTGGTCCAGTGATACTGATTTAAGACTTCTAGTCTCCACAGCTAGAGAGAATAAATGTCTATTCTATTAAGTCCCCAGTTTGTGGTAATTAGTTACAGCAGCCATAGAAAACTAACACATTGCCTCTCATCAAAAACTCAATTATGATGATGAATTATTATCTATAATTGACTTTAGTTAAAAGTATATCTCTCCTTTCAACCACAGAAGGGGGTCTCTTTTTCTGAAGATCAAAAGGAGAGTTACATTCTTTTTTGTTTGTTTTAATTTATTAAGAATTATTTGGGTTTCTTCTCTGTATGTTTTCTATCAGCACTGCCTTATTTCTGTGATATAAGAAAATTCTTCTTTACTGATCTCTGTTTTAATCGAATTAATATTTAATGACTTTTCTGGCACACTCTAATTTCTGCATTTAAAAATAACAAATGGGACTTCTAATTTTAAGCTATAATTATACAGTAAGAAACATATATTTGCATTGGCATTGTTAATCAGTTAATTCCAGGGTTTCAGAACTGAAAGTGAGACACAGTCATACATAAAAATTAATCTAACAATAAAGACAAGACCATAATATGTTCTAAGTATGCATGTTTAATGAATACATATGTATTTTCCCTTCTTTTCTTCCATGGTATAATTAAAATACATATACATTTTAATGCATGTGTATATACTATATATATATACACACACATAGACACACTATACATACACACATCTTTTTGTGATTATATGTGTGTATGTATGTATGTGTATGCATGCATATATCTTTTGTAATATAGATATATTAACAAAAAAGTATGGCTTTCTTAGAGACATTCAAAACATTGAGTTTTAAATAATGTAAAAACAGCCTGGGCAACAAAGCAAGGTCGTGTCTCTATAAAAAAATTTAAAAAAAATTTTTTTTTAAATCCATGACTTCCATGGTAGTGGATGCCTGCAGTTTCAGCTACTCTAGAGGCTGAAGTGGGAGGATTGCTTGAACCCAGGAAGTCGAGGCTGCAGTGAGCCCTGATCATGCCACTGCACTTAGCCTGGGCAACAGAGTGAGACCCTATCTCATTGAAATAAAGTAAAATAAAATGACATAACATAAAGAAAATCTATACAGACAAATTTTATTTTGATTCTTTCACATTAAAAAGAAGTCATTTAAAATAGTTTAAATTGTATTTTACAAATATTGATTGACCTCAAACAACATAGGACATATGGAAGTGTGATTTACCCAGGCAGCAAAGTCTAAGATAGAGCTGTAAAATAATAGTAGATTTAAGGGAGCCTCACTAACAAAAATTCTAGATTAAAATCAAGCTTTGTAGAATTGAGAAGAGAACTGTGGTAGGTTCATACTTCTAGATTTGCACTTGGTTTGCTGTCTCTTCCCATTTTGCTTTAAAAGGGGCATTGGATGAGGGGCTATAAGGAAGAAAAAAATGCAGTGTTGCCCATCTTGGGGGCATTTAGTTGAATCAACTGTAAACTGAAAAACCCAAAACTTCAATTCATTTACAATTCAAATATTTCAAACAAAAATGTTCTGGTGCCACTGGAGGTGAAAAGTTGGAATAAGAACCAATGCACAAAACCTATTAAGGCTCGAATTGACTTACAGAAGGAATCTGAATCACCAATCACTCTCACCCTGTCAGACAGAGAAACGTGTATGCACACTCTAGGAAATAAGCAAACCACGTTACATAAATAGACAAAAAAAACAATTTGAGCCATACAATAAAGGAACAACATATTTAAAGTGTTGTAAGCAAACAAATTAGTGGAAACAATACACAAAAATAACATACCCTGTAAACTGAGATTTTTATATCTCAAAAAGGTATCCTTCAAAAAGGAAGGGGAAGATGTGGGATTTCTGGAATGGCTGTGTGAAGAGGATGACAGGCCCTCTCCTTAGCAAAACAGTTACTAGTAAGAATTACATTTTTTAAAAAATCTAACCAGGCTGGTTGTGGTGGCTCACGCTTGCAATCCCAGCGCTTAAGGAGGCTGAGGTGGGTGGATGCCTGAGGTCAGGCGTTCAAGACCCACCTGGCCAACATAATGAAACCCCGTCTTGACTAAAAATACAAAAAATAGCTGAATGTGGTGGTGTGCATCTGTAATCCCAGCTACTTGGGAGGCTGAGGCAAGAGAATCGTTTGAACCCAGGGGAGGAGGTTGCAGTGAGCCAAGATCGCACCATCGCACTGCCTTCCACTTCCATGCTTCGGAGGCTCTACTCTGCATAGATGTAACCAAGGACACCCTAGAGCCGCCTCCCTCTAGTTCCCACTCTAGACAAAATACTCCACATCATTAATTATCAGGAACACTCTAATTAAATCCAACAAGTGATATCACTGCACACCCACTAGAATGACTAAAATTACAATCTCTATCTCAAATCTGTTGCAGATAAATGGGATTTGGAGCTGTCATACACAGCTAATGGGAGTATATAATGTTTAAACAATTTTGGAAAAACTGTCCATTTACCTAGTTGCTGACTCAACCATTCTATTTCTAAGAATTTCCCACAGATAAATAAAAAAGAATACCCAAATAATAACTGGTAGAGGAATGTTTACAGCAGCTTTATTCATAAGAGATACCTTCTCAAAATTAATTTTATTTTTTATTTTTATCTTTGAGACAAGGTCTCCCTCTGTCACACAGGCTGAGGTGCAGTGCACAGTCACTGCTCACTGCAGCCTTGACGTCCTAGGTTCAAGTGATCCTCCCACCTCAGCCTCCCAAGTAGCTGGGACCACAGGCATGTGTCACCAAACCTGGCTAATTTTTGTATTTTCTGCAGAAACGAGGTTTTGCCATGTTTCTCAGGCTGGTCTCAAACTGCTGAGTTCAAGCAATCCACCCACCTTGGCCTCCCAAAGTGCTGGGATTATACATGTGAGCCACTATGCCCAGCCCCAAAATTATTTTTTAAAAAACAAGGAAACTACACAAAAGTTTATTAAGAAAAAATAGATAAAAAGTGTATTATATTCATACAATGGATACTACTCAGCAGTATAAAATATTACAATACATACTGATATTTGAAATAACACAAATCTCAAAAATGTTTTATTGAGGAAACCAAGCCAAACCCAATAACGTACAAATTGTATGACTTATTTTTTATAAAGCTCAAAAATAGACAAAACCATTTCATGGTGATATGATTGGGACAGATTTTTTTTTTTTTTGGAATGAGGGATTGACTGGAAGAAAGTGGTAGTCTATTGGAAGTATTTTATATCTTGATTTGAATATGGATTACAAAAGTGTACACATTTATTTAAATTTATTACATTGTACAGTTAAACTACATGCATTTCATTTTATGTAAATTTTACTACATAAATCAATATGCAAAAATATGAAATACAGTGTTCTGAGATAAATACCATGCATGAAAATGACATAAATAATATGATGGCATAATAATAATAATTATTATTAATTATTATTATTATTTGAGACAGAGTCTTGCTCTGTCACCCAGGCTGGAGTGCATTGGTATGGTCATGGCTCACTGCAGCCTGCACCTCCCAGGCTCAAGCAATCCTCCCACCTCAAACCCTCAAGTAGCTGGGACTATGCCTCATCATGCCTGGCTAAGTTTTTAGTTTTTGTAGAGATGGGGTTTCGCCATGTTGCCCAGGCTGGTCTCAAACTCCTGGGCTCAAGCTATCAGCCTGCCTCAGCCTCCCAAAGTGCTGGGATTACAGGCATTAGCCATCCTGCCTGGCCTCAAAATTATAATTTTTTAAATAGATATTTTGGAGTTAAAATTCAGAAAGCCTTCAAAATGGGACAAAAATCATTCAATAAGAGTAGGTAAAAGAGAAGACATAAAAACTTTAGATGATCGCTCAAGAAAATCAAACTTCCAGCTAATAGAATTACTAAAAGAGAGGATGAACAAAACTGTGGAGAAAATGTCAAAATAATAATGAAAGAAAATTTCCCAGAAATGACAGACATATGCTACTGGATTTCCAGAACAGTTTCAAGCTAGTCTTCCAGGTACAGTGCTCGAAAGCATTAAGAACAGTTGGCCATCTGTACTCTGTTGGGGTCGCCACTGCCTCACCGAACATTAGAGGTGATGCAGCCATGGCCACAGTCTCTGCTGTTGAAGCTTTTGTGCCAGGAGGTCATCTTTGCAATCAGGCTGTTCTTGAAATCAGGACCCGAAAGTTGCTTTTATTGTGTCGGAATTTCACTTCTTGAGTAACTTACTTCCCAATCAAAAACTCATGTAAATTATCCTGAGTGGCAGAAATTTGGCTCATTACATATTTGTTGTGTAAAGGTTAAACTAATCCTATAGATTGTACATTTTGAAGCGTGTGAATTGAGGAAGACATTAAGCCGATGATTTAAGTTTCTAAATGGCATTAGCTGATTTTTATTTAATGACCAGTAATCTTTAAAATAAAAAAAAAATTCAGAGCAGAGAGGTTCAAAAAATAGAATTAGGAGAAATTATATATACACATATGTATGCGCATGTGTATGTATATATGTACACACATACGTGTGCCTTTATATTATTGTATGAACTCTGAAATAAAATATAGGGTATTGGGCTAAAATACATGTAAATTGTGTTAGTTTAGGCAAGATCCAATTACATATCTAAAAACCTGTCATGAATTGATTGAGATGGATATTTAAGACATAACACAAAGGATGAAAGAATATCTTTTTGTTTGCTTGTTTCTAATAGAAAGAACACCTTTTAATTTTCTTGATTAATTTGGTCATGCTTCCAGCTTAATTTCTCTGTATATTTTTAGAATTATTATGTAAATTGATGTTACATTATAGATGGAGTATGGACTTTATATAAATTTGTTCATTTAAATTTTATTAAAAATATGTGAATGAGAACTCCACAGCAAAAATTAAATCAATCCATGTACTTTCCTTGTAGTGTCTAACAAGGACAGATTTTAGATAAAAAATAAGAACCCAGCTGATTCTCTTTTTTATAAGACGTTTATAAAATAGAAACAAAGTTAAATGTCAAAACTATAGAACTATTTTCAGTGCGGAGACATAAACCTTTAAAAGCAATTAAACTGGGGAGTACACTCACAACAGGTGTTTATGTAAGTGCAACCTTAACACGTATCACATACTAGGAAACTGCACAGATATATGCTAGTTTTCCTTTGCATATTTAAAACAGTTTAATTTCCAGAGTTATTTTGTAAGAGATTACTTTATGATCTCTACCTCTACTCAAAACAACATTATACATAAAACTAAACTTTTTCCATGTTGAAAACAAACAGCTGATATTAAAAGATAAATAAATTTACCTAAAAAAGTCTTTTTCTCAGTATAATAAAAACACGCATTTCGTCATGGTATTTATAAATATTCAGGAAGCATTCATGATCCTTAGTCCCCCCGATAGTAAAGTAATATAGAAGTTTTGGTCATAAACGATGATGAAGATATTTCTGTCACTGGTTCCATATCTGGTTCTGTCTCTCTCTGGGGCTTCTCAGATCTTATTACTGACATGTGGCAGGTTGGTTAATTCCTCTGCATGTGAACTAGAGCACAATGAGGGAGAAATGAACACTCCTCTGGGAACAACTGAGCAGAGGTTTTTCTGGTAAACATGTAATTCATGATCACTGCTATGTTTTAGCTGTTGAAATGAAATCTCCCTAGACAAAGACAAGGCTATAAAATAATGGATCAATAAACTTTAAGATGCTTAAGTTACAGTTTTCAATCATCTATTTGAATTTTACGGTATAAATTATGTTGATTGTGTCACAGGTCAATTGTTTTTGAACATATTATTTAACTACATAAGAGGCTGTAAACATTTATTGCATTAATCACAGAGATTAAGAGATTCTATACATATTTATCATCTTAGAATTTAAATAAAGTTTTTTTTAACAAATCAAAAAGTAATCTTCCTGTTTGACAATTTAAGGTTGGCTCTCAATATTGAATTATTGTAAATACATTTTTTAAAGCATATACATGCAATGTGGAGGAATTCTAACTTGAATTTCAATATGTTTTAACACTAGCCTAATTTTTTTTGTTCAATTGGTGTGTAAAAGATTGCATTTACGTAACATGTAACGGCAATGTATTTATGTAACAGGTTGTACTTATATCACTGACTCATATTTATTTGAAAATGGAAAATAGTTTATTATAAAACTATTATTTTGATCTAGGTATTAAAAATGGATTACTCGATATGCTGTATGTGGGTCAATTAAGTAAGCTATGTTTCTTTTGATTTTCAAACTCTTATTTTTGCTTAGCAGATTGAAAACCAGAAAGGTAGTTTTACATATCCATTTCTTTCATTCTTTCATTCAATGAGTTATAATTTAAAGCCTACTATGTGTAAAGTACTGGTATGGAAGTGGTATATCTGTATTAGTGAACAAGGAAAACATTGTCCTTGGGTTTTACAGTTATAGACTAGTGGGAATAAAATGTGCAAAGTCAATAATTCCTTAAATATATATCAGATGCTTATCTTGTGTTTTCCAAATTATTTGGTCTCCAAAATAATTTATTGTTGCTGTATCTTGCCCTGTTCATACATATTACATACATAATACATACATATTACTCTAAACAGCATACAATGCCAAATATATTAGGGAGAGTTAACTAGCCTAAGGCCTCAGACAAGTCTTTTCTAAGAGTATGACATTAAAATAATTATTTGTAATGTAACTGGATGAATGGGAGTCATTCAAATGGAGAAAATGACAGGCATTTCTATTTTAAGGTAGCAGTATTCAGAATCCTGAGGCAGCAACAAACACACCAAGTTCAAGAGTTGTAATGATATATAAGGCTATGGCCTAGCAAACATGAGGGGATAATGGATATATATGCAATTATTTAGGACCCTGTAAATAATATTAAGGATTTTTAAATTTTAAGTTTGGAATAAGTGAAAAATATTAAAAATATTCAGAAAAGGAAATATTATTCCTATTGTTTACATGTTTGAAAATCTCTATTTATTATTTTTTTATATTTTATAATAAACTTCCACACACAAAAGGTTTGATTTAGTTGGCATTTTCTATTACTAATAAACTGATATCCAAGTAAATAAATAATTTCTTTACAAAATAATTCTGTTTTTAGAGTAGTTATGTATAAATAGATTATTTCTCTTTCATGGATTTTTTTTTAGCTCCAGATATTAGTCCATTTTCATAAATATTCAATTTACTCTAAAGTCGCTTTCTAAAGCACAATTGTTTATTAGTAGGCAGGTTGCTTATGAATCTTCGCCACAAATTATGCTAGAAGTCTCTTTTTTAACATTTATAGATAATGAAAAATTACTTAACATGACTTTGGTGATTGGATACAGGCCACAAAACTGGTGATAGAAAATAAAAATAAAAAATAAAACGTTAGAATTCAAAATCTTGTCCTAATAATCATGCCAAAATTGATAATAAAAAGAACTGATGTGGGTAAAGATAAAGTGTTACTTAACATAAACTGTGTTTGGAAGAATTAGATTTACTAATTCTACCTCTTTGTGGTAGAAATGCTGCCTTGATCACACATGCCTATGTAGGGCTGGAGTGGGATGCTTAATCTGACTTAAAAATCGCCATAAATTTTTATGGTAACACAGTACTCAGAACCTGACCGATAGTATTTACATAAACTATAAAATATTTTTAAAATATCTGCCAGGATAGCAAAGAAACAAAATATATTTTAAAAGTTTAAGAAAAAAATTTATTTCAAGTAAATGGTAGAACATTGTTCCTTTCTAATATGGTTTTATTACTTACATGGAATTATCAAAAATGATACTTATTGAAAAAAACCTAATAGTATTAAAGTAAAACTGTTTTCACATGTAAAAAAAAAAATTTTTTTGAGACAGTGTCTTGATCTGTCACCCAGGCTGGAGTGCAATAGCCCCATCATGGCTCATTGCAGCCTCAGCCTCCTGAGCTCAAGTGATCCTCCTGCCTCAGCCTCCGTAGTAGCTGGGACTACAGATGTGCACTATCATACTGGGCTAGTTTTTTTTAAATTTTTAGTAGAGATGGTGTTTCACTATCTTGCCCAGGCGGCTGGTCACATACTCCTGGTCCCAAGTGATCCTTCTGCCTTGGACTCCCAAAGTGATGGGATTAAAGGTGTGAGCCACTGCATCTGGCCCTAAAATATTTTTAAATGAAAAAATTCGAAAAAAATACCTAAAAGATTTTAGTTAACCTGAACAAAAGCCAATAATTTACCATGATGACAGCAACTTAACTATTTCTGAGCACTATAAAAACAAGGATGTTACACCGCACTATAAAAAGAAGTATGTTATACCGTCTTACTAAATATCCAAGTATAAGCAGTCTGCTGTAGGATCAAGCTCCTTTCCCCAGTAAAGTGTAGTATTCAGAACTGTCCACATGGGCTACTTGAGGAATTTTCATGAGGTGACCCCAGGTCTATATACCAAGTTGTTCCATGAAGTCATCTCAATATTGAAATCTGGAGTTATAGTGAGAGGGTAAAGGGGCCAAGGTCCCAAAGTTCCACAGTGAACAATCACCAAGATTTGTACTGCATGGATATCTAACAGTCAGTGTGTGTGACAGCTCCCTGATATATTTCAACCTTCTGGTCTTCCCCCAGGAACCTAGGCCCACACAATGTGCTCTGATTCTCAAAGTTAGAGTGGAAGGACACTGTAAAAGTCACCATACTTTATCCAACTGTCTTCCAAATATTCATTCACCTAATTTAACCCATGGAAGATGTTTTATTTGTTTTGTATCATTGTGTTTTAGTCACTTATACATGTGGCAAATCAAACAAACAGGCAACTGGAATATTCTTCCAAATATACAATATATGTCAAGACTTACACCTTAAGAGCTTAAACAATAAAAAAAGAAAGGTATTTCAGAAAACATTTATTTTATATTTTACTATGTTGAAGTCAAAATAAAATATGGTGATACATCTCTAAATTTAATGTTTCATTTCGAAGCAAGAATTGCAATTTGGGGTATACACAGATCAGGTGGTCTTTGGTACGTCTGAAGGACAAAAGGAAGGTTGGAGGCTTTATAAAAAGGAGAAATGTCTGTAATCCCAGCACTTTGGGAGGCCGAGGTGAGTGGATCACCTGAAGTCAAGAGTTGGAGACCAGCCTGACCAACATGGTGAAACCCAGTTTCTACTAAAAAAAAACCAAAAATTAGACGGGTGTAGTGGCAGACGCCTGTAATCCCAACTACTGGTGAGGCTGAGGCAGGAGAATAGCTTGAACCCAGGAGGCGGAGGTGCGCCATTCCACTCCAGCCTGGGCGACAGAACAAGACTCCATCTTAAAAACAAACAAAAAGAAAAAAAAAGGAAGAAACAAACAAACAATTAAACAAAAAAGAAAAAGAAAGAAATGTTATATATTGTTTCGAAAGAAAGTTGATCAGCACCAATAATGTTTTGGGGAACTGGCAAGCTCTGATTCGTGAGTGACAGCAGTGGGTAAAACTAGCCTCAGAGTCCCAATATGTTGGTTCAGTCGCTATTAGATAAAATTCAAGTTCCGACAGGCAGGTTCAGCAGCTGGACTTGCAGAAAATTTAATCGTTGGAACAGGTGCTGTGTGTCCTGAGTGCTTTTTCCACTGGCCAGTTGACTGATTTAGTTTAGTATGACAAGAATGATTCAATTTATATGATTGAGTCAACAAATTTTTGACTTGATTTCTTGAATTTTAAACATAGTTTTTAGTTTTTGTCATTATTTTTGTTATTTCTTTTTATTTTAGCAATACAATGAAATGGCTGGCTTATTATTTTATATGATAAAATAAATGTAATTATAATCCACAAATATAATAGTAAACAGTTTTCAAAAATAAAAAAAAAGACAGCCAACCATACTTATCAATGTAGTAAAAATACAAACTTTATTTTACTGGTTATTTAGTACAAACTGATTGTTTGTGAAAAATGTTTTCCTGGCTCACAAAATTTCCTTTACGTATGATAACTCTAGCTTCACTTTAATCCCAATTTAAAAAAATAAAATAAATATGGCACACATTCAAGAACTGTGCCCTTTGTTCTGACAGCACCCAACCCAAATGAGAATATTGCTTAATTTCTCTTTAAAATAACCCATCAAAATACAAGTCTTTTTATTTTATTTTCTTGTGTAAGAACATGAGATCTACACTCTTAAATTTCTGATTGTATATTACAATATTGTAGACTATGGATAGAATGTTGTACAACAGATTTCTAGAATTTCTCGTCTTAATTAATTGAAATATTATATCCATTGATTAATAACTCTCCTTTCTCCCTATCCCCCAGTCCCTGGCAACCATCATTTCAGTCTTTGATTCTATAAATTTGATTATTTCAGATTTATAGAACCATGAATTGAAATCATGCAGTATTCGTCTTTTTACAATTGATTTATTTCACTTAATATAATGTCCTCAAGGTTTATCCATGTTGTTGCATATGTGAGAATTTTCTTCTATTTTAAAGCAGAATAAAAACACATTGCATGTATATTCCACATTTTCTTTATCCATTCATCTTTGATGAACATTTAAGTTGTTTCTACATCTTGGTTATTGTGAGTAGTGCTGCAAAGAACATGAAAGTCTAATATCTCTATGAGACACTGATTTCAATTCTTTCAGATAAATAGACAGAAATGGAACTGCTGTATCATATTGTAGTTATATTTTTTATTTTTTGAGGAACCTCCATATTGTTTTCCATAACAGCTCTACCATTTTGCATTTCTACCAACTGCATGCAAGGGCTCCAATATCTCCACATTCTCGCTAACACTTCTTTTTTTTTTTTTTTTTTGAAAATAGCAATCTTGACATAAATGAGGTGAAATCTCACTGTGGTTTTGCTTTGCATTTCCTGATGATTAGTGACGTTCGGCATCATTTCATATACCTGTTGGACATTTGTATGTTTTTGGAGAAATGTAGATTCAAGTGCTTTGCTCATTTTTTTAATCAGGTTGTTTGATTTTTGCTATTGATTTGTAGGAGTTCTTTTATTTCCGCTGTGTGGAAATCTTTACTAAGACCAATGTTGAGAAGCTTTTTCCATATGTGTTATTTTAGGAGTTTTACAGTTTCAGATCTTATATTTAAGTATTTTATCCATTTTGAATTGATTTTTATGCATGGTATAAGATAAGCGTCCAATTTCTTTTTTTAATTATTTTCTTTTTTTGCATGTGAATATCTAGTTTTCAAATCATTTACTGAAATGACTATTCTTTCCAATGGTATATTCTTGGAACACTTGTCAAAAATCAGTAGACTGTATGTGTGTCAATTTTTTTTTTCTGGGATCTCTCTATTCTTTTCTAATGGTCTGTATGTCTGTCTTTATACCAGTATCATACTGTTTTTATTATAGATTTAAACATATTTTGAAATGAGAAAATGTGACACCTCCATCTTTGCTTTTCTTTCTTAAGATTGATTTGACTATTTATGATCTGTTGTGGTTCCATAAGAGTTCTAGAAATATTCTCTATATTTCTGAAAAAAAAATGTCATCAGTACATTGGTAGTCTAATAGGGATTACATTGAATCTGTAGATTGCTATTAAGTTCAGAAGAAGTAAAACACATGAATATACCTATAATTAGCATAAAAATCGAATCAGTTATCAAAAAGCTCTCAAAAAAAGTCCAGGACCATAGGAATTCACTGGTGAATTCTACCAACTATTTAAAGAATTGGTGGCAATCCTTCTCAAACTCTTAAAAATTAAAGGAGAAGGAATACTTCCAAACTTATTTTATGAGGTCAGCATTTCCTTGATATTAAAGCCCAAGGTACCACAAGAAAAGAAAACTATTGGCCAATAACCCTGACGTATATAGATGTGAATATCCTCCACAAAACCTTAGAAAACAAAATCCAGCAGCACATTAAAAGGATCATATACCATGGCCATTTGTTTACCTTGGGATTCATTCCTGTGATGCAAGGATGGTTCAACATGCAAAAATCAATTAATGTGATATAACATATTTAGCAGAATAAAGAACAAAATTACATGATTATTTCAATAGAGGATGAAAAAGTGTGTGATAAAATTCAACATAGTCAGAGTGATATACTGAGTAGAGGACTCAGGTAAGACCTATGCAAGCTTTTCCCCCATGGATGCTATGATAAAAATAAAACAAATTAACATATACACAAACAAAAGAGTAAATAACCAAAATACATGTGTTGCTATAAGCCATGAAGTTTGTGGAAATTTGTTGCACAGCAATAGAAACAAAATCTCTTATACTCAGGCTGATAAATATGCCATTATTTTGTAGTAGCATAACCTGGAATACATGCAGTTTTTAATTGTGAAGGTGAGGAAAAAACTGTTTAAGAAATAAGTGCTGATTACTCTAGGCTTCTCAAAGTAACACATGTCACTTTAACTCATAACTATTCACTTGGCCTTCTAAGTGAAAAAGGCCTGAGTAATGTGAGAAAACACATGATATATTTGCAGGGTGCTGGTTTCTAACGTGTAATCCGTCTTTCCTGTTGTATTTATTAGTCAGGGTTCCCTAGAGGGACAGAAGTAATAGGATAAATGGGAGAGATAGACAGATAGAAAGGGAATATATTAAGGAGTATTGACTCACATGATAAGAAGGTGAAGTCCCACAATAGGCCATCTGCAAGCTGAGGAGCAAGGAAGTCAGTCCAAGTCCCAAAATCTCAAAAGGAGGGAAGCTGACAGTGCAGCCTTCAGTCTGTGGCCAATGGTCCGAGAGTCCCTGGCAACCCACTGGTGTAAGCCCAAGAGTCCAAAAGCTGAATAACTTGGAGTCTGATGTTCGAGGTCAGGAAGCATCCAGCACAGGAAAAAGATGGAGGCCAGAAGACTCAGCCAGTCTAGTCCTTCCACATTCTGTGCCTGCTTTTATCCTATCCACCCTGGCAGCTGGTTAGAAGGTGCCCTCACAGATTGAAGGTGGGTCTGCCTCTCCTAGTCCACTGACTCAAATGTTAATCTCCTTTGGCAGCACCCTCACAGGCACACCAACAAACAACACTTTGTGTCCTTCAATCCAATCAAGTTGACATTCAATATTAATCATCACACCTGTGAGGGGATGGAGGGAAAACTTTTCTTCTTTCTTTCTCCATGTAGACTACATTAACCCTGTTCCATGAGAGATAACACAAAATTGAAATTATGCTTGGTCTTGAAATTAAAATCCAGAGAGTCTGGGTTGTATGTAGTAGTATCCATAAAAGGTTGATAAGTAAGGCTAGATCATACAAAACCAATGTTTTTGGCCTACTCACATCCAATGTGCAATGATGGGACAGGGAAAGGCCAACATAATTAATGTTCTCATTTGAATGTTCTTTGTTTGTACTGATTATCTCTTCAAGGAGTTAACTTTTTCACTATTCTCTATGATACTTGCCCCTAAATGTTTACTTTCATTGTTTTATTACCTTGCTTAGTCATATATGAAGTGTTTGAGAATATTACCCACTAAGGATAAACAGCTTAATACATATCTTACCCAAAGGCCTTTGAAGGCTCAAGGTCACCTGAAATCTAAAACTGTGATGGAAAGAGGCAGTGATATTGTGGTTATATAGGAGAATGTCCTTGTTTGTTCCTGGGAGTGATCAGACATGATGTTGGACAGGTACACTCAAATGGTTCAAAAAGATAAGTTATTTATACCACCCTTGAAAGTATTGTGTAATTTTGGGAATGTATTGAAATTAAAGAAGATAAGGAAGGGGAGCAGGAAGAAGAAAAGGAGAGCTACATGGAAAACAATCAAGAAAGGCTGAACATAAATAGCCATATCTTTAAAGTGAACTTTCTGGAATTTTCAATTTGCAGAAAAGTGCACAGACATGAAACAGAAAATATGAGTGTCTTTCTGTACTGAAGAAACAGGTTTGAAATGTAGTTGACAAAAAATAATGCAATTTCAGAGGGTAGAGAAATCACAAGTGGTGTAAGAACCAAACTGTGCATGAAATTTACCTTTAATGCATTTGCTGACCTTTGAAATTGGCCATTATAGGATGAAACTTTGGTAAATAAAACAAAAAGTCATGGCATTCTGTTCCCAGACCCTTTTCAATGATATAACAACTGGTAAAAATTATTAAAAATTGAAAACATTCAAAGTCTATGAAAACTGTCCTAAAGACATAAAGAAAATGAAGAAAAAAATTATTCAAGGGAATCTGCTGTATGTTAGGACATATCTAACAAAATTGCAAACCTTACACACTGAAAACTAAAAACAAAATTTTAAATAAGCTAAAGGTGACCTAAATAAATGGAAAAAAATCCCATATTCATGGAATGGAGATTTAAAATAGTTAAATTGATAACATTCCTCTACTTGATTACTGATTCAATTTAATCTCTATCAAAACCTCAGATGCCTTCATAGAAACTTATCTTTAATTTCATGTGGAGGCCAAGTGTGGTGGCTCACGCCTATAATCCCAGCACTTTGGGAGGCCGAGGCGGGCAGATCACTCGAGGCCAGGAGTTCCAGACCAGCCTGGCCAACATGGAAAAAACCCATCTTTACTAAAAATTCAAAAATTAGCCAGGTGTGGTGGTGCTCATGTGTAATCCCAGCTGCTCTGGAGGTGGAAGCACAAGAATCGCTTGAACCCAGGAGACGGAGGTTGCAGTGAGTGGGCATCTCCCCACTGCACTCCAGCCTGGGTAACAGAGCGATACTCTGTCTCAAAGAAAAAAGAAAAACAATCCTGGAATACTAGAAAAAAGCTGCAAGACTCACATTTCACAATTTGAAAGCTTATAAAAAGTCTACAATAACCAAGACGGTGTGGTACCACCATATGAATGACATGTAGATCCATGCAATAAAATGGAGACCCCAGGAATATAGCCCAATATTTATGCTCTACTTTACTTTTCAACCATAGTGAAAACAGAATATCTTTTTTTTAAACTTTCATACCTTTTTATGTGTATTAGTTTAAGCTCTCTATATTAGTAAAATGCAAAAATAGACAATATCCATAACTAAGAAATACAGAAATATCTCAGATAGAGATCACTTACAAGAAAAAATATGTCTCATTGGTAGAATATTCACAATATCAGGATGTAGAATTAATATAAATAATCTCTTATATTCTTTAGATTTTGTTATCAGAGAAATCTTATGTGAATATATTTCTTTTATGTCACATTATCTGGTATGTTAAAAAAATAGAACAAGATGAGCAAACAAATTTATATTATTCCCGGACCATTGCCAGCAATAGGGAAGAGAGCACAGAGCAGGCCTGGATACTCAGTTCTGAAATGCAAAAGGCAGGAGCATTTGTAAATGCTCAGTGGAGCTAGTGGAAAAGTATCGGAGGACTTTTGATGGGAGGTTGATCAATGGGATGTATCCAGCACATTAAGTTATTCCTGAGTTTGCAAATGTGTTTTCTCTATGTTTGCTAATTGGTTTTACCCAAAGGAAAAGTACATAGGGAATAATACTATTCAACCTTAAAAAAGAAGGAGATCTAATTATTTGTGACAACATGGATGAACCTGGAGGACATTATGCTAAGTATATTTAAAAAAGTCAGACACAAATAGACAAATGCCTCACCATCTCTCTCATAAGTAGAATCTAAAAAGTTGACCTCATAAAAGTAGAGAATATAATGTGGTTACCAGGGACTGGGGGTTCGGTGCTGGGGTGAGGAGATATTGGTTATAGGATACAAAATTTCAGTTAGACAAGAAGAATAATTTCAAGAGCTTCACTCTACAACACGGTGACTAAAGTTATAAATATTTATATAGAGTTATTATATAATTACAGTGTATCATATTTTTGAAAATTGATGAAAGTAGATTACAAGTGCAATTGTGATGCATTTTCTCACCACAAAAATGATGTTTGTGAGATAATGCATATGTTAATATATATGCTAACATAATGTAGCTCAATTTAGTCATTCCACAGTGTATACATATTTAAAACTTCAAGTTGTACATGATACATACATGTAATTTTTATTTTTTAATTTAAAATTAATGAATTAATTAAAAACAAGAAAAGTAAACTTTCTCCTAACTTCTTGAAAGGAGGTGGTTAAGCTCCAAGTTAGGCTGACTATAGGCTCCTACCCTCCCACAGAGCCAGGAAGATGGGATACTATTTTCCCTGATGATGACTTTCAAAGGAATAGCTCCCAGGTCCTTGAGAAAGACAGTCCTGGGTTGTAAAACTGGTGAGAGGTTTTCAAAAGATTTACATTTCAAAGGGATGAAGAAAGAATTTAACATTACACATTTCCTAACCTAAGTGCTCTAAGAAGAAGGAAAGGAGATAGACAAGAAAGTAATGCAACAATTAATGTCAAGTAAACACCAACAACTTCATATGTTAGGAAACATTAGTATTATCTGCTTGAAGAAGAGAAAGAAAGTTTTATTTTGGCAAAAGTTATTTAAAATTTGTGTTTAATATGCAAAGTCCAAACATGCCCATCATTCTGAGTTTCTTAAGTCTTCCCAAATGTGTGACTGTTCACCAAATTATACAATATCAGTTTTTGATGATGAATTAACTGTTATATGTTACATTTTGTTATTTTGATGTGGTTATTTTATGCACAAGACACACCCAGTATCATTGATTCAATGGTTTATTTCCTGTAAATTGTTAAATTATTGTAGAAATCTAGCTCATCGATCCCTAAGAATACATATAACCCCTTCACCTGGTTAATGTTACCAAGATTGTAGATCTAGTATTTAGGAAGAAATAGCAGGACTAGCTGTGCAGATTCAAATGTTGAGTTAGTGTGGGCAGGAATCTCGCAGAAACTAACAAAATTGCCTGTGAGTCTAAATAGAGAGCAAACACATCATTCCAAGTGAAAAGCTAAAAAAACTGACGGTGCCGAGGTTCCCTAGAAAAATAGGGCCTGGTTGACACACACAAAAGAATCCTGTTTCATGTTCAAGGAATTTAAAGATCATTGGCATACTCACATTTTTTTTTTAATAAGATACCTTATGTATTAGTTTGTTTTCACACTGCTATAAAGAACTATCTGAGACTGGGTAATTTTAAAGAAAAGAGGTTTAAATGGCTCAGTTTCACAGGCTGTTTAAGAAATAAGAAGCATGGCTGGGAGGTCTTAGGAAACATACAATCATGGCAGAAGGTCAAAGGGAAAGCAAGCACATCTTCACATGGTGGTAGGAGAGCGAACGAGAGCAAAGGGGGAAGTGCTACACACTTTTAAATCAACCAGATCTTGTGATAACTCACTCACTATAATGAGAACAGCAAAGGGGAAATCCAACCCCATGATCCAATCACCTCCTACCGGGCTCCTCCTCCAACACGGAAGATCATAATTCAACATGAGATTTGGGAGGAGACACACAGCCAAGCCACATCATCTTAGGATATTTCGAATTCATTGAAACCATGGGTAAAACCCATCTCCTATGTACTCTTTCAGTTGTACTCAGTGGATGTCATTCTCAATAACAGCAAATACATAAATGTGCTTTAAAATCTAGAGTTATAATTTTACTGCATGGGTTCTTATAAACAAATATTTCTGACACCATAGGTTAACTTTTTTATTTTTTTTTAAACATCATCATTCCTCTTCCTTTCAGTCTTACCCACAACTCTCCACTCTAATCCTATCACCCTGTTCAAGCCCTTCGCATCTCAGTGTTGGATGGCTGTAGTAGACTCCCAGCAGTTTGCTGCCTCAAGTGTGGCTCAACAGCGGCAACATGAGGATCACCTAGGAACTCCTTAAACATACAGAATCTTAGGGCCCATCCAAGTTCTCCTGAATCAGAGTATAGTCTTTAGCAAGGTTCCCACATGATCCCTATGCACCTTAAATTTTGAAAAGCCTTCTCCTAGCCTGCCTTTCGCCATTCTAATCTCTTGTTAGTTTCTCCAATTCTTAATATAATGCTGACTTTACATAGAGCAGCCAAAATTGCAATGACATTACATAAGCATCGGTAATGGCCACATTATTTTTAATAACAATAATTTGATTAGGAATTCTAGTTCTGGGTAACCAGGCACAAATGTCTTTTTTTTTTTTTCCTCTTCTGTACAAATGCAATGTCCTTGTTCCTGGCCAGGCGTGGTGGCTCACGCCTGTAATCCCAGCACTTTGGGAGGCCTTGAGGAATCATGAGGTCAGGAGTTCGAGACCAGCCTGGCCAACGTGGTGAAACCCTGTCTCTACTAAAGATGCAAAAAATTAGCCAGGTGTGGTGGCAGGCGCCTGTAGTCCCAACTACTCGGGAAGCTGAGGCAGGAGAATCACTTGAACCTGGGAGGCCGAGGTTGCAGTGAGCCGAGATTGTGCCACTGCACTCCAGCCTGGGTGACAAAGCGAGACTCTGTCTCAAAATAAATAAATAAATAAATAAATAAATAAATAAATAAAAGTGTAATGTCCCTCTGAGCCCCCTCACATTTCGGAACAGAGCTATCCCTTCTTGCTTATTCTGCAACTTCGAGCTCCTGTCTTCTGTGCTCACATCAGCACACATATATATGCGAGCCTCTTCACATTCTAAAAACTAGTTTTTAAAATCTGGTGGTTAAAGAAATCATCATGTAATGTGACGTAGTGGGTAACCTCTAATTCAATCTATAACATAAACTAAAACTCTGATACATAAATTCCTAATATACCACTCTCAGAAAGTCAACATCAGATGTCCTTCAAGAATTGTAGAATTTTACAGGGAAGAAACAGACCCTGAAATAAACAACCCTTATTTTAGAAAAGTCAAAATCAATGCTAGGAAAAAATTCAAAGTTAGAAAGTGGCAGATCTATGATTAAAATTCTGGTATTTCAATCCTTTAGTTTCTATCCTTCCACGATTGTTAGTTTAAAACTGTTTTACTTAGTTTTGAATTTTGTCCTTATTTCTCCAGCCTCATGTAGTAGTTAAGAACATGAACATTGAAATTAAGCAATCTTGAAATTGAATCCACAGTCCATTCTTTCATTTAAGTAAGGCTCTGTACCAGTAGTTTAACTTCTCTAAGCTGTGCCATGCTGTTATTAAACTGTGAATAGAATACTAAGTATCTTGTAGGTTTGCTACAGGTATTAAGTGTAATGATGCATATGAAGCAATTAGCATACTGATTATTCCAAATAAATGTTAATTATTATGTAATTACCATTATCATAATGTATTCAAACTTATTTAACCAATATTATTATCATATTTTATCTGATGAAGCAGACTAGTATCTTCTTTCATATGTATATCCTTATATAGCCCCTTCCATGCATATGTAGATATTGTTTCTAAGATTTATTAGGCAATCTATCAAATGCCAGTCTTTAGCAAGCTGATTAGATTTCAAACAAAATATTATCCTGGCTAACACGGTGAAACCCCGTCTCTACTAAAAATACAAAAAAATTAGCCGGGCATGGAGGCGGGCGCCTGTAGTCCCAGCTACTAGGGAGGCTGAGGCAGGAGAACGGCGTGAACTCGGGAGGCGGAGCTTGCAGTGAGCTGAGATCGCACCACTGCACTCCAGCCTGGGCGAGAGAATGAGACTCCGTCACAAAAAAAAAAAAAAAAAAAAAAAAAAAAAAAAAAAAAAGAAAATTATAAGAGGCTCATTTGAGGTAAAGTTTTTTCTATTTTCTTTTTGTTTTAAACTCTATTACACTTAGCTCATTGGACCTTTATGCTGTTTTCCCTCACTGGAAAATACTCCCTTTCCCTTCATCTGATAAAAAGTTCTTACATTTTCATTTCCAAATTCTACCTTTTCTAGAGAGTCCACATACTCCCCTTGTTTTCTGAGTTTGTATTAAGTTTATCACTAAAACAACATAAGGGTGAAAAGGTGTAATACCTTTTCCTCACCCATTTAAAGTCCAGAGCCAACATCTTTATAACAGAAGACATTAACAAGAGAACAGCATAACACATTTATTTATTTTTTTAATTCTTAAAAGCTTTTTTAATTTTTTTTTTTTGAGATAGGATCTTGCTTATCACCCAGCCTGGAGTGCAGTGGTGCAATCTCAGCTCACTGCGACTTCCACCTCCTGGGTGCAAGCAATCCTCCCACCTCAGCCTCTCAAATAGCTGAGACTACAGGTGTGTGCCACCACACCGGCTAATTTTTTGTATTTTTTTGTAGACATGGGGTTTCACCATGTTGCCCAGGCTGGTCTCAAACTCCTGAGCTCAAGCGATCCGCTCGTGTTCGCTTTCCAAAGTGTTGGGATTACAGGTGTGAGCAACTGCGCCCGGCCTACATTTATTTAATAAAAGTTTTATGTGACATGGGAACCTTCAGACATTGTATGTTTATGCGTAGGTTTGATGAAGAATAGAAAGCCATGTAGAACTGTGATTGAACAAAAAGTCTATGCTAGTGGAAACAGACTACGGAAGACTTACCAAGGCCCGTTTGTTGGAATTCTTGGCCTCTTTGTGTAGCATTTCTTCCCCCCAGGCATGGAGCAGGCCACTGCTAGAATGAGGGTCTTATGGCCCATTTTCAGGGAAGGCAGGTCAGAAAGTGTCCTCTCTCGCCTTTATGACTTGCTTTGGGGAAGAGGAATTCTAGTTTCTATAATCGGCTTAAGGAAGCAATGGGGGAAGAACAAAGGAGGATGAGAAAAGAGCAGAGAGAACTTCTTGCATCTGAGGCCCTTCCAGTCTCCTTTAGCTTAAAGCACTAAGTGTGCCAAAGCACCATACTTTGGGGTTTCATTTTATGAGCTCAACACCACATTGTTGTACATTCATTTTTTTCTTCTTCACTAAAAACGTTAGTTTCTTTGGTTGCAAGCTACTAAAGAGCAGGAGAAAAATAGGTATTTTGTTTTGTTTTGTTTTTTCCCTGATTCTTAGCAAATTTTTTTGAAACAAAATAAATACACAATTATAGACTAGTGTCATATTTAAGGTTGATAGATTGAAAGAGGTCAGGATAAGTCGGTGTAGTTTGAAGTTAGCTTATGTGAATGGAAAAAATAACTGGGAAGAATCAAGCATTGCCTGCCTTGAATTAGATTCTTAACCATGCAGTGACTTCGCAAAATGAATAAGCAATTCTTATTTATGTAAGAGGTTGCTAGACAGCCTTGTTTAAAATTTGAAAGAAAGTTTGGAGAGAAATGTTTCACATCAAATCCCTTTTTATAAAAAAGAAAACCCTAAATATATGACCAAAATATCCATTCACTTTATATATGCACTTTTAATTTTTCTGCTATTGAAATTATTTCTGTACTGGATTCAGGGCATCTGCTATGCCATTGGATGGTAATCAGTTCATTACAATATAAAGATCTCATTGGTGTAGCTCTATAATTATTCAAGAGGTAAATAAGGCAATAGCTAATAAGATATGATAAGTTGACAGCTATCCCTGTTAATATTAATTGTGGAAGCTCTGGACTGACTGCCATTTGACCTTCTTAACTGAGCAGCTTGCCTTCAACACTCATAACCAATGTACATACATGATCACTTGGCTATCAATACACATAACCATCTGTTATGATGGCAACATGCCTGCTCTTAAAATACTGTGACAGTTTAGTCGGCAGGTGCCAGCTAAATCGATTGGCAGCCTGAAATTTTGAAAGCATTTTCTCTTTTTCTGCAGAAAGCAATGTCATATTAACATCCACATGGCTTCTTACTGTCACACCACCTGTTCGTTTTTTTTAGGCCAAAATTTTTATGGCAGGGACAACAGAGAATACTTGAGAAAATTAGTAAGGATCTGTTATGAAAGAACTATATTATGTTACATCTTGATCTGTTTTAAGGACTGATCTTATATATTTAACAGCATAAAACAACTGTGCTTATGAAAAGTCATAACACGATTTTAAGAAAACAAAATTAATATGATTGATATCATTTTTTGGGGGGAAGGGGTCAGGGTAAATCTGTATATATAAAACCACCAACTCATCCAGCACAGAGGTCAGAGGAAGTTCCTATCCTAAATATACTCTTGCTTTAGAATCCCAAAGCAAGGGACAGAAGAGGGCTGGAGGAGAAGAAGAAAGCTACTTAATTGTAATTCTAATATTCTACTATTAGCAGGCTTTATGATGAATGACATATGATTACATTTCCCCAATATTCTCTTCTATTTCATTCTCTCTGTTCACACACAATATGCCAGGTAAAAATTATTAGTATCCTGAAGTTTTTGCCCTCCCACTATACTTACAATTGGAATCTGAAATGTTAATGTTCCCAGTTTCATCATAGAGGGAAGGCAAAAAATTACCCTTCACAAATGTTTCATACATCCTCCACTCTATTCAAACTGCATTCTTCCAGGAAACAAACAGTTCATCTTTTAGATTTACAAAGCTGGTAAGCAGTAGTAGACTCTGCATCAGAAACAGTCCTGTGCTTTGCGTCTGGTCTGTGAGGGTAGATATGCTGACATGTTTGGAACGGTGATGGATCCCAGAAGCAGTGGGAGGAATTGAGCAGTGCACCTTCACCAGCTGCCCATCTGTGGTTTTCCAAGTGGAAGCCCCAACACCATCACTAAAAACAACACAAGATTCATCAAGAGGATTATTGACCAGGTGTTGACAGTGGCCTTGAATTCTACCCATTGAGTAAAGTAGGCATTCCCCACTTAGCTTCCAACTTGATACTGCTGAAGACTGTACAGAGGAGCACAGTCTCTCCAAAAAACTGAAAAAAAATATTTTAATTTTTCATGAAAAGCTCAAATGTCACTGGACCTATGCTTTCCATGTTCTTGAATATACCACTCTCATTTGATAAGTGAGAGATGTTAAACGTGTCCCACTCTGTTATTCATCAAATATGAGTTCACATGCCCCAATATGGGAACAGCAGGCCAGAGTCACGGGATCTTTGTTGGTCTGAGAGAATTTGTTGCTAGCAGATATACCCTAAAATAAATAGTAAAAGAAGTTCTTCAGGCTAACAAGTGACCATATATGGTAATTCCAATTCATACCAGATAATCAAGTAATAGTCATAGCAACTATATAACTACAAAACGCTATACAGATACATATTTATTACACTTTCTTATTCTCAACTGATTTAAAAATCAATGGTATAAAACAATATGTACACAACTGTATTGCTGGGCCCATAACATACAAAAAGGTAATATATTTGGCAATAACAGCACAACTAAGACAGGTGGGAGCAAAGTTACATTTGAGTTAAGAAAATGACTTCACATGACTACTTAAATCCACAGAAACAAATGGGGAGAAAGAAAATAAATAAGATTAAGATAACAAACACTATGCATATATTCTTGTTCTCTTATTTCTTAACTTCTTTAGCAGATACAAAATTATAAAGTAATAATTACAGTAATGTATTTTGGGCTTATAACATATATAGATGCAATATGTGTAAAAGGAAAAGCACAAAAAGACAATAGAGAGGATAGGGTTATAGAGGAACACCTTTTCTATGTCTCACAAGAATAAAGTTAGTGTAAAACTGAAGTAGTTTCTCGTAAGTTAAGAAGTCTATTGTAGGCCGGGCGCTATGGCTCACGCCTGTAATCCCAGCACTTTGGGAGGCTGAGGCGGGCGGATCACGAGGTCAAGAGATTGAGACCATCCTGGCTATTATGGTGAAACCCCGTCTCTACTTAAAAAATTATAAAAAATTAGCCAGACGTGGTGGCGGGCACCTGTAGTCCCAGCTACTGGGGTGGCTGAGGCAGGAGAATGGCATGAAGCCGGGAGGTGGAGCTTGCAGTGAGCCAAGATCGCACCACTGCACTCCAGCCTGGGCGACAGAGCGAGACTCCGTCTCAAAAAAAGTATATTGTAAGTTGTAGTGTAACCACTAAGCAGTTAACGCAAGAATATAGTGAAAAAATTGTTGAAATAATTAACATGTAACATTGGCAGCTATTCACTTAATGGAAAAAGAAAGCATTAAAGGAGGAATAGACAGACAAAAAAAGATATGGAAAATATAGAAAGACTAAAATGCAAAGGCAAATCCAACTATATCTATAATAACATTAGATGAAAATGAATTAAACAATCTCATCAAAATGCAGAAATTGTCAGACTAGAGAGTTAAAAAGCTCCAACTATATTCTGTCCATATGATGCAAAATTTATATTCAAATAAAGAAATAAATTGAAAGTAGCAGGATGGAAAGTGATATATCATGCAAACAGCAACCTTAAAACATTTGGAATCACTTTACAAATTTCATATAAAATAGACTTTAGAGCAAAGCATGACACTAGAGATAAAGAAGAACATTTTATAAAGATATAAAAATCACTACAATTGAAGATATAGCAATTTTAAACACATATGCACCTCAGAGAGCCCCTGAATGCATAAAATACCCAACAAATTGAAAGGAAGTATAGACAACTCAACAATAATAGTTGGACACTTTAACAGTGGACTGTCAATTACAAACAGAACAATTTTGCAGAAGCTTTTAATGTCAGAACCAAAGATATCACAAGAAAAAAGAACTACAGACCCATATTATTTATAAATATAAGCAAACAAAATATACTCAAAAAAATACTAGCAATCTAGTAATGAATGAAAAGGATTTTATACCATAACAAAGTTGAATTTCTTCTTGTATATATAGAAAATTCTAAGTAGTTAATTTAAGAATGTACTAGATACAACCAATAAATAAATTTAACAAGGTTGCAGGATACCAAATCAACATGCAAAACCCAATTGTGCTTTTACACAATACCAATAAAAATGCAATTAAAACAATTTAATTTTAATAGTGAAAAAACATTAAACAGGAATAAATTTAACAAAAAAGTATTAAACTTATATTATGAAAACTAAGATATGTGGTAGAAAAAATATTAAAGATGAGTTAAGTAATTTGAAAAATATTCCATGTTCATAGATCAGAAGACTCAGTTAAAATAGAAATAATCTCTAAATTGAAAAATATCTATTAAAATTCCAGTCGTCTTAAATGCAGAAATTAAAATTGATCCTAAAATTTGTATGGAAATTCAACCTACTCAGAATAGCCAAAGCTATTTTGAAAAACAATATTAGAGAACTCACAATTCCTGATTTTGAAACTTGAGACAAAGCTACTTTAAGTGAGACAGTATTTCACTGACAGAAGGTAAACCTAGAGATGAATGGAGCAGAACTGAGATTTCTGAAATAAAATGTCACATTTTCAGTCAACTGATTTTAGACAAGGGTTCTAAGACAAATAAATAAGGGAAATAATAGTCTTTTGGACAACCATACGTAAAAGAACAAAGTTGGGCACATTCCACATAGCATACATAAAATTTTGTTCAAAAGGAGTAAAAATTATTAATCTATGTGCTTAATTTATAAAATTATTAACAGAAAATATAGGATGAAATATTTATGGATTTTTAGGTTAGAGATTTGAAGATAGGACATCTAAAGCAACAGTAACAAAAAATAAAATAGATAGGTTGGATACCATCAAAGGTCATTATCAAGAAAGTGAAAAGACACCCCACAAAATGGGAGAAAATGTTTCCAAGTCATGTATCTATCTGATAAGAAGCTTCTTTCTACATTGTATAAAAATACTTCTGCAACTCTATAATAAAAAGACAACCCCAAGAGATCGAGACTATCCTGGTCAACATGGTGAAACCCCATCTCTACTAAAAAAAAAAAAAAAAAATACAAAAATTAGCCAGGCATGGTGGCGGGCTCCTGTAGTCCCAGCTACTTGGGAGGCTGAGGCAGGAGAATTGCTTGAACCCAGGAGGCAGAGCTTGTAGTGAGCTGAGATTGCACCACTGCACTCCAGCCTGGCAACAGAGTGAGACTCCATCTCAAAAAAAAAAAAAAAAGAAAAGAAAAAACAATCCGATTTTTTTAAATGGGCAAAGGGTCTAAAAACACGTTTGTCCACAAAAGATATAAAAGCATTTATGGCCAAAACATTAAAAGATGCTCAATACCAGAGACATGAGGAAATGTAAATTAAAACCACAATGAGATTTCATCTCATACCCACTAGGGAGGCTATGATTCTTTTTTTTTTTAAAGAGCCACAAGGTAATTAAAAGTATTGGTGAATATGTTGATATAGTTTGAATGTATGTCCCTGCATAGATCTCATGTTGAAATGTAATCCCCAATCTTGGAGGTGAGGTCTGGTGGGAGATGTTTGGATCATGGGGACAGATTGCTCATGAATGGCTTGGGCCATCGCCTTGGTGATAAGTGAGCACTCACACTGAATTCATACAAGATCTGTTGCTTTGGTCTGGCACTGTGGCTCACGCCTGTAATCCCAGCACTCTGGGAGGCCGAGGCAGGCAGATCATTTGAGGTCAGGAGTTCGAGACCAGCCCGGCCAACATGGTGAAATGCTGTCTCCACTGAAAACACAAAAATTGGCCGGGCGTGGTGGTGGGTGCCTGTAATCCAAGCTACTCAGGAAGCTGAGGCAAGAGAATCACTTGAACGTGGGGGTGGGGAGGGTGGGGGAGGTTGCCACTACACTCCAGCCTGAGTGATAGAGTAAGACTCCATCTCAAAAACAAACAAACAAAAAACAAAAACAACAAAAAACAGATCTGTTGGTTTAAAAGTGTGTGGTAGTGCTGGGCGCAGTGGTTCACGCCCATAATCCCACCACTTTGGGAGGCCGAGGTGGGCGTATCACCTGAGGTCGGAGTTCTAGACCAGCCTGACTGACATGGAGAAACACCGTCTCTACTAAAACTACAAAATTAGCCCGGTGTGGTGGCATACACCTGTAATGCCAGCTACTCGGGAGGCTGAGGCAGGAGAATCGCTTGAACCCAGGAGGCGGAGGCTGCAGTGAGTGGCAATGGCGCCGTTGCACTCCAGCCTGGGCAACAAGAGTGAAACTCTGTCTCAAAAAAAAAAAAAAAGTATGTTAGTTTCCACCCCCCATGTTGCTCTCTCTTGATCCTGCTTTTGCCACATGACGTTTCTGCTCCTGTTTCACCTTCTGCTATGAGTAAAAGCTCCCTGAGGCCTCCTCAGAAGCCAAGCAGATGCTAGCACTATGCTTTCTGTCCTGCAGAATTGTGAGCTAATTAAACCACTTTTCTTCATAAATTACCCAGCCTCAGGTATTTCTTTATAGCAATGCAAGAATGGCCTAACACAGATGTGGAGATATTGGAAATCTCCATCACTCCTGGTATGAATATTGAATGGTGCAGAACTGTGAGAAGTAAATTTCTGTTTTTTATAAGTCACTTTGCTGATGGTATTTTGTTATAGCAGCCTCATGTGTTTAAGACAGTTCTAAAATAGATCGTGACAATGATTACAAAACTCTGTGAATATATTTTCAAGAACACTAACTTTTGTACTCTAAATGGGCTTATTGTATACTGTGTGAATTACATCTTAATAAAGCTATTTTTAAAAATTATCCTAATCCCAGCACTTTGGGAGGCCGAGGCGGGCGGATCACGAGGTCAGGAGATCAAGACCACCCTGGGTAACACGGTGAAACCCCGTCTTTACTAAAAATACAAAAAAATAGCCTGGTGTGGTGGTGGGCACCTGTAGTCCCAACTACTCGGGAGGCTGAGGCAGGAGAATGGCGTGAACCTGGGAGGCGGAGCTTTCAGTGAGCCGAGATTGCGCCACTGCACTCCAGCCTGGACGACAGTGCCAGACTCTGTCTCAAAAAAAAAAAAAAAAAATTATCCAGCTTTGATCTATAAATTCCTCTCTTTCCGAGCACATATTCACCCACAGTTCAATGCCCCAGTAAAATGCCAAGACCTTTTCTGAGAGAGAAATCAAGAAAAGGTGAAATGAGAAGAGGGGCTAGGTGCCAACTCAAAGTTTGTGAGAGAGACACAGAAACACAATATGCGAAGAGACAAACACAGGCCTATTTCAGGATCAAAACAAGTTTTTAGCTAGAAATTGTGTCAGTGATGATTAGTTTTATTTTGTAGGTAAGGATGCTATAGAACTACCCATTTAAGTGGCTTGGTCACGATGACATGACTGGCAAGGTTCAAAGTCGATTTTAAGAGCTGGTTCTACCAACTTTCTGACAAGTGCTTCCTTAGCTTCTTTAGAATGAATCCACTATTAATCATGAGAAGATAAGAAAAAAATTAAAAACTTTTCTATTAGTTCACCTCCTAATGCTATCTAGTGCATATAGCAAAAGGAGTCATTATCTCTTTTCTACTGTATATATTTAAATAATTTTCATCATCTACTCTCCATGCATTACTTGTATTTGTCAGCTATCATTTCTTCAAATAGAAGCTGACATTTCAAATATCAATCTAAGTTTCCATTCTAGAAACTGGTATTTTAAATGTAGTCAGTCATGATTAGTTGGGAACTCTGTTCAGTGAAGCAATGAATATTGCTAATTATAATTGAGAGGAAATGGCTACTGTTACAGATGTCAGGTTGGTGAGTGTATCCTGGAGTCAAAGGCATGCTGCTAGTTTATTTCTGCCTTCATCTTAAGAATAAGAATGTTTCACCCTGATGTAGTTTCATGATCACTTACAAAAGTGAGTGTTGAGTTTATATGCATAGCAGGTTTCCAAAATGTACACAGAAATTTATCAATAATGATTGTATCTGTGGAGAAGGACTGAAGTGTTTGCCATGACTTTTTACTGTATCCTTCTTTTTATGTGTACGTATATTTATATCTGCAAATAAATGAAATTAGATTGTAAGTTGATGGAATGAACCCTGGCATACAGATCTGCTAAAATAATCAGCATGTTATCTATTTGCTCTTCTAGATCCATGTCTCTCAGATTATGGTCCTCCAGAAAAATTGCATTTAAAATATCTAAGCTGCTTTTACAAATTTCATGAGAGAACTACAGACATTCTTTTTTAAAATTTCTAAGGACATGGAACCAAAAATTTGAATTTTTACCAGAATCTCCCATTAGATTCTTTTGGCATACTGAATCTTAGCAGCTACTTTACTGGATTATCTATTAAACCTCTAAGAAATTAGTTAATCAAAAAGTATCTGGTTTAAAGATATCATCTCAGCGTCTTGATGCAAAACCTTCAGTTAGCTAATAGCAAGGAGGAACATCTACTCCAAATTAATTTTTGTGCACTCCTTTTCAGACAGTTAATGAAATGTGATGTCTTTTAAAATCTTCAAAGTGAAAAATAAGCATATAATCTCACATTTAGGTCCCTGATAATTTTACACAGATTCTACATTGTTTTTATTTTGAAAGTTTATGTTAACTGTGCTTTTCTATTTGACTTCGATTACACAAGCCAATCCAAATAATTTTAGAAGTTTTCATGTGGAAAGACTTGAATTTCAGATATATTTTCTAAATGCAGCAAATATGCACAGTTTACTTTTATGTATGTAATTTCTTATTAAATAAATATATACATATAGTTAGACTTTATATAGAACACACTTTGAATTTTCAAGATCTATATTATTTGTTATACTGTCACGTATAACGTTTCATAAAATATCTTTTAATTTGCAAGTAATATCAAGCAAATTAAACCAATAAAGAGTATCTTGGCTCTCATAATGTTACAAATAGAGGTTAGCTTCAAGTAAGTCTCTGTCCCGTGATTCAGTACTATTGCACTAGACCTAATTTCTGATTGCTACTCTCTACAATTGGCTTCACCTTCAGAGTGGCTTTCCTTTTGATGGAAAAATCATAACAAGCAGATCTCAGGTTATATGCGTTCACCTTTATACCATGCAAGAAAGACTGTCATTTATAGCATTGCTAACAAAAACCCTGAGAGGCACTATGTTTGGATTAATTTAAAATGTTTGTTGAGTCAGGATACAGTTCATATAGCCAGAAGGAAGAAGTATGGTGATTTGGCTTAGTTAACTACATACTCAAAGCTGGTGTGTGATGGATGGTTATCAATATTCCAGACTCACATGAACCTCAAAAAGAATCTGGAGATCTGGGAGAAGGGAAAAGGGAACAGACAATTAGAAAGGCATCCCCAAATATCCACTGAGTATTTTAATTCTGTAACAAAGTTATTAAATAAAATGAGTTTTTGTTGTTGTTGTTGATTGAGACAGGGTTTCATTCTGTTGCCCAGACTGGGGTGCAGTGGCAAGATCTGGGCTCACTGCAACCTCTGCCTCCCAGGCTCAAGCCTCCTGGGCTCAAGCCATCCTCCCAACTCAGCCTCTCTCCCGAGTGGCTAGTACACAGGCACGCACCATCTGCTAGGCTAATTTTTGTATTTTTTGTAGAGATGGATTTTGCCATGTTGCCCAGGTTGATGTCGAACTCCTGAATGCAAGCAATCTTTTCACCTTGGCTTCCCGAAGTGCTGGGATTGCAGGTGTGAGCCACCATGCCCAGCATAAAATGTTGTCTCAAATTTCGTTTGTTATAAGAAATACCAAGGTTTTGTTTCATTTTGTTTTAAAATAATCCAACTATTCTTGTTCTCAAGAAAAATATTTTTATATAAAATATCACCACAAAATCATTATAGTATTTTCAACTTATTACTTAACTACCCCCTCCCCAAATCTCATGATTGGTAACATGTGCATATTTATTTGGCATTTAAGTAAAATATGCTTGTAGCATGACACATACAGAAATGGAATATATTGGCTTAAAAACATCTATGATCCCAAATGTTTGTCACAATGTTAGTGGAAAAGTTATTTTATTTGAAAATATTTCATAGTAGTCTTACTTATATTTATTTACTTATGATTATAAAATGTATTAGGCCATTCTTGCATTGCAATAAACAAACATTTGAGGCTGGGTAATTTATAAGAAGTTTTACTGGCTTACAGTTCTGAAGGCTGTACAGGAAGCATAGTGGCATCTGCTTCTGAGGACGCCTCAGGAAACTTCCAATCATGGTGGAAGGCAAAGAGAGAACAGGTATGTTGCGTGGTGAAAACAGGAGCAAGAGAGAGAGCGCGAAATGCTACACACATTTAAATAGCCAGATCTCATGAAAGTCACTCACTAGCACGAGGACAGCACCAAGAGAATGGTGCTAATTTATTCATAAGAAACCCACCCCCATGATTTAATCATCTCCCCAGGCACCAACTTCAATTCAGTGGATTATGATTCAACATGACATTTGGGTGTGGATACTATTCAAACTATATCACAAAATTAATAAAAGGACATATAATAAAATGATGATAATATAAGTGAAGTTATGAGAGAGAAAGGTCAACAAATGCTTCAGAACTCCCAAAACAGTGAGTTAAATAAATAAATTTAAGAGTCATATTCTCCTGATGAATTGATCTCCTTCAGCTATCATGCCCTTTTTATAGTCAATCTAATTCAAGAAAGAGGAATAATGGTAACATTTGGTTTTGTGTGCATGAAATGTTATATAACAACAAATATATACTGGAAATAAAAGCAATAGAATAAGAATGATGATGAGCAGGGGCCAGAGACGATTACCTTCTAAAACATTTTGGAGGTCTGCTATGTGGGCATATGCCTTTCCTAAATTCCTTGAATAGAATATAAATTTAGACTTGACCTAACAAACAGAAAAGACAGTTCAGAGCCATGGTACAATCATCAGAATAATTCCTAATAGTGTGATGCCTGTACCAGCAGCATCAGAATCACTTAATGACTTGCTAGAAATTTCAGTCCCACCTACAGAAAAGAAACTCTGGAATTACGTCCTAACAATCTATGTTTTAACAATCTCTTCAGATGATTCGGGCACACATCAGTTCAAGAACTAATGACTTACGATTTCCAAATTCTCAAGTTTTTCTTTTTTTTCAGAAGAATATTTGGAGTTTATTTTTTTTTAAATGTATTTGGGTATTGACAGAGTCCATGGGGAGTTTTCAACCATTAGGGCTCTTTTTTTTTTTTTTTTTTTTTGAGACAGAGTCTGGCTCTGTCGCCCAGGCTGGAGTGCAGTGGCTCGATCTAGGCTCACTGCAAGCTCCGCCTCCGGGATTCACGCCATTCTCCTGCCTCAGCCTCCCCAGTAGCTGGGACTACAGGCACCCGCCACCATGCCTGGCTACTTTTTTTGTATTTCTAGTAGAGACGGGGTTTCACCCTGTTAGCCAGGATGGTCTTAATCTCCTGACCTCTTGATCCGCCCGCCTCTGCCTCCCAAAGTGCTGGGATTACAGGAGAGAGCTACTGAGCCCGACCCCATTAGAGCTCTTTATAAATAAATCAGTACAGGGCTGTAGTTAAGCAAGAGATAATATACAAGATTTGTGAACTTGTGATCTGGCTTCTACTTTTGATTCTTGAAATAGCTTCATGTTTTGAAACTATTTCTTCTTATCACTATACAGCTGTATGTCAGGAGCCGTGTGGAGCATTATGCAGACAGTATCTTTGAAACCCACAATTATGTACTATTCAATGAGATATTAATTTATCATTTTATAGCTGAGGAGCATTACTGATCACATATCTGAGACAACAAGATTCCTACTTTGGGCTGCAAACCTCACAGAATTCCATATTTATGAGTGTCTTCTTGCAAACAATTTAAGGTCCTTTTTGGTACCTGACAGAGTTGAAGACCAGGGTATTTTGTGGGTAGAGAGTCCTGAGCCCAGGCTGATTCCTGTGTGGGCCCAGTCTCCAGTCTTCATGTCTCTCCTTCAGGCACTCTGACTCCCGCACATCCTCTCTCAACTCATCTCAGATGCTCTCATAAGCTTTGAGATTCATGCCTCTAGGGGTATCCCAGGGCCTGATGACTGGTCCCTGATTTCCGGAGAGCAGCCTGGCAAACTGATCACTCTCAATGAGCAGTGTGCCATTTCATGCATCGAATAGTGCAAGACTGGGCTGCCACAGGGTGGTAGGTATGCTGGGTTTGAAGCACTCAGATTACTTATCTAAACAGGGTTTCTGAAAACAAACAAACAAAAAAGGAATGCCTGTCATCTCTACACTCAGGTGTAGGTAGTGTGTAGGGTGCCCCAAGCTCAAAGAATTCAGGTGATTGCTTAAGCTCACATAGCTAGGAAGTGGTAAAGTCAGGATTCCAAACACATTTTAAGTCTTTTTCCTTATACATGATTTCATATATATTTACAAATATTTCTGATTTTGAACATGTAAATTTGAAAAGGGCATTGAACCTTAACTAACAGAGTAATATTAGTAAGCAATCCATAAACTGCAGATGGCTTCATGAAATCATATATTTAATAAACATACCTTTACCAAAATTGAAAATCAGTGGTATATCACTGGAATGTATGTATTTTAGGTTTGTTTAGTAATGGGTGTATATTTATAACAGTAACTATAATAATAATCATATTAGAAACTAGAACAGCAAATATGTAGGGGTACATACTGGGCCAAGGCAAAGTAAAAATGGCTTTCTTTATGTGATCTATCTCATTTATTCTTCCTAATCATATTACCAATATTCAGACAAAGCTGCTTACAGAAGTAAAGCAGTTTGCCCATGTTCACACAGCTATTTCGTGATGGAGTCAAGATTAAAATCCTTGCTTGTTTTCAGAGTCTCATTCTTGTATTAAGGCCTTGCTGGTTTGGAGTGGTTGGGAGAGAGACAGCAACCACTACTTGTGTAAGTGGATTTGCTAAATGTACGGACCTGTAATTTTATGCAAGTTTGTTAACTTTTTAACTTTTTAAAATATATTTTAGATAGTTATTCTCATTTTCTAAAGATAATTCAGTATTCATCGTGATTCAAACTTTTTTAAAACTTCAGATGTGATCCAGTTAAACTGCATATTACTTACATACTTCAGAATTTTTTTAAATTTAATTTAATTCTATTTTAACTTCCAGGATACATGTGCAGGACGTGCAGGTTTGTTACATAATTATACATGTGCCGTGGTGGTTTGCTGCACCTATCAACCCGTCACCTAGGTATTAAGCCCTGCATGCATTAGCTATTTTTTCTGATGTTCTCCCTCCCCCTGCCTCCTTAACAAGTCCCAGTGTGTGTAGTTCCCTTCCCTGTGTTCTCATTGTTCAGCGCTCACTTATAAATGAGAACATGCAGTGTTTGGTTTTCTGTTTCTATGTTAGCTTGCTGAGGATATTGGCTTCCAGCTCCATCCACGTCCCTGCAAAGGATATGATCACTTTCCTTTTTATGGCTGCACAGAATATTTAATATTAAATTAAAATGTATACTTAACTACAATAAACTCATGCCTTAAATAATGCAATTCTTAATTTTTTAAAAGTGTATTTCAAAGCTGCCATGTGTTTTGTGCATAATTAACATTAATTCAACCTCTAATAAAGCTCTATGACAAATTTAAGTATTATCTAGACAATAGCCTCTTATTGGAAATTACTAGCAAACTCATAACCAAATGACCTTCAGTATAAAGAAGAGGGTTTGGAAATACGATGTCAATTTATTATAGTCTTCAACTTTTACTGAAAGTGATATACTGAAGAAGGAAGTAAAAAGAAATAAGGCAATTCATCACTTCATTACGAAAAGGACCTATGATCTTAATGTCCATTCATACTGTTATATTCTGCCAGAATTCAAAGACAGCTGTTACTGAGATAAAATTTAGGAAGTATTAAGCCACAAATATGTCAATGCTGAAGTCAGTTCTTAGATTCTAAAAATACATAGTGTAATACTATTTTTGTTTTCCACTGAAGAACTTTTATTTAAACTTTTGTGTTTCTTATATCTGGTTATACAGTCATTGAATTGTATTTATCCTGTGAGTTGGAAAAAAAACTTAATAATGCTAGTTTTTATATGTATAAAGAATAGAGTTGCTTTCTTTCTTAATTTTTAAGGACACTGAAACAATAATCACATTTTAGGGTTCCTGTTGTATTAAGAGTTGAAACGATTGAAAACGGGAGTAGAAATAACATGGTAAGAAGCAGAATTCTCACCATTAATGTTCAGAAATGTACTTCTATGACACTTAATTAAAATGAATTTCAACTGTTTACCTGACTATTTTTCATAGTTGGACTGTGGAATTCTTTCTTTTTCATGTTACTGAAGACTACAAGAAGTAGCCAGCCCACATCAACATTCACAGTTCTCTATCATAGTTCCTTAAGTCTTGTTTACCTAACTATAACTCCCAAAGCCCAGAAAGTAGCAGTTTAATTAGTGGCTTATCTTCAGCACATAAAGGATTTTCAACAATTCCTCTTGAGAAAGAAAGGCTGTCCATCTTAGTTCTTATGTTGAATCAACTATGTTCATGTTTATAGGGTCTGTCACTTGAAAAAGCCTATGTCAAGTATCACCATCTGTGAACAATTTCACTGTTTGAATTGAAAATGATAAATTTTTGTAGTTTTGTTTATATCTGTTCTAATTTGTTTTCTGCTGCCATAACAGAATACCACAGGCTAAGTAATTTATAAAGAAAATAAATTTATTTCTCACAGTTTTGGAGGATGGAAAGTCTAATATCAAGATGCTGGAGTCTTGAAAGGGCCTTCATGCTGTGGCTTCTCATAGCAGAAGGCAAGCAAATGCACTTCATCCTTTCAACAGTAACTCACTCCTGACATAACTAATCTACTTTGGTGATATCACATTAATCCATTTATAGGGCAGAGCCTTCATGACTTAATCATCTCCTAAAGGTACCACCTCTCAACACTGTTCTGATGTCAATTAACTTGTAATATGAATTTTGAAGGGGACATGAGAACCACGGCATTTTCCCCCAGACCTCTGCCTCCTGCCTTTCATCAGGAACCCACTCTCCCCATGACAGCATTAATCCATTTGAGGGCAGAGCCTTATGACTAAATGACCTCTTAAAGGTCATGCTTCTCAACACTGTTACAATGACAATTAAGTTTTAACATGATTTTTGGAGAAGACATTTAAACCATAGCAAAATCATTTGCAAAGCACACAGTAAAATCTAATATAGATTATGTTAAATGCTATCAGACTATTAAACATTTCAGGCATAAAAAGAAAATAATAATAAATAACACAATACAATTCTAAGGTAACAAATATATAAATTAGTTTCAGAAATGGTTGGATACAGAGCCTTGGCAATATTGTCAGAGTTTTTAATCTTCGTTTTTTTTTCATCCAACAGCCTCTCTCTGTCCCTTTTCCTCATGTTCATCTACTGCAAAAAGTTCGTTCCATATGATAACAGGAGGCTCATAAAACTTACCGATAGGAGTAGATCGTTAATAATGAGGATTCTGACTGGTTGTTATCCATCAACGTATCCAAGCCTGGATCATTTGTCCTATAGGTTGGCTCGGATAAATCAACACCTTTCAAAGCCTTTGCAATAGAAGAGAGGTTTTAAGGGAATTTTGACCATAATATAAATTTAATACAAATAATAAGTATGAGACTTGAGGTCATAAGGTTTATTTTACATTTGTTTATCAATGAGTTATTTCAGTAGTACATAAAGTGAGAAGATAATGGCATGATTATTTTATATTGAGAATAATGAGAGGTCATGCCACCAATATAGCTCAAAAGTTGCCATATTCTCTCCACTCCACAGATATTTTGTCCTGACCTCAAGCCAAAAAGAATCAGAATTAAAATCTTAATGTTTTCATTAAGTAACTATAATTTAAATATGAATAGGAGCATTTTTTCATAATCACAGAAAAGATTAACTATTAATTAAGGTTTGCTTTAACTTTTACTACAAGAGACCCTTTGATAAAGATGATGAACTTTTAAACCTAAACAATTAAATAGAGTAATTTTATCATGAAAGGAGCACTATTCTAATAATTTACTGCCACTTTATCTTGAGGAAACATAATGGTTAATTTTATGAAAATTAAAATGATAATGACTAGCAGTTATTTTTGCTCAAGTTAAAATGATAAAAAGAAATGCAGCTGAATTTTATATGTTATATTATTCTCTAAAAGGATATGTGAGAGACTAAAAAGCCAATCTGAAAGCCAATATAAAGGCAATGTAATTTATTCACTATCCTTCTTTTAGAAAAGGGATTTATTTCTCTCTGTGTTAGCATTTTCTTAAAATGCATTGGCTTACTCTTCAATTCATTTTAGCATTTCAATTTCCTGTGAGTGCTTTCGATTTGTCACTACTTACTAAAAAAGATAGTGATAATAAAAATGGCTTAAACGTAATTGTAATTTTCATGATGACACTAGAGTATTTTAAAGAATGAAAGGGAGACAATCCAGTTAAATTGCTATTTTCGATCCCAGTTGGAATTTTTAGATATAAATGGTTTTACATAAATGGCAGAACTGTCTTGGAGGTAAGGTCATTTAAGCAGTTGATTTCAGTAGAAATAATTTTATAACAGACCAACTCGTCATGCAGTAAGGCACAGAACTGATGCTATGATCAGTAGCCTTTGTCAAGATATTTGTCCTCGCTCGGATTTCATAAAAAATATAAAGGAGAATATTTAATTATAAGACATTATGTTTAATGTATAGGCAGTGGATCATTAGTGTATATATATTTCGTTCAAAGTTATTGTTTTAAAGGGTGAGGAGGATTCTTGGTGGCTGCCTGTAATACATAAATTATACTTTTTTCCTGTAGATCTTGATTGGTTGGCTTAACAGGAATGTGTTTGTGGCAGAATAAAGTAGATGGGAAATGAGACACAAACGTAAAGCAGTGACATTATTGTTTGTGCTCTACTCCCAGTTGGTTTTAATGGAAAGCATTTAACCATAGTATGGGTTGGGGATTTGATTGGCATTAGTCTTCACAAGGGGTACAAGTAAGAAAATTGCCCATGCTACATGTGTTGTATGTATGAAGTAATATAACATATATAATGCTTAGTAGAGAATAAAAACATAGACATGAATAATTATTCCAAACTTGATTTTCACATATGTTGAGCATAACTAAAGCTTCTTACAGACTGACAGGAGTGAAATGGAGCGAAGCAAAAATGACTTAATGATAGGCACAGCAAACCTTATATATAATTTTTACATATTTTGAGTATGGAACTGGTATATGGTATCATGACTGCACAATGTTTTAGTAAAAATAGCAAATAATTGTTTTTATTTTAAAAAGCTCAGATAATTTTTTCTACTTTAAATGATGTAATAATGATCCTTGTCAAGGTGACTCAACTACCTGAAAAATTTGCTTCCTTTAACAATAATAACTTTTCCAAATGTAATTTCGAATTTCCATGTTTTTAAAGGTAAACATTTTATAGTTAGCATTAATAGAATGTTTTTAAAAGGTCTTTTAGTTCTTCTAGAATTATGAATATATTCCAGTTTATTACAAACTTTCTCAAGGAAAATTACATTTTTTGCCATTAGAATTGGTAGTAAAAAAAACCCCACAAGTATTTAGAAGATAATTAAATTATTTGATTGCAGATACAAACAGAATATACACCAAGTCACATTTAAATGGTACTAATTAACAATCAGACATTTAATGGCAGAACAAAATTGATTTTTGAAATCATATTATTTCTGCTTATTTTTAAATAAAAATTTGAAATTATATAAGTACTTCCATTGATGACTATAATGCTGAGCTTAAGGCATTGCTTAGAAAATTGTGGATGTTTTAAGAATATTCTTCACTAACTATTCTTTATAGAGAGAATTAATGTTTTTATGCAGTACGTTTCCACATAAGAGTTGAAATTAAAATCAATTTAGGACACGAAGACAGTCACAAACTCGTGTGTCACGGGATGCAGTAGTCGAGTGTCTCTAAACAATTTTAAATGTTTTCCACCTGTTCAGCACAATGATGAATTTCTAAGATCCCTGTCTAACTCATGGCTAATTACTTGTCTGTGTATTTGCTGTTTGGGTCCTATGTATGCATCAAAATACTGAACAGTTAAAGATAAATATTTTCCAAATGCCTGTTTCTCCTAGGATATGTTAACACTGTATTCATCTTCAGTGAGAAACAGTCCTGTCTGTCTCAGGAAATCTTAGCTTTCGTTCTTCAGTTTATCTCCAAACTTCTGCCATATTGGATAACTGTTTTTTTGACCATGGCTTCAGGTTTTTCTCACAGATTCATCTACAGTAGTCAAATATGAAAAAAAAAAAAATGGTTCCGTTGGCCGTGAACTTAAAGTCTGAATAAAATGGATGAGATTTTATATTTTTTAAAATAGTTTTGCTTAAAAATGTAGGATTCGCTCTTAAAAGTGTTATCTTGCAGTGTTTCATTAAAATGAAGAGTTGAGGGAAAATTATACTATTAAAAGTTTTAAAGTAGATATCCTTTTTAAAAGAAATTTAAAAAGAGAGAAAAGAAGAAAGCTTACATCACAGTTTGTGGAAAACAAGTAATGTTTCGATAATTCAAAATGCCGATATAAGAAAAAAACAGAAAAGTATTGAGATGGCGGAATTGCTTATAAGGATGATTATTGAAATGGAAGGGAGAAAGATATCAAGGTTTGTTCATAGTGATAGACTATGTAAAGCTAATAAATTCAGGAAAAATATTGGAAATAATCAAGATCCTGTGAAAAAAATAAAGAGAATGTAGAATTGGGTAAAAAAAGGAAGTTTGTATTTTAATATATATTTGAAAAATATAAATGAACTATAAACAAAATACATATAAATATATACATATTATGTATTACTTTTGTGTATAAAATTATGTATTTGCATACATGTGTGCATGTGTGTATGTACAATGTAGGTGTATATAAATGATATATAATATTTATTTCATTAGTGAACACATTTCAATTATGTAGAGCTGGATTCAAATCACCCTACCTGGTAGTTTCTGAGGATGTAGTATCCTGGTATTACCCCTCTGACTTTGGCTGGATTCCTTACAGATAATACTGTAATCAATTGTCTATATTATCTAGTTTTTTTATGCATTATTGTATTAGTTTTCTCAACCTTTCTTAACAAAACATAACTGATTAAGTGGCTTAAGCAACAGAACTTTATTTTTTCACAGTTCTGTAGGCTGGAAGCCTAAGATCAAGGCATCAGCAGGGTTGATTTCCACTAAGTCCTCCCTCCTTGGCTGTAAGATGGCTGTCTCCTTCTTTTCTTCATGTGATCTTCCCTCTGTATCAGTCTGTGTCCTATTTTTCTCTTCTTATAAGGACACCAGTCCTACTGAATTAAGGCTTACACTAATAACCTCATTTTAATTTAGTTACCTAATTAAAGACCCTATCTCCAAATATAGTCACATTCTGAGGTCCTAAGGGTTAGGACTAACATATGAATTTGAAAGGTGGGAATAATTCAGCACATAGCAGTTAGCATTACAGCCTGGGAAGCACTTCGTGTTGGGAATATCTGGAAATTTTGATCCTGGAGACTCACTTTAGTTGTTTGCACCCAACCTTTATGTTTTTCCTCTGAGTCCCTTACTATGCTTGGGTTCAGCTTATTTAGAAGGAATATTAGGAGTAAAAGCAATAACTCAATGCAGGTTATTTTTTTGTTATGTAGAATTTTTTGTAGGATAAAATAATTTTATAACTTCAGAATTTTTAATTTAACATGAATTAATATTTGTGAATTAACATGAATTACAACATTTGTAATTCGTATTTAGGAAATCTGTTGAGTGCCCTCACTTTACATATCTTTAAGATTGAGAGAGTTAAATTGAATGATAGAGTGTGTTCAGCAAGTGCTAAGATAAAATTTATATCTATTCAAATAATTTAAAAGTATTTATTTTGAGATCCTTGCAACAAATGTGGGAACATATCACTCATTTTCAAAAATGAGGAAAAAATAACACAAAGAAGTTGAAATGGATAATTACAAATATAATCTTCATTTTGAATGCTTATAGGTCTATTTAAAATTTAAAAACATGATTTAGTTGGGAAACATTCATCTAACTTATCACTTTTATAGTGAGTATTACCATTTAAATGTCACAATGAACAGAATAATTGTGTTCTTTGAGTGCCATTTCAATTTAATTAAGTTTAAATTACTTTAAACTACTTACAAATGCTGTCTTAATATTTACTATTTAGTGTTTGGCATTTTGTATCAATGTAATGCAATTAATTAGGGAAATGAAGCATAATTTATCTCCTAATAGTATACCCAAGATTATAATATAGTCTATTGTATATCTGAGATATTTTGGGTGATTGAAATTTGTTGTAAGCATCTTGCTTTAACATCTTGCTTGTTTTTACTCAGCATTTACATATTTAAAATGCTCTAATCAAGGCAAATGCCTAACCCTAGTGTATTCATTGCTAAAAAAGAAAATAAGAAATTCTAACAAAAAGAAACCAAATTAGATTCCTGGGATGGTTAAAGCTAAATGCATTTCTACTTACAAGTAAGAAAAAAAACTATGTTGTATAAAAGTGAGTATATGGAAATCTTGATTATAGTAGTTATCCTTAACTTAAAAAAATTAATTCAACTTTTTAGTTTTAGGCACAATAATTTCTCAAGAAACAGGAAATTCTTGCAGGATTATATCATAAAATAATTAATAGTTACTTCTGCATTTAATTATTACACTTCTGTATAATTCCTTCCATTAAAAATATTGTAAGATGTCTATTTCATTACAAAACACAAAATTTGATTAGTCCAGATTTTTTAAAAAATAAAGAATTGATACCTATGCAGAATGAAATTTATATGACTTATAAATATTACTTCTGCACAAAATTAAAGTTATTGAATATTTTATTAATAACAATTATCTGTAAATCAACTTTCACTGCCTTATTCATTCATAGGTCATCCTTCTTATTTAACTCATTTGTGTATACTATGATTAAGTGTTGGATTCAAATTCTTTAACTAGAATCACACCCTTTTCTAATACTTAAATTAACTTAATGAAAATGATGGATCAAATGAGAAACATTACCTTTATCAAATTTAGGAAAGTATTTTAAACTCAAATTCTTAATACTAAAAATATCTAGAGTTATAATTTGAATTAAGTCAAAGAGAAAACACAGAATCACATGGTCAAATGCTTTTGAAAGAAAGAAGAGCAAAATTGTAAAGGGTTCTGCTCATATCTTCTTACTTGAAAAAGTATCTGGAAGATTATAGGGTAAGTGGGGCACTATGTACTTGGAGCCATTTCCAATACAACTTTTCTGCAGCAGCCACGAATCTGTAATCAATAACTCACTGCTAAGCATTGGCATTTGTCCTTCTTATCAAATCTTCCCCTCTCCCTCAAGCTTTCTTCTCCTTCTCTGTGGTGGTTAATTTTAGGTGTCAACTTGATTGGATTGAGGAATGCCCAGACAGCTAATAAAATACTATTTCTGCATGTGTCTGAGAGAGTGCTTCCAGAAGAGATTAGCTTTTGAATCCATACACTGAGGAAGATCTGCCTTCACCAGTGAACTCAGACATCATCCAATTTATGAAGGGCTCAAGTAGAACCAAAAAAGTGGAAGAAGGGCGAGTTCTTAATCTCTCTGTCTCCTTGAGCTGGAGCATCTATCTTCTCCTGCCCTTGGACATCAGCACCCCTGGTACTTGGGCTTTCAGACTCTAGGACTTATACCAGTGATATCCTCACTTCCCTATTTTTCAGGCCTTTGGCCTCATATTGTGATTTTTCTTGTTGGCTTCCCTGGTTCTCAGGTATTCAGAACCAGACTCAATTATACCACCAGCTTTCCTGATTCTCCAGCTTGCAGATGTCATATCAGGGAACTTCACAGCTTCCATAATTGTGTGAGTCAATTTCCACAATAAAAATCTTCTTATATGCATCCATATGTATCCTATTGGTTCTGGTTCTCTGAAGAATCCTGAAGAATATATCCTTTCCTTACTCTTGTCACCCATCATTTTTTTTTGAAATCCCTGTATTGATTAATAAACTACATGGGGACATACATGTTCTGAAAGAGAATGACATTAAAATTAAAAAGGGATAAATGTTCAGTGAAAAAAATATATAACTTTTACCAAATAACCTATGAGATAAGATATTAATATCCAGATCTGTGAACCAAAGTGATGACTTACTCCAGCTAAACCAAACCTAATGGCATTTAGAATGTCAAAGGAGGATAAAATGAATAATTTAGCAAATTAATATGAAATAATGGAACACACATACACAATTAACATAGTTTGATTCCCATCTTGCTCTTTTCAAAGTAAATAGCAGATTATGTCAAGATTTTGTGAGCCATAGTAGTGTGAGGTTTGCTTTCTAAATTCTGGCATTTATCTATTCATAATTCAAGCCAATAGTAAATAAGGAATCTGTGATTAGCTAAAGGGAGCTATATGAAACATGCACGCAGAAACTCTGATATCAGTTAGTTTGAAATTATGATGGTACCTCTTGCCATCTAAACTAAATGGAATAGAGCCTGGACAATGGGGCGACCTTATTTCTCAATTATAGGCAGAGAATCTGGAATGGCTCCCTGCTTCCCAGTCTCACCCTTATGAAGAAATTCTCATAGGAAAAGAAAACCTGGACCTTTCTTATAAACACATGTATTAGTCCATTCTCATACTGATATGAAGAAATGCCCAAGACTGGGTAATTTATAAAGAAAAAGAGGTTTAGCAGACTCACCGTTCCTCGTGGTTGAGGAGGCCTCACAATCATGGTGGAAGGCAAAGGAAGAGCAAAGGCTCATCTTACATGGTGGCAGGCAAGAGAGTGTGTGCAGGGAAACTGCCCTTTATAAAACCATCAGATCTCATGAGACTTATTCACTATCGTGAGAACAACATGGGAAAAACCCTTCACCATGATTCAATTACCTCACACCAAGTCCCTCCCATGACAATTGGGGATAATGGGAGCTACAATTCAAGATGAGATTTGGGTGGGGACACAGCCAAACCATGTCAACACACAAGGCAGGCAGACAAAAAGGCCATAAGCTCCTGCTGGAGTGTGAGATAGATAGATGTTCTACATCCATGGGTCATGCATACCCCAATCAGATCACTTACCCTTGCCTTAGCAGATAGAAAGAGGTGGAGAGGGAGAAATTCACTCATAGAAGTTCTCTGAGGATGTAAAGGTAGAATTTTTTTTTTGCTATAAATTAATGTCCCATTTCACTTTTCAAAATTGTGTTATCTTAGTCTATAGAATTTCCAAACCAAGTCTATAATCAGTCAAGGAAAAAGAAAAACCAGTAGCATATGAAGGCATTCCATATCTACGTTCATAAAGCCTTTCAGCCAGTACCTGCCTCGGCTTCTCGAGTGTTCTGAGACCAGTTAGGTGAAATTCAATTTTGCCTGAGATCACTTCTTAATTTGTCAACCATTTCCCAGCTGAAGAAGTTGAGGATGATAAAGTTTTATTTTGCAAGCCAGCAAGTTCTGCATTACAAAATTGTCTTCTAGATTCTGCTTGAAAATGTAAAATGTTCAGTTTATCTTTATCTCTGCCAATTAATAGAAGAAACCAATCAGCATTTTTAATATCCTACTTGAACATATCTTCATATATAATAAGTTCATTTAATACATTTCCCATCTTCTGTGCTACAGTAGGTAATGATGTCATGTAACATGTGTCTTCTTTTCTCCCAGTTATCCCAGTGTCAAATAGCAATTTCTTTTTGCCTGCTCCACCCTCCACCAACCATTAGTTTACTATTACTCTAGTTTTCAATTACGGCTTCCTTATCCTTTTTAATGTTCTTACTTATTAGCACTTCCAAAAGCCAGTGCCAAATATTACAGGTTTTGTTACAACAGCCCACTACCTGTGGCACTAATTTCTGATTATTTGTTTATGGTGAGTAATAATTTATTGTGACATGACAAATCATCACAAACAGTTTCTTGAAAACAGGTTTATTACTTTTCATGCTTCTGAGGATTGGCTGGCAGATACAGTGTTGGCTGTGATGACTGTGGGACTGCCTTCATCTGGGAGTTCAGCTGGGCTGAAATGTCCCAGGAGATCCTTCTCACATGTATGGGGCTTTAGTACAGGCTATTGACTGTATAGCTTCAGTTCTGTTCATGGAGCCTTTCTCATTGCACATGGTCTCTCATCATCCAATAATTTTGCTTATCCTTCTGCAAAAAGTTGATGGCTTTGAAGAGAGAGTTATTTTAAAAGGTACATGAGAATTTACTTTATTTAGGTATGGTGAGGCCAACAGATCAGGAGATTACTGTAATTAAAATGGCAATTGTGGACAGGCATGGTGGCTCATGCTTGTAATCCTAGCACTTTGGGAGGCCTAGGCAGGGGGACACCTGAGGTCTGGAGTTGAGACCAGCCTGGCCAACATGGTGAAACCCCATCTCTACTATATATATATATATATATATATATATACACACACACACAAAAATTAGCCGGGCATGGTGGTGGGCACCTGTAATTCTAGCTACTTGGGAGGCTGAGGGAGGAGAATTGCTTGAACCTGGGGTGCAGAGGTTGCAGTGAGGCGAGATCATGCCATTGCACTCCAGCCTGAACGGCAAGAGTGAAACTCTGTCTAAAAGAAAAAAGAAAAAAAAAAGGCAATTTGTAACTCACTGTTTCCAAAAGAATGGGGAATACCACACCATGCAGGCCGCATGGAGAGGCACCAGGGTCAGTTAGGAGTCTGAAAAAGCAAATGAAGAACATGGCTGAAAACCTGTATTGTGGTTATTTTGGGAAGGAAAGGGTGAGGAATGGTAAGTAGGCTTAGAATTTGACACTGAATAATTTTGGTGGGCTCTGGATTATAAGGGTGGTCCCTCGTTGCCTAGTACTTGGTGCTGGACTGATTTAGGGCAGGGAGATATTGTCCCTGGATGGCAAGAGCCTGATAAAGCAGATGATGGAGTTTATGAACTCAGATTCGGTTGGTTTGCATATCAAAGGCATATTCACAGGTAAGTTGTTTGCTATGTCCAGGAAAAAGCTAATTCTGGGGGAATCAGCCTTTCCCAAGGTCTACAAGGCCCCAACATGCTAAAGAATCATAAAATACAGAAAATTTAAAAATAATAATAAATGAAAGAGTGTTACAAAAGAATTAAAAAGAAGGAGGCAAACAGATTTTTTTTTTTTTTTTTTTTTTTTTTTTTGAGACAGAGTCTCACTGTCTCCCAGGCTGGAGTGCAGTGGCGCGATCTCGGCTCACTACAAGTTCCACCTCCCGGGTTCACGCCATTCTCCTGCCCCAGCCTCCCGGGTAGCTGGGACTACAGGCGCCACCCACCATGCCTAGCTAATTTTTTTGTATTTTTAGTAGAGACGGGGTTTCACCGTATTAGCCAGGGTGGTCTCAATCTCCTGACCTTGTGATTTGCCCGCCTCGGCCTCCCAAAGTGCTGGGATTAGAGGCATGAGCCACCGCGCCCGGCCAGCAAACAGATTTTAAAGCATAGCCTGAGAAGTCATACGGTATGGTGGACATAGGAATATATCGTCCATATTCTTCTTCAAAAAACATGTTGCCTTGTGGTTGGAAATCTTGTTAACAAAAAGTTTTCCCATGTGAGCACTTTCAAAAGTTGTGTCAGTTACAGATATTTACTGCACCTGTGGTAACCTACCATCAAGGACACCCACATTCAATAAATGATGGTAATCGGGCATAAAGAAAGACTTGGCCATTTTAACTAAATGAAGGATGACTCTGAAAGACATTTTAGTTCCAGTGCTCCATGGCAGGTCGGCTAAAGATACAGTAAGTTGTTTGCAGGTCATCTTCTTCCTCTGTTAAACATTGCTTTCTTCCCCTTGTCTATGTAGATGTTAATACAAAGCGCATCCCCTAATAAACATCACGCACACTAGCCTCCATTTCAGGCTCTGTTTCCGGGAGAATTCAAACTATGAGAAACAGCATTATTTCCAACACATTTACTGGCTTATGCAATCCACAAAGCCATCCCAATTTCACATGGGTGGAAAAATGAACTCCACTTTTTTAAAGGAAGAGTATCAACAGAAATTTACAGCCAAAGTTTACAACCTTCCCCAGATACCAAGATTCTAGAGCAAGGTTATATCTTCTGATACAGAGAACTATTTACCAATTAATAACAGTTTCTGAAATGTAACTGGAGCCTAGTAGAATCAGAGAGACTAAAAGTAGATTAAGTAACTGAGCTTGGTTACCATGACGTATGGTATTGTCAGATCCACAAAATAATTAGATAAGCAGGGATACTAGTAATTAGAACATGAAGGAAATGATATATTTTGTGTAATTCAAACAGCACCCGAGAATTCAGTAAGCTATTCAAAGAGCTTACTCAAACTCCCATCTCGTCTACCTCTTTTTAGACACAGTTTTGCTCTTGTTGCCCAGGCTGGAATGCAATGGCATGATCTCGGCTCACTGCAACCTCCACCTCCTGGGTTCAAGCGATTCTCCTGCCTCAGCCTCCCAAGTAGCTGGGATTATAGAGATGCGCCACCATGCTCAGCTAATTTTTTTGTTGTTGTTGTATTTTTAGTAGAGACAGGGTTTCTCCATATTGGTCAGGCTGATCTCAAACTGGTGATCCGCCTGCCTCGGCCTCCCAAAGTGCTGGGATTACAGGCATGAGCCACCACGCCTGGCCCCCTCATCTACCTCTTTTGACCTATTTTCTCTCCTCAGTCTACATCTTTCTTATATGTATGATTTACCTTCATTTAATAGAGTGAATCAAAAGTTCTGAGTAGGTCATAAACATTGTGACTCAATATATTAATTACAACAACAGCAACAACAAAAAAAACACTGACACATTATTGCCTTACTTAACAGTGACCCTAACAAACATCAATGGTAGAAAAACTTCATAATAAGCTGTATTATTGATATTCAATTCTGTATATATGTGTATATGACCTGATGAGAATAGATGTATGGACTCCCAGACAGTGGTGAATGGCTTAGCTCATAAGTTAGGGGATTAGAAAGGACAAGACTAAATGTTGGAGTCAAAACAGTCTGGAAAGGATTAGCATTGGACCAATTAGAGTAGGAAAAAAGGTATGTAGGTCTTTGAATCATGTATCAATGCCCATGGAAAAGGATCATTTGAAATGAGTTATTTCACAAATAACAGGTGGATGTCAGCTACTCTCTCTTCTTTGTCACATAGAATTTGTATGAAGGATCCATGAACAGAGTTTCCAAGATTTCAAGGATGAGTGTGATGTATGGACACTGCAGTGTGGCCTTCCTCTCACCCAGAGGACATGCTAGTGTTGAGTTCTTAATTTATCAACCACAGAAACCTATGCTGCTCTCTATTTCCCAGCATGTCTTAAGGAGGCCAGCTAACTACTTGGTGTCAAGTCCATTTCAGTAGAATCATTTACCTTTGAGAAATTATAAATGTATTATTATGCATACTCCCACCTATATCTGATATGGGTTTTCCCTTCTTGTCAATGATATCTCTGTCATCACCAGTAGAAGACCTCCTGATTTAATTACAGGAGATTTTGTGTTACATACCTCAGACCAAGGGAGGCATTTAATAGGAAAGGAGTTGCAATATGGATGAATGATCATGGGCTCCCCTAGTCCCACCAAATAGCACACCCCTCATCAGCATCTGAGGGTGACAATATCAGGATAGACTGTCAAAGCACAAGATAAGAATTCAGCTTGACAACAATACTTAGCAAATCTCGTTTACTGTTTTCCAGGGACTGTTATGTCATCAAACTAATGGTAGAATATGGCATTGGATCTTAAATAGCTAGAATACATGAGTTCACAAAGCAAAAGATGGAAGTAAGATCGGCCCTTCTCACTATTTCCAGTGACTCACTTGGAGAATTGTGCTTCCTATCATGGTAAAGTGAAGGTCTGTTGCACTAGAGCTCTTATTCCTAGGCAGGGATGGTTTTACCATGTGAAAGTAGGGTTTCCATGAAATGAGAAGCTAAGACTGCCTCATGGTCAACTTTGGAATTCTCATGACCACAGAATAACAGGCAAAAGCAAAAAAAAAAAGTTAATTGGAGGAGTTACACTTCCTGCTACAAAATGAAATATGTCTAGAGCACAGGGGTTTTATTGTTGAGTCTCTGCCAACTTATAACAATGAATTAGCAATTGCAATAATGAAAACCTCAATAGGGCAAGAAAATTAGTGCCTCATCTCCCTCAGGGTTAAGCTCTTCTTGATTACCCAATCAACCAAGCAGCATCATCGCCTGAAGTGCTGTAATGGGTGGTGGAGGAAAGATATAATGATCGGTTATGAGCTCTGGTGAAAATATATTTCAATTATTCTTCTGTATTTCATAATTTTTTTTATTTTTTAAATTGAACCACTATCTTGAAAAATAAACAACAGAGAGGACTTTAAGGATCACAGAAAGCTTTTGAAGTTAAGGTATATTTATTGTTTTGATTATAATCATAGTGCCATTAGTGTATGCAGATATCAAAATTATTACATTGAACAATTTAAATGTGTTCATTTTACTGTCATCAATAATAACTCAGTGCATCTGTTTATGGATGAATATATCAGGTACATATGTAATGAATTGTATATATACATAGGTGTGTTTAATACATTGAATTTTGTTCATCATTACATGTTGTAGATAAGATATTGTGGCATAAGAATAACTCACTTGACTTTATTATATCATGCCACATATCTAGAGACCTGGCATTGTTGTTTAGGCTGCTTTACTGAAGCTCACAAACAAAAATCAGTGACAATGCCACTGAAAGAATTGGTTAATGAGGCTTTATTTTGGCTTTATGGTATTCAAACACATAAATATATTGTGCTTCAGATTTGTTCCTTCCTCAAAAGTTGTACATGATAAGAGATGAAGATAAATGGAATCAAATGAACTTCAAAATCAGTAACATTCCAAAAGTAATCAATCACTCTCTCATGATTCAAAGAGCAAATTATGCCACAGAAGATTTAAACGGGTTTCAGTAATTAAACAACAGGACTTAAGATGTTCTATCAACTGATCTTTCACTATTTCATACAGATAATATTATTTGTATGACTTACAACAGTGCAGCTATATAAAACTAAACAGTTTTTCATTCTACTGAATGGAGAGAGAAGAGAAAAGTTGATGTATATTTTGAAGACGGAGAGGCTGACAGAAGTATTCAGAGATGAGTAGTTTTGCCTGTCATCAAGAAAGGTAAGCCTCATTTGTTTTCTTCTCTATTACTCTCCAGTGTAAGTTAATATCCTTGGGTATTAAAAATTGTAGAAAAGAATTTAGCTAGGATTTTGTTGAAATAAACGGAATTACACTCATAACTACAAGAAATTAAGAAATATATTTTTGAATGTGATTCCAGAAGTCAGACATTTCTACTTGCTTTTAATAGAAGAAGCTAGAAGTTAGATGGTAGATTTTAAGTAGAATACTACTGAGCAAAAGATAATTGCATGCACAGCATCTTAAGATATCACTCAAAATGCAGCAGGTAGACGAGAAACACTGCAGCATGCCAGTGAGAAGCAACATTCTACTGAACACAAAGGCATAGACCATGCAAGTGAATTAAGACATGTGAAAAGACAGCATGAGTGTAGAAGCTTCAGTTTTGTTAATTAGGCTACATTCATGCTTCAGTGATGCTGCGATTTACCACTTTATCCTCCTGTAGCCAGTTGTGCAATGGCTCTCATGCTCCTTGCCGCGGTAAATGGTGTGTAATATGTGCCGCCTACTGGGATGTCATTACAGCATTACAATAGTGTCTGTTTAACAGTATGTTTAAAATAATGTGTAATGTCTTTCCCTTATTAGTGAATTCATCAGTGTTTCTTTAAAAGTGAATGTAATTTTTACCTAATTTATAATACCTGCCGCTAAGAGTTATGCTACTGAACTTGTCTTGTTATATTGTCTAGGTATACTGCTTAGTTATCTCAAAATTATACACAATTTCCACTTAGAGCATCTTTTTGCAACTTAAATGCTGCAGGCTGTCTCAACATTTGTATATGGATCTTTGTTTAAAAGAAGCACAATACTTTAAAAATTTAGAAACATCAGATATGATTTAAGAGCATAGTATGACTAAAATTTGGTGATTGTGCTGTTTATGACAGAGTATATACACAAAGTTATTTTTTCTGTCTATATTTTCTGTTAACATTCTGATAATAAGCACTTGGCATATTTTTTAATATACTTTAAATTCTAGGAACATGAGCAGAACGTGCAGGTTTGTAACATAGGTATACATGTGCCATGGTGGTTTGCTGCACCCATCAACCCGTCATCTATGTTAGGTATTTCTCCTAATGCTATCCCTCCCCTTAGCCCCCACCCCCCAACAGGCCCTAGTGTGTGATGTTCCCCTCCCTATGTCGATATATTCTCATTGTTCAACTCCCACTTATGAGTGAGAACATGCAGTATTTGGTTTTCTGTTCCTGTGTTAGTTTGCTGAGAATGATAGTTTCCAGCTTCATCCATGTCCCTGAAAAGAACATGAACTCACCTTTTTTATGGCTGCATAGTATTCCACGTTGTTTATGTGCCACATTTTCTTTAACCAGTCTATCATTGATGGGCATTTGGGTTGGTTCCAAGTCTTTGCTATTGTAAATAATGCTGCAATAAACATACGTGTGCATGTGTCTTTATAGTAGAATGATATATAATCTTTGGGTATATACCCAGTAATGGGATTACTGGGTTAAATGGCATTTCTGGTTCCAGATCCTTGAGGAATTGCCACACTTTCACAATGGTTGAACTAATTTACACTCCCACCAAAAGTGTAAAAGCATTCTTATTTCTCCACATCGTCTCCAGCATCTGTTGTTTTCTGACTTTTTATTGATTGCCATTTTAACTGGCATGAGATGTTATCCCATCATGGTTTTGATTTGCATTTCTCTAACGACCAGTGATGATGAGCATTTTTTCTTATGTCTGTTGGCCACATAGATGTCGTCTTTTGAGAAGTGTCTGTTTATATCCTTTGCCCACTTTTTGATGGGTTTTTTTTGTTCTTGTAAATTTGTTTAAGTTCCTATAGATTCTGAATATTAGCCCTTAGTCAGATGGATAGATGACAAAAATTTTCTCCCATTCTGTAGGTTGCCTGTTCACTCTGATGATAGTTTCTTTTGCTGTACAGAAGCTCTTTAGTTTAATTAGATCCCATTTGTCAATTTTGGCTTTAGCTGCCATTGCTTTTTGTGTTTTAAACATGAAGTCTTTGCCCATGCCTATGTCCTGAATGGTATTGCCTAGGTTTTCTTCTAGGGTATTTGTGGCTTTAGGTCTTACATTTAAGTCTTTAACCCATCTTGAGTTAATTTTTGTGTAAGGTGTAAGGAGGTGGTCCAGCTTTAGTTTTCTGCATATGGCTAGTCAGTTTTCTCAACACAATTTATTAAATAGGGAATCCTTTCCCAATTGCCTGTTTGTGTCAGATTTGTCAAAGATCAGACGGTCATGTATGTGTGGTGTTATTTCTGAGGCCTCTGTTCTGTTTCGTTGGTCTATATAACTGTTTTGGTACCAGTACCATGCAATTTTGGTTAATGTGGACTTTTGTAGTATAGTTTAAAGTCGGGGAGCGTAATGCCTCAAGCTTTGTTTTTTTGCTTAGGATTGTCTTGACTATACAGGCTCTTTTTTGGTTCCATATACAATTTAAAGTAGTTTTTTCTAATTCTGTGAAGAAAGTCAATAGTAGCTTCAGGGAAATAGCATTGAATCTATGAATTACTTTGGACAGTATGGCCATTTTCAAGATATTGATTCTTCCTATCCATGAGCATGGAATGTTTTTCCATTTGTTTGTGTCCTCTCTTATTTCCTTGAGCAGTGGTTTGTAGTTCTCCTTGAAGAGGACCTTCACATTCCTTATAAGTTGTATTCCTAGGTATTTTATTCTCTTTGTAGCAATTGTGAATGGGAGTTCACTCACGACTTGGCTCTCTGTTTGTCTATTATTGGTGTATAGGAATGCTTGTGATTTTTGCCCATTGATTTTGTATCCTGAGACTTTGCTTAAGTTGCTTATCAGCTTAGGGAGTTTTCAGATGATGTGGTTTCCTAAATATACAATCATGTCATCTGCAAACAGAGACAATTTGACTTCCTCTTTTCCTATTTGAATATCCTTTATTTCTTTCTCTTGCCTGATTGCCCTGGCCAGAACTTCCAATATAGTGTTGAATAGGAGTAGTGAGAGAGGCCATCCTTGTCTTGTGCCGGTTTTCAAGGGAAATGCTTCTAGCTTTTGTGCATTCAGTATGATACTGGCTGTGCGTTTGTCGTAAATAGCTCTTATTATTTTGAGATATGTCCCTTCAATACCTAGTTTATTGAGTTTGTTTAGCATGAATGTGTGTTGAATTTTATTGAAGGCCTTTTCTGCATCTGTTGAGATAATCACGTTGTTTTTGTCATTGATTCTGTTTATGTGATGGATTATGTTTACTGATTTTCATATGTTGAACCATCCTTGCATCACAGGTATGAAGCCGACTTGATTGTGGTGGATACGCTTTTTGATGTGCTGCTGGATTCGTTTTGCCATTATTTTATTGCGGATTTTCACATCGATGTTCATCATGGACATTGGCCTGAAATTTTCTTTTTTGTGTGTGTCTCTGCCAGGTTTTGGTATCAGGATTGTGCTGGCCTCATAAAATGAGTTAGGGAGGAGTTCCTCTTTTTCTATTGTTTGGAAAATTTCAAAAGGAATAATACAGGCTCCTCTTTGTACCTCTGGGAGAATTCAGCTGTGAATCCGTCTAGTCCCGGTCTTTTTTTCATTGGTAGGCTATTAATTACTGCCTCAATTTCAGAACATGTTATTGGTCTACTCAGAGATTTGACTTCTTCCTGGTTTAGTCTTGGGAGTGTGTATGTGTCCAGGAATTTGTCCGTTTCTGCTAGGTTTTCTAGTTTATTTGCATAGAGGTGTTTATAGTATTCTCTGATGCTATTTTGTATTTCTGTGGGATTGGTGGTGATATCCCCTTTATCATTTTTTATTGTGTCTATTTGATTCTTCCCTCTTTTCTTCTTTATTATTCTGGCTAGTGGTCAATCTATTTTGTTAATCTTTTCAAAAAGTCAGCTCCTGGATTTACTGATTTTTTTAAAAGGGTTTTTCATGTCTCTATCTCCTTCAGTTCTGCTCTGATCTTAGTTATTTCTTGTCTTCTGCTAGTTTTTGAATTTGTTTGCTTTTGCTTCTGTAGTTCTTCTAATTTTGATGTTAGGGTGTCAATTTTAGATCTTTCCCACTTTCTCATGTGGACATTTAGTGCTATAAATTTCCCTCTAAACACTGTTTTAGCTGTGTCCCAGAGATTCTGGTACGTTGTGTCTTTGTTCCCATTGGTTTTAAAGTACTTATTTATTTCTGCCTTAATTTCATTATTTACCCAGTAGTTATTGAGGAGCTATTTGTTCAGTTTCCATGTAGTTGTGCTGTTTTTAGTGAGTTCCTTAATCCTGAGTTCTAATTTGATTGCACTGTGGTCTGAGAGACTGTCATGATTTCCATTCTTTTGCATTTGGTGAGGAGTGTTTTATTTCCAATTATGTGATCAATTTTAGATTTAGTGCAATGTGGTCCTGAAAAGCATGTACGTTCTGTTGATTTGGGGTGGAGAGTTTTGTAGATGGCTATTAGGTCCACTTGGTTCAGAGCTGATTACAAGTCCCAAATATCCTTGTTAACTTTTTCTCTTGTTGATCTGTCTAATATTGACAGTGGGGTATTAGAGTTTCCCACTATTACTGTGTGGCAGTCTCAGTCTCTTTGCGGTTTCTAAGAACTTGCTTTATGAATCTGGGTGCTCCTGTATTGGGTGCATAAATATTTTGGATAGTTAGCTCCTCTTGTTGCATTGATCCCTTTACTATTATGCAATGGCCTTCTATGTCTTTTTTGATCTTTGTGGTTTAAAGCCTGTTTTATCAGAGACTAGGATTGCAACCCCTGCTTTTTTGCTTTCTATTTGCTTCATAAATATTCCTCTATCCCTTTTTGAGCCTTTGTATGTCTTTGCACTTGAGATGGGTCTCCTGAATACAGCACACCATTGGGTCTTGATGTTTTATCCAATTTGCTAGTCTGTGTCCTTTAATTGGGGCATTTAGCCCATTTACATTTAAAGTTAATATTGTTATGTGTGAATTTGATCCTGTCATTATGATGCTAGCTGGTTTTTTTGTCCATTAGTTGATGCAGTTTCTTCATAGTGTCGACGTTCTTTACAATTTGGTATGTTTTTGCAGTGGCTGGTACCAGTTGTTCCTTTCCATGTTTAGTGCTTCCTTCAGGAGTTCTTGTAAGGCAGCCCTGGTGGTGGCAAAATTCCTCAGCATTTGCTTGTCTATACAGGATTTTATTTCTCCTTTGCTTATGAAGCTTAATTTGGCTGGATATGAAATTCTGGGTTGAAAATTCTTTTCTTTAAGAATGTTGAATATTGGCCCCCCACTCTCTTCTGGCTTGTAGAGTTTCTGCAGAGAGATCCACTATTAGTCTGATGAGCTTCCCTTTGTGGGAAACCTGACCTTTCTCTCTGGATTCCCTTAACATTTTTTCTTTGGTTCAATGTTGAGGAATCTGATGATTATGTGTCTTTGGGTTGCTCTTCTAGAGGAGTATCTTAGTGGTGTTCTCTATATTTTCTTAATTTGAATGTTGCCCTGTCTTGCTAGGTTGGGGAAGTTCTCCTGTATAACCTCCTGAAGTGTGTTTTCCAACTTCGTTCCATTCTCCCTGTCACTTTTAAGTACACCAGTCAATCGTAGTTTGGTCTTTTCACATGGTCCCATATTTCTTGGAGGATTTGTTCATTCCTTTTCATTCTTCTTTCTCTAATCTTGTCTTCATGCTTTATTTCATTAAGTTTATCTTCAATCTTTGATATCCTTTCTTCTGCTTGATCAATTTGGCTATTGACACTTGTGTATGCTTCACAAAGTCCCTGTGCTGTGTTTTTCAGCCCCATCAGGTCATTTATGTTCTTGTCTAAACTGGTTATTCTAATTAGCAGTTCCTGTAACCTTTTTTCAAGGTTCTTGGCTTCCTTGCATTGGGTTAGAACATGGTTCTTTAGCTCGAAGGAGTTTGTTATTACCCTCTTTCTGAAGCTAACTTCTGTTAATTCATCAAGCTCATTCTCCACCCAGGTTTGTTCCCTTGCTGGTGAGGAGTTGTGATCCTTTGGAGGAGAAGAGGCCTTTTTCAGCCTTTTTGTCCTGGTTTTTCTCCATTTTTGTGAATTTATCTACCTTTGATCTTTGATTCTGATGACCTCTGGATGGGGTTTTTGAGTTGGCATCCATTTTGTTGATGTTGATATTGTTTTGTGTTTGTTAGTTTTCCTTCTAATAGTCAGGCCTCTCTTCTGCAGGTCTGCTGGAGTTTGCTGGAGGTCCACTCCAGACCCTGTTTGCCTGGGTATCACTAGCAGAGGCTGCAGAACAGCAAAGATTGCTGCCTGTTCCTTCCTCTGGAAGCCTCACCCCAGAGGGGCACCTGCCAGATGCCAGCTGGAGCTCTCTTGTATGAGATGTCTGCTGACCCCTTCTAGGAGGTGTCTCCCAGTCAGGAGGCATGGGAGTCAGGGACCCCCTTGAGGAGGCAGTCTGTCCCTTAGCACAGCTAGAGCACTGTGCTGAGAGATCTGCTGCTCTCTTCAGAGCCAGCAGGCAGGAACATTTAAGTCTGCTGAAGCTGCACCCACAGCCACCCCTCCTTCCAGGTGCTCTGTCCCAGGGAGATGGGAGTTTCATCTATAAGCCCCTGACTGGGGCTGCTGTTTTTCTTTCAGAAATGTCCTTCCCGGAGAGGAGGAATCCAGAGAGGAAGTCTGGCTACAGCGGCTTTGCAGCACTGTGGTGAGTTCTGCCCAGTCCGAGCTTCCCAGTGGCTTCTACTACACTGTGAGGGGAAAACAGCCTACTCAAGCCTCAGTAATGGTGGACGCCCTTCCCTCCCTCAAGCCGGTGGATCTTAGCTTGTTGGACTCCTTGGAGGTGGGATCCACTGAGCAAGACCACTCGGCTCCCTGGCTTCAACCCACTTTCCAGGGGGTGAACGGTTCTGTCTCATTGGCGTTCCAGGTGCCACTGAGATACGAAAAAAAATTCCTGCAGCTAGCACAGTGTCTGTCCAAATGGCCACCCAGTTTTGTGCTTGAAACCTAGGGCCCTGGTGGTGTAGGCACCCGATGGAATCTCCTGGTCTGTGGGTTGCAGAAACCATGGGAAAAGTGTAGTATCTGGGCCGGATAGCACTGTCTCTCAAGGCACATTCCCTCATGGCTTCCCTTGGCTTGGGGAGGGAGTTTCCCAATCCCTTGCACATCCCGGGTGAGGTGACGCCCCACCCTGCTTATGCTTGCCTTCCATGGGCTGCATCCACTCTCTAACCAGTCCCAGTGAGATGAACTGGGTACCTCAGTTGGAAATGCAGAGATCACCGGCCTTCTGCATTGGCCTGGCTGGGAGCTGTGGACGGGAGCAGTTCCTATTCAGCCATCTTGCCAGATCTCTCAGCACATATTAATAGAGACCAATACAATGACACTATACAAATGCCATGTTGGCTAAAATGCCAAGCAAATGGTTGCAAACATGCTTAGTGTAAATTGTCATCATGGCATTATTATCACTTTGGGGAAAAATGACCCTGTGATACTTTGCATCAAGGTAATTAAATGAGAAATTGCATGTTCAGATAGTTAGCACAGGACCTAGCTCACAGCAAAAGCTCAGTAAAAAAGTGAATTATTCCTATTACTAAATTTGTGGTTAGTCTTGTGCTTACCCTAAGTTGCTCCTGATTTATATTAATGGAAAGAAATGTGAATTTATTAGATATTTTTAGTTATTCCAGTTAAATATACAAATTTTCTATTACTCATCTTCAAACATCTGAAACAGTTTAATTAAACATTATTCTCAGACTAGACACACAATAAAAGATAATGTCCTCATTTAGTAGTGTGTCATGTGTGCTCTTTAAGGCTATAAAAGTTGATATTCATGGAAAAAAAGAAACTGATATGTCGTCAACCATAAGCCTTTATTCAGAATATAGCAGCTTGCAAAATACCTCAAAGGTGTGTACTAACTTGGGAGAGGGTGGTTAAAATGTTCTTGGGGCTTTGCCAAAGGTTTTAGCAGATGTTAAGCTACTTTGGGGGAATGTTTGGTCAAATATGGGTCTCAGAAGAAATAATTATTTTGGGCTTTAACTGCTGTTTGTTTGGGTAATATAGTTTTAGCAAGAAGGTTGGGTTAGAGGTTAAGATTATGCAAATATCAGAGTGGGAGGACAAGCCATATGGACCAAAGTCAAGAGGAAGCAGGTAGGTGGCCAAGCGGTAATTTTTCAGTCTTCCAGAGTCTCCTACAATAACTCCTTTTTGTCAGAGAAGGGATTGAGTCTTATTATTTAACAAATATTGTTAATTCCTTCAAATCTGTGCCACTAGGGTCAATTGAACTTTCAGATTTATTGGTGACAGCTGCCATCAAACTTCTCATGACTTGTACTCATTGTGGTTGAATTTCCATAAGTTATCAAATGAGTTGTTATATGGAATACTTTAAGACACTGGAAAAAGTGAATTTTAAAAAGCCCTATGAATACAAGAAGAATGAAAATTAGAATTATTAGAAAGTCTTGAATAATCTCTTTAAACCAAGATTCTTTCCAACCTGAAATCATCAAAGAGAACATATTCGATCCCAATAAAAAGTCTGTCAGAAAAAGAGCTTTGATATTAGTAGGTCTATTTAATACAGCATATCCCCCTGATATACAAAGTAACAAGTTTAAGGGTAAAGCTCTTAAGAATATCATGTAACCCTCAAAAACATTAAATGAATAGAAAGAAGGAAAAATAAACATAGAAAAGAAGATAAAGAAACAAAGGAGAATCTAATTATCAGTGAATACTGGCGTTTGTGTGTCTCTATCTGAAGCTCTTGGGCAGAAAAATTTCATTTCTAATAATCTCCTACTATCTAAGTTACTTGGAAGAGGTTTTTCCCTAGTTATGACTTGTAATTCTGGGAATACCTGAAGAAATCTGCATTTTAGATCTACCATCAGCAGGGAAATCTTGGAGGTAAATAGGTGAAGTTTTAATTGGGAAACATAAATTTAGTGGAGTTTTCTGAGTGTTTGCGGTTAACAGTAAGATCCCTCCATTGAGCCTAAAGACCATCCTTACATGGCTGTTTTTTCTAGTAAACTGGATCTCTGGGCTGAAGGTCATGCAGAATGTTTTTAGGTTTTATATTTGAAAAAGGCCACAGAACCTATTGTTGATAAGCGTAGGCATAGAGCAACACGCTTGTATATTATTTGGCTTTATCAGACTATTTAAAGAGCAGAATCAAGGTTAAGGAGTGAGAAGTCCAGATGCAGAGTATATTTAGTAATGCGATCCCATGGGAATGTATGTTTCTGTTGGAGTGGACATAATGGCCATGAGAACTCAAAGCAAAGCCTTTGACCTTGGACAACCAGTGTTTCTCAAATAGGTTTGCAAGTATCATTTCAAATGTGCTATCCATCCCTTGATATTTCCTGAGTACTGAGTATAGCCAGTACAGTGAGACTTCTTGGTGATAGGCAGAATTATAAAGAATATATTTTTTTTGATGGAGTGTTGCTCTGTCGTCCAGGCTGGAGTTCAGTGGAGTGATCTTTGCTCACTGCAACATTCCCCTTCCAGGTTCAAGCAATTCTCTCGCCTCAGCCTCCCAAGTAGCTAGCACTGCAGGTACCTGCCACCATGCCCAACTAATTTTTTTAAATTTTTATTAAGAGAGAGGTTCCACCATGTTGATCAGGCTGGTCTCAAACTCCTGACCAGAGGTAATCCGCCCACCTCGGCCTCCCAAGGTGTGGGATTACAGGCGTGAGCCACCGCATCCAGCTAGAATTTTAAAGAATTTCTTAATTACGGTTCCAATGAAATACAGACCCTATTGTGGTAAGCTGAATAATTCCTTCCTCTCCAAAACATATCCACGTCCTAATCATGTTCAGATAAAAGTACACATTTTAATATTTAAAAAGTTATATGATGGATAAGTATATGTTGCTATGAAATAAGTATATTACAATTGGGCATCATGGCTCACACCTGTAATCCCAGCATGGGAGGTTGAGGTGGGACAATTGCTTGAGCCCCAAGATTGGAGACCAGCCTGGAAAACAAAGTGAGACCCTGTCTCTACATTAAAGAAAAAAAAAATGCAGGTATTGTGGCTCAGGCTTGTAGTCCTCGCTCTCTGGAAGCTGAGGAAGAATTGCTGAAGCCCAGGTGATCAAGGCTGCAGTGAGCCAAGATCACGCCATTGCACTCCAGCCTGGGTGACAGAGCAAGACCCTGTCTCAAAAAAAAAAAAAAAAAAGAAAAGTATATTTGAGATTTTTTGTTTGTTTGTTTGTTTTTAACTATTGTTTAAACAATTTCCTAAAGCAAATACTCCAATGCTTAAAATAATAATCGTTTCTTGTGCCTGTAATTCTCAGATTGGGTAATGCTTGTTAGAAATAAGCTTATTGCTTCTCAATATAATGTCAGCAGGAAGATCCCAGCTGGAACTGGAGTGTTTTCCAATATTGCCCCCTCACATCCCTAATGGGTAAGGCTGTTTTTTAATTGTGAGCTCAACTAGACTTTTGATCAGAATATTTTTTTCCTCTTCATGGGAGCTTCTTCCTGAGGTTTCATATGCTCTTTTATATTATAGTAACTGGATCCATAGAGCACATTAGAAGACCAGGGAGGAATCTGTAAGACTTCTTCTTATCTCACCTCAAGGGCCATGCAGTGTCACTTCTATTATATTCAGTTAGCAAAATCAACTATCAAACCACAGCTCTAAGGCAGTGGACAATATAGGTGAACTGTTGCTGAGAAGAGTATTTCACTGGGGCCACTTCAGTTTCTGCTAAGGAATAATTGATTAAGTTGATGCTTTAAAAATGAGCATAAGTTAGATTGGCAAAATATGCCAAGGACAGTTTTCTGATTGAATAAATAATGTGTAAATGTCTTGAAAGAGGAATTGTTATTTCATTAAAGGAACTTGAAGTCTAGTGTGATTAAAGTCTAGTGTGACTAAGAAACCTTCATCCAAAGAATATTTCAACATGGTTTTCAAGAAATGTTTTATTCTCAAATATTAACTTACAGACTTTTAACTGGGCTCAACAATTCTATCTTTTTCACTAACTCTTATATGAGCTATGTCCTTTTTGTTTTGATAGGCAGTTTCATGAAAATGTTGATAGATAGATACCATACATGTATAGATGAACATTGAATTTCAAATCAAAAATATATTTTTTACTATTTATTTATTCTATAATTGCTTCCTTAAAATATTTTTCAAATGTTTAAATTCACTCTACCACTATTTTCAGGGTCATTATTAAAGTTTAACTTTGTTGTAATGCATAAAATATATTTTTCAGTAGCTTTGGATATAATTGGAAAAAATAAAAATGTTCAGGAAAAGTCACTAAGAAATTAGACAACCACCTCTAAACCAGGATTGTATGAAAACTACTACACATGATTGGAATGACGTTAGAAAGGACACAGGTTTGGAAATGTCCAGAGGTTATTCCTTAAATGAATAAAAACCATAATTTATTCAACTTGAAAGTATACCCAAGGTGTTCCAAAGTATGACATTAATGTGAATTCAACTTTTTGCAGTCATTAAAAAGTCCGTGGGTTCTTTTTATCTTTAACTAAAAGCAAAATATAACTCACTAAGGACCTACATGTTTTCTTTTTGAAATTTTGGCTTGCAGTGAATTTCTGCATCATTTCAGTTTGAAATTCTGCTGTTGATGTCGATACAGCCTTTCCCCATGGAAATTAAATCTACATCTTAAAGAACTTCAATGTGAAGCATTTGTTTTGTCAAGAAGGTTCCTCTTGTGGTTGTATTCCCCTCTTTGCTGGGAAGTGGCGTGTAGTTCAGCATCCACATTGAGGTTTCTTGCTGCCATTATAAATGTGTGTGATGCCAACTCCCACGAGGAAGAATGGCTCTAGGACTGACATATTACAAGTAATATAAGAAGCTAGTGTTCAAGGAATTGCCACAACAATGAAATATTTCTTTCTCAGTCACCACTTCTCCAAATAAGAAAAAAAAAAAAGAAACAGGAACAGAATGCAATGTAGCTTAGCAGGGATCCATTCAACTTTAAAATGTACAGTTTTGTAAGTAGTATGTTTAGCTGTATCTGCATGCCCTACAGAAAATTTAATGCAAATTTTTTATCATAAAATATACTTGACAAGAACTTTAACAAAAGCTACATAAATATATCTATTCATTCCAGAGCAGAGTCTGGAATAAAAGGGGGCATCAAGATTGGGGTAGGGACAGGATAAAAAACAATGGAGCTTCTGGAGCATTAGAATACAGATTATACTAGATATGTCTAAGTTTATGTTGGCACTTGTTTACCATCTCACAGATCTTGCCACAGTTGCTTTCTTATTTCCTGCTCAGAATAAGAAAAGAGATAGACCAGCCACAGTGGTTTAAGCTTATAGTCCCAGCACTTTGGGAGGATGAAGCCAGCAGATGGCTTGAGCCCAGGAGTCAAAGACCAGCCTGGGCAACATGGCAAAACTCCATCTCTACAAAGAAAGGACAAAAATTAGCCAGGCATGGGGGCACATGTCTGTAGTTCCGGGTACTCGGGAGGCTGGGGCAGGAGAATCGCTTGAGCCTGGGACGTCGAGGCTGAAGTGAGCCATAATCACACCACTGCACTCCAGCCTCGGTGACAAAGTAAGAGTCTGTCTCAAAAACAGAAAGAAAGAAATGAAAAGAAATATTATTTAAAAAAATACATTGAAAGCTGTGAGCTGTGTGTGCTAGTTTACAGAATGCTCTTTACATCTTGACCAATGCCATCATTAAATCAATAATGATCTAACAAAATATAATATTTCAGATGCTATTCTTTGGAATAATGTAGTTGTGCACGGAGGCAGGGATTTGAAGTTCAGAATTTAGAAAACTAAAATTCTTTTTTATGTTTTTTTTCCCCAGAAATATGCCATGAGACAGAGTGCTTATTCTTCATAATTACCTGAAAGAGAATGTTGACCCATGTTTTAACTTTATATATATAGTTTGTGTGACAATTTAGCTGGTCATTTTAATTAATTTATCTATTTATTTGGCTATTGTTTCAAACAAAAAGTATTAAGTAAGCATATGACCAAACACAGCATAAACCAACTCTTACCTTTCCTTTCTCTAAAAAATAGGCCCAAGATGCACACACACACACAGACAAACACAGACACACACACACACACACCAGTAGGCTTAAAATGTCTATAACTGAATACTATTAATTTTGTTTTACTAAAATTACACTAGGTTATTGGGAAAAGAAGAATGAGAGCTGTATATATTGAAATATTTGACAGATCTAGTACTCTCCTTAGAGTCTCCAGATGTCTTCTGGTCTTAGCCTTGGAAAGGTAAACATTAAGTGAAGGAAAAACTAGGTACTAATAATGTATAATTGAAGAAAAGCCTTTAATTATTGTTTTCCATTTTATGCCCACATTATTTCATTAAAGTGCCATTTTAACCAAGTTCAAAAAAGTCAAAGAACAATTGCTTGACAAACATGAACGAGCTTGCTTTGGTCAGAGAGGTTAAATAAATGAAAGAATGCTATACAATTTGCAGTTAATGTTTCATTTTCATATTTTGAATATTTAATTTTGTAAATTCTATATTTACATGTATGACAATTACTTTGCTTATTACTCTGGTAAATGATTGAATAAATTTTAATAAAAACATTTTATAACCTTTAGTAGGGTTAACAATAATTTTGAAGATGGTATTTATAACAACCTAGTTAATTTTATCTAAACATGCTTCTTTCTTGTAATGCATAGAACTTTGCACATTTATTTCCAGGTATTTTCAGCTAATATTTTCAGGATGTGGCATCAATTCCTGAGATTAGTATATTATATTTTATTTATACATTGTTTATAAGATTATCTTGACAAACAAAGTTAGAAAAAATGTTATGTATAAATTTATGTAATGAGTTTAACTAGATTTTTAAACATTTTGCCTGGATCCAAGAAAATACAAATTGTGAGACATAACAAATGTAAATGGAATCCTTTATTAGTTTTTACCTTTTATCCAAGCTGAAGAGCTTATTGACAATAAAGATGCCTTTGAAACTTTCTGTCTAAAAACATTAAAATTCAAGACTTTCCTAGAACTCAATGGATAACAAAATTTGATCACTATAAACTGGAGAAACATCGTCACCTGTAGCAATAAAAAAATACATACTGTGTTTTATGTTTAAGCAAATATATTATTTTTAACCAAAATCTTAAATTTATAAAAAAGTGTCTAATTATAATTCTGCAACTAAAAATAAGAATTAACACGTATCACATACCCAAGTCTACCCATTCCAGTAATATCACACTTGTCAGAACAGCTTTGTATGTCTACCATTTGGGTATGTGTCCTAGAGTTCACTGCAATCTGCCATCATGTATTTGATTTTTGTGTGGCCACACAAGTGACTGAAATGAGAATACAGTAGAAACTGCCTCTGCAACTTTTTAGGTTTTTAAAAATGGCACTGATCTCTTCTATTGTATCTGGAAGGCAATATTGCTTTATGAAGTCTCTTGGCTGTGGTATAAAGACATTTTTCAGTCTTTTCCTTGACCTTTCCTATGACAATTATTATTCATTCACATTTCAAGGAACTAGAGTGAGTGTTCTGCCAGTTACTATGTATGTATATCTAAATTATGAATTCAGGAAATAAAGTTTTATTGTGCATATATGGACTCATTGGACCCATTGTGAAATGAATTCGTGGTTAAACTAAATTTATTACCTGATTTTCATATGTACCCACTCTTGAAGGGAGGCTATGGTAAAAGTTGACTTTCCTTCAATTCACACACTATATCAAAAAATGTGGGTGCTCCCTTTTCCATATGTACCTGCGGCTACAGACACTTTGAGTAGAGGAAGAGAATTATCTTTACAGTATATATTTGCTCTGCCATCAGGTCATTTCTCAGAAAAACAGAGCTTCTGCTTTAATTATTGGACTCTCAGTCTGAAAGTTGGCTCAAGCTTGGAAAGTAGATGAGTGATTGAAATTTCCACTGGAGTGGCTGACATCGACCTTCTGCTTCTCCACATTAGCTGCTTTCTGAATATATATGTACATGTACAAAAATCCTTATTGGAAGCCTTTCTATAGTTCCCCTAAAAACTGTGATGATAGCTCATCCATGATCTTAGATTCCTACATAATAGAGTTCCTCAGCTGTTGAGTTGCTGATAACTGGCATGGAAATTATGTTGGTCCTTATCTCTCTGTACTGATTACATGCTACCACCTTTCCTTTGCTCTTCTAGAATTGTATATCATCTTCAACATTTGTTTCATAAGAGCATTACTTGCTAATCCTTCTTGGCCTATAGACAACAGCCACTGTTAAGCCTGTAAAAATTTCAATCTTTATAAACTTAGTGAAACTAATGTTTTTGTTAATCCTGAAGTACACAGTCACTCTAGCTTGTCCAGTGACTCAGTCTTTATATTGGTTCCACAACACTGTATCAGGGCAGGTCTAGAAACTTCACACTATGTACTGTGGTCTGTCATATTTCCAAGAGCCATGCCTAAAGCACAGTAGGGCTGATGTCAGATGCTCTTGCAATCCACTGAGTTCGGTGTTCCCTTTAAACCCTAGTACTTCATATCATCAAAGTCTCTCTCATCCAGCTTTATATTCTGGTCTAGTACTTGCAAGATGTAGCCACCAGAACTGCTTTTTCTGTTTCCTTTTGGTACATATTAACCAGGTCCAGTGACTCCAACCATGAATGATGTCTTTTCTCATGTATAAGGTCCAGAGGTTCTAAAGGCCGTGGAAATGAACTTAACCTTATCTTCTGGTTAAGTTGCCAAGAGGGAATGTGGGAAAAGATCTCATGGCGGGAAGTTTTCTTTTGCAAAATATCTGCCTCAGGGGAGTCCAGTGGGAAGTCTCCAGGGGTCTGTTACAGTCTAAAAAAGAAAAGTGAACCACTTCTTTAGGTTTAGAGAGCTCGAGGAGATCTGGTTCTTTAATGTTCCTGAATCACTTCTCTCTGGGTCCTGTCCCTTCACTTTATGACCCTGATTTTGACTTGCTGAGAAAACAGTTCAATTTGAAATTCTACTCCTCTTATAATCAGATCTTGGGCCAGATCATCAGCATCAATTACATTCCACTTCCAAGAAATTATGGTCTCTTTAAATAATCCCATGGATACATTGTAACTTTCCTACCATGCATTCAATTACCAATTGGCTGATTTGAGTCTGTCATTTTCTCTGTTAAAGGCATTAGTGCTTATAGCAACAAACAATAAATTCCATTGTCCTTGTATTAGGTTGGTGCAGAAGCAGTCGCGGTTTTTGCCATTAAAAGTAATTCACTTTTTTTTTTTTGCCAATACTTGTAATAGCAAAAAATAGACTATACAGAGGCCTGAAATGTCCAGTATAATTTGACCCTGCATTATTTTTCTTACTTATATCCTACTATTCTCTCTCTGGCTCCTCCTTGGATGCCTTTGTATAATGGAAAGATATGACCCCAGCCCAGAAACTTTGCACTTTCTTTTTTATATACTTTCAACATTCTTGCCCTAGAACACAACATTGCTACCTTTTTTCTTTGTTCTTTGATTAAATATTATCTTTTTAGTAGATATTCTCTTATAACGCTACTTAATATTGGAATAAACTCTCCAACTTCTGGAAACCTTTTCTCCTTCCCCTGCCTTAGTTCTGAAGTATTTGTAAACTTTTAAGTAGTTAAAATATTTACTTTGTTTAATATTTGCCCATTGTCACTAAAAATAAAAGTTCTAAGAACAATCGCATATTTGCCTCACTGCCAGAATCAGAGTCCAGAGCAATGCTGACACATAGGAAGCACCAAGTCACTATTTGTTGAACAAATGAAAGAATGAGTGAAAGGAATAAAAGATTTTTAAAAACTTTGTATTTTAGCACAAATTATGATCCAATAATTATCCAATTACTAGTGTATTCACTGATAAATATCTGAGTAATTTCAATAGCATAAATCTCTAATGAAATCACTGGTATTTATCAGTGAATCCGTTAAGTGAAACTATTTGTTTCTGAATAATGCCACACCATCGTCAACAACAAGGAGTGCAATGTATACATGAAAATCAACAAACACAGAGCAATTAAACTTTGGACTTTATGTTTTAGATATGTTTTATCATAGATTATCTTGTTATTTACTTTGAGTCTCTACACAATCAAAATTTTGAAAAATAGTTATGCTAGGAAAAACCTGCTTATTATAACACTAGCAATGTAAGATCACTTTGGAATGATTTAATTTAATTGGTTTATGGGTTAAAAGTTATCAGTTTAGGTTAAATGTGTATAGAAAGTATATTTATGCATGCTTAAATACATAATCAGTTGTTGTGATAAGTTGCCAAAGAATGAGGTTTCCCACATATCGCTCTTATTTGAATACTTTTTAAGGTGGCATCTTTTTTTAGAAGCTTAAGAAGGAACTATTTTTTTTCCAGCTGACAAACACTCTATTTGATGTGATTAAGTAAGGTTTTTACATAAAATTGTAGGCGTTGCAAGCCAGTTATCTTTCAAATTTATTTCTTTCGAAAAAACAATGTGTCAGTAGAAATCTGTGATTTTGCTCCATCATTTAAATATAATGGGAGCTCTGGAATGTGTTAAATGCATAGAGTTGAAGCACGATCTATAGCTTTATAGGAAAATCTGCAGATAATGCCATTTCAATACAATGCTACCTCATCCTTGTCTTCATTTTGAAACATATTTCATATTTTAAAGAAAAGCAGCATATTCTGACTTACTATGCAATGACAATTTTATGTTTTGTATAAAATATTGTTCCAATCAATACCACCTGCAAAAATTTACTTATTAATGATCTTCTCTTCCAGAGTATTCTTCCTGCAGAAAGTAGTGCATACGCTTCTAACTGATATAAGAGGAAAAAATAATATCAAAACTTAATTCCATAAAATGTCCTTTTTCATCCATAACAAACAAAGACAAACTCATAATGATTTGAAAAGATTAGCAAATATATTCTTAAGAAGAATTCTGGGATATTTATTTCAACTATTTTGTTTTCTGTATGGTCTCTGGTCCAACAGGAACACAGTATCTCCTTTATTATCCCACTCCTATCTACCTTACTTTTTCCCAGACTTTCTGCTAATGCAACAGAAGCATCTCAGACAATATAAAGTAAGTTGCCTCAAAAATTGTTATTCCATAATCTAATTTTAAATGAAGGGAAATTCAGTCAGATGCTAAATTTATTTTCAGTTGTTACAACTGGGACCTAGTCCACTGGTAAGAATCAATGATTTTGAGGCATGTTGTCAGGCTGCACCACGTAGTGGGATGAAGGAATTTAACCTGAATGAAAGATAGGATGATATTCAAATGTGAGAGAAAACCTAGGGTTTATACCAAACAGACTTTTCTCTAATGCTCTCAATTTCACATTAAAATTCTGACATTTTAAGCCTGTTTTTGAAGTGACTTTATATATCTGTTTGCATATGTAGTGGAACAACCTGTGTTCATGCATGTCTTAAGAAAGACATCATAGAGAAAAATATGATAAATTCTGATATTCTAGTATCCACAAAATGAAAAACACAGCCCTTATGCTACTTTTACTTGCTTTATTTTTGAAATATTTTCACATTAGACTTCAATAATGTGCACCTGCACACACACACACACACACACATATCCCAAACTTTTATAAATTTAGAGTAAAATTATAACAAACCAAAAATTTTATAATACTGGTTTTTATGTTTGCTGATATAGTTACCTTTACTGGAGATTCTTATTTCTTCATATGACTTCAAGTTACTGTCAAGGGTTCTTTCATCTTAACTTGGAGGACTCCCTTTAACATTTCTTGTAGTGCAGATCTAGTAGTTATAAACCTTTTCGTCTTTATTTATCTGGTAAAGGTCTTTCTCATTTACTTAATTTTTTTCTTTAAATACTTTAAATATGCCATACTACTTCTTCTGCTCCCATTGTTTCTGAAGAGAAACTGTTAGTTTTATTGAGATTCCCTTGTAAAAGGTGAGTCACTTCTTTATTGCTCTTTCCAAGATGTTCCTTTCATCTTTGTCATCCAACAGAGTGATTATGTGTCTCAGTATGTGTCTATCTGAGTTTTTCCCTACTTGGAGTTTATTGAATTTCTTAGATTTGTAAGTTTATGTCTTTCAACAAATTTTGGAGGTTTTTGTCATTGTTTCTTTAAACATTCTTTCTTTCTTTTTCTCTCTTGGTTTACTTTCTGGAACTCTGATGATGTGTATTTCGTTCTACTAGATGGTGTTTCACAGTTCCTTGGGTTCTGTTCAATTTTATTCATTTTTTTCTGCTCTCAAAACTCAAATGTTTTTATATTCATCCAACCAAAGATTAATTTGAAGATTTGTGTTTGTTCTAATCTGCTTTTGTACCATTCTAATAAAACTTGATTTAAGTAATTATATTTTATCACCAGAATTTTTGTTTTGTTCCTTTTTGTAATTTCTCTGTCTTTATTGACATAATCATTGTGTTTATACCACACTTTCCTTATTTCTTTTAGTCCTTTGACCGTGCTTTATATAACTCTTTGAACACATTTTAAAGTTATTGTAATATATTTCCTATAGTTAAAATGCTATTTTCACCTCCAAAATTTATGTTGAAACAACATCCAAGGCGACATTATTGGGAGACGTGACCATTTAAAGGTGATTGAGTCTAGAGCTTCTGCCCTTATAAAAGGGAGTAGGGGCCTTTATTACAAGTATGAAGGGAGTTGCTGGGGAGGAGTTTATTATTCTTTTGCCCTTCCACCTTCTGCCATGTGAAGACACAGTGCTCTTCCCATCCATGGATGCAGCATTCAAGGTGCAATCTTGGAAGCTGAGACTGAACGCTCACCAAACAAGAAACCTGCCGGGGCCTTCATATTGGACATCCCAGCTGCCAGCTTGTGCTAAATAAATTTCTGTTTTTCATAAATTATCCAGTGTCAGGTATTCTGATATAGCAGTATAACACTGACTAAGAAGAAACTGATACCAGAGAAGTGAGGTGCTGCTATAACAAATACCTAAAAATGTTAAAGCAGCTTTTGAACTGGGTAATAAGTAGAGCTTAGAAAAGTTTTGAAGTGAATTCTTGAGAAGCTTGTTTTGCCATAACTTGAAACTGAAGGGTGATTCTGATGAGGGCACAGAAAAGAGAAAACTTCAAATAAAGATTGAATCATTCTAAGATATTTTTTAAGTAGTTGTAAATAGAATCTTGGGGGAAATATGGACAGTAAAGGACATTCTGATGTGGTCTTATATGGAAATGAAGAATATATCATTAGAAACTGGGTCTTTCATCTTGTTACAAAATGGCAAAGTACTTTGCTGAATTATATCCATATCCTAGGACTCTGTGGAAAGCAGAACTTAAGGACAGTGAACTAGGATACTGACCACAAGAAATCCCTAAGAAGCAAAGTATTTAGAATGCTGTGTGGCTTCTCTTAGCTGCTTATAGTAAAAGTTGAGAAGAGAGAAATGATTTAGAGACAAGCTTTGTAATGAAAAGGATTGATACATACAGATTTGGAAAATTCTCAGCCAGGCTATGTAAATAATGAAAAAGCATGTTTTGGAGGGAAAAGCAAGGCGGTGGCCAAGTGCCTGTTTGGTAAGGAGATTAATGTGGATAGAAGGAAGCTACTTGCTACTTACCAAGACATTAGGAGAATGACCTCGAACACATCTTGAAGATCTTTGAGGATACTCTTCCTAACACATCCATGGCCATCTCATGTCTCTGCTCCCCACATTCCTACACAGTGCTCCTTAATTATCCTAGCTATGTCTCCAGTAGGCCCATGTGAGTCAAGAGCTATACCTCTAGAAGGTACAGGCATTAACATTGGCAGAGTCCATATAGTGCTAATTTTGCAGGAATGCAGACTACAGGAGCTGTGGAGGCAGGCTGCCTCAACCTACATTTAGAAGTACGCCTCAGAGAGCCTTGAGGTTCAGGAATAGACCTGCCACAGGGGCAGAGCCACTGCAGCAAGTGCCCACTAAAACTATATCTAGTAGAGTCTTGGTGGCTGTGATGTCCCCAGTACCCAGTGACTATGGAGCCACCAGTATGCAATGCCACTCATAAAGAGCCACAGGCACCCAACTCCAGCACACAGGAGCTGTGCTGTGGGCTATGCCTAACAAAGTCATGAAGGTTGTATGCTTTTGGACCTTGGAGACTCAATTCATAGCCCATTGTGTTGAGGAGGTAAGCCAGGGAGTCAAACATTATTCACTAACCTAAAGATTTAATTTTGTTTGCACTATTGGGTTTTTGCTTACTTGAGATCTATTGTCCCTTTCTTCTTTTCTAGTTTTCCATTTTGTAATGGGAAAATCTATCCTATGCCTGTTCCACCATTGAATTTTAGAGGCACATAATTTATTTTCGCAGGCTTCTCAGTTCTAGAGGAAATTTGCCTCAAGATAAATCTTATAAAATAAGATTCTAATCTTACAAAATACTATAAAATAAGTCTTATAAATATCAGATTTACATGAGACTCTACATTTTAGACTTTTATGTTGGTAAAAAAATGAGTTAACATTTGGGATGAAAAGAATGTATTTTTTATTTGAAAAGGACCTGAATTTTGGGGGACTAGGGACACAGTGGTATGGTTTGAATGTTTTTGTCACCACCAAAATTCATGTTGAAAGGTAATCCTCCACCCAACAGTATTGGGAGGTGTGGCCTTGAGAGGTGATTGAGTCAAGAGGGCTCCACCTTCATGAATGGGATTAGGTGCCCTTATATAATGAGGGAATTTATTCTTTCACCCTTCCGACTTCTGCCACATGAAGACACAGCATTCCTCTCCTTTAGAAGATGAAGCATTACAGATGACATCTTGGAAGCAAGGACAGGACCCTCATCAGACAATTAACCAGCTGGTGACTTGATCTTAGACTTCCTAGCCTCCGTAACTTTGAAAAATACATTTCTATAGTTTATAAATTATCCAGTCTCAGGTATTCTGTTATAGCAGCACAAAAGGAACCAAGACAATCTCTGTCTATTTAATCTAATGTCTATTTAATTTCTGTCTATTTAATCTAATGTTCCGTTGATTTACTTTGTTCCATTAAATGACACATAGTTGTGTGTTTCTTTGTATTCCCTGTGGTTATTTGTTGAAAACAGCATATTTGAATATTAAAAAGTGGTAACTCTAGAAATCAGATTCTTTGCTTTTCCCAGGGTGTGTTTTTTGTTTGTTTGTTTGTTTTTTATTTTGAAGGCTTTCGTAATCTATTTGTCTAGTAACTTTTCCCAACTATTTTGCAGAGATTGTATTCATTGCTGTGTGTTGGTTACCGAAGACTTTGTTTGGTAGCTATATGCATATAGTGTTTCAATATACATTTCTTTGAACACTAGGAGCTAGAAAACAAACAAACTATCAAAACTTGTGTTTCTTACTTTTTGCCAGTGGATTTCATGCTGCAGCTCTCTTTCAAAACTTTTAGCCAGATTTGCACTGAGTCTAGAGATTGGCCAAAGGTGAGAGCCCCTGATCTTCCAAAACTTTTTGATCATGCATCTTATCCTCATCATGTGTATAGCTTTCTAAGTTCCCCCATCTACACAGGTGACTTTGAACACCCTAATTTCCCAAATAACTGTCTAGCAGATTTTCCTCCCCGGTTTTAGGAATTCTATTTTATGTCTGTCTCAGCCATGAATATTAGCCCCAGACATCTGTGGTTTGTTATTCACCAATGTTTTCAAAAAATGCCTACTGCTTTTCTGGCCTTAGGTGAGTTCAGTGAAACAGAGATGAGTACATTTTTATTAGTCCTTCAGCTTGTCTCCAGGTAGCTAAGAACAGATTTACACGATAATTTATGAATAAGGCATGCTTTTTTTTTTTTTTTTCTGAATCCAAGGACCAGGATGGCACCCTAGCAACACGGACAGTTGTCTTCAGGACTAGGACTGCCACCAAACTGGGGAAGAGGTGTGACAAGAGCAAGTAACAATGCAACAGATCTCTTTCATTGTAAAGTTGCCTTTTTCTTGATTCAGTGTTCACCTGCTTGCTATAAATCTTTGGCTGTTTTTCAGAGTTCTGACAAAATTGGTTCTGACGGTTGTTCATTGTTCTTTAATGTTTTAGTTGTGAGAAAAGGAGCTTAGAGCTGCCTACTCCACCATTTTTTTTTGAAATCACTTCTGTGCCTGTCATATTTTATCCTCACTTAGAAATATTTCAAAATGCTACGCAGAGGGAAAAAAGCAATCTGTCTTCAAAATCTCTGTCTTCAGATGTTCAACAGGCCTGGGAATACGTGTGACCTTCACTGTGACAGGAATAAGTCTATCTTTCTAGGAAAATTGTTGGCTTTCTCTACATTTCCATGTTAGTAGATAGTTCCCAGATATAAGGTACAGGCAGAATTCACAAAAAGTCATTTGCAATTGTCACAAAAATATTATTTTGCTGTTGTAAACATTGGAATTAGGGAAATATCATAATTGTACATGTTTTAAATATATTACATTAAATACAAATCACCCTCTAAGGAAAAAAAAGGGACAGAAAAAAATCTTTAAATTTAAAATTACTGATTATTTTTAAAGAATTTGGGGCTCAGATAAAGCCTAATTAACATTGTTGGTTTAAAAGTTTTATTTTTAAAGTAAGAAGAAAGTCTAATGTGAGAGAAATGTTTTTTGAGACAATAAGGTCTAGTGAACTCTAATGTTTTAATCTACATACAAGTTTATTTATTGAAAACAATTCATCTTTTAACTCTTAAGACTCTAATAAATTTCGTTGTAATGATGAACAATTTAGGCATATTATTTTAATCATCTTAATATGTGATTATTTCTGGCTATCTTTAATTTTTCTTTTAGATTTTCTTTTTTTTTCTTAGACAGGATCTCACTTTGTTGCCCAATCTGGAGTGCAGTGGTGTCATCATGGCTCACTGCAGCCTTGACCTCCCAGGTTCAAACAATTCTCCCACCTCAGCCTCCCAAGTAGCTAAGACTAAAGGTACATGCCATCATACCCAGCTAATTTTTGTATTTTTTGTGGAGATGATCTTGCTGTGTTGAACAGGCTGGTCTTAAACCCCTGGGCTCAAGCAATCTTCCTGCTTGGGCCTCTTAAAGTGTTGGGATTACAGGCACGAGCCACTATACTTAGCCTTATCTTTAATTTTATAGGAGGCAATAAAATGAGCAGGGAAATGGATGACACAATTCTTTCTTTTTTTCTTAGACGGAGTCTCACTCTGTCGCCCAGGCTGGAGTGCAGTGGCACAATCTCGGCTCACTGCAAGCTGTGCCTCCTGGGTTCACGCCATTCTCCTGCCTCAGCCTCCCAAGTAGCTGGGACTATAGGTGCCTGCCACCATGCCCAGCTAATTTTTTGTATTTTTAGTAGAGATGGGGTTTCATCATGTTACCCAGGATGGTCTTGATCTCCTGACCTCGTGATCTGCATGCCTCGGCCTCTCAAAGTACTGGGATTACAGGTGTGAGCCACCACTTATTGTGAAATGTAATTTAAATGTAATTTTTCCTTTATTTCTTTCTCTAATTAACAACCGGAAATTCACAAATTTATTATCAGCCACTTTGTTAGAAAAATAATATTTGTATTTGCTCTTTCCTAATTAGGTAAATAGATAACATGGAAGATAGAGAATAATCTTTAAATTAAAATTCTATAAGTTGACTGCATTTGAGGTTTTATGTATTTAGCATAATTGAAATATTATATGAATACCCTAATGAGGCAGGTTCTTTCACCACTTAAGATAGTCCCAGAGAGCTATTCAGGAATTTTTGGAACCTAGGTTTCAATTATCAGGCTCAGTTGAACCACTTAGTTTTAGTTTTTTCTGAAGCATGGTTTAGTTAAATTGTTTCCTGAGGGCCTGATACACTTAAAAAAATGTCTTACAACTTTCTATAGTGTCAAAAATATCTTTAGAGAGGATCTTAAACACAAAAATTACCTAAAATATGGTAAACTGGTTTTGCATTTTCAAATGATGATATTCTCCTCCGAGTCTTTTATTTTCTTTGTTTTCTTTTTGAGAGAACTGATTACCGTTTTGAGCATAATCATATTTTATATTTAAATCAAATTTCAGAATTTGATTGTTTTAAAATAAATAATTGTAATAGTCCTAAAAAACACTCTCAGTCCATTTTTCTCCATACTTTAACTATCTTGAGGATTTCCTTGAACCTATTACAAAATGTCACAATTCTATTTTTTTCTAGAGCTTAGAAGCTTTCCATTGCCTTATTAAAATATGCTCTATGGTATTTATAAAATGGTGCATCACAGTAAATGAATGTTTGGCAGATGAATCACTAAATGAAAAGGAATATAGGGTAGTGGTTAATGTAGAGTAAGACAGTGAGGATTTGAATCTAACCTCTGCCATTTACAAGTCTTAAGACTTGTTATTTAGCCAATTTATATCTCAGTTTTGTCAACTATAAATTTGAGTATTGATATGGTTTGGCTGTGTCCCCACACAAATCATATCTTAAATTGTAGCTCCCATAATTCTCACTTGTTTTGGGGAAGGGACCTGATGGGAGGTAATTGAATCATGGGGGGTGGGTTTTTCCCCACGCTCTCCTCATGATAGTGAATAAGTATCACAAGATGTGATGGCATTATAAAGGGGAGTGTGCTCTCTTTGCCTGCTGCTATGTAAGACATGACTTAGCTCCTCATTCGCCTTTCGCCATGATTATGAGGCCTCCTGAGCCATGTGAAACTGTGAGTCAATTATACCTCTTTCCTTTATAAATTAGCCAGTCTTGGGTATGTCTTTATTAGCAGCGTGAAAACAAACTTATATACCAGTAGGCAATACATCCATGTAACCAAACTGCAAATGTACACCCCTACATCTATAAAATAAAAAAAATTTCTATTGTTGAAAACCCCAATAGGAAGAACATCATAAAAGTCTGGAAAAAACTAAAGTTCATATGGAACCAAAAAAAAGCCCGCATTGCCAAGTCAATCCTAAGCCAAAAGAACAAAGCTGGAGGCATCACGCTACCTGACTTCAAAGTATACTACAAGGCTGCAGTAACCAAAACAGCATGGTACTGGTACCAAAACAGAGATATAGACCAATGGAACAGAACAGAGCCCTCAGAAATAATGCTGCATATCTACAACCATCTGATCTTTGACAAACCTGACAAAAACAAGAAATGGAGAAAGGATTCCCTATTTAATAAGTGGTGCTGGGAAAACTGGCTGGCCATATGTAGAAAGCTGAAACTGGATCCCTTCCTTACACCTTATACAAAAATTTATTCAAGATGGATTAAAGACTTACATGTTAGATCTAAAACCATAAAAACCCTAGAAGAAAAGCTAGGCAATACCATTCAGGACATAGGCATGGGCAAGGACTTCATGTCTAAAACACCAAAAGCAATGGCAACAAAAGCCAAAATTGACAAATGGGATCTAATTAAACTAAAGACCTTCTGCACAGCAAAAGAAACTACCATCAGAGTGAACAGGCAACCTACAGAATGCGTGAAAATTTTTGCAACCTACTCATCTGACAAAGGGCTAATATCCAGAATCTACAATGAACTCAAACAAATTTACAAGAAAAAAACAACCCCATCAAAAAGTGGGCAAAGGATACGAACAGACACTTCTCAAAAGAAGACATGTATGTGCCAAAAGACACATGAAAAAATGTTCATCATCACTGGCCATCAGAGAAATGCAAATCAAAACCACAATGAGATACCATCTCACACCAGTTAGAATGGCAATCATTAAAAAGTCAGGAAACAACTGGTGCTGGAGAGGATGTGGAGAAATAGGAACACTTTTACACTGTTGGTGGGACTGTAAACTAGTTCAACCATTGTGGAAGTCAGTGTGGTGATTCCTCAGGGATCTAGAACTAGAAACACCATTTGACCCAGCCATCCCATCACTGGGTATATACCTAAAGGATTATAAAACATGCTGCTATAAAGACGCATGCACACGTATGTTTATTGTGGCACTATTCACAATAGCAAAGACTTGGAACCAGCCCAAATGTTCAACAATGATAGACTGGATTAAGAAAATGTGGCACACATACACCATGGAACACTATGCAGCCATAAAAAAGGATGAGTTCATGTCCTTTGTAGCGACATAGATGAAGCTGGAAACCATCATTCTCAGCAAACTATCACAAGGACAAAAAACCAAACACCGCATGTTCTCACTCATAGGTGGAAATTGAACAATGAGAACACGTGGACACAGGAAGGGGAACATCACACACTGGGGCCTGTTGTGGGGTTGAGGGAGCGGGGAGGGATAGCATTAGGAGATATACCTAATGTTAAATGAAGAGTTAATGGGTGCAGCACACCAACATGGCACATGTATACATATGTAACTAACCTGCACATTGTGCACATATACCCTAAAACTTAAAGTATAATAATAAAAAAAAAAGTCTGGAAGGATTACACTTTTGAAGATGCCATTACTGGTATAGAAACAGCCTTGAAAGTAATCAAGCCTTAAACAGTAAATTCCTGCTAGAGAAAACTACGTTCACATGTTGTGCATGACTTCACAGAATTTATAAAAAGCCAATCGAGGAAATCATGAAAGATGTGAATATAGCAAAAACAATGGGGTTTGGTGAAGAATGCCATGATATAGGTCATGGAGAAATAGAAGATCTAATAGTTACTACACCAGAGGAATTAAACGAAGATGACTTGATGGAGATGAGTGCTTCTGAACCACTGCCAGACAATGAAAAAGAAGACATAGAAACAGCCAGAAAATAAATGGATCTTAGGCAATTTGGCAGTAGGGTTCCAATTACTCAAGACTGCTTTTGATTCCTATGAAATGGTGGGCACTGAAACTAGAGAAAATGATAGAAGGATTAGTGTCATATAAAAATATTTTCAGAAAAATAAAAAAGCAAAAAGTCAAGCAAAAATCACAATGTATTTCCATAAAGTTACACCAAGTGTGCCTGCCTACTCTGCCTCTCCTTCAATCTCCTCCACCTCTTCTCTCTGCCCTGAGAAATCCAGACCTACTCCTCCTCTTCCTCTTCTTCCTCAGCCTACTCAACAGGAAGACGAGGAGGATGAAGACCTTTATTTTGATCCACGTTGACTTAATGATCAGTAAATATATTTTCTCTTTGTTATGTTTTCTTAATCACATTTTTTCCTCTAGCTTACTTTATTGTAAAAATATAGCATATGATAATATAACATACAAAATATGTGTTAATTGATTGTTTATGTTATCAGTAAGGATTTCAGTCAACAGTAGGTCTTTAGTAGTTAAATTTTTGGAGAACCAAAAGTTATACATGGATTTTTGACTGTGCAGGGGGGCTGTGCCACAATCCCCTTGCATTGCTCAAAAGTCAAATACACACACACACACACACACACACACACACACACATAGTTCTCTTTTTCCCATTATGTGACTGATTTTCATATTTATTTTCATGTGTGATTGCTTGTATTAAAATGTTGTATATCATTGAAAACATTACACATACATTTAAACTATGTGAAAATAACAAAGTTTTAAAAGTATTATATAAAATGTTAAAGACATTTACACCTAAATCTAAAAATTTCGAGAGTAAATTAACACACTTTAACAATGTTGGACTTACTCTGTGAAATATCAATATTATGAAAGTATTGAGAAAGATTTGAAATAGAAAAGAGGATATTTAAGATAATTAACAGATAATATCAGATAATATATGGGTTGAATACTACATTCCATATCTTATGTTCCTTTAAATAGATATATGATTTTAAGATAATGAAAAAGGATTAATATCTCAATAACTAATACATATGCAAAATGTCAATATATATATAACTTAGACAGTTTGGTCTGCTATTCCTGAGGTCAAAGATGGTGCATGCTAGGTCTGTTGTGTGTATTGCCAGGGTATCTCCAATGTTCAATCAAGGACCAAAGACTCCTCATTTAGCATGTGGTGAATGCCACCAGGCATGAGACTCTCACTACGGGTCAGTGGGCTCCCTTCTGGCCCAGGGCAGGTCCAGAAATGCTGCTAGAGAGCCAAGGCCTGGAATCAGGGCCCCAAGAATCTGCTTTAGTGCTCTACTGCACTATGGCTGAGCTGCTATATAAGGTACCTGACAAAGTCTACTTTAGTCTTCTCTCTGCTTTTCTCAAGCCAACAGAGTCTCTCCCTTTAGCCACCACAGGTAAGAATGTATTAGGTCTCACCTGAAACCAGCACATCTCTGAGTCTCACCCAAGGTCCATGGCAAGTACTGCCTGGCTATCACTGATGAATATTTTAGGGCCCAAGGGCCTCTTTAGGCAGCAGCGGCTGAATCCTGTGAGGACTGGGTCCTCTTTAAGGCAGTGGTTTTGCATGTGGCCCAGGCCGTTTCTAGAAATGTCCATGAGCTAGGGTCTAGAATGGAGGCCTGCTTGATGGCCTGTTTTACTGTGGCTGAGCTAGTATCCAAGTTGCAAGACAAAGTCCTCTTTACTTTTCCCTCTCCTGTCTCAAGCCAAAAGAAGTGGTGTCTCCCAGAGCTGTGAGCTGCATTGCCTGGGGTTGGGGAGGGATGACATAAGCATTCCCTTGGCTGCCCCAGGTCACAGGCCCCACAAATCCACTGGCTCCAAGCCCAGCACAGCACCAGGACTTGACCAGGAATTGTAGTCCTTGTGGCCTAGATTGTCTTTCAAGTTTATTTAGGACCCCAGAGTCCTTTAGCTCATAGTGGCAAGACTTGCTAGAACTCAGGTTCCGACCACTGGGATGGGCAATTCCCCTCTGGCTAGGGCTGGTATAAATGCCCCTTCTGTGGGCACTGACTGACTTCTGCCTGATGTTGCTTTCTGCTTTGACAGGGCAGCACTGAGGTTTAATGGAAATTCCCACAATTACTGTGTTGTCTCTTCCCCAAGCACACAGAATTTGTCTCCATGTAATGGGGCCACTGCTGGGAGATCAGAGAGGGGTGGCATCAGCTATTCAAGACTGTTATTCCTACCCTTTTCAGTGCTTCTTCCAGTGATAGAAAGGGAAAACCAGTTAAAATCAGGTGATCACTCCTGGGATCATAGAGACCACATTGCCACCAAAAATTTTAAAAGTAGCTGGGCATGGTGGTGCAGGCCTGTAATTCCAGCTACTTGGGAGGCTGAAGAGAGAGGATCACCCAAGCCTAGGAGATCAAGGCTACAATAAGCCATGATTGTGCCACTGCACTCCAGCAAGGGTGACAGAGCAAGACCCTATCTCAATAAGAAACAACAAACAAAACAAACAAAAAACAAAAACAAAAACTCAAGAATGGGCTAAAAACCACCTAGTGTATGCTGTTCTGTTGTAGCTGCCTAAATGGACTGAGACAGTTTGTTTGAAAACTGACTTGTGTAATTCCCTAATATTCACCCTTGTTAATCACCAATATTGATTAGTTCCAAGGCATACTTGGGCCCAGCTGTGCATCCTCCCGTTTTGGTTCTGCCACCTCTCCAACTACCATGGAGCAGGCTTGGCTCAATGTATAGAAAATGGCAACCCGATCTCTCAACTTCTTGCCATTCCCTTTACCCCATATTATAATCTCCTCTAGGACCTCAGGGTTTAGAAATCAAAAGTCAGAAAAACAAGTGTGTTCAGAAAACTCCGATAGTCCTGTAGTACCCACCTATCTTGACACAACAGAGCATGGGGGTGCCTTTGTCTGTGTTTTCTGCAATGGTGTCCATAGGGAATCTTGAGAAAGTTAACCTGGCGAATGTTCACTGACAAGTTTTATACTCCGAAAATGGATTAAAAATTATACTGTTAATCTAGCAGCTGTTTATCTATGAGACAATGAGAGTAATCTGGGCATTAGAGGTCTTTTGATATAGAGTGTCTCATTTTGATGTTTATTTTTTCAGCATTTGTATACCATTATCCTATTTACTAAAGAGGAAATGACCACTCTCTGGCATTGGTGTTAAGTGCTAAAAGCACAATCAGAAAGTGAATGAGTATAGCAGTTAAAGGCCAGAAAGAAACAAATACCTTAGGCGTCCCAGTTAGTTTTTGGTTTTGACCAAATGGTAGAGTTCTGTGCCGATTATGATGTGCATCTGGACAGCCACAGACCTTACTGATTTAAGGTAGACCTGGCAACATGAAGAAAAATAAGGGCTTTCAAAAATGGAAATAATAAAGCACCTTTCCCCTTCATCTTCAACTGTGATAGAAAGGGAGGCTGCTGAAATTGCAAGCAGCAATAGTAATGTGCAAAATAATTATGCTCGCATAATCTGTCTGTAATTCACTCAGACTCCATTCTCTCTCTCTCATTCCCAAACATGCATCTTCCTTAATATTCACTTGGAAAATTTCTCTCCTCTCTTCTATTTACCTACTTGCTCATGGGAGTTATATTTGGAATACAATCGCCGTTTATTTTCTAAATAGTTTAAATTTTTATCACTATTTTATTATTTCCTAATTGCGAAGAACATTATACTATGTATGAAGAGTGAGATACAAATATAAAATTTTATTTCCAATACAAAATTTAAAGAATTTTATGAACATAAAACAAGTGCCAATGGGGAGTATCCCAATTAAAAGATTAATTTGATGTCTCATTTCTTCAATTGCTTCCTCTCAAAAAAAAAAAAAAAACCAGAAAAACAAGAGTTTGACTTCCACTGTTCATTGTTTTCTACTTTTGAGTAATATACTTGTTTGATTACACACACACACACAAACACATGTCTGTGTATATTTATACATTTATTCAAAACCATATCAGTCAAATGTAATAAACTGGGTCACATAATAACGTCCATAGAAACAAAAGAAATCAGTGAGTGGATGGGGATGGAGTGAAAGAGATAGGAAAATAGCTAAACCTTATGGATTTTGAACCAGAATGCTAGTTAGGAACAAAACCCTGTTATCAAACAGGACATACCCCATCAATGTAGCTTAGCTCCTGGTGCTTTTATTGTTTCGCCATCTAATCAATCCTGTCACTATACTTTGGTTCCTGTCTCAAGGCAAATCATTTGATATGCCTATTTAATAGTCATCACCTCTATTCAAGCAGAGTCTCCTACAATCATATTTAGAAGTTTCCAGGATTACTTTGAAATTCTTCAAAATTGTATCTTAAAATTTCTAGTGATATCCATTTATCCTTTAAATTATAGGTCAATCCCATCAAAATCTCTTTTCTTAAATTTTGCAAATTACTTAATAAATGTTTAGTTCAATCCAAAGACAACCTCTTAAAAATATGTAAACAAGCTGGCAAAAATAGTATATTTTTAAAGAATTAGAAAAGCCAAGAGTGATAGGGTAAATAATTCATCAAATTGAATATCCAAATTTAGAGAAGCAAAAAAAATTTAAATACAAGTGGAAACAAGTTTTTATTTCTGAAAATGTTTATGGGGCATGGCTGCTCTTCATCCCTACCTTTTAATACTGACTTTCCATGTTGCCCTAGTTTGTACTCAAGAGCTAGCTGCTGTTCTTTGCCTGGTGATCAAAACTAAAGCTCTTTTCCAGTCATGAGAGTTCTTGAAATGTGTCTATCAGCATGTACGATTTAGCGAATTCATTTAATGGCTGAAGTATTTTACATGCATTATTTCATTTTTACCTCAAAATAGCCCAATATGGTAAATATTAGTTACACAAAAGTCTTGGAAATATTTACACATACAATTTTCACATAACAACTATTGTCTATTTTCGTAGGTGATATGATTTGGCTGTGTTCCCACCCAAATCTCACCATGAATTGTAACTCCCACAATTCCCCTGTGTCATGAGAGGGACCCAGTGGGAGGTAATTGAATCATGGGGGTGGGTCTTTCTCCTGCTGTCCTCATGATAGTGAATAAGTCTCACAGGTCTGATGGTTTTATAAAGAGGAGATCCCCTGAACAAGTTCCCTGTTTTTGCCTGCGGCCATCCATGTAAGATGTGACTTTGCTCCTCTTTGCCTTCTGCCATGATTTTGAGGCCTCCCTAGCCATGTGGAACGGTGGGCCAATTAAACTTCTTTTCTTTCTAAATTCTCCAGTCTTGGGTATGTCTTTATCAACAGCATGAAAAAAGACTAATAGAATAGGTATGTTCTTATTCATATAGTGATGCAACATATATTGGTAAACAAGTTTTCTCTTTAAATATTATCATTAAATAATTTTAAAAAATGTAATGTTAAATAATTTTAATGTAAGTTCATTTTATTTTCATGTGGAGCACCAATGCATTACTTTCTTGGAAATAAGAAGTAATTAACTTCACTTTAAATTCCTATCATGATCTAAAATCATGTTAGAAAAATAACCCATCAAATCTGAATACATTAATTAACAACACCATAATGTCTAACATAATAATCTGCTGAGGATAAGTCGGAGAAGTTATGGGGTAAGTTGACTGATTGCAATTGATCTGAAATTATCTGTTCATTACCACACTACAACTTTGACAGCTTAACATGTAAACCTTCATAATGATAGTGAAGCCTATAACACTACACTATACATAAAGATGTGGTTTGACAAAATTCGAGGTGTTTACTCATAAGATACTAAAGCTTGACTATACTTTTGAATATAGTTTAGAAAACTATATTCAACTGCATGTTTATCAGTAATTGAAGCTGTGTTTTTTTAACTAATCTAAAATGTGAGCATTCCTCTAAGAGCATATATTTATGATTTTCTAATATTTTATATATGCATACATTTGACTATTTAAACAACTATTTAAATATAATTTGATAATATTGCACAATGTCTATGAGTAATTAAATACTGAAAAAATCTTTTAAAGTAATTTTATGGAAAATATTGCAAGTATAATCACATTGAGATAGAGCTATTATTATAACTTCTTGGGTTTTAAAAATGTTTTGGATATTTGTTACACTTGAATGTATTCTATCCCTTCAGTAAATCAGTGTGATTAAAATTTTAATTACAAAATTTATTTTGAAAACTTTAGTAAAATTTTATTTACTTTAGTAGCCCTAGGATTTCTGAAGAAGCCATGTGAATCTTGTTGTAAGTAAAAAGCATTTAATTTAATAAAGACTCCAATAGGCTCTGTTGGAAATGACATGTCTGAGACATATAATGGAAACTTTGTCTCAATTCATTGCTGTACATTGCTGTTTTTTTTGTAATGTGTTGGTGGATGATTAGGGAGGCATTAGAATGTGAAACAACATGAGTAAGTATCTTAAATACTTCTCACTGTTCTTCTTTAAGAATGAAAATAGGTCTTTCTTAGCCAGGTGTGGTGGCAGGCACCTGTAATCCCGCTACTCGGATGGCTAAGGCAGGAGAATCGCTTGAAGCCGGGAGGTGGAGGTTGCAGTGAGCCGAAATTGCGCCACTGCACTCCAGCCTGGGCGACAGAGCGAGACTCCATCTCAAAAAAAAAAAAAAAAAAAAAAAAGAAGAAGAAGAAAAAAAGAAAATAGGGCTGGACGCGGTGGGCTCACTCCTGTAATCCCAGCACTCTGGGAGGCCTAGGTGGGCAGATCACGAGGTCAGGAGATCGAGATCATCCTGGCTAACACGGTGAAACCCCGTCTCTACTAAAAATACAAAAAATTAGCCAGGCGTGGTGGCGGGTGCCTGTAGTTCCAGCTCCTCGGGAGGCTGAGGCAGGAGAATGGCGTGAAACCCGGAGGCGGAGCTTGCAGTGAGCCGAGCTCGCGCCACTGCACTCCAGCCTGGGCGACAGTGCGAGATTCCTTCTCAAAAAAAAAAAAAAAGAAAATTGGTGTTTCCATAGATTTAAACTTTCTTAGAAGTCATTTTGTTTCCGTGCTCCTACTGCCAAAATAACTTAAATACTGAATTTTAAAAATCAAGAAAAATGTAAAATATACAAAAGTCCCAGGATATGTATTTTCTTTTTGGAAGTATGCAAGTTCATAGAATTGATACTGTCTATAATCAGATGATTGTAAGGAGACATGAGGTAAGAAACTATTTTAGGTTTATAAAAGTAGATACTCACTAATGCAACAGCATTTCCTTAAATCAGTCATACAACGTTAATGAATTTTGCGGCCATAATTGAAAGAAACTAGGAGAGATTAAAAGTGAATCACTTCTCAAAATACACTTGGGTGTACTGAAATTGCCTAATGAAAACATGAACATTAAAATAAAGAATTAGCCAGTGCAGTGGCTCATGCTTGCAATCCCAGCACTTTGGGAGGCCGAAGAGGGTGGATGGCTTGAGCTCCCGGGTTGGAGGCCACCCTGGATAACATGGCAAAACACTATCTCTACTCAAAAAGATACAGAAATTAACTAGGCATGGTGGTGTGAGTTTGTAGTCCCAGTTATTCCAGTGGTGGAGGCAGGAGGATCGCTTGAGCCTGGGAGGCATAGGATGAAGTGAGCCCAGATCGCACCACTGCACTCCAGCCTGGGAAACAGGAGAATTTGTCTAAAAAAAAAAAAAAAAAAGATAAAGTAAAAATATATAAATTATAAACATAATTTATAAGAAACAAATTTATATAGGTCTACAACATAAGGACCTCTATAGCTGCTCCCAAATAGAATAACAATTTCTAATTTCCTGAGTATCCTTTTAATACCTCAAATTATTTTTAATTGTCTAAACATGAAAATGGTGAACTAATTTTTCCCACAGTGTTCTGTATGAGGCTGTGTTTCAACAGACTATCGCAAGAAGTTGCTTTATTCAAAACATTTTCGAATAATTGATATGCATTTCCAAAGGATTGCTCTAGCAAAATATAAACTTTTGATACTGATGATAGTGAAAACTATGTATTTTTCAATAACAAAATACAAAATTAAAAAATACCAATTAGAGAAGCAATGTATCTATTTCTAAATCTTTCAAATGTTTAATGGAAAGTGATCAGGCCTCTTCTGTATAAGGTAAAATAGAAAAAAAGACAACGAGTCATAGAGATTATTAACAATATAGGAGAGAAATTTGTCTTTTACCTACTTCATGCTTGTATCTACCACCATAACTCAAAATACTATGACAGGAGGGAATAGTAATTGGCATATGGCTCCCAAATGACTCTAATAAGGAAGTACATATAATTGGTGCTGTTGGCACCAATCCTATAATTAAGAAGATATGAGATTTATGATGCAGCTGATATTGTGGATGAGAAAAGACCCTGATGCCTGAGGTTGTTATGAAGCCTATGGATCAACCAACCTGCAGATACTTGTTAAAATCATACATTTTCATTGAAATGTGAAAGGTCATAATTGATTTAAAAGAACAGATATGTTCTTTGAATACTTACATTACTTATGTTGATTATGCCACTGAAAATGATGTGACTGGTTTTAAACTGTTCTAGATTTAAAGAAAGAATTAGTGTGTTGAACATTTTTCATATTTCTGGTTTGTCATTTGTATGTCTTCTTTTAAGAAATATCTATTTGGATACCTTGCCCACTTTTTAATCCAAAATTTGTTTGGATTAAAACAGACCATTATTTGTATGTTTTCTTTCTATGATTTGTTTCTTTCTATGGAAAGAAACAAATTTGTTTTCTTTGTTTAGAAAAAAAAATTGTTTTCCTTCTGTAGAATTGTTTGAGTTTTATAGAATTTGTTTTCTTTCTGTAGAATTGTTTGAGTTCCTTATATATTTCGGATATTAATCCCTTATCAGATGTATGTCTTGCAAATATTTTCTCCCGATCTGTAAGTTTTCTCTTTATTCTGTTGTTTCCTTTGTTGTACAGCTTTTTATTTCTATGTAATTCCACTTGTCTGTTTTTGCTTTTGTTGTTTGCACGTTTGGGGTCAAATCTAAAATACCATTGCACAGATTAATGTCATGTAATTTTTTCCCTTGTGTTTTCTTATAGTAGTTTTACAGTTTGAGGTCTAACGTTTAAGTCTGTATTTCATTTTGAGTTGATTTTTCTGTATGATGTGAGATAAGGGTCCATTTTTCAGCCTTCTGTATATTTCAATTTACATTTAAAAATTAAAAAATAAATGTACTGATATATGGTACAAAAAGGATGAAAGCATACTAATTCAAAATGCCAATTACAAAGGACCATACATTGTATGATTCATAAGAAATGTTCAGGATAGGCAAATCTATAAAGACAGAAAGCAGATTAGTGTTTGCTTTAAGCTGGGTTGTATGGAAAGGTTTTAGAGGGTTTTTTGGAAGGAAATAATTAAATGCTCCAAAATCGATTGCGGTGATGCATGCACAACTCAGAATATACTAAAAGCCATTGAATTGTACACTTTAAATGCGGGAACTTTATGGTCTAGGGATTATATCTCAAAGCTGGCAAACATTTTTAAAAATAAAGAAAAAGACAGTAAGTAATGAAGAAAACTTTCTAGAAGATTTTACTTTCTGAAATTAATTATCATGCAGTATTAACAGTCTTGTAATCATTTTGGGGTGACTGCCATGACTAACTCAATCAATGAGTCTTAATCTTTCCTATAGAACCAAGAAACAACAAAAGAGAAAACTGGATCAAAGACTATATAAATATACAAGTCATTTAAATTAGTTTTCTCTATTTTATGTTAAAATATTAATATTACGTTAAACTCTAGAAAATAGAAATTTGGGATACATGTGCAGAAGTAAAAAATAAATAAATAATAAAATGCACTGAAAAAAACACAAATTTGAGAATTTTGTTCTGGATTAGGTTAAGTGCATAGTAGTTCTGGGTATTGTTGACACAAAACTTCTCCTATAATCAATTCTGTATGATGCCAGTGGATTTAGTATTCAAACGAAATCTGTTTGTGCACCTCTCCTGTTTAAAAGTTTTATTGGTTCTTTTTACCTGGCATCAAGACTACCCATAGTTGGACCCATTTTAGACTCATTTTACAGATTACCCGCCCATGCAATATATAACTTTGTCCAGAATTTCACAAATCTTTTTGGTCAGATAATATTATTTATTTTATTTTAAGTATTATAATGACACAGTATCTGTGTACAAAATATATACACTTATCTTTAATAATTTATGTAAAGTATATTTCATTTTACTTTTATAAAGTAGCAAAGATGGTTGAAAACTCATATTAATGTTGTGTCAAATGTTTCGTGTGATTTTACCCTATTAAAGAACACAAAAAATAAATATTAATTAATATATATCACAAACTGCTTAACAAATCCTCTTCTCTTTTTACTTTGCTTTTCCTATCTCTTCTCCTAGGTAAATTTCAATAGTGCATAGGGCTTATGTTTTTTAAACATAATTGTGTTTTAATCTCCAATCTAGTTCCTTGCTTGAGATAGGACGTGTTGATTCAAGACATAATCACAAGATATGTAGAGATTGCTATACCTGAAATTGTTGTTAGTGGAAAAACCGCATTTTCTATTCTTATTCTTTTATTTGAATGTAATTATTTTAGAAATACTAGGGACCTGGGGCCTTTAGGGAGTGTGGTGGGAGGGAAAGCATCAGGATAAATAACTAATGCACGTGGGGTTTAATACCCAGGTGATGGGTTGACAGGTGCAGCAAACCACCATAGCACACATTTACCTATAAAACAAATCTGCACGTCCTGCACATGTATCCTGGAACTTAAAATTAAATTAAATTGAATTAAAAAAAAGAAATACTAGGAAATATTCTTTCCCTTTGCCCTCCTTTCACTCTTTCCTGGGGAGAAAAGACAGGATTTGCATGCTTCCCTTTGGTTTCTTGAAGACAATATTAAATTCTGTTCTGGAGAGTCAGCTACTTCACCCGATTCTGGTGTCCCGGCCAAGGTCAATTACCTGCTTTGTGGTCAGGGTCTGCATGCGTGGGAGGAGCCTGCTGTTATCCAGATTTGCCAGTGAACATTTGAAAATGATTTTTTCAAACTCAGGGAAAAAATATTGACTGTCCTAGTAAACACAGATTTACAGACATATTTTGTGGTCAGTATCAACAGCCAATATATCCCTACCATACCATACCATATTTTTTGGTTAGTTACACATAAGTTCAGTAGTGATGTAATCATGGTGAGGAACTGAGGCTTCTCCCATCAACCAGCATTAACTTGCAATCATTTGAATGAGTTACCTTAAAAGTGTACCATCCACACCTGTTCAAGGATTGAGTGAAGTCCCAGACAACATCTTAACTGCAACATCATAAAAAACTTAAGAGGCAGGACTACCTAGTTAAGACACTGAAATTCTTGGCTCTGATAAATTGTGTGAGACAAATATGTTTATTGTTATTTAAAGACACTATTTTTGTGGTTAATATTTTACATACAATAGGTACCTAATACAGGTGTGTTATTAATTAAAATGAATATTTATTTTTGAGATACAAATATTCATGATAATTTGTTATATAGCAATGGGTATCTATCTACACAGGGGTGTCACTAATTGTCCTTCATCAAAGCCCAAATTCAATACCCCTAACTTTCATAAAGGAAAACCAATCTACCTTTCTCATCTCCATAAGTAGAATTACCAGCAGTGATGTTCCTCAAATGTACCTGAGACTTCCTTTTGTTCTTCTACTGTATGTATATAATCAGTCATCAATTCATTCATGTTGTTTCTTGTAATTTTTAATCAAATTTTTAATATGCTGAACCTCTTAAAAAGCAACCTATGTTAAGTCACCCTAGATTATAATTTATGTGCTGAGTCTCACTTGGTTTCTTCAAAAACCTTAAATACATTCTCTGCAACACAGCAAATAGGAATATTTATGAATTTAAAAATGCTTCACTTATAAACACTGTTATATTTAACACCTTAGGGTCTTGAACATGTAGATTTCATCACATAATTTTTATAGTTGTCCATGTTTATGGTTCTGCTTCCTCTTTCATCATTATCTTCTCTACCTTTTGCTTCATGAGCTTAATCAGATGGTGCTCTATATGGAATGTATCTTCTAGGTATTAGCTCCTAGTGTGGAACAATTAATTTAGTGCTTGGTTCCGGATTCTCACCTCTTGACTTAATGAATTCATTTCTTCAATTTTTATAAACAAAAACACCAGAATATATTTTATTTTACATCACTGAGACAAGAGAATACTTTTGCTAGTCAGTCTAAGTAGTAATTTTTCCTTCTCAAGAGATGTGCTGTATGTGGAAGTATTCAGGATATAGACCATGTTGTCTACAATGTCTTTCAAATGGTTCAGGAAATAACTCTTTTCTTTTTCTTTTTCTTTTTTTTTTTTTTTGAGATGAAGTTTCACTCTTGTTGCCCAGGCTGGAGTATAATGGTGCAATCTCAGCTCACTGCAACCTCTGCCTCCCGGGTTCAAGCAATTCTCCTACCTCAGCGTCCCAAGTAGTTGGGATTAGAGGCAGGTGCCACCACGCCCAGATAATTTTGTATTTTTAGTAGATATGGGGATTCACCATGTTGGTCATGCTGGTCTCGAACTCCAGACCTCAGGAGATCTGCCCCACCTCGGCCTCCCAAACTGCTGGAATTACAGGTGTGAGCCACCACACCCAGCCCTATTTTCTTAATATATATAGAAATAAAGAAGGCAGAATTTTAAAAATTAATGAATCTAAGCAAAGGGTAATTAGGTATTGATTATAGTCTTGAAAATTTACTATAATTTTATATTGTTCAAAATATTTTAAAGATAAAAGTAAGTTCTTATGCAATAACAGGGACCAAATTCCCATCTGAAACAACTGAAAACCAACATAAATATATGAAAAAAATTGTTCAAAGATATTGGATAAATAATAAGTAAATCTAATAATCGCTAAGCGTCAATGAGCAAACCAACCGAAACCTAAAAATTTCCCAGCTTACTAGCCAGAAAGAATCCAGGCTATGACATACAGAGGAGGAACCCAGGAAGTACTCCCTGAATTGAGGAGACTGAGATAGTAATCCAGGGAAGCCAATGTGTCTCGAGTTTGTAGGTCACAAAACCAACATGCCAACGAACAAAAAGCTGTGCAGAGAAAAGACATTGCGGATGTGCAAATTTCTCATCATACCTTACAGATCTGAGTATAGATTCAGATACATGTAAGAGAAATTCACCTGAGGTGAGGGAAAAATTGCCTGAAATGCTTAGAAGTAACTGTGCCAAAACACACGTGACAAGTAAGAAGGGCCTTACTTTGGTACCCACAAAAAATTAGCCAGAGACAAAGTGAACACTGCATAAGCAAAGCATAAATACTCAAGAGAATCGAATTGGTTTTAAGTAACTTAACTGAATCCCCCAATAGTCTCAAGAATATTTATTTAGCAAAGCAAATATTTAGCACCCAACAGGGTAAATTCACATTATCTAGTATGCACTCAAAATTACCTGACATTCAAAAAGGCAGAGAAATACAACTCATGGTTAAGAAAAATATAAAATTAACCAAAAATAACCAAAACAAAATGACAGTCATAATAAATTAGTAGAAAAATCTTAAAATACTTTAAAAATAAGAATTTTGAAAGAGTCTAAACAAAATGAAACATAGCAAAATTATTATTTCATCCAATTATATCTGTATCATTGAAAAGCCAAAATAAAACCTGTTTCCCTGTATTTATTTACCCAGTGAACATATATTTCAAAAAGAAAGTGAAAAACTTTGCTTAATATATAAAAACTTAAAGACTTCATCACCAGTGGATATGCACTATAGTATATTTTAAGGAGTCCTTAAAACAGAAGAAAATGGTAGCAGATAGAAACCTGGATATATAAAGAGTACTGTCAATGGTAGCTACATGGATTGCTATAAGAACTTTTACCTCTTATCCTTAATTGATCGTTTAAAGTAAAAATACTAATGGTATTTTTAGAGTCTAAAACATATGTACCAGGAACATCACAAAACTTGGTAGGGAGAAATGGAAATACACTTTTGTAAGAGACTTCATGCAAAACTTGAAGGTATATTGTGACAACTTAAAGCTGCATACTATAAACCTTAGAGTAACCACAGAAATAATGCAAAGTGCTATAGCTAATAACCTGGAAAAGGTGATGAACTAGATAAAATGAATAGAATAATATTTAAACCCAAAGAACGTTACAAAAAGAGGAAAGAAAAAAAAAGGAATGAAGACACAAAAAGAAAAAAATAGCAAAATGGTAGACAGAATATTTGCTTTACAAAGATGTGATGTCCTAATTCCCATAACCAGTAAATATGTTATTTTACATGGCAATAAGAACATTGCATATATGTCTAAGTTAATGATTTTAAGAGAGGGAGATTATCCTGAATTATTAAGTTGAGCTCAGTGTAATCACAAGTTTGTAAGAGAGAGAGAGAAGTTTCAATGTCAGAGAAGCAACATGACAACAGAAGCATAGGTATGTGTTTGTGTGTGTGTGTGTGAGAGAGAGAGAGAGAGACAGAGAAAGGGAGAGAGAGATTTAAAGATTCTTTACTTTTGTTCATTTGATTTCATTTTTTTAATCTTCAACTTTTCAGTTCAGGGGTACACATGCACGATGTGCAGGTTTGTTACATGGGTAAACATGTGCCTTGGTGGTTTGCTGCACAGATCAACCCATCACCTAGGTATTAAGCCCAGCATTCATTAGCTATTCTTCCTAATGCTCTCCCTCGCCCCTACTCCATCCCCGTGATAGGGCCCAGTGTGTGTTGTTCCTCTCTCTGTGTTCTCATTGTTCAGCTCCCACTTATAAGTGAGAACATGTGATGCTGGTTTTCTGATCCTGCATTAGTTTGCTGAGGATAACGGCTTCCAGCTCCATCCATGTTCCTGCAAAGGACATGATCTCATTCCTTTTTATGGCCGCATGGTATTCCATGTGTATAGGTACCACATTTTCTTTATTCAGTCTATTATTTATGGGCATTTGGGTTGATTCCATGTCTTTGCTATTGTGAATAGTGCTGCAATAAACATACACATGCATGTATCTTTATAATAGAATGATTTACATTCCTTTGGATATATACTCAGTAATGGGACTCCTGGGTCAAATGGAATTTCTGCCTCTAGATTTTTGAGGAATCGCCACAGTCTTCCATGATGATCGAACAAATTTACACTCCCACCAATAGCATAAAAGTGTTCCTTTTCCTCCACAACTGAGCCAGCATCAGTTTTTTTGACTTTTTAATAATCACCATTCTGATTGGTGTGAGATACTGTGTCATTGTGGTTTTGATTTGCATTTCTCTAATGATCAGTGATGTTGAGCTTCTTTTCATATATTGGTTGGTTGCATATATGTCTTCTTTTGAGACGTGTCTTTTCGTGTCCTTTGCCCACTTTTCTTGTAAACTTGTTAAAGTTTCTTACAGACTCTAGGTATTAGGCCTTTGTCAGATGGATAGGTTGCAAAAATTGTCTCCTGTTTTGTAGATTGTCTGTTCACTCTGATGATAGTTTATTTTGCTGGGCAGAAGCTCTTTTTAATTAGATCCCATTTGTCAATTTTTGCTTTTGCTCCAATTGCTTTTGGTGTTTTTGTCCTGAATGGTATTGCTTAGGTTGTTTTCCAGGGTTTTTATAGTTTGGAGTTTTGCATTTAAGTATTTAATCAGTCTCGAGTTAATTTTAGTATAAGGTGTAAGGAAGAAGTCTAGTTTCATTTTTTTTTTTTTTTTTTTTTTTTTTTGCGTGTGGCTAGCCAGTTCTCCCAACACCATTTATTGAATAGGGAATCCTTTCCCCATTGCTTGTTTTTGTCAGGTTTGTCAAAAATCAGATGTTTGAAGGTATGTGGTCTTATATCTGAGTTTTCTATTCTGTTGCTTTGGTCTATGTGTCTGTTTTTGTACCAGTACCATGCTCTTTTAATTACTGTAGCCTTGTAGTAAGTATAGTTTGAGGTTGGGTAGCGTGATAACCTCCAGCTTTGTTCTTTTTGCCTAGGATTGTCTTGGCTATTCAGACTCTTTTTTGGTTCTATATGAATTTTAAAATATTTTTTTCTAATTCTGTGACGAATGTCAATGTTAGTTTAATGGGAATTGCATGGAATCTATAAATTGCTTAGGGCAGTAGGGCCATTTTAACAATACTGATTCTTTTCATCCATGAGCATGGAATATTTTTCTATTTGTTTGTGTCCTCTCTGATTTCTTTGAGAAGTGGTTTATAATTCTTGAAGAGGTCCTTCATTTCCCTTGCTAGCTGTATTTCCAGGTGTCTTATTCTTTTACTAGCAATTGTGAATGGGAGTTCATTCATGATTTGGTTTTCTGCTTGCCTGTTGTTGGTGTATAGGAATGCTAGTGATTTTTGCACATTCATTTTATATCCTGAGACTTTGCTGAAGTTGCTTATTAGCTTAAGAAGCTTTTGTGCTGAGGCGATGCGGGTTTCTATATATGTCATCTGCAAACAAAGATAACTTTACTTCCTCTTTTCCTACTTTTTTCCTTTATTTTTTTCTTTTGCCTGATTGCCATGGCCAGAACTTCCAATACTATCTTGAATAGGAGTGGTGAGAGAGGGCATTCTTTTCTTATGCCAGTGTTCAAGGGGAATGCTTCTGGCTTTTGCCCATTCAGTATGTTATTGGCTACAGGTTTGTCATGTATGGCTCTTACTATTTTTAGCTATGTTCCTTCAATACCTAGTTTATTGAGAGACTTTAACATGAATGGATGTTGAATTTTATTGAAGTCGTTTTCTGCATCTATTGAGATAATTATATGGTTTTTATCTTTAGTTCCATTTATGTGATGAATCACATTTATTGATTTGTGCGTGTTGACCCAATCTTGCATCCCTGGGATGAAGCCAACTTGATCATGGTGGATAAGCTTTTTGATGAGCCACTGTATTCTGTTTCTTAGTATTTTATTGAAGATTTTTGCATCAATGTTCATCAGGGATATTATCCTGAAGTTTCCTTTTTATGTTGTATCTCTGCCAGGTTTTGGTATCATGATGATACTGGCCTCATAAAATGAGTTAGGAAGGAGTTCCTCCTTTGCAATTTTTTGAAATAGTTTCAGTAGAAATGGTACCAGCTTTTCTTAAGATATTTAAGTGATGGATTTGAAAATGGAAGACAGAGTCGTGAGATAAGAAGTACATGCAGTCCCTAGAAGTTGGAAAAGCCAAAGAAACATTTTCCTAGAACATCCAGAAGGAATGCAGCCCTGTCAGCATGTTGTTCCCATGACTTCTGACTTTCTGAATATAAGATAATAAATTTGGGTTGCTTTAAGGCGCCAAATTTGTGGTGATTTGTTATAATAGTAATAGAAAATTAATACCCATGTCAATAATCACAATAATGCAAATGGTCTGAACATCTCAATTAAAGGGCATAACTTTTCAGATTGGATGAAAAAGCAAGACTTAGCATATGCTTGCTCCCACTTTAATGTATGAAACAAATTGGTTAAAACAAAACAATAAAAAATATATCACCTGATAACACTAAGGAAAAGCAAGCTGGGATAACTATCGATATAAGAGAAAACCATTTTTAGAACAAGGAAGATTGCCAGACAAAAGAGAGTCATTTGAAAATAACAGGGTCAATTAAAAATGACATAACATTTATTAATACTTATCAATCTAAAACAGAGTTTTAAAATTAATCAAGGAAAATGATAAAAATGTAAAGAGAAATACAAAATCTAAAATTATAATCAGATTTTAAACATCCTTTCTCAATAGAAAAATTATGAAAAAGGTTACTAAATATGTAGAAAATTTAAACAATACTATCAATTTGACCTAATTGATATTTATGAAACACTTCACTTAGGTACAGTAGAAAAGCACTGTTTAAAATGTAGACCAGATTTTATTACCTAAAACAAATCTCAGTAAATTTAAAAGTATTCAAGTCATACACAGTATGTTCTCCAACTACAAAGAAATTCCATTTAAATCAATAACAGAACAATATCTGGAAAATCATCAAATATTTAGATAGTAAATAATGCTTCTGAACAATTCAAGAGTTCAAGTAAAAAATCAAATGGGAAATTAAAATGTATTTTGAATTGAAAGAAAATTAAAATTCAACATATCAAAATTTGCGGGAAGTAGAGGACACAGCACTCAGGAAATATTGTAGCACTAAGCACTTGGGAGAAAAAGAAGAAAGTTCTTACATTGTTGAGCTCAGTTTACAAATTAAGAATCTAGAAAAATAAAATCAAATGAATCTCAAAGTAGATTGAGTAGATAGAATAATAAAAACAGCAGTTTAATAAAATCAAAACAAGGAAAAAATAGAAGAGAAAACCAAGGAAATCAAACAATCAAATTTATCTGCTTATCTACCACTTAGGATATGAAAGAGGAGAAGAGGAAGAAGGAAAAAGAGAAGGAGCTTCAATGCAAACAAGATCCTGTCTGTCTCAGGGAGTTACTTGCAGACACTTTTGGAATAATGTATGGCCCACGGGAGGAACTCAATAAGTAGTCGGTGAATAAATTAATTAATATTTCATTGAATATATTCTTATAAGAGCATCCTTTTTTTCTGATTAAATAGCATGAGGCATTAGATAGAAAGCATTCTGTGTTCCCAGGTGTGGTGTTGTGGCAAAATATTTTGTGATTAAAAAAAATACTCTCCATAGTTTTTGACATAATGAAACATCATTTTGTTAAATTTTTCCTAGCACAATGTATTATGCAATTGTAGAGAACACGCAGAGCAAAATGAAGGCTGGTCTTAAGTATATGCTACATGAGAAGAGTGAACACTGCCTATAGAACATCTATCCAAACTTCAAGCAAGCAACAAAAGCATTCAGGTGTATTTTAAAATTTAATTTTACTTTTATGTAATGTTTCACTTGTACTTGCCTGTTATGGGGATCACATTATGGATATGTCTAGCAAAAAAAAATGCTATTTCTTGTACAATACACCTGTGCAGAATCACAAGAATTCATGCTACTTCTTTGAAAATATACTATTCAAGGAATATATAGTATTTTACAAATAAGAATATTTTCTTATTGATTCTTATTTAAAAATTCTACATTTTAATTATCTATGGACATTTTATTTTCAAGAGATAAGTTTCTTTAAGGTATTTAATGTCTCTAATCTATGGTTGCTAATTTAAGCTAACGGTTTTCCAAATCTACAGAACTTCACCATATTTAGTATTATGTGAGCAAACCTAAATATACATTTATTAAAATAAATGTAAGATAAATGCATGTTTTAAGTAAAATGTTCTCTTTTAAACTGTCTTAAGCAATGGAGAATATTAACGACTACTTTAGCCAGGAAAATTAGATTCAATCATTCTGTAAAGACACTAGTTTATTAATTTTTCCCTAGTCACATCACAATAATGTCTATTTCCGTGTGAAAGTGCTTAAACTGTAAAAGTAAACAGAATAAAGTGCACAGCAGTTAAGAACCTAACAGATGCATAATTTTGATAATTATTGCACACTTCATTTAACCATAACACAATCACACATCAGCCTGGTCTTTTCTAAAAATATTTGAATATGAAAATACTTTGTTTTCAGCAGCATATTTTACCACTAGGTGGTAGTATCTCCTTTATTCTTCATTGAAATGGCATTCAGCATCTGAAGATCACAATTTCTGTTTATAGATTTAAATAGTGATGAATCAAAGAAAACGCATTATTTGCAGTGAAATTTTGCTTCTTAACCCTCGATATTCTGTAAGACTTCGGCTTTATTTCATGTTTCCAGGAGTCTGGTAAAGATGTACGAGTTAAATGTATTTACAATGGTTATTGTTGATGTTTGTTATTATTAAAAGAATAGGAATGTCATTGAGTTTCTTAATATCTTGAGAGTGGTCTAGACAATATGTATTGCCCCAGATTGAAATAACATCACTCTGTACAGCTGGATTATTTTGATACTTAGGTTATAATTTACAGACTTTCTATCTCACCACCCCTACAAAAATAATTGCTCTTCTATAAATGTTCTACTTGGTGAGAAGGATCAACATTTCAGTATTTTCAAAACAGCAGAAAACACAATGTAATATAATTTATTTTTTTAGTTAAGTATAACAAAAGATTTTACGGGGATATTAGTGAGCTATTTCTCTTCCCTGCTCTTTTCTTTTAATCGGTGTTTATATTGGTTCTAAAGAAGTCCTGAGAATACCTATGACATTGTTATTTTCAATAGTTACCACCATACATTTTATGCAATGTTTTTGGAAATGTGATCTATTTCTACAGATTTACTTATTATGAAAAATTAAACATTCTTAATATGAAATATTGGTAAATTTTTAGAAAGTTATGCTTCTCAAATACAAATGATATATATGTAAACCAGGATAAACAAACTGGAGAACAATTAGGCAATATGTTTGTATTTTGAAAAGATAAATGAGTACTGAATATATATTTCCAAAGAAATATTCAGAAAGAGTGAACAAATCGGCCGTAAAGATGTCTAGTATAGTATTATTTACAACAGTAAAACATTTGATACAATCTCAATATTCAGTAATAAGAACTTGTCAATTTTTCATGATACGTCATACAATGGGAAATAAATATGAAAATACTATTAGATAAGAATATTTATCAACATGAAAAATTTATGGTTAAAAATCAAACTAAATTTTTTAAAACATTAAGAAAATGACTTTTGTAAAATATACTGATGTGTTTATACCTATGTGTGTATCTAAACCCATATGTATAACATCATGCCTCCAAATATTTTTTTGGGTTGGCATATCTGGAAAACAACATTGGCCTTCAGATTAGCTACAATAATAAAATACTTAACTAAATACAGGTATTTCAGAAATTTATTTTTAGAAAATCAACATCAATTAGATTTTCAGGATACTCTAATCAATGATATAGTTTGGACGTGGAATGAGAAAGCACATATTATATCATATCATCCATATTATATCATATCTCATATCATATTCTATCATATCTCATATCATATCTCATATTATATCATATCTCATATTATATCTCATATCATATTATATCATATATCATATCATATATCATATCATATTATATCATATATCATATCTCATATCATATTATATCATATCTCATATGAGATATGATATAATATCATATCATCCATAGAATAAATGATTAAAAACTTAGAGTGGATAGTTAACATAGTAACGGCAAAGTGCAAATCCGATATAGAATAAATTAGGGAATCTCAATCTAAAAGTCGATTTTCAGATGCATATAAGTCCATTTGTCTTTCTTTTGGTACTATGACTAGCAAACTCTTCCTAAGCTCCTCTTAGGTAGAGAACACTAGACATGATGAAAATCTATTATGCATTTTGCAGTACAAGAATCTCAAATAATAAAGTTTACTTCAGCATCCCTAGTAGACACGGAAGGGGCTGCAAGCAGGTGCCGAACTTCATTTGACAATTTTCAGAGTAGGAAGGAAATGAAATGTCAAGGCTAAAGGAAAATAATTATTCTTGCAACTTCCACAAGCATGTTGTCTCTTCTTATCAATTCTTATTTCTAATTACATATGAAGTGTGTACACAAACTAATGTTTACCAAAGAAAACTCTTGAGTATAAGGCCAGTTTCATGTTTTTTTCGTTGTTAATTATTTTTTGATAACTTATTTAATCTACACTTATGAGTGCTCACTTGAAAAACAGAATATCTCATACCACCCTTTTTATATTCATGTTCTTTTCGTAAATTGGTTAGGTGATTTCTACTTCATTTCACAACAACAGTTTTAGTTTCAGTTTTCAAATTTCTGTTTTTTTAATTTGGTACCATTTTAATCCTCATAGCAACCACTTTTTTTTTTTTTTTTTTTTTTTAGACATAATCTCACTCTGTCGCCAGGCTGGAGTGCAGTGGCTCAATCTTGGCTCACTGCAATCTTTGCCTCCTGGGTTCCAGCGATTCTCTTGCCTCAGCCTCCCAAGTAGCTGGGACTACAGGCGTGCACCACCACGCCCGGCTAATTTTTGTATTTTTAGTAGAGACAGTGTTTCACCATGTTGGCCAGGATGGTCTCAATCTCCTGACCCCATGACCTGCCCGTCTTGGCCTCCCAAAGTGCTGGGATTGCAGGCATGAGCCACTGCGCCCAGCCCATAAGCATCCACTTTTATGACACACAATTTGAACATTTAGAAGTCAGTCATGATATTAAAGACTTTACATTATCTCATAATCTACACATTATCCATTTCTGTTTTATTAAAGTAATTAAAATGTTGTTGCCTATTTTAAAGGCATAGGATGATTTTTTTCATAAAATTTTGTAACCTCTTTAAATCACATTTTAGTTGACAAATTACTCTAGGGAGCACAGGCTCTGAGTGAATAGAAAATATCAAATAGCAAAAGCTGTAACTCATTTGTTATCCTTATATTTCAACTAAGCAATTATACTTGATTGAATTACTGTCTATTCACTTAGAATATGACTAAATGATATAGTTGCCACATTTTGAACCAAATTCTGGTTCAAATTATATTGAATTTTTATTTTTGAGACAGGAGTTTCTGTTTAAATAAAAATACACTTTGCATAGCTCAAGCACCTATGTCTTATTCAAATCTCATATAGTTAACAGGTATCCATTTCTAAACAATATTTTTACAAAATAAATGCTCTTCAGATGACACCATTTCATTTCAGGATCTTCGCTAATGAATTTGTCAGTTGTTGTTTGTAATTATTTATGAGCCATTAGCTCAATGTTGTTATTACATCCTGACAACAGTGACATTTTAAAGAGCTTTGGATAATAAAATACACTTCTTATATACAATGCAATGTATTCTCCATTATTTTTATAACAACATGTCTCTAGAAACCAGAATTTCTAATGTCTCCCAATACAATCGTTTGCCATGAAGCAGCGGTTCCTTCTCAAAGTGTTTGTTGTGCCCCAACCAGTAGCACCAGCATAACCTGGGAGTTTCTAAAAATAAAACATTATCGGGACCCCCTTTTACTGAATTAATCAGAAGCATTGGCAATGGAGCTCAGCAATCCATATTTTAATACTTCTCCCAGGTGACTATGATGCATATGGCAATTTAATAGCTATTGTTATATATTTAAAAGAGAGGTAAATAGTGTTTAATTATTATGTTAGTAATGTATGCTTTATGAGATACTCAAAGTTTTCACTTTAAATTACAAAGGATCTGTTAAATTTATGAATGATTAACCTGTAGGTTCAACTGTCCAATATTAGCTCAAATGCTAAACTGTAGAGAATAATAGTGCAGGAGGTGTCACCATACTGCTTCTTCTAGAAACATAGCACGTAGTTGATGCATGTAACAAAGACACATGTTTGAATTTCAGTTTTTTATTAAATGAGAAACATTCTAAGGTTTTCTAGAAAACCATTTACAGTAGGTTAATTTTCTCCCAAGACAACTGTGCCTAAAGACATTCATAAGTAAAAGAAATAATTTTCTGATAATGATTTACCAGGTTCTCCTTGGCAGGGCAGTCTGATGGCCACATTTCAATTAGGACTTGGTGGTACAGTCACCACGAAGAAATAAATGTCACCTGTAGCCTTACCAGTCCTCACTTACAAACATCCTCAATTCTTACTAAGTAAGATAGTCTGCCTTCCATCAATGGCAGTCTTCTTACAGCCTTCATTCTTTTCAGGGGTGTCCAATCTTTTGGCTTCCCTGGGCCACATTGGAAGAAGAAGAATTGTCTTGGGCTACACATAAAATACACTAACACTAATAATAGCTGATAAGCAAAAGAAAAATGCAAACTATTTTCATAATGTTTTAAGAAAGTTTACTAATTTGTGTTGGGCTGCATTCAAAGCCCTCATGAGCCCACATGTGGTCTGCGGGTCGTGGGTTGGACAAGCTTGTTTTAAATCTTCCTCAAGCTATGTAGTTGGTGTTTTCAAAGGTACTGGATTGTCCTTCAAACTATGCATTACTTTTCTATATGTTCATATTTCTAGAGTTGTTAAGGCCCCTTAGTGATTCACAATCACATATCCAAGGAAAAAAGATAGCAACATGTTGTGTTTTAGTATTAAGAATCTGTTGTATTTTGACCCCTCTTAGTGTGAAATAATAAAGCTTCCACAGCGTGTAAGGGGACCTGAATGGGTTGCTGCTGCTGCCTGGGGTGGCCAGCTTTTATTCCTTTATTTGTCCCCACCCACATCCTACTGATTGGTCCATTTTACAGAGTGCTGATTGGTGCATTTACAATCCTTTAGCTAGACATAGAAAAGTTCTCCAAGTCCCCACTCAACCCAGAAGTCCAGCTGGCTTCATCTCTCATTAGGATTTATAGAACACTGAAATCTAAATAATTATATATGTTTAAAATGGAAGTTACAGACTTAAAAATCTAGTTATTGACCATGTGATGATTTTGTAAGAGTTTACAGAACAATATTTAACTTTTGTCAGTAGAAAGATTTCTACCTGTAAAATTAGAGTACTCACAATAGTTTCTACTGAAGAGTAGGCTATCCCATGGGGATAATTTCTATATATCTGGAGACAGTGCTGTCAAAACTACTGCAAGCGATTCTCTTTCTTTCTCCTCTTCTCTCAAAATAACAGCCAACAAATAACTGAGCCATAAATCAGATTGCTCTATTTGTTAAATCAGCTGAAGCAAGCTGGTGACTGCTTTGTGAACCATTTATTTTAGTTGAATTCTACTCAGTTCTTCACATGCCCTAAATTTTACATGTATAATGGGTTAGTGGAGTTTTCAGAGTGTTCTGACAAGAGATCTAAATATATATGTTTGTTAAAATTCAAAGATGTGTGCTAATATGTAAAATATTTTGATGACCTTACTGCTTGGAAAAAAAACTTACTTGCTTACAATTTATTTAACAACCAGTCAGTATTAGAGTATGGCATAAATAGTTTTTCTTCACAATGCACTGTGGTACAAGTGCCTTAAAAATAAGGTGTACAAAATCCTTTCTTTCCATGTGTTTAAGTAAAGGCAAAAAGATGATAATACCACATGAGAGATGACAAGAACCTTAAGAAATTAGAGTGAGCAAAGAACTGAGAAAATATCTATAAACATACATAGGTAAAATACGCAAGTTTTCTTCTACAATATCCTGCTAGAAGCTGGGGTCTAGAACTTGTAACACTGCTGAAACACTTTGAAAGTATTCTGAACCACATTACAGTTCACATGTCATTCCTGAAGTTATTGCATTTCCAGAGTAACCACGAGGTAGTACAAGTAATACAATTTGAAGTGATATCTGAAGGTAGAGTTGCTGGATATAAATTTCTTATACTATGTTATGTTACTGAGGTAGGGAGGGGAATGGATATTCATGAGCATAATGAGCAGGGCTTTTTTTTTTTTTTTTGGTCACAAAAAATAAATTGTCTGATTTTCTTTGAAGTGAAGAAGTAGGAAGTAGGATGAGATCAGTGAAAAATATACCTAATAACCGTTTGGAAATAAGGGAAGAAATGTTCATAGGAATAGGAATCTAGTCTCCAAGTAGTTGAGGAAATGTTTACAACTATCTCTTTAGATACTAAACCTCATTTTACTTATAAAATTAAATTAAATTATGGTAATAGGGAGAGGGCATAGGTGAATGGAACAATATTCAGTATAACCACTTTTCTTTTGGTCCTAGTTTGAAGGTCTTATTAAAAATACTTCAAGTCTGTGACTATAGAAAAAAATAATATGTCAGAGGCATGCAGCATAAAATTTATGGCCAGGAGCAGTGGCTCACGCCTGTAATCCCAGCACTTTGGGAAGCCGAGGTGGGCAGATCATGAGGTCAAGAGATCAAGACCATCCTGGCTAACATGGTGAAACCCCGTCTCTACTAAAAAATAAAAAAAATAGCCAGGCATGGTGGCAGGTGCCTGTAATCGCAGCTACTCGGGAGGCTGAGGCAGGAGAATGGCGTGAACCTGGGCGGCGGAGCTTGCAGTGAGCCGAGATGGCGCCACTGCACTCCAGCCTGGGCGACAGAGTGAGACTCTGTCTCAGAAAACATAAATAAATAAAATAAAATAAAATAAAATTTATGTATCAACGAGAAAGCAGCACTTCCAGGATGAAGAACAAAAAATAATTCAGAGTAAAATGATGTGTTAAGTAGACAAATTTAATCCCAGCAAGATGTCTATCTTGGGTTTCACAGCTTTTACTATCCTAATTAGGTAATAGAGTTGAAAGGATTAGGTAGACAGTCAATATAAACTTCAAAAATCAATTCTACTAGCAGAATGACGGCCCTCCAATGATGTCCACATCCAAATCCTCAGAACTTGTGAATATGTTACCCTATATTGCAAAAGGATTATAAATATGTGATTCAGTTAAGAAAATTGGGATACAGAGACTTTTCTGGATTTTATGTATAGGCCCGACATGATCAAAAGAGTGCTTTTAAGAGGACTTAGCCAAGAGCCATGTCAGGAAACAACTCCCATTCACAATTGCCACAAAAAGAATAAAATATTTAGGAATGCAGCTAATTACGGGGGTGAAAGATCTCTACAAAAAGAACCACAAAACAATACTCAAAGAAATCAGAGATGACACAAACAAATGGAAAACCATTCCATGCTCATAGATAGGAAGAATCAATATCATTAAAATGGCCATACTGCCCAATGCAACTTATGGATTCAATGCTATTCCTATTAAACTACCTTTGAGATTCTTCATGGCCCTAGAAAAAACTATTTTAAAACTCATATGGAAAGAAAAAGAGCCTGAATAGATGAGGCAATCCTAAGCAAAAAGAACAAAGCTGGAGGTATCATGCCACCTGACTTCAAACTATACTACAGGGATACAATAATCAAAACAGCATGATACTGGTATAAGAACAGACACATAGACCAGTGCAACAGAACAGAGAACCCAGAAACAAGGCCACACACCAACAACTACCTGATCTTTGACAACCTTCACAAAAAACAAGCAATGGGGCAAGGATTCACTATTTAATAAATGGTGTTGGAATAACTGTCTATCCATATGAAAGAAATTGAAACTGGACCTCTTCCTTACACCATATACAAAAATTAACTCAAGATGGATTAAAGACTTAAATGTAAAACCCAAAGTATAAAAACCCTGGAAGACAACCTAGGCAATACCATTCTGGACATAGCCACGGACAAAAATATTATGACACAAATGCTGAAAGCAATTGCAGCAAAAGCAAAAATTGACAATTTGGATCTAATTAAACTAAAGAGCTTCTGCATAGCAAAACAAACTATCAAAAGAAGAAACAACCTACAGAATGGGAGAAATTTTTTTCAAACTATGCATCTAACAAAGATCTAATATTCAGCATCTATAAGAAACTGAAACAAATTTACAAGAAAAAAAAACAACCTGTTTTAAAAATGGGCAAAGGATATGAACAGACACTTTTTAAAAGAAGATATTCATGTAGCCAACAAACATGAAAAAAAGCTCAACATCACTGATCATTAAAGAAATGCAAATCAAAAACACAATGAGATACCATCTCACACCAGTCAGAAGAGCTATTATTAAAATGTCAAAAAGTAACAGATGCTGGTGAGGTTGTGGAGAAAAAGGAGCACTTATACATTGTTGGCAGGGGTGTAAATTAGTTCAACCATTGTGGAAGACAGTATGGCAATTCCTCAAAGACGTAAAGACAGAAATACCATGGAACTGAAGGCCATTATCCTTGGCAAAATAATGTGGTAATAGAAAACCAAACACCACATGTTTTCACTTAAAAGTGGGAACTGAATGATGAGAACATATGGATACATATAGGGGAGCAACACATATTGGGGCCTATTGGAGGGTGAAGGATGGGAAAAGAGAGAGGATTATGAAAAAGAACTAATGGGTACTATGCTTAATACCTTGGTGATGAAAAATTTGTACAACAAACCCTCATGACACAAGTTTATCTATGTAACAAACTTGTGCACATACCCCTGAACAAAAAAATAAGAGTTAAAAAACAAGAATAAAAGAGGAAAAAAAAGAGTAAGGCAGGAGACACAGAGTTAGAGAAGGAGATGAGACCACGGAAAAGTTGTCAGAACGATGGCACTGCTGGAAGGGGGCCACAAGCCAAGGAGTATGAACAATCTTTAGAAGCTGGAAAAGACTAGGATCTTTCAAAAAAAAAAAAAAAGAAAGAAAGAAAGAAAAACCCACAGCTCTGCAGACATCTTGATTTTGACCCTGTAAAGCCCAATTTTGAATTCTGACCAAAAAGTACTATAATAAATTTGCATTGTTTTAAGGCCCTAAGTGTTTGGTAACTTGTTACAGCATCAGGAATCTAATATACCTGCTTAAAAATATATTTAATAAAAATCTCCATAGAATTTTAGAAAGAATCAGAGCCTCATAAAAATATGCTGAGGATATAAACCAAATTAATCTGGCATATAAAGAACCAGGAAAGTGTCAACTTGCATGATAGAAGAAATCAATAAGATATAAAGCATAGCCCGGCATGGTAGCTCACGCCTGTAATTCCAGCACTTTGGCAGGCCGAGGTGGGTGGATTATGAGGTCAGGAGATTGAGACCATCCTGGCTAACATGGTGAAACCCCGTCTCTACTAAAAATACAAAAAAAAATTTAGCTGGGAGTGGTGGTGGGCGCCTGCAGTCCCAGCTACTCAGGAGGCTGAGGCAGGAGAAAGGCGTGAACCTGAGAGGTGGAGCTTGCAGTGAGCCAAGATGGTGCCACCGCACTCCAGCCTGGGCAACAGGGCAAGACTCTGTCTCAAACAAACAAACAAAAAAGGCCCCAAAAACAAAACAAAAGAGATATAAAGCCTAGATGTAACAAATACTAGACTTACCAGAAATTAGTTTAAAACCTATTACTCAAATGTCCCAAGGAGTAAGGGCAGTTCTTCTTGAAATAAATGGACACCTAGAAAGACTAAGGAAAGAAATAAAAGTTATTAAGACAAAACCACCAAAAAACAAAGACAACTGAAAAATGCAGTAACAAAAATTAGAGATTCAAATGGTTTGAGTAGCAGAATAAAGATGAGTCAGTGAATTTGAAAATACATTTAAACAAACTGAAACTATCAATTTGAATAATAGAGGACAAAAGATTGAAAAAAAATTGGCAAAACGTCAAGAACCTGTGTGACAATTACAAAATGTCTAATATTCATGTCATCAGAATCATAGAAATAAAAAGGAGAGTGTGACATGCACAAATATTATTTGAATAAATGGTGGACGAAAATTCCCAGATAAACTGAAATACACGTAACTAAAGAATCAAGAAACTCCATTATCCCCAAACAATTTAAGCACAAAAAGAAATCCATTCTCAGAAATATAAAAATCAAACTTAAAGACAAAGGAAAAAGTCTTGAAAACAGCCAGAACACAATGATACATTGCTTTAGGAGGGCAATAATTTTAAATACTGAGCATATCTCAGGAACTACGGAAGCAAGCAGAAATGGAACACTGCTTAAATATTGAAAGAACTGTCAACCCAGAAATTGATATCCACCAACAATATATTTTAGGAATGAATGTAGAATATAGACATCTTATAGTAAAAAGAAACTAAGATAATTTTTCTCCAGCAGTCCTGCTCCAAAAAAAAATTCTATGGAATGATCTCCAGACAGGAAGGGAATGATATTAGAAGGAAATAAAGAACATCAGAATTAAGAAAAAAAATCATAAATAATAGTTATCTGAATAAACATAATTGACTATTCTTCCTCTCTTAAGTTCTTAAGATATGCTTTATAGTTGAAAGTAGAATTATAAACTTGTCTGATAGTGTTTTCAATATATGTAGAGTCAATGTGTAAATAGATAACTACATCATGAATATCATGAAGAAGAGAAGTAGGCACACCAATATGGTGATAGTTTCTATATTTCCTAAATAAAGTGATAAAATATTGATTCTAACCAGACTGTAAACCTTAGGTGTGTATATTTTAATTTTCAGAAAAACCACTAAAAATAAAAACTAAAATATAGGTGAAATAAAAAGAAAAAAATAGACGAAATAAAAAATGGATAATAAAATATGTTCAAATAATCTCAAAAAAGGATAAATTGAGAATTAAAAAACAGAGAAAAGTGACAGAATAACAAATAATAATATGGTAGACATGAGTTCAAACATGTATATAATTGCATTACATTTCAGTGATTTTGATACTACTAAGAAAACATTGAGATCAACAGACCCGATAAAAAAGTCACAATTATATACTGTCTACCAGAAATTCATTTCAAAAAAAAATAATTAAAATTAAAGAAATGGAGATACACTATATAAAACCTGGTTTCAAAAAATGTCTATAGTGGTGATACTAATACCAAAGTAGAATTCAGAGCAAAGAAAAGTACTAGGAATAAAGAGAGACATGAGATAACTGTAAAATTGTCTGTTTACAAAAGATACATAGCAATCCTACATAAGTAGTAGGGTGTCATAAATTATATGAAGCAAAAATGTTAGAACTGAAAATAGGCATGAAAAATCCAGAATTTTAGAAATAACTAATGGACAAAATAATCAGTGAGAAGATGAGAAAATTGAACAACTTTGTCAAACTAAATCCAACTGATATATAGAACACTTTTTTTAAAAAAAAAGTAGATACAAATTTTTTTCAGATACACATAAACGTTAACCAAAATGGACCCTACTATTAATTATAAGTAAACTGAAACATGGATGCATACATACATACCGTACATAGATATACCATACATAAATATATACATGAATATAACAAATAACAAATAAACATTTTAATAGATCTTAAATTTAAAATACTTAAAAGCATGTAAAGTATGTACTCTGGCCATTCAACTAGAAATTAATACAATAAATATTACAGAAAAATGTACAAACACTTGGAAATTAAACACTACAATTCTAAATAATCTAGGAAAGTATTAAAAGAAAATATGGCCTGAAGGAAATTATAAATTATTTTAAACTGACTCAAAATACAATGAAGTACATTAAGTTTCTGTGACACAACTGAAGCAGTTCTTGAAGGGGAATTTATACTGTTGAATCTGTATCTTAGAAAAGAAGTCTTAAATCAATTACCTAAACTTCAATTTGAAGAAACTAAAAAAGACCCACACACAAAAAGAAGAAAATAGCATCACATATGCAGAGGAAAAGAAATAAATATAGAGGCAGAAATTAATGAAATGTAAAACTGAAAATCAACAGAAAATCAGTGATACTAAAAGTGGTTCCTTGAAAAGATCAAGAAAACTGGTAAACTCTGGCACTAATGACAAAGATAAAAAAGGGACACATGCAGTGACAGTAGCAGGAAAGAAACAAAAGATATTAATACAAATCCAACCAGTAATAAAATGATAATAAGGTAATGCTATAATTGAGGACCTAAATAAGGCAACTTAGACGGAATAGACCAATTCCTAGAAAACCACATTGTCAAACCAATGTCAAAATTTAACCAAAACGAAAAAGTTAACTTGTGTATACCTACACTTTAAAAGCTTGAATTTGTACTTTAACATTTTCTAATGATTAAATATCTAGTTTCAACTGGTTTTATGATGAGTTATACCAACCTTTTAAAGCACAAGGGACACAAATGAACACAGGTGGGGCACAGTGGCTCATGCCTGTAATCCTAGCACTTTGGGAGGGCGAGGTGGGTGAATCACTTGAGGTCATGAGTTCAAGACCAGCCTGGCCAACACGGTGAAACTGTGTCTCTGCTAAAAATACAAAAAGTAGCTGGGCATGGTGGCATGCACCTGTAATCCCAGCTATTTGGGAGGCTGAGTCAGGAGAATCACCTGAACCCAGGAGGCGGAGGTTGCTGTGAGTCGAAATTGTGCCACTGTATTCCAGCCTGGTGGACAGAGCAAGCCTCTGTCTCAGAAAAAAAAAAAAAAAAAGAAAAGAAAAAAAAAGAGAAAAATAAACACAAAGCTCTTCTGAAACATAAAAGAGGTGGACATATTTCTCAACTTATTTTAGGAGGCCAGGGTTGCTCTCATATAAAAAACAAACACATATAACTCATAATAATAAAAATGTAGACCAATTGCCCTCATGTAATAGACATAAAAATCCACAACAAAATATCCAAAATATGACAGCAATGTACTATTGAAGTGATATTTATCCTGTGAGTGCAAGACTGTTTCAATACTTTCAAATCAATCAAAGTGACAAATCATATTAAGAGCCTAAACAAGAAATAATCACAATTCTATCAATTAATTCAGTAAAAGTTCTTGACAAAATACACAGAATCAGTACGCGGAAAGTGACATAACACTGATAAAATAATTAAGATAAGATGTGTAAATGAAAACATATATCACAATCATCTATTGAAAGAATAAACATGGTAAAAATGTCAAATCTCCTAAAATTAATCTATAAATTCAGTATGTTCCAGTGTATAAGCAATCCCTATTCTCCACAGCCTTGCTGGGCATTTGCTAAATTTTGTCTTTTTAATAATAGCCATTCTGACTGGTGTGAGATGGTATCTCATCATAGTTTAGATTTTCATTTCTCTGATGATTAGTGATGATGAGCATTTTTTCATGTTTGTTGGCTGCTTGCACGTCTTCTTTCTAGAAGTGTCTCTTCATGTCTTTTGCCTACTTTTTAATGGGGTTCTTCATTTCCTGCTTGTTGAATTAAGTTCCCCATCCATTCAGACCTTTGTCAGATGTATAGTTTATGAATCCCCATTCTGTGGATTGTTTACTCTTTTGATAGTTTCTTTTGCTGAACTGCAGCTTTTTGTTTTGTTTTGTTTTGTTTTGTTTTGTTTTGTTTTGTGATGAAGTCTCACTCTGTCCCCCAGGCTGGAGTGCAATAGCAGGATCTCGGCTCACACGTTCAGGAGATTCTCATGCCTCAGACTCCCAAGTAGCTGGACTGCAGTTGCACATCACCACGCCTGGATAATTTTTGTATTTTTCAGTAGAGACAGAGTTTCACCATGTTGGCCAGGCTGGTCTCAAACTCCTGACCTCAAGTCATCTGCCCGCCTTGGACTCCCGAAGTGCTGGGATTACAGGGTGTGAACCACCATGCTCAGCCAGAAGCTCTTTAGTTTAATTAGGTCTTACTTGTCATTTGTAGTTGTTGTTACAATTGCTTTTGAGGAATTAATCATAAATTATTTCCCAGGGCTGATGTCTGCTGCTCCCATTATTGGATAAATATTCAAAAGAAAATAAATTGCTCTATCAAAAAGATACATGCACGCTTATATTTGTTGCAGCACTATTCACAATGGCAAAGACATGGAATCAACCTAGGTGCCCATCAGTGGTGGACTGAATAAAGAAAATGTGATACATACATGCCACAGAATACAATGCAGACACAAAAAATAATAAAATCATGTTCTTTGCAGCAACATGGATGCTGCTGGAGGCCATCATCTAAGCAAGTTAACAAGGGAACAGAAAACCAAATACTGCATATTCTGTTTTTTTTATTTTTTACTTTTTATTTTTAGATGGAGTGTCGCTCTGTCACCAGGCTGCAGTGCAGTGGCGTGATCTCGGCTCACTGCACCCTCCTCCTCCTGGGTCAAGTGATTCTCCTGCCTCAGCCTCCCGAGTAGCTGGGACTACAGACGCCTGCCACCATGCCCCGCTAATTTTTGTATTTTTAGTAGAGACAGGGTTTCACCATATTGGCCAGGATGGTCTCGATCTCTTGACCTCGTGATCCACCACCTCGGCCTCCCAAAGTGCTGGGATTACAGGCGCGAGCCACCACGCCTGGCCTGCATATTCTTATTTAGCAGTGGGAACTAAATATTTGGCAGTCATGGACATAAAGACGTCGATGATGGATACTGGGGACTACTAAGGGAAGTGGGAGGAATGAAGGCAAGGGTTGAAAAACTATTGGGTACTATGCTCAGTACCTCAGTGACTGGATCAATTATACCCCAAACCTCAGCATCATGGAATATACTTATGTAACAAACCTGCATATGTACCCCCTGAATCTAAAATAAAAGTTGAAATTATATAAAAAGGTAAATGCAGATAATGAAAACTGTATTAGACAATAAAAAATAAAAAAACATGTGCTTACTCTTTTCAGGAGCTTAGATATATAGTGTGCTTTATCAGGCTTCACCCTTTTGAAGCTCCTTTTCCTCTTTCATGGAATATTTTGATTTTAGAATTATAGGACTAATGAGAAAATCGATAAAACTATGCTGGAATTCAAAATGTAATTAGTAGAAGAGCAAAGAAAACTGAGTAGGGATGAAGAGGATTAGTATAGTAGAGACATACAGAAGTGATGGTCACTACTGAAAAAACAAAATTATCTCACTTGGTATTTTTAAAAATTGGAAGATAATTACATGAAAATTAAAATAATACAGATAATTTTTGTATATTCTTCACTGAATTTTCTCTAATATTAATATTTCCATATGAGACACTATTGAAAAATCTTAACTAAATAAGCATTAGACTAGTTCTATTAATTAGACAGATTTATCTACAATTTGTTAGACAGATTTCTTTACAATTTGCAATTTTTTTTCATATTGTTCCTGTTCTGTCCTAGGTTTAATCTCCGGATACCATATTGCAGTTAGGAACATGATAATTTTAGTCATATACATGAGAAGATATCTTCCCTACATCTTAGTTTTATAGAATTTGTAAATTCAACTAATCGCAAACATTTTCTTTTTTTTTTGAGACGGAGTCTTGCTCTGTTGCCCAGGCTGGAGTGCAGTGGTGCGATCTCGGCTCACTGCAAGCTCCGCCTCCTGGGTTCACACTATGCTCCTGCCTCAGCCTCCCGAGTAGCTGGGACTACAGGCGCCCGCCACCACGCCCGGCTAATTTTTTGTATTTTTAGTAGAGACAGGGTTTCACCGTGTTAGCCAGGATGGTCTCCATCTCCTGACCTCACGATCTGCCCACCTGGGCCTCCTAAAGTGCTGGGATTACAGGCGTGAGCCACCGCGCCGGGCCCAGTGCAAACTTTTAATTAAGAGGTGATGGCCGTTTCCTGTTGTGTTAATCTTAGGAACTAACCTGATTCACCAAAACTTCCTCGGAGATTATGTCAATGAGCAGATGTGTACAGCTGGATTCAGGTACAACTAACACAACAGAAAAAAATAATTTACATCTGATTTCCATTTATCACAATCTAATAAGGTACATTTTTTGCAGAAAACCCCACATTTATTATGTTTCTAAAATAAATATGACAAAGAGATTATATTTGGTTATACATTTTATCTTCTAAATTTTTATTCAGATCATTGTACTTAATAATTCTGGAAAACCTCTTTAGAAGTCAGTAGATTAAGCATGCAGGAAGCCTTGGTGGGCATTTGAATAACATTACAAATGTTTTTTAAAAAGTTATATGGCTCTTAAAATTCATACAATTTTCTTTTTAGCACTTACCGGAAAATAGAAAGTGGCTGAAGTCATTGGTTACATTCTGCTTTTATTAAAACATTGACATTCAATTTTTCTATGGGTTATATGTGATAAAACTGATTTCAATTATATTGATGATTTTATGGATAAAGAGTGATCTGCTCATTAATGCATAATCTAAACCATCATATAGAATTTAATTTGGAGTGGGTATCAAAATAAAATGCTTATTGAACTACTTCGAAAGTTGGATGTCCTAATGTTAAAATATTTTTATTAATCAAAACTTTTAGAAAGTAGCTGGATGTGGTGGTATGCACATGTTCAGCAGGCTGAGTTGGGAGTATTGCTGGAACACAGGAGTTCAAGGCTAAAAGGAGATAGGTTGACACCACTGCATTCCAGCCTGGATGGCAAAGCAAGACCCTGCCTTTAATTGTATATATATTAAATATACACATATCCGTATATACTAAATATATATATTATATATTATATATAGTATACTAAATATATATTAAATATATAGATATTTAATATTAGTATACTATATATTATACTAAATATATATTAATTAATTTTTATGTCTTACCAACATTCTCACATCAAAAGTAAGACCTTTAGTGTAGTGGTTAAGTTAGAAGCCTGAAGTCAGTGATTTGACAAGACTTTCAAGCTAGCAAGCTCACCTACCACCGTTTCGTATACAACATACACTGACAGAAAACACAGGACCCTTCCTTAAAAGACAAGGACTGTTCATTAGCCATGATAAAAGCCAGCAACCACAACAATATGTTGTGCTGATTCTGTGAGCCTCAGTTCCCACAGGTCTACGCAGTAAAGGTCAGAGTTATTTTTCAATTTCTTCGAGAAAATATTTCTAAAACAGCAAAGTACAGTTCAGTGAAACATTATTTTAATTTATAAACAAGGTATAGAGGTACTTGAGTTACTCAGAAAAATAGATATTCCTGCAATGCTTTGCATTTGTAACTTGTTTTCTTTTTTCTGAACGACATGCTTGGGTCTCTAAATATTAAGTGTTTTCAAAAGTTAAGGCCTATTAATGCTTAGCTTTTAATAGTATTTTCTTACAGTGCAATGAAGAAATTGATCAAGAAAAGACAGCCTGGAAAGCAGAATTTAAGGCCCCAAATAGGAAAAACAAGATGAATAGAAAATATGAAGAAGTTCGAATGTATACTAATGTCTGATTGTGCGTGTTCTGACCCCTTAGAACACTATTAAGGTGTTCTCTTATTCAGTGTATTTAACACATTCTACTACAAATTAGAGTATCATGAACTAAAGTATTATAAATTTAGCAATGAAAAATCATACAATACCAATATTAATGTATGTGATAAATGGTTTCCTCACGCCTGGATTCCTGCTTGGTTTTCAAAGAGCATTCTGTTCATATACTTTAATCCCTTTTCCTTCCAAGCATCTTGCTTCCATTTTTCTCCCCCTTACTTTCTATTTATTTGCCATTAATATGCTGCCTACAAATGAGAAGGTAAAACCTTTCCAAATTGGCATCTTTTTATGTTTGAAGCATTTTGATGCACTGCTTATTGGGCCTTTCTTAATCTCTATTAGAAAAGCCTAAATCCATCTCAAGATAACTTGTGCATTCTATTTGTATATTTTCAACTACTTTTCAGTTTGCCTTCTAGATAACATAGAAACTTGTATAATCCAAATTGGCATTGTCTTGTTTTCTCAATCAAACCTCTTGATTTGATTCTGTAATCCATTGGTTCTGTCTTTCCAGTCACCAGAACTACAACTTCAAGTACTTCCTTTCTTCTTATTGGCCTTTATAGTAAATTTATAATCAAGTTTTAATATTTTGTCATTTTGTTTTTATGTTCCTGTCTATCATGTGTATCCAACAACATAATCTGGGGCAATTTTTATCTCATAACTGCATTAGAGAAATTAACTGTAATTTATATTTTCTAAATGTCCTCTTATTGCAAAGTGCAAAAAACTAGATTAATTTTCCTTAAGGACTGATTTTATAACAAAATCCCAAACTCAAAATCTTCTGTAGAAAATAAAGACTAATTGCTGTAATCTGATATGAGTCCTTCATAGCTAGGGTTCCACATTACTGTCAACCTTATTTCATCTAAATATAGTATATAAATTTTAATTGACATAGTAATTTTTAAAAAGTGAAACAATATAATTTTCTCTATTTTTTCCTAACTCAAGTTTTTATTCTATGTGAGTGTCAGAACACTCGGAGTAGGTTTGCAATTCCATGTTGCCAGCATCTGTCCTTGAGTTGGAATTAGTTCTAGGTGGCGTATTTACTGCCAAGGCATCAATGTGGACAAGCCCACAGTCTCAGATATCTGATTGCATTTTTCAACAAAGATATTTCGATTTTTCTTCTTGAGTCTCAGTTATTAGTCTATGTATATTGCTGCTAAGATAACCCTGATTCCCAAGAAGATGTACCCTTCTGGTCCAGTGGCAATCTCCGTGCCTCATTTTAGTGTGTGAACTGCAGGTCCAATGTCTCACTAAAGCATGAGAGTCACTGAAGTTTGTTTAAATATGTGTCTGCTTCGATCGAATATACAGCCTTTCTTTATTAGACTTCCTGAACTGTTCAGGGTTCTTCTTCTCTCCAATTTTGCAAATTTCTTTTGAGTACTACCATTTCACTCAAGCCAAGACTAGAAGCAGCATATATTTTTCCTCCGTATATGATTCGATAAATTTAAACTTGTCATTCCTTCTGTTCTCTTCTCCTGCCCTAGAAATATCTATACTTCTATATCTGTATCTATATATTATGTTTCTTTTCTTTTTATTTGGGGAAGGGAAGGCCAAACCTAATCAAACCATATGTTAGCAAACCATTTGTTTAAACTTGTTTATTTCCTTAAGGATATCTACTCTTAGAGCTCCAGGGGAAAAAATATTTCTGTGATCATCCTTGAAGTAATGAACATAGAATAACCCTATTTGTTGTCTATGGGAAAGGAGAGAAACACAAAGAAAAGAAATACATGAGAAAACAATGAATAAGTAAAAATATACTCCAACATCAATTAATGTACCAGAATCTAGTGCACATTAAATATTTTTCAACTTGACAAACCAGTATATATGATGGTCCACATAACCTGCACTGAATTTTCCCATTTCTCATTTGAGCTTATGCAAATCCTTTTACCTGTCAGTCTCCTTCAAATTTAAATTATTCTGTAAAAATTTTCATGACTACATCAGACGAAAATGGTTTCTTTTTGTGGTTGATCTGTGCAATAAGAATGTACACCCAACCAAACATTTAGTCAAGTTGTCGAAGCTGATAATACCATACACAGACATCAAGAGGGTATGAAGCAGTTTATTACTCGCATAATGAGGCTTTGTGGGATGAACATGGCTAGTTCTTAAGCAGGAAGAAAACAGTTTGAGATAGCGCAGGTTGGGATGGGGGTGCAGCCAGCGGCTTGACTTTTCTTATAGTTAGGGAGAGGAATCAGAGTGAGGGTTCGCACATGCAGGCCTGAATTTGGATCTGCATTTGCCAACAACCAATATCAAGAGAATGAGACAGACCTACTTATAAGCTCCTGCTTTGCACTAAAATATTCCATAGTGTGCATGGATGATGTGACCCCATAAATAATACATTAAAATAAAATCAAATGTTTGGCACTTACAATCAGCTTCACAGAATTGGACCTCATGGGTTTTCCCCTCTGGTCAAAATACTTAATGTGGCCACATACAAAGTTAAACAGAGCCTTCGAAGATCAAAACACATTATACAAGAACTATTTGGAGAAGAGGTAATTATCCCCCACAGTTTCTCTTTATTTAATAACTGTATTTGGTCTATTCTTAAAACTGGAAATAATGAATAACACTTAATGATGGATTATTGCAACCTTAATGTCATAATCTCACCCATTAAGTCTTCTATACCCGATATTACTTAAATTACTGACTCCATTCAATCCAATCAGAAACGGGTAAGTACTTTGCAGTCACAGATTTAGCTAGTAAATTCCTTTCATTGCCTATTTCAACAGCTTCTTAGCTGCAGTTTTTCTTCACCTTCAAAAAGACAATACATCCTTATGCAGCAACCCAGGGGCATCGCAACAGATTTACTGTTGCACACAGCCTTTGTAGGTAAGACCTTAATCACATTAAAATTTTTCTAGGAACATATGTATGACATTATATTGATGTCATCCTCCTAGGAGAGTCTATTTACACATTCATTCAGGACAACCAAACAGTCACAACAGAGCTCATCAAAATTAGTGGACTACTTACTCACACAAAGCAAAAGGCCTCACTACCTCAGTAAAATTTCTCACTATCATTTAACTAGAGGGTGCTCCGTTCCTGACATTATAAAGAAACAGTTGTTCATTCTGTCATCACCCACAATGTTAAAACAAATTCAACATCTTTTCGACCTTTTGGATTCTGAAAGAAACATATTCCTTATTTACATTTATTTAAGCTCATTTATGTTGTTGCTCACAAATTGACTTACCCTGAATGGGTCACCCTACAACAAAAGACTCTAGAATCTATCAGTATTGCAATACAACAGAGACTTAAGTTAGTGCCCCCCAAAGATTGTTCACTGTAGAAGCTTTGGCAACCTCTTCTTATGTCTTTTAGAGGTTCCAGACTACCCATGTGATATGGTTAGGCTGTGTCCCCATCCACTTCTTTTCTTGAATTGTAGTTCCCATAATCCCCACGTTTCATGGGGGTACTGGTGGGAGATAATTGAATCATGGAGGTGGGTTTTTCCCATGGTATTCTTGTGATAGTGAATAAGTCTCACTAGATCTGATCATTTTATAAAGTGCAGCTCCCCTGCACACTCTCTCTTGCCTGCCACCATGTAAGACGTGCCTTTGCTCCTCCTTTGATTTCCACCGTGATTGTGAGACCTCCCCAGCCATGTGGAACTGTGAGTCCATTAATATACCATGATGGATGGAAGCACTGCCATTACACATAATAGAGCCCACTGCATAACAGCCACTTTCTGTTGCTTCAACAGAATGTCCCTGATCAAGAATGAGACCCAAGGCTCAGTGCAACTGGCCAAACATCATGCAGTAATCTTAACAATAAATGCTCTGTCCAAGAATCAGCCATATCTGCATAATTTTGCGGAATATTTATCTGTGGACAATGGTCTGGCCATTTGGGCAGGCCAATGCTAGCAACAAAATTTTCATGTCCAACATCCTCCTGTTTGGAAAAAATAACTCTGAAATTTTGTGAATTACAAGTACCCACTATATAACCAGGGTTGCAAGTCTTTTTACATAATGATGCCACAATACAAATCTTTACCAAATTATTCCTTACCCCTTCACGGTTCTACACATTAATAATAGTGAGCAATTGATTGTGAGCAATTGTGAGCAAGGAACACATTTTACTTCACAAAATACACAATGCTGGGCTCATGTACTAGTTAGAGTTTTCCAGGAAAAAACAAAACAAAACAAATCAAAACAACAAAAAAAACAGAACTAAGAGAGGGAGAGAGAGAGAGAGAGAGAATGAATGAGATTTATTAAGGAAATTAGTAATATCATGGAAGTTCATGGAGGCTAGCAGGTCCCAAGGTTTACAGGGCAAGTCACAAAACTGGAGACTCAGGAGAACAAATGAAGTAGTTCCAGTCCAAAGGCTGGCAGGCTTAAAAATCAGAAAAAGCTGATCTTTCAGTTTGAGTCTGAAGTCAGGAAAAGAAGCCAATGTCACAGTTCAAAAAGTGTCAGGTAGCAAGATTCTCTCTTACTTTAGGGTGATTCAGACTTTTTGTTTTATTTAGATTTCCAACTGATTAGGTAAGTTCCAACTACAATACGGCAGAAAATCTGCTCTACTCAGTCTACTGATATAAATGTTAATTGCATCCCAAATACCCTCATGGAAACACCCAGAATAGTGTTTAAGCAAACACTGGAACATCCCATCAACCAATTAAATTGACAAATAAAATTAACCATCACATCTGCTGACGAAGGTATTCAATGGAAGTTTTATTTCCTTACCGTTCTCATGCTGTGAGCCTCATAGGTAACCATAATGGCTTACTATAACAACTTCAAATGCAATTAAATAAATCATAGCACATTTTACTCCTCAGTCAAACATTGGAGTGAGTTATAATAAAGAGTCTGGATTGATTTTTATTGCCTTATTGTTAATAGTTTTTATGCTTTACCACCCGCCCTTCTGTTTTGTTCTACATCTTGGCAAGCCAGTTATATATCTTAGATCTTTACCTCAGTGCCAGTGGAAAGTTCAAACCATGTAAACTTCATCCCAGATGCACAACTCCCAACTCCAAGTAAAATAACAGGCAAGCTACTCATCCCTCCATATTATCTTAGGCCATTTTCAGAACTGTTTTTGAGCTTGCCATGATCTGTCCAGAAAGTCTCATTATGTGAGAAATAAATCTTTTCATACTCTCTTGGTGTATGTGTGATATAATCAGCTTTAATATCCAAATTAAGTTTGGCTCATGGGTTTATTCTTCTTTCACATAGTATTCACAAATTCTCCCTTTCTTCTGTCTTCCTGTAAAATCACATATATCACTTTCTAATCTAGAATTCTTGCCTTTATATCCCTACTTTTGCAACTAGTGATTAAGGTATGACCTTATAAAATTGGCATGAAGATGCTATATGTACCTGAAACCCAAAATTCCCAGAGAAAATGAGGTTATTAAAAATGTGGTTATTAAGAAAATAAATATGAAGCATATTGAATATGGTAATTTTTTTCTGAGAGATATAGTGTAAAGTGTTATATGAGTTATCCAGGTAGGCAGCTTTTTTTCGTGCTACCTGTTAATCGAATTTTCTTGCTGGAAAATGTGTGTCAATGTGTTGTAAACTAATGATGATTAGTATTTTCCTTATTACCTGCTTTTCTGCCATATTACTAAATTGTATAAGGAAAAAAGTAAAAAAAAATATAATGGAGCTTATTAAAGAGTATATATAATAGTTATGGTTAACAGTAAAATGGCTCCAGGTGAAGCCCTTAAAATATAAAATAACCTAAGATTATAGAGCAGAGCAGTATTGTAGCATTCATTACCAAGTTCAAAATGTGTTCGAAAGTAGTCCACTTATTTTCTTTCCTTAAGAAGCACAGACTGTATAGGTCAGGTAGTCAAGCAAAATCTCCACAGCAGGATACATAAATTTGAAATCCTTCAAAAGGCAATGTTTTTATTCCTTATAATTAGGCAATTAATTCTATTGGCATTTATAAGCTGCATGTGGTGAGAGAAAAAGAGATAAAGAAAAGTAGTAAAATTAAATATTTCAATTTTACTTTAAAGGTCACTGAATTATATGACCCACCTTAGGAGTATTTAACTTGGAATAAAGAAGTCAGGAAACAAATGAGCTGAAAAACTCAAGTTGTGAAGTTTGCTACTTTAATTAGAACATAAAAGATTTCCTTTTTAAAGAACTCACTGGTGTGTTTGAATACATGATCTCTTTATTTCTTGAACTAAATCTTATTTATTCCCCATTGTTTTATTCCATATATGCATATTCTGTATTCCATATCTGGTTTCTCTTTTATGATACAAAATACAGAATTAAAATAATAGAATTTAATTTCTCTCATATGGCAGTAAATCATATTTCCACAGAGTATAAATGAGCTAGTGGAAGTTTAGCTGTCATGCTCTTGGAGCAGAATGACTTTATCTGCTAATAAATCAGCAATATTTACTAAATTTATTTGTTATCATTCTAAAAAATTCAGGTAATAGTGTTAATAAATTTGCCTCTTTATTAATGATTTCTCCTTTACTGGAAAAAATAAAGAAATATTTCTGAAATATAAACTTTGACTCATAAAATAATTCAAGAAAGATATCTACAAAGGTTTTGAATATGATGCATAATATCTCTATGTGAAAAATGTTTTCTAAAAGAGATATGTTTTCTTTGAAAGCCCCAATGGGACACACAGGAAATATACATTTATTACATATTAGGCCATAGTAAAATCTGAATACATTTTTGAAAGGGAAAAAAAAAGTACTGACAACAAATAACTAATCTTCCATGAGTAATAGTTTATGTGGTAATTACAAATTAGTGCATTTAAAAATACTTTTCTCTTTCCTTTTTTTACATATACAGGGTCTGTTTATACACAAGAATATAAGGATGCAGCAATCTTTATCCCAGAGATAACACACATAATTTCTCAATAACTTGATTATCCACAAGAGGTGCTCTTTAAATGCTGTCTGTTATTATCATTATTATATTACAAGCTTTAATTTAATGCACTGAAATTTTACTGGATTAAATGTAAATTTCAAAGTATTTTTCCTCTGCCCAGAAATATATTTTTTTGTTATGCTTAAGTTCTAAGATACATGTGCAGAACATGCAGATTTGTTACATAGGTGTACATGTGCCATGGTGGTTTTCTGCACCCATCAACCCACCATCTACATTACGTATTTCACCTAATGCTATCCTTTCCATTGCCCCCAACCCCCAGACAGGCCCCAGTGTGTGATGTTCCCCTCCCTGTGCCCATATATTCTCATTGTTCAACTCCCACTTATGAGTGACAACATGCGGTGTTTGGTTTTCTGTTCCTGTGTTAGTTTGCTGAGAATGATGGTTTCCAGCTTCATCCATGTCCCTGCAAAGGACATAAACTCATTCTTTTTATGGCTGCATAGTATCCCATGGTGTACATATGCCACATTTTCTTAGTCCAGTCTATCATTGATGGGCACTTGGGTTGGTTCTAAATCTTTGCTATTGTGAATAGTGCTGCAATAAAGATACGTGTGCATGTGTCTTTATAGTAGAATGATTTATAATCTTTGGGTATATACCCAGTAATGTGATTTCAGGGTCAAATGTTATTTCTAGTTCTAGATTTTTGAGGAATCACCACACTGTCTTCCACAATGGTTGAACTAATTTACACTCCCACCAACAGTGTAAAACCATTTCTATTTCTCCACATTCTCTCCAGAATCTGTTGTTTCCTGACTTTTTAATGATCGCCATTCTAACTGATGTGAGATGGTGTCTCATTGTGGTTTTGATTTGCATTTCTCTAATGACCAGTGATGATGAGCTTTTTCTCATGTGTTTGGTGGCTGCATAAATGTCTTCTTTTGAGATGTGTCTGTTCATATCCTTTGCCCAATTTCTGATGGAGTTGTTTGTTTTTTTCTTGTAAATTTGTTTAAGTTCCTTATAGATTCTGGATATTAGCCCTTTGTCAGAAAGATAGATTTCAAAATTTTTCTCCCATTCTGTAGGTTGCCTGTTCACTCTGATGGTAGTTTCTTTTGCTGTGCAGAAGCTCTTTAGTTTAATTAGATCCCATTTGTCAATTTTGGCTTTTGTTGCCATTCCTTTTGGTATTTTCATCATAAGGTTTTTGGCAATGCCTATGTCCTGAATGGTATTGCCTAGGTTTTCTTCTAGGGTTTTTTGGTTTTAGGTCTTACACTTAAATCTTTGATCTATCTTGAGTTAATTTTTGTATAAGATGTAAGTTAATTTTTGTATAAGGTCCAGTTTCAGTTTTCTGCAGACGGCTAGCTAGTTTTTCCATCAGCATGTATTAAATAGGGAATCCTTTCCCCATGGCTTGTTTTTGTCTGGTTAGTCAAAGTTTCAATGGTTGTAGATGTGTGGTGTTATTTCTTAGGCCTCTGTTCTGTTCCCTTGGTCTATGTATCTGTTTTGGTACCAGCACCAAGCTGTTTTGGTTACTGTAGCTTTGTAGTGTAGTTTGAAGTCAGGTAGCATGCTGCCTCCAGCTTTGTTCTTTTTGCTGAGGATTGTCTTGGCTATGCAGGCTCTTTTTTGGTTCCATATGAAATTTAAAGTAGTTTTTTCTAATTCTGTGAAGAAAGTCAATGGTAGCTTGATGGGAATAGCATTGAATCTATAAATTACTTTTGGCAGTATGGCCATTTTCATGATATTGATTCTTCTTATCCATGAGCATGGATAAGAATATTTTCCTTGGCAGAGACTGCCATTTATCACTTAATGTAAGTTCTCGACTTACCTATTAACTGTAGTTTTGGATGGAACTCTGTCCAGCAACTGAAGGCTACTTTAATAAGCCTCTCTTCCATGTATACATGGAATTGGGCCTGGATTCTGACCCATCTTAAGAGGGTAGAAGTGGTGTGTACGACTGTTGGGTTCTGCCATTAAAGGGAAAGCACACACCACCACTCTCCTCTTTCTTCTTCCATTTGCCTGCAATGAGAATGGGATGATGAAAGCAAAAACAGCTGCAAGGATGGTTTGCTGAACATGACAGAGTAACAAGAGAGAACCTGGAACCATGACATCGTAAGCTATTTCCAGCACTGAACAGAACTACTTGGATTCATATGAGACAGCTACCAGACCTTCAATTTTTCTACACTACCATACCTGAGATTTTTATTTCTAGTTGTAACACTGGCGCTTTCCACTACAGCAGAGGGAATACAATGCATTGCTATATCTACTGGAATTCATTTCTTGCCAAATTATTATGTAAATTAAAGTAATAACAGTAAAAATTATCACTTTAAATTAGTTCATTTGTTTGGAAAATTATTTAACTGCAAAATAAAAATAATTTAAGAAAATCACTGAAGACTTATGAAGACTCTTTCAAAAATGCTATTAATTATAAAGCAATTAAATGGTGATATAATGGAACAAACTGAAAAACTAGCTATAATAAGGACTGTGGTAACAAATCGTATAAGGAATTTAATATATACAAATTTATTGATGGCATTTAAACACTTGACAACACATGTGAACAAAATAAAGTTAAAAATCCTACTTCATTCAATGTTTGCAACTTATGAGATTCACTCAGGAATAAAATTTTCAATAAAAAAGATTCAGAGAAGAAAAATCTACAAGAAAAAATAAGCAATTGCTAAAATATTTTTAAGAGACATACACCTATGTATCACAAAAGATGAAATCAAATGTTCAATTACACTAATAATCAAGTAAGCAATTGGTAAAATATTTTTAAGAGACATACACCTATGTATTACAAAAGATGAAATCAAATGTTTAATTACACTAATAATCAAGGCAATATAAACAGAAATACTAGGTTAATACTTTCCAAGCTACTAGGGGTTTCCTAATACACTATTAGACAGCATCTGGGGTTAGGGTGGGATTACCTGAATCAGCATTTTCTAATGCAGTTGAGAGACACCATCTTTGATGCGAGGGGGGTTGGGAAAAGTTTGCTTTTCCTACATTTTCAATATAACTAACTCATTTGTTATGTAATAATAATAATACAGTAGGACACTCAAGCTTAAACTCAATTTTTAACATTAATTTTATGAAAAAATAGACTTGTCAACTAGTTTCTGCATTTAATTTATTCAAATTCATGGTGTATATGACATCCTTAACATTTGTTGCCAATGTCAATGCTATATTAAAAAGGTGAAGTGGCTTATCTATGTAGTATTGCTTTAAATGGAACTGATGCTGGCTTGTGTTTATTTTCACTTTCTTGACGAAAACTCTACAATTATTTTTAAATTATCCACTCAACAACAATTGGGCAATCTCAAGGTTATTATGCCTTATAATATAGAATTATCATTTTGCCATTTTAAAAGGAAAATAGACAGGACATTACAAACAAAAACCCAAACAGAACACAACAGGGGCTGATAAAGTCTTTGACCTTTTGTCTAGGTGATAATATGAGCTGCTAAAAATAAATGGAGATGACTAAAAAAGAGGTGAATAGGAACTGACATAACGGGGAATGTGAAAAGAATTGGAGAAGATATATGCAAAATAGTTGAGAAGTAGATTCAAGATTCTTCTTGCTTTAAAGGGTGTTACATTGTGAAGCATGCCTAGCTTAGCTGAAGATTCTGATGCTACATAAAATTTAATAAATAAATGTCTTTATTTTGGGTTTTGGTGTTTGGATTTTGTTTTAGAGACAAGGTTTCACTCTGTGGGCCACGGTGGAGTGCAGTAACACGATCATAGCTCACTGAAGCCATGAACTCCTGGGCTAAAGGGATCTTCCTCTCTTAGTCTCCAGAGTAGCTGGGACTATAGGCATGTGCCACCATGCCCAGCTTTTATATATATATATATTAGAGATGGGGGTCTCACTATGTTGCCCCGGCTGGTCTCCCACTCCTGGCTTCAAGTGATCTTCCTGTCTTGGCCTCTCAACATTTTGGGATTACAAGTGTAAGCCACCACACTTGGCCTTTTTGTTTGTATTGACCAACTATTTTCTATTTAATACTGCACAAAAATCTATGTTTATAAGTGTGTTCTACATTCTAAGACTATCCTTGTCACATTTTTGTATTTAAGTTACTCTAGCTTCAGAAAATGATTGAACTAGTATTCTTTTTTTCATACGGTAGAATAATTTGTACTATATTAGAGTTGTTTATCAATAGGACTATTCTATGAATTCATCTATTCTATTCCCATTTCCAATGTATTCTTAAATTCATTGCATTGTTGATAATTGTTGTTTTTATGATATACATATAGATTGATATAGATATAGATATAAATATGTAGATATATTTTATGGTGTATAAACTTATGGCATATTATGGTATATATGCTTTTGATTCTCATATTCATGTATTGCTTATTGGCAAATGCACTTACTTGCTAAAATTTGTTTGCAGCTTGAAAATCACTTGCTGTACTTTCATGGTCATTCATGGATATCTGCAGAGAGCCAAAAATACAAGTTGCACAATGCATACATTCCCAAGTGAGATCAAACACAGTGACACTTTGCCTTTCTGTTTCAGCTCACTTACTGCAAGCAAATGTCCTTTCTGTGCTTTATTTAGAGCTGTGTTTTTCACATTCTTGTGCTTTTTGTTGAAAATTTCACTGTTTAAAATGGCCCCCAAATGTAGTGCTTAAAGTGCTATGTAATGTTCCTAAGTGCAAAAGGTGGTAATGAGACTTAAGGTAAAATTATGTGTGTTAGATAAGCTGTGTCTAGGCATGAGTTGCAGTGCTGTTGGCTATGAGTTCAATGTTAATGAATCAACAAAATACATTAAATAAGTTGTCTTTAAATGGAGACATATAAAACAAAGGTGCGTGTTGATGGATTAACAAAATAATGTGAACAAAGGGTCACAAATCTAACTGTATTTTTGTCTGAGTTCACTATTGGCTAATTCAGTGTCTGTGGGGACTTATAAAACAGAAATACTGTAAATAATAAGAATAAACTATAGGTATGTGTAATTATATTTTAGCTATAAATATAAGGACATAGAGATAGAGATGCAAATAGAGATGTGTTGTATGATATATATTGTAATTTTTATATTTATATAATTAAATGTATACATATTTTTATGTGTCCAACTTTGATACTCATGTTTCTAGTCTCTGCACTTTCTTCCTGCATTTATGTTATTATTATTATTATTTTTTTGTAGAGATGGACTCTTGCTCTGTCACGCAGTCTGCAGTGCAATGCCACAATCATGGCTAGTTGCAGCCTTGAACTCTGGGCTCATATAAGCCTCCTGAGTAGCTGGGACTATAGGCATGTGCCACCATGCCTAGCTAATTTTTTATAATTATTATTGTAGAGACAGGGTCTCTCTATGTTTCAGAGGCTAGTCTGGAACTCCATGCTTCAAGTGATCCTCCCGCCTTGGCTTCCCAAAATGCTGGGAGTATAGGTGTGAGCAACCACACCAAGCCTGTATTCTTAACAATGTGTATTTATGTGTTTTTTTCCCGTATTAGTCTCACTAAAGATTTGTCAGTTTTATCTCTTCAAAAATTATCTTTTGCTTTTTCTTCTATTTCAGATTTATTATATATAAATAATTTCTGATGATAATATACAGTTTTGTTTGTATTCTGTATTATGTTAATTTTTCAAGTTCTTGAGTCTTAAGTTTGGTTATTGGCTCGTTCACTTTCAGTCTTTCCTTTTTAGAATATAATCAATTAAAGTTAAATAATGTTTTATTTAGGTGTTCGTTAGTTTTGATATGTAATATTTATATTTTATTCAGTTTTATGTGTTTTCTGATTATTGTTACAATAACTTTGGCCCATAAGATGTTTAGAAGTGTCGGGGTTTTTTTCATAATTTCTACATGTAAGGGTTTTTTTTCTCACTGTTTAAACTAACATCTAACTTAATTTTATTGGAGTTTTAGAATATATGACCTACATTACATCAATGTTTAAAATTTGAGATTCAATTTCTGATCACTTTTTAGGCAGTTTCCATAAACTTTTTAAATAAAAGTAATTAGCAACAAAATCACTATAAAGTATTGTTGATTATGGTATTCCATTTATTTCTGTTTAATCACCTAGCTAGTCTTCTACATTCTTATTATAGAGTCTGGTTGATTTACCAGTTTTGAACAGAAGCAATTTATACTATATCTCTTAAAATGATAGTGAATTTTCCTTTTTTAAAATTGTATCAGTTTTTCTTTATCTATTTTAACCTAGATTATTAGATACATACGAATTTATTAGATGCATACAAGTTTCTATGTAATTTTATCGATAACATTCATCTACTTATCTATATATATAGACAAAGTAGGTAAATCTTAGTAAGATAGAACTATTTAGCATCATACATTTTCTCATACATTAATTTATGGATTTAATAGAAAATGGTAGCTATTTAGTTGCCAAAGGAATAACCATGTGTATGATGACATTGATGCTTTTTGTTTTTGTTCCTTTGTTTCATTATTTTTACTATATTTTATTTTATTTTATTTTATTTTATTTTATTTATTTTATTTTATTTTATTTTATTTTTGAGACAGAGTTTTGCTCTTGTTGCCCAGGCTGGAGTGCAATGGCACAGTCTCTGCTCACTGCAACCTCTGCCTCCCAGATTCAAGCAATACTCCTGCCTCAGCCTCCCAAGTAGCTGGGATTTCAGGCACGTGCCACCATGCCTGGCTAATTTTTGTGTTTTTAGTAGAGATAGGCTTTCACCATGTTGGCCAGGCTGGTCTTGAACTCCGGACTTCACGTGATCCACCCACCTTGGCCTCCCAAAGTGTTGGGATTATAGGTGTGAGCCACTGCACCCTGCCTGTTGCATTATTTTTAAAAGTCAAGAATAGACTGTGTTTCAAAAATGAAGAGAAAGCTATCAGATGAATTTCTGGAGATAAGTAGATAAAATTAAGAACAGGAATATAAGTATTGGGCTTAGAAATAATTTGTACCAACATATCCATTGCAAATAAGGGATAAAAGGAAAGAGTATTTGTTAATCCAGCTACGTTAGCAGTCCATTTTTCAAAGATAAGATGAATTTTCTATATTTTGTTTGTAAAGTCAAAGTGACAATATAAACTTTGACTTAGATGGAAGAAGGGCAGCAAGTTTAAGAAGAGTAAGGAGAGCAATGATAGAAAAGGGAGAAATAGACCGGGCTTGGTGGCTCACGCCTGTAATCTCAGCACTTTGGTACGCCAAGGCAAGCAGATCACCAGGTCAGGAGTTCAAGACCAGCCTGGTCAACATGGTGAAACCCTGTCTCTACTAAAAATACAAAAAATTAGCTGGGCGTGGTGACGCATGGGTGTAATCCCAGCTACCTGGGAGGCTGAGACAAGAGAATTGCTTGAGCCTGGGAGGTGGAGGCTGCAGTGAGCTGAGATTGCGTCACTGCACTTCAGCCTGGGTGACAGAGCAACTCTGTCTCCAAAAAAAAAAAAAAGAGAGAAATAATTTCCTTGGGTAGTTCAGCGTCTAGTCAGATTAGAAACCATAAAATTGTGAACAGCATCATTTAGTAAATTTTCTTATTCTCTCAATACTGTCCAACTTTTCACTTGTAGATTCACTGTAAGAAAAAAATTTCCAAGGAGACGAGGAAGTAGAGAAGATCTCCAAAAAAAAAAAAAAAAAAAAAAAAAAAAAATTGTTGGGATTAAAAAAGGAAAATCTCAAACAATTGAGGAAGTAAGGGTGGCCACTTAGTTTAAATAAAAAGGTTCAGGTCAAACCGGAAAAAGTCCTTATGAAAAAAAATAAAGGTTCGGGGAATAGATATCTTTACATAAAATACAGGTATAGTTATATAATTATTAAAAAATGTAGAAGATTATGGTCAAATAATAGGATATCTCAATGTAATATTGCACATGCCGAAGGTTAAAACTACTAGTAAATTCATGAGGTATGGAGAAACTTCAGTTTGAAGTAGAAGTGAATTAAAGTATCTGAAAATGTGAGGTAAAGAACTCGTCTAGAGCAGTGTTTCTCTAGAAAGAGGAAAAGGAGATTTTTCCTTAAGTTCAAATTTTTTTCACAGCAGTGTTTTTATCTAAAAATAAACCAATGAATTTGGCAAATTATTATATGCAGGGATCCTGTGGTTTTAAGGTTTCTAATGTCTTACTTTCAATTTCTGTGCTTATCTCATAGTGGACCAATTATAGTTTTTTGACGGAAATCATACTTTCAGTAATACTAAACAGTTGGAATATCAACATGAAGAATCAGACTAATTAGGATGCTGGAGATAATTTGGAATAGAAAGAAAACAAAAACAAAAACAAACAAAAGCCTCCATTCGGTTGGGCACTAAGTATAATAAATGGGGCATTAAAATGTTGGTTGAAAACCAGAGGAGAAACAGGTGAAACATGGTAAAGCCAAGATTTTCTAGAGTAAGCATATTTTCTGGAGGTTAGCAAGGTAGTAATGTAACTTAAAAGATAATGGACATAGTATAGGATGCAAGAGAGATGATACAATGGAAATACAGTTAGTTTTTAGTTATTTAAAAGCCTTTAAAAATGTTTAAGTTTTGTTGATCTTTAAACAAACAAAGTAAAAACAAACAAGTGTTTCAGCAAGAGAAATAGGTATCAAGCTGGTAGGAAGAGAAAACTAATGAACAATCGGGGGTGGAGTACAGAGGATGGCTACCCAGAGGGGAAGCAAATACGACGATGACCAAAGATATGGTTGTATTGATGGGGTTAGTTGATGCTACATTGCCACAAGAATTTTGATTGAGCTGATAAATGGCTGGGGAAGGAAGGGCAGGCAGGGTTTAGGGTAACTCTGGTTAAAGCCTATTACATGGCCTTGTTTCAAACAGTGCCAGGAAAATGTTCTTTTCTTACTAAGATATTATTTTTCTGCACTTTTAGATTTTATTTTTCTTTCATTTTTTTTTCTCCTCTGGTCTCTTAATGCAGACTTATGCTAAAACTGATTACAAATGAAATCAGATCAATGACCTACAAAATTAAAATTAAATATTACACCATTGTTGAATTGATTAATTCTATTTAATGTTAATGAAAGATTATTAACTTTTGTAAGGTAGAACAAAAATGTGTATAGTAAATAATATCCAAAAAAGTACCTGATGAATTACTGTTATCTTAGTATATAGTTTTGGTTCCTGTTTCACAAAATTGTAATTTTTTGGGAGATAGATTTCTAGTTCAATGTTCAAATTAAAGAGTTTACTGTTATATTTGCTTACAAAATGTACACGGTTTAGCTCCGAATTTTAACTTTGCAAGTGATTCTGAATTACTATTGCCACCAATAATCATGTTTATTTTTAAGGTGACAGATTTCTTCACTAGATCTTTATCTCTCAGTTTTGATTTTAGATTTCTTTTATGTAAAATATATTGGACATTTTTGATTTGTGTAGGGAGGAATAGAGGATTGGCAAGAAAACTGCATACAATAAAGTTTATAAATATTCAGCATGCAAAAATCTTCCTGGTTAACATGGTGAAACCCAGTCTCCACTAAAACTACAAAAAAAAATTAGCCGGGCGTGGTGACACGCTCCTGTAGTCCCAGCTACTCGGGAGGCTGAGGCAGGAGAATGACGTGAACCTGGGAGGCAGAGCTTGCAGTGAGGCGAGATCATGCCAGTATACTCCAGCCTAGGCAACAGAGCGAGACTCCATCTAAAAAAAAAAAAAAAATCAGCATGCAAAAATCTGTTAATGTAGTGCATGCTTATGCTATTGTTTCCATGTGAAAATTACTCTGTTTTGGGGGTGGGGGGGGAAATAGGTTTTTGTTTTTACACATCTCAGGAAATGTGATTGGTGAAGCTAAAAGTGTTGTATGATTGATAAACAAAAAACTCCACACACTTAATATATACTATTTGGTGAGTTTTGACATATACATATACCCATGAAACTATCATTAAAATCAAGATAATAGGCATATCCAAAACATAACATATTCAGCACCTCCAAAATTGCATGCTTCATGTGTGTGTGCATGTGTGTGTGTGTACATGTGTGTGTTTGTGTGCATGTGTGTGTGTGCATGTGTGTGTTTGCATCTGTGTGTGCATGTGCATATGTGCATGTGTGTGTTTGTGTTTTGTGGTAAAAGCACTTAATATGAGATTTACCCTCATAATAAATTTTTAAATACACAGTATAGCGTTGTTAACTGTAGACACTATGTTGCAGGGCAGATCTCAGGAACTTATTCATCTCACATAACTGAAACTTTATACTCATTAAACAGCTTCCCATTTTCCCCTCTCCCCAATTCCTGGCAGCCACCATTCCTCTTTCTGCTTTTATGAGCTTAACTATTTTAGATACTTTGATAAGTAGTATCATGTAATATTTGTCCTGTGACTGACTTATTTCACCTACATAATGTCCTCCAGGTTCATCATGTTGTCCCATATGGCAGGATTTTCTTCTTTTTTGAGGCTGAATAATATTCCATCATATGTATATACTGCATTTTTAAATCTATTTTTTTCATGGGTGGGTATTTATGTTAGTTCCATATCTTAGCTATGGCAGATAATTTAAATTCTTTAAACAATCATAAATGCTGATGGCTTAGAGCATGTTATTTAATGTTAACTGAAGATTACAAAACAGAAAAATAGTAATGAAGAGCTTAATTAAAAGCTACCACATTTTCAACTAAGAAAACTCAAGTGAAATTTGTTGTTTTGCATCAGTTAAATGATGATGATTTTACATGGCAAAAATAGTCCATGTTTTTAAATGTTACGCATTAAAAATATTTTATTTATATAATAAAATAAGAAAAAATATAACTATCATTCAAAATTTCCTGTAATTCATTGGCTTGATATATGCCAAAAGAAAAATCTGGTTTTAATTGTTAGTAGGTACTGATTGGGTTGGCTATTTTCCATTTTCTCTCACTTCCATACTAACCTTTCTCTGTTCAATCACAACATTTGCAGATTACACTTTTCAGGCTCTTTTTACAATACGTATAATTTCTGTTTTATTCTGTCAGTAGGATGTAGGTAGGCATACAGAAGATAATATCTTTGTAATTACTTAATAATTACTTTGTAATTCTGGCTTGAACAACAAGGCGGTTACTGGTAGTTGCTGAAGGTTGAAGAAGCAGTAGCAGTTAGGTGATTCTGGAATCCAGCAGCCCAGCAAATGTAACATTATTTTGACAGTTCTAGCTTTGGTTGAAAAAGTACCTCTTCTTCATCTCTATACAAAATGCAGCAGCTGGCGTAGGCTTATGACTTCCAAACTGGGGGCTTTAGCTGCTTCAAATTTCTGAGATTAAAAATTTTTCCTTTTGTTCCTCCATTTCTTTTCATTTAAACAATTCCCTGTTTCTCTTTTAACCAACTGATTTGTAAGATTACTCTACATTAAATTGCCTCTATTTGAAAACAATTTTATTTCTGTATTCTAGTTTTTAAAAAAGCAAAATGAGAATATATTTTCTTAAAACATATTTTAGAGCATTTTCTATAATATTTCTTCCATATAAAATAATTTTGAGATATATACCTCGTATGTTCCAGAAATTATTTGATGCCCTTAGGAGATTAAAACATCAACAAATAAGAAAGAGAAGGGTTTTTTCAATGATAGTGCTTAAATTATAGCAGCACAAAATAAACAATAAATATGAGAAGTATGTTATCTAATATATCAGGTATTAAATGTTATTCATACAATGAAAACATGGAGATGGCTCAAGGAAATGGGATGGCCAATTAGAAAGAGAAACTTAATGATTATCATTGGACATCCAAGAAAGAGACCTCATTGTGAAGGTGACATTTGAGCAGATTTCAAGGAGATGTGAGTGAGTACTGGGAAGAACCAGTGCAAATGCTGCAATGCCAGATGGTGCTTGGTTCACTGATATCTGGAAAGGACTCATGTGGCTGTAGTGTGGTGTGAAGGGAAAAGCAATACAGAGATGAGCTCACTGAGAAAGTGAGCGGAGGACAAATCACAGAGTGAAACTGTGTAACGACTTTGTCTTATCTCTGAGTAAAATGCAGGACTACTTTTGGATGATGAGCTGGGTATTGACATGATCATATCTTCACTTTGAAAGGATCTTTCTGTATCAGAGAGCACATGAAGACATGGAGAAACTTAGGAGGCTTTTGCAGTAATACCAGTGAAGGTGGCGAAAGAGGCTGAAATAGAGATGGTAGTAATGGATGTAATCTAAAGCAAATGAATGTTGAATATATTTTCATGAAATCAGAAAGAGAATATTCCATTCCTCAGTCAAGGTAGTAAAGACCTGGAGTTCCTCCTAATTTTAAAGATGTAACCAACTTTGATCTGATGAGTATAACAAAAACAAGGTCCGAGGATAAGAAGAGTGACTCTCATTTTGCATATTTTCTTTTTTTTTTTAATTACACTTTAAGTCCTAGGGTACATGTGCACAACGTGTGGGTTTATTATGTATGTATACATGTGCCGTGTTGGTTTGCTGCACCCATTAACTTGTCATTTACATTACATATTTCTCCTAATGCTATCCCTCCCCCATCTCCTCATCCCATGACAGGCCCCAGACTGTGATGTTCCCCGCCCTGTGTCCAAGTGTTCTCATTGTTCGATTCCCACCTATGAGTGAGAACATGTGGTGTTTGGTTTTTTGTCCTTGTGATAGTTTGCTCAGAATGATGGTTTCCAGCTTCATCCATGTCCCTACAAAGGACATGAACTCATCCTTTTTTATGGCTGCATAGTATTCCATGGTGTATATGTGCCACATTTTCTTAATCCAGTCTATCATTGATGGACATTTGAGTTGGTTCCAAGTCTTTGCTATTGTGAATAGTGCCACAATAAGCATACGTGTGCATATGTCTTTATAGTAGCATGATTTATAATCCTTTGGGTATATACCCAGTAATGGGATTGCTGGGTCAAATGGTATTTCTAGTTCTAGATCCTTGAGGAATCACCACACTGCCTTCCACAATGGTTGCACTAGTTTACAGTCCCACCAACAGTGTGAAAGTGTTCCTATTTCTCCACATCCTCTCCAGCACTTTGTTGTTTCCTGACTTTTTAATGATTGCCAGTCTAACTGGTGTGAGATAGTATCTCATTGTGGCTTTGATTTGCATTTCTCTGATGGCCAGTGATGATGAGCATATTTTCATGCGTCTGTTGGCTGCATAAATGTCCTCTTTTGAAAAGGGTCTGTTCATATCCTTTGCCCACTTTTTGATGGGGTTTTTTGATTTTTTCTTGTAAATTTGTTTAAGTTATTTGTAGATTCCGGATATTAGCTCTTTGTCAGATGGGTAGATTGCAAAAATTTTCTCCCATTCTGTAGGTTGCTTGTTCACTCTGATGGTAGTTTCTTTTGCTGTGCAGAAGCTCTTTAGTTTACTTAGATCCCATTTGTCAATTTTGGCTTTTGTTGCCACTGCTTTTGGTGTTTTAGTCATGAAGTCCTTGCCTATGCCTATGTCCTGAATGGTATTGCCTAGGTTTTCTTCCAGGGTTTTTATGGTTTTAGGTCTAATATTTAAGTCTTTAATCCATCTTGAATTAATTTTTGTATAAGGTGTAAGGAAGGGATCCAGTTTCAGCTTTCTACATATGGCTAGCCAGTTTTTCCAGCACCATTTATTAAATAGGGAATCCTTTCCCGATTTCTTGTTTTCATCATGTTTGTCAAAGATCAGATGGTTGTGGATGTGTGGTGTTTTTTCTGAGGCCTCTGTTCTGTTCCATTGGTCTATATCTCTGTTTTGGTGCCAGTACCATGCTGTTTTGGTTACTGTAGCTTTGTAGTATAGTTTGAAGTCAGGTGGCGTGATACCTCCAGCTTTGTTCTTTTTGCTTAGGATTATCTTGGCAATGTGGGCTTTTTTTTGTTTCCATGTGAATTTTAAAGTAGTTTTCTCCAATTCTGTGAAGAAAGTCATTGGTAGCTTGATGGGGATGGCACTGAATCTATAAATTACCTTGGGCAGTATGGCCATTTTCACGATATTGATTCTTCCTATCCATGAGCATGGAATGTTCTTCCATTTGTTTGTGTCCTCTTTTATTTCGTTGAGCAGTGGCTTGTAGTTCTCCTTGAAGAGGTCCTTCACATCCCTTGTAAGTTGGAGTCCTAGGTATTTTATTCTCTTTGTAGCAATTGTGAATGGGAGTTCACTCATGATTGGGCTGTTTGCCTGTTATTGGTGCATAAGAATGCTTGTGATTTTTGCACATTGATTTTGTATCCTGAGACTTCGCTGAAGTTGCTTATCAGCTTAGGAGATTTTGGGCTGAGACGATGGGGTTTTCTAAATATACAATCACATCATCTGCAAATAGGGACAATTTGACTTCCTCTTTTCCTAATTGAATACCTTTATTTCTTTCTCTTGCCTGATTGCCCTGGCCAGAACTTCCAACACTATGTTGAATAGGAGTGGTAAGAGAGGGCATCCTTGTCTTGTGCCAGTTTTCAAAGGAAATGCTTCCAGTTTGTATATTTTCTATAGATCACTGACCCTGCTTGGATCCTTCTTTCAGAATACTTTAACTCAACTTACTCAACACTTCAATGCATTTAAATTGACATATTGATTATGTTTGACAGTGCTTTTTCTTGGCAATTGTGTTTTTAAATATGTAAAGTAATAGTAGACTGTATGCATAAGTAATATAAAGTATAGCTTTGGGAAAGTGGATTACATATTTTAAAAAAGACATTTTATAGAGTATATTCTCAGTCTAATGTTTGTATAAGTAAATTAACATGGGCAATCTTCTATTATCAGTCACTGTGATTAGCGGAAGGAATCCAACATGTTCTAATGTTTATTCTAAGTAAAATAATGGCTAATGTAATTGAGTTTTGCATATAAAAATTTAATAGAAAATACTTGAGCATAACAGACTTTTCTTGTTACAAAATATAATGCTTTATATTTCAAATGTCGAATTTATGATAATTGTAAAGGGACAATGGAAAGAAATAAAACTAGAAAAATTATATCAATAATTTAACATTTTCTACCTTAAAGAAGACGATTGGTATAAAAATTAAATGGTTTTATGTGTCAAACATAATTCAGTAGAAATAAACTGCCATCTGTTCCATTTAAGATCATTATAAAAAATAAGGCATATAGTGCATCTCATTTTGTGATCTTATTTTGACTATTGAGAATAATTTTTTCCCAATACTTCATAGATTGAACAGTCTGCATAAATAGCAGGCTTCTTCATTCCTTATTTAAGGTAAATGGAGCCATTTAAGTAAGATGAAAGAGATTACGGCGCGAACTAGTTTGATTAAACAATATATATTAGCATCCAAATGTAATGTTTCTTAATATTGTTCTAAGCTATGAAATGGTGCATATTCATATCATTTTTCTTGCATGCATTTTAAAGCATTTATTCTTTATTAGTTATGAAAGTGCGAAATCAACAATAAAGCACACCTCTAACAATTTATATAAGAAACATACACATCCATATGCACACACATACATACTTATATGTTAAAGGTCGTTTCTATAGTATATTCGTATTTTAAATAAACTGTTCATGCATACGTATGATTATATCCAAATACACACATGCATATGCACTGAAAAAAATATTCCTTGAAGTCCTACATTAAGAATGTACAGCCAGGGTTAGCAAGGGCATGAGTACCTATTCTGCTCAAGAGAAAGATAATTTTAAAATAAATTGAACAGAGTGATCAGAAATGCAAATAACCTAAGTAAATGCAAAGTCTGGATAACAGGTGGCACATCTTTAAATTCCAAGGGGCCACTCAGACTGATGAGGTGGTGAAGTACGTTAAATTAAGTAAAGTACGTTTTAAGTGTGGAGGGAGGTTGCGTGGTGTGTTTTTCTAGACAGTGGTCTATGGAAGGCCCAATTTGCCTGTAAACTTAAGACCTGGTATCTCTGTATCCACATTTGGCATAATCCAAACCTTTACACCTTGCCAGGTATTAGTCCAACCCTGTGTGGTTTAGCCAAGGCAGGCTTAAGAACAAGCCTGACTGGATAAATAGCTAACTCATTTAGAAAAAGACTGAAAATATGGTGGAGACTTAGCTCCAGGACCCTGAATCTTTATAGTTTTTGTTTTTATTACAAGTTTAGATTCTAAAATCAGGTAAAAACAAAGTACGCAACATAGCATTTTTCAAAAGCATTGTCAATTATAAGCAGTTAATTTCTATTTAACGATAGAAATGCATCATTAGACTTATTATTAATTCATCTGTTGATTATACAGTTAGCACTATCCTTCATACTTTGCAAAGAGAGTCACTGTTTTCAGCCTTCTGTAATGTCATAAACTATGTTTCCAAGTTAATGAAGAACAGTCATTTATTAAAAATATATAACTAAAAAAGTACAACATCATTATAAGATATCACTTCCTATAGTTAGAGGGTGCACATTTAATTTTTGTTCTTTCATTTCAGTGCTGCAAAAATATTTAGTCTTGAAACTTATTGTAAGTTCTGAAACTTAGAAATTAAGCATTCTTCAGCTACTTACATTAGGTTACAGCAGGTTATCTAGAAACAATCCTGGAGCAACACACGTATTTGAAAATATTTATTCCATTCCTTTTAAAGGAGTATTTTATATAAATATCCAAAGCAAATAAACTTCTTTAAGATGAAATTTAATGTTTGCATTTTATAAAAATATATATATATTTGAAATAATTACACCTGACACATGCAATATTTACATTCATTTTCTTAATCATCTGTCATTATATCAATAGAATTTGATGCCACCTAAAAGCATAAATACTAATAATGCATAAAGCAGTTATTAAATGACATATTCAAAGGCAGTGATATAATTGGAAGTGTTAACCTTCAGGGTGATTTCTGTGAGTTATCATTTAGTATAGCTACCTCATATAACTACCTTATAAAATCATCATTTGCCTGAAACAAATGAAACCAAACATTTCCCAAAATATCATGACAGAAATGTTATTGTGAAAGCTGACATTAGTTGATGTTTAGATTTTCTGGTTAATCCAGATATTGAATAAAATAAGAATTTCACATTTGAATTTAAAAGATAAAATGTTCCTTTAATGTGTTATGCATGATTGCTTAACAAGCTGATTTTTAAATCCATCTCACACCAATCAGAATGGCTATTATTAAAAAGTAAAAAACAAAAAAAACAGTTGTTAACTGACGGGAATGTATATTAGTTCAGCAACTTTGGAAAGTAGTTTGGAGATTTCTCAAAGAACTTAAAACAGAATTGACCCAGCAAACTCATTACTAAGTATCTACCCAAAGGAATATAAGTTATTCCACCAAAAAGATACATGCACTTCTATGTTCATAGCAGCACTATTTGCAACAACAAAGACTGGAATCAACCTAGATGCCCATCAATGGTGGACCAGATGAAGAAAATATGGTACATATTCACCATGGAATACTATGCATCCATTTAAAAGAAAAGAAATCATGTCTTTTGCAGCAACATGAATAGAGCTGGAGGCCACTATCCTAAGCAAATGAATACACAAACAGAAAACCAAATACTGTTTGTTCTCACTTGTAAGTTGGAGCTAAACACCGAGTACACATGGATATGAAGATAGGAACAATAGACATGGGGTCTACTTGAAGGAGGAGGGTTGGAGAAGTGGGAAGGTAGAAAAACTACCTATCACGTACTATGCTCTCTACCTGGGTGATGGGATCATTTGTACATCAACCTCCAGGGACAGACAATTTATCCAAGTAATCAATCTGCACATGTAACCCTCTAAACTTAAAATGAAAGTTAAAAAATATCCAATTTTTAGAGATAGCTAAACTGTCATTGGATCTAACAAATTACAGATGGTTAAAATCAAAATCTCTGATTTTAATATTATATAGTTGAATAATTTGGATTTAAACTCATTTTACATTGTCCTAAGCTTCTATAAGTCACCTTGATAGGTAAAGGGGAGAACAAAGGTTGATTTTCTAGGCCCCCAAACCACACTTCCTTCTCTTTTCCTGGTCAGAGGAACCTGAAGACAGAATGTTAAGAGGAATAGATTTTAAATAATAAGTGAATCAACAGCAAAACTGGAGGAAAATCGAAGATTGCTGGCTTCCTCCCTTGTACTACAAACATCTGATGTCTTTCTCAAAAAGCCTCTTAATATTCTCTTTGACTTAATTTGAGATCCCTTGAAGCCCAGTTATTTCTGTCTTAGTTGCTACTCTTTGCCCTAAATCCATCCATGACTTCACATGGCACATACAGTTTTTTCAAATTCTTTTACTTACTGATTCTCTTATCTCACTCAGAATGCAAGCTAGCTGTTATATCAGCAAATAATGTTGAGATTAATATTTTTTATTTATCGTGACAACAGGTTTACAAGAACACAGAGCTTAGAGTTTGTCCAAAAGTTTCATTTAACAATAAATAGGATTCAGCAAAAATTTACCACACAGTCTTAGATTGTGAGGTTATAATTCACCAGTAGATTCAAATACTAGCCTATTAGACCAAGTAATGATGCCAATACAATAGTATATTTTAGTATTCATTAGTCACACTTGAATTCATCAAATATTTAAAAATTGGTCCTGTGCATTAAATACACAAGACTGGAAAAGTTGATAAACTGAAAATGATTAACACTAGAAAATTGCAGAAAAGACATGAAAAGAAATAAATAAGAAGAGATATCATTCAAAATTATAGAACAGTAAAATTTAAAAAATGACATTTTTCAAGCAACAGCTTGGAAAACAATGTTCACAGTTTGCATTACAAGCTTTTTGCAATATTGGCGGAGAGGTAGGTGTAATGTGAAGTTGTTATTTGTTGCCTCGATGGCTTCCTGAGTGCCAGCACCTGCCATTCTTGCTTTGAACTATTACAGACGTATTGCCCATTTCTGGGTACCCGTCTCCAACATGTGTCTTCAAGTGCCAAGCCTCATGATGACTTCCCCATTTTATCAGTTCCTCCTTTCATGTTGACCCAGCTACATTCAAATTACTCAGATAGAGTGCCCCCCATGTGCCACAAACTACCCCTGCTATTAGCCTCAATAAAGGAACTAGCCCAGGGGTCCTTACTCCATTTTCTCTCTGCTTGCCGTGACTTTGTGTGGCCCTCTGGACTTGCCGTGCTTCCCTCCCTAGGACCTGTGAGTATAATAAATCCTTCAATTTCATATGCCTCTCGGAGTGTAATTTCTGCAGTTACACTGAAGTGATTATCTTAAAGACCCCACAAGAGAGACTAGCTCTCCCATTGACAACACAGTGGGTAAGTATAAATCCTATCCTATTTACAGGAATATGAAATAACTAATAAAAGACATAGCTGATAACATAATTGTTAAAAAATTTTTGGAGGAAAATGTGAAAGTGTTAATTTAAAAGGTTATGCACATGTTACATTTCTTTCACAAATTCCAACCTTAGGACTTTACTCTTCAGGAGGACTTAAGAAAATGTTAGGCTATAGGTATAATGTATTTACTATTGGTTACATTTGAAATAAAATAGTAGGAAATGACATTTATATTCATTAGTAGGAAACTATTTTAATATGTGGTAATTCATGCACAAGATGAAATAATTTGTAGCCATTAAAAATGAATGAAATACACCGGAATGTGATACATGGAAAGTTCCCCAATGCATATTTTAAGGTAATTAAAGCAAAATTCAAAGAAAGTATATGTGAAGCCTCTGAAGAAGGGCTGTCTGAAATTGATATCCTCATTTTGAGGGTTATGTTACACTATTTCTATATCCATTGCACAACAAAAGTTTCAAGACAGTTCTCATAGAGTTATTTCTGATTGTTTTCTAATGATACTTTATTTTCCTTCTATTCATTATAATAAATGTAAATATTTGGCTAAATTATTGTTTAGTAAATTATATATTTTCATTTATATTGGTTTTCAACTTTGGACTTTTTGGGGAATGGATCTGAATCACAGAAAACATTGTTCTTTGAAGTAGTAAATCTGTTAGTTCTCAGAGTTCTCATTTACAAATTGCGTTTTGTTCTAAAATTTGTCTATGAACATTTGTTAGATCAATAAAATAAACAATGTTTCAAATATTTATACCATCATTTTTAGCAAAATGCACCATGAATTTACATGTAAGTCACATTTTTTGATGGTCGCATTTTTTTTCCACACGTTGTCCATAAAATGTAGTTTCAGCCCCCACCGACTAGTTTGTCATTCAAGAGACTGTTTTCCAAAATTCCCACAGTTTTCATTTCCGCCAGCAACATATTAAAAATCCTTATTTTTCACATCCTCACCAATATTTGTTATTTCTGATTTCTGTCTTTTTTTTTTTAACTAGACATACTATTAGTTTGGTGCAAAAGTGATTGCGGTTTTTACCTTTGGAAGTAATGGCAAAAAGTGCAATCACTTTTGCCCCAACCTAATAGTATGTATGAAATGGTATCTATGTTTGAAATTTACATTTCCTTGATGACTAAAGATGCTTTTACTGGTAATATAAATCTCTTATTAGTAATTTATATACCTTAGTTAATAAAATGTCTACTTTTATATTTGTCCATTCTAAAATTAGTTTGGTTATTTTCTCATGGAGTTTCAAGAGTTTATTGTATATCCTAGATAACAATCCTTTGTCAGATATATGTATCTTTGTACTTCACAAACATAGTCTCCTAGCCCCTTGCTTATAGTTTTATTTTCTTAATACTGTCTTTTGAGATGGAAAAGTTTTGAATTTTGATAAAGTCCAAATTATGTTTTGTTTGTTTAACAGATCATGTTCTCAGTATCAAATTTAAGAAACTATTACCTAACCCAAATCTGAAAGATGTCTTTCCACATTTTCTCCTAAAATTTTTAATATAAGCTCTCAAATTTAAATATATCACCCATTTTGGGTTAGTTTCTGTGTGTTGTATGAGACAAGTAAGGGTTTAAGTTCATCTTTCTGCGTGCAGATAATCAAATGTCCCAGCACCATTTGTTGAAATTGACAATATGAATGCTAACATACCCTGATTTTGTGACTGTGAGCAGGTTACTCAAGTTCCTTTGTTTCTGCATTTTTTTTGTTGTTTTTTGTTTTTTTTTTTTGAGATGGAGTCTTTTTCTGTCACCCAGGCTGGGGTGCAGTGGCATGATCTCGACTCACTGCAACTTTCATCTCCCAGGTTCAAGCAATTCTCCTGGGATTACAAGTGCCCACCACCACACATGGCTAATTTTTTGTATTTTTAGTAGAGATGGGGTTTCACCATGTTGCGCAGGCCGGTCTCAAACTCCTGACCTCAAATGATCCTCCTACCTCAGCCTCCCAAAGTGCTGGGATTACAGGTGTAAGCGACCGAGCCTGGCCCTTTTTTCTTAATTAAAGGGTTGAAAAACCCCAAATATACTGTGGAAGCACATACATGTGAAAGCTCATATGAAGATTTTTACTGGGTACTGACTAAGCAACACTTGATGATATTTTGCTTTTTTAACAGAGCCCTGATAAATATAATCCATTTTTGTAATCAAAAATTAAATATCCTTCAGACATGTATACATGTTGGTAGACAGATAAAATATTTTCTCCTAGAATAAAAAGCCCACTAGTAACTATGATTAATTTGGGGAAGAAAAATTTGGAGTGAGGGCTGAGAAGAGCTTTTAATTTAATTTTATATTTTCATCTACATTTTGAATTTTTAATTAAGTTTTTTATCATCAGCACTTTTGTAGTTTATGAGCTTTTCACACATTTCTCTATTTCTTTATATGTTACTGTGTTTTTACAGTGTACCAATCAAATTTTTAAAACTATATTTAAATGTGTACCTTGTTAAAAGGTGAATCCATTGTTTCCAGACTGTTGTTAACTTAATGTATGATTTCTCATGAATTATGCTAGCTTTGATTTTAAATGGCATAATGGTAATATTAATATCAGCCTAAGTGTAAATCAGCTATTCATTTACACTTTGTGATCTGCATATAAAACACAATACTCACACATTCAATAGGCCTTCTGGATTAGAAGATACATTTTCCAAGTACAAACATAAAAATCTTGTAAATATGTATTGTTGGATGAAAAATATTATTTATTTATTTATTTTTTGAGATGGAGTCTCGCTCTGTCGCCTGGGCTGGAGTGCAGTGGTGCGATCTCGGCTCTCTGCAAGCTCCACGTCCCGGGTTTGCACCATTCTCCTACCTCAGCCTCCCGAGTAGCTGGGACTACAGGTGCCCACCACCACGCCCGGCTAATTTTTTGTATTTTAAGTAGAGACAGCGTTTCACCGTGTTAGCCAGGACGGTCTCGATTTCCTGACCTCGTGATCTGCCTGGCTCAGCCTCCCAAAGTGCTGGGATTACAGGCGTGAGCCATCGCGTCCGGCCAAATCATCAATTGCTTCGTAAGTTGAATATGAAACTGTCAGACTAGTTATTTTTGTTCAAAATCTTGGCATTTCTGCTGTCATCGAGCCAACTGAGAACAATTTAAATATAATCCAAATAGTACCATGGAGAAAGCTAATGAAAATAACAGTATACCTCCATTTTTCTAGAATTGAAAACAGTTTAATGCCTCAGCAATCAGAACATGGTATACTAATCTTAGATAAAGATGCAGTGTTGATGTGGAACTTTAAAAAATATTCAACGTCTAGACATATGGAAAGAGACTTCTTAGCAATAAATAAAACATAAAACAGGCTGTGGGTTGAATATAAGAGAATTTTTTTCGACATTCCCTGAAATACACCAGGGGGTTCTTTTTTTCATATTGTGCCTTATAATTCTTAATAGATCTGTAAGGGCCTCTGAGTGAAGGCAAAATGGGCTCTGAAGGTCCTTGTGCCTCTATCAATTAGAGAAGACCAAGGTTATAGGTTGTAAACAGTAGTGTGTTTTATAATATTGCACTTGAGATAAAGTTATGCTAGATAGAATAAAAACCTATAAAAAGACGTCTACATGCAAACAATAAATGATATAAGTCTGAACCTCATATTCAAACTCTCAACGACAACAATAATAAATGAAAAAGAAAGTTTAGGTGGGAGATTTCATTAGGGTAAAGGATGCCTACAAAATTAGAATCTTAATATTTGGAATGCCAAATTGACTCCACTTTTAAGTGTTATCACTCCCTGAGTTTTACTGTTTAGCTTGGCATGCTCTTCCTATTTCACCCAAAGGCCAGTCTCTTTCAGGAATATTTGTAGCTATGCCTGTGCCATTAGTATTACATCAGATTTATGGTCATGCTCCCGTATGCATTTGATGGTGCCTATGACCACTTTTCTTCATAAACATAACTCAGTTTCTACTTTTTTGTGCATCCTGGTAATTGGTTCATCAAATGTTTGGTGGTGGTGGTGGTTTTTTTTATGTCATGGTTATGTGTCAGTTACTTTACTAATGAAAACATGAGTGAGAGAACCAGTATTTTTATTAGTTATCTGTCTTAAAGGGGAAGACAACTGGGTGACAAGTATGTGTACAAATAATTACATCAAAAGAGTGGTAAAGCTTAATAACAATACATATGGAAAGCTGTAGGGCTATGAGTTGATTTAAAAAGATTTTAACATTTAGAATCACACTGATGTGGGAGCTATTTGATCAGTAAGCACACTCAACTTATATGTGATATACATACAAGTATGTACTTTCTACTTTCAGGGCTAGTGGAAGAGTAGATAATTACAAGAAATCTGGGGGGCATAACCAGCATTCTTTCACCTTACAAGAATTCTAAATCAGTTTAAAAATGAAGACAAAAAAACCTATACAGGTAGAACAAAAGTATCTGTTTAGTATTGTCAAACATTAAGGTGAAAGGTATAGCTTGATTAAGAGACAAAAACACTTTGCTGATGCTTTAATCCTGGAACACCTTGGGACATCCTACTGCAGGGAAAGTTGGAGCTCTTATTCTTTCACATCATCAGGCTGCAAATTTTCCAAACTTTTCAAGTTTGCTTCCCTTTTAAACATAAGTTCCAATTTCAAATCATCTCTCTCAAGTTCAGTGTTACACAGATCTCTAGGGCAGGGGCAAAATGCCAAGAGTCTCTTTGCTAAAGCACAGCAAAAGTGACCTTTACTCCAGTTACCAACAAGTTCGTCTTCTCCATCTGAGATCACCTCAGCCTGGACTTCATTGTCCATATTAATATCAGCATTTTGGTCAAAACCATTCAAGACATCGCTAGGAAGTTTCAAACTTTCCCACATCTCCCTATGTCCTCTGTGCCTTCCAAACGGTTCAATCTCTCCCTGTTACCCAGTTCCAAAGTCACTTCCACATTTTTTGGTATCTTTATAGCAACACCCCACTCTCTGCAGTGCCAATTGACTATATTAGTTTATTCTCATACTGCTATAAAGATACTATCTGAGACTGGGTAACTATAAATAATAGAGGTTTAATTGACTCAGTTCCATATGGCTGGGAGGCCTCAGGAAACTTACAATCATGGCAGAAGAGGAAGTAGGCACACCTTACCTAGCAGGAGGTGTGAGAGTGTGTGAAGAGCGAAGGGGGAAGAGCCCCTTATAAAACCATCAGATCTTGTGAGAACTCACTCACTATCATGAGAACAGCATGGGAGAAATTGCCCCATATTCCACTCACCTCCCTCCCTCAACACATGGGGATTACAATTCAAGACGAGATTTCTGTGAGAACACAGAGACAAACCATATCATCTGTAGTCATAAGACTCTTCATTTGGCGGGGCTCGATGGCTTATGCCTGTAATCCCAGCACCTTGGGAGGCCAAGGTGGGCGGATCACCTGAGGCCAGGAGTTCGAGATTAGCCAGCCTGAGATGGTGAAACCCCGTCTCTACTAAAAACACAAAAATTAGCTGAGCATGGTGGCGGGCACCTGTAATCCCAGCTACTCTGGAGGCTGAGGCAGCAGAATCGCTTGAACCCAGGAGGCAGAGGTTGCAGTGAGCCAAGATCACGCCACTGCACTCCAGCCTGGGTGGCAGAGCGAGATTCTGTCTCAAAAAAGAATCTTCATTTATTCTCTATCACAAAAATTAGCATTGCTAAAAATTATTAAAGAATACATTACTTTCCTCTCTCACTGTCACCTTGTCATCTTACACCCAGCACTGTGCTAAGGTCATGAAAGCACTCTGCTTCCGGAATAGATGTATACATACAAACTCATATACACAGAGTTTGGTTACTTCCTCAGATTTTATATTTGATTAATAAGTTATACACCTCCATTGCTGTTTCTTTATTTCCAATATACGACTATCTGTGTCTTTGTAGAATTAGGCAATGTTTAATGAATTACAGGCTTGGGATTTTGAATAAAAAGTATTTGTTTCAGTATGGTTTACTACATGCTCATAGATACATGTTTACTTTTGAAATATAACCTGAAATTTCCCTGTTTTTCCAAACTCATACAACCTTATCCTTGCTAGGCAACGTTTGCTAGGCTTTTCCGATTGTCAGACAAAATTCTAAAATGTTCAGCTTTACTTCAGTAATTATGACTTTATTTAAACCACACAGGAAGAGCAATAAAAAGACTATAAAACATCAACAAAAACCCTGCATCCTTATACCACACAGGAAGAGCAATAAAAAGACTATAAAACATCAACAAAAACCCTGCATCCTTATATCACACAGAATAAGTTATCATGCAGAAACCAGAATAACCTTCAGGATATAACACAAACTGCATCTTGCTCTCTTCACAAAAGACACCAATTCAATTTTCTCCCTTCCAGTATTTCTCCTTTGTAGCTATTTCTTCTTAGCCTCCAACAAACTAAAGCTATTCTTTCCTATGTATTATGGCTCAGTCATTTTACTTTATCTTTGTGTTTCTGTAGAATACTATGCCATTTACTATTCTCTTTCAGTGAATGACCACAAAGAGGACCCAGTTACAGAGCTATCTGGAATCAGACCCTCTCTTAGGGATTTAATAGCTACCCAATAGCTGACTTAGAATTAGGTATCTATCTTTATTTGTTGTTGACAGCAACATGCTTTTACAATTACAAATATGGTACTCCGAGTATGTATTTATAGTAATATTTATATGTGTATTTATTTTTGAATATATATGTATACTTATACATATTTTTATATTTGAATATATATATTTAAAATATATATGACAACCTTTGAACATGGTAACACTTCCCAACAGTTGCATCACAAGGTGGATGAATATTATAGGATTGGCGACAAGTTGGAAAACTATAGCATTATGTTTATTCATTATCTTATCGGAATGAACCAAGTGTTACTTTCCTAGTTTACAATAATATTACAAATATTTCAGTTTGACCTGATCGTTCTTCTGAATGAGGAAAGTTTATGTGTGTGGGTGCATATATGTAAATGTGATGTTGGCTGTATGCATAACCTCACGTTTCATTTGTTAAATGACAAATAAACTTTTCATAATAAAGAAAATGTAAGGCCACATTAAATCAAAATACTTAAGAAGTCTAATTTTAACACAGATATTTGACAGGTCATTGTTTCATGTCACCATTCTGTGATCGTCCTCAAATAATTTGAGGGTATTTACAGAGAATAAATATAAAAAAAATAGAAATCATTCTCAATATCAAAAGAGAAACAGAAATATGATGGCATATATCATGAGTTTCTGACTCCCTTACTGAATTTAATATAGGAATTACAAAAAAGAAAAAGGAGAAGTTGACAGACCCCAGACTCTCATAAAAGCATTAAGATACCTCAAGGATACAGAAGGTGCTCGGCCATTGCTGGGTATATGGACTAAAGAGGAAAGGACACTGAGAGCTAAAGTTTGTGAGCTCCAAGGATCAGAGAGTCTTTGCAGGAGATTTACGTTCGTTCATTTTCACTTTTATCACATTTCCTGTTTTATTTTATTTCACTAAGTTTAATTTTAGGATTTTTCTTTGAGAATGCTTATACATGGAAATGATTTAAAAACGCGAACTATAAAATATTTACAACTGAAGTAATTTGAGGGTTTACACAAACAATGCAGCCATCTGTTTGCATCATTCTCATAGCTCATGTTCTCACTTCCTTTAAGTCTATTTCAGTGTTGAAACACCTTAGATAAAACAGCATCCACCACCGTTTCTCTGTCCTCTTTATATTGCATTATTCTTTTTCATAAGTGCATCTCTTACTTTAAATACCAGTATTGATTGCATGTTAGCATCTATCTCTCTACGTTGGAAGGTATGTTTAGGGATACCAATATGTCAAGATCAGTGAAGGGTCTGAAAACTTACTTTATCTGTAAGCTTGTGAGTTAGTGTGTCACAGCTTTATAGATGCTGGCAGAAGACACGGCCTCCTGGTTTAGAGCCAAAGGCATTTTTTTTCCCTCACAGCACAGTAGGTAGCATACATTTGCAACTACTCCCCTTTCCCTGAGGACCATGAGGCTGATGTGAAGTAGTACAGGATGATACAGAAAACACAATGAATTTATGTCACAGCTGAGGAACCTTAGCTTTGGAAGCCCATAGCCTTATAAGTGTGTTGCTGAAAACCGGCTCAAATTTTTCCCTGAACAGGAGTATCATCTTTATAATCCTGGTCAGGAAACAAATCTGCCCTCCTGAAAGACACGAGTAAGGAAAATTTTACTTACATCTCTCAAAAGTGTTTGATATACAAAATATTCTTAAAAAGACAATCTGGAATAAAGTTGTTAATGTCCCTTGCTCAGAAAACAGGCAGTAGTGCGAGAGACCCATGGAAAATTTACACTCCCTCTCCAAAATTTTTCCCTTATTTCCCCACTGTTTTGGCTTCTGGAAAGTTTTCTCATGAATACACCATTTCATCAGCTAATTTGACTGATGTGTAATGGGACAACTTTGTTAACTTTGATTCATGCATCGTTTAACTGAGGGCACTATCAACGTACTGCAAATAGTAGAATGATGCAAACCTTCAGTGATAACTTAGTCATGCCCAGACCTCATCGGCTCCAGTTGCCCAGCTTAACTAATCCAATAAACTGTCAGAACCTACCTTAGAAAGTTGGGTGTCTTTCTTTTAAGCTTCCATATTCCACTTGTCAAAATGCAAATGTTATTTTTTTCACATGCAAAATGGTACAGTCATTTTTGTTTTGTTTTGATTTTAATTTAAACCTTCAATTACCGAATGACTAAGTATTTCTACTCTATGTGTACACTCAAGAGAAATAAAATTGTATGTCCACACACACTTGTAAATTAATACTCATAGAAACTTTATTCATGAGAGTCCCAAAAGGAATAAGCTAAAATGTCAAAATGATAAATGGATAGGCAAACCTTGGTGTTTGCATGCAATGAAATACTGCCCGGCAAATAAAAAATAAGCAAGATACTGATACAGCAACCTTGAAACCTCTAAAAATAAACTAATGATAAGTAAAAGAAACAAGCCTCAAAAAGGACATACGGTATGATTCCATTTATATGAAATTGTTTAAGAGGCATAACTATAGTGTCAGAAATCTAGTCATTGCCAGTGGCCAAGGATCAGAGGACAAATTGAAAGCAAAACAACATGAAAGAACATCTGGGGGAGACAGAAAGTTTTCTAAAGCTATATAGTGGTAGTGGTTACATTTCTTATAGTTTTACCAAAACTCGTCCAACTGGATACATAACATGAGTGGATTTTCTTGTATGTAAATTATACTACAACAAAGCTAAAGAAAATAACCTTAGATGAAGGCACATACATTGAATTATGTTGAAACATAACTATGAAATTGATGATAGTAGTTGCCTTGAGGAGAGAAATGGATAGACATTAGGGCTGGTTTCTTCTCTGTGCAACTGACAAAGTAAGTAGGGCTTGGTGGTGGCTTGAGTACCATTAGTTACAGTCTCAACTCCATGAATATACATACGATGATATAGAATCTAAGTAAAATAGTGTGCTTACTCAGTCTATAACTACTTCCATAAAATTCCTTAGGTCTTTATTTATTCATTCATGCTTGCAATAAATACATTTATTAAGACCCTATTGTGCATCTAGTGGTCTTATATTTCTCATATACATATTCCTTCATCTGCATCTTGAATTTGAATTAGATCTCTCTAATAAATATGACATTATCATATTTTTTACTTCAAATTTTCTTTAAGATTAATTTTATTTGATTTCATTGAGATTTTCTACCTGTTCACTTATTTTAAGCATATATTATTTTAATTCTGTTAATTAATATATTTAGGAAATTGATGAAGCATTTGTTTGCTAAGTCTGATATCTCAGTCTAACTGAAGTCATTTTATGTTGAATGCTTTTTTCAGAACAAGAATCACATTTTCTTATTGTTTTGCATAGTTAGTAATTCTTTTTTTGAAGACTGGGCGTTTTGAAAATACATTTTAGTGACTATACATTTTGTGTTGTTCTTTGAAGGTAAATGGATTTTAATTTTTCAATGCACTTAAAATGCCCAGACTCAAATTTTCAAACCTGCATCCCCTACTGTGTACAATTGTTGGTCAATGTCTCCATAGAGATATATCCTGCACTTGTGTGGTTTAAAGGCCAGAAAATGATTTCCAAAGGCTGTGCTTAGACTCTTCAAGCCAATTAGGCTTTCTGCCATTTCAGATGTATGTGGATTAAAGAATGCTCTCACAGGCACAGCAAGTTTTCAAGTCTCCCAGGCTTTAAATCTTCACGAGGATTCTGGCTTCTTCATGTTTATGTAGTTAAAGTAGTTTATCAGTCATCCCAGAATTTGTAGAATGCTTATTATCTTAGTCCTTCTACAGTTCTCTCATTTTAAATATTTCCTAGTTAGTTTTAATTTCCTCTTCCATATTCTCAGTCAAAAAGTTCATATACTTACCATTCTTACCTCAAAAAGTAGCTGTTTTTTATGAATCACTTTGGGAGTTTTCAAATTTGTTGAAATTGTTATTTTTAAATTTTATTTTATTTTTATAAATAATTGTTTTTACTTTATATGTGTTATTCTGGACTGAAATTAATTAGTTTCCCAAACTGTCATTATTGAAGGTAGTCTTGAATGTGTTTCTGTAAGCTACCTTTGTTAGAACAATTATTTGTATCCCATATTATGTTCTTCTGCTTTTAGTTTCCCAAAATCATTTTTTAGTGATTACTAACATCATGCAACCAGATTAATTTGAAAATATATTTAGCATACATAGCAAGAAAATTTTGTAAGAGTTTTATATTTATATCATAGGCTGACATGACAAGTATGGTCTAACTGTGCAATGTTTCGCAGGATTAGCCTTAGTAGCTTTTACCTTCTCTGTGTAGACCGTTTTTTCTTAAGAAGTAATAAGTAAGACTTTCTATATGACATTTGCTCCTGATTAAACCATTTAATTTATTTCAGATAATATGCCCCTTACATGATACTAAAATATCAAATAAGATTACTGATCGTTTTCACTGACATCCAAGTTTTCAAATGTATCCAATATTAAATTATTTCATTTTAGATATTTATTGAACTATTATCTTAATAGGATACAAAAAGCTATTGCAATGTGTACTGTCAACTAAAAATCTTATTTAATTATTCAGGAAAAAATAATATGTGTTCCTTTTTATTACTCATAGATTTATTGTTACCGAGAATAATTAATGGCTTATTGTGATGCTGGAACTAAAGCCAGGCCAAAGTTAACTAAAAGAGATAAAGAGTTTTAAAATGACACTGCAACAGCTATTTATTATCACATTTTTTTGAAAATCAAAAATAATTTTACACAGTGCCGTAATACCTCAAAACTTGATCAGTTTTTCTGAAGACATCCATTACATCTTAATTCAAAGTTCGAATTAATTTTAAAAGCATAATTTTAATAAATTTAATTAAACGTATTTTAGAATACACTTTTAATAACTAAAGTGAAATATATTGAGTAAAATGAAGTTTAATTTTATGGATATTAGTAAACTTTGACACTAATAATATATTTTATAGATGCCTAATTATTCTGTCCGTTAATGATGACATTCTTTTTGCAAAGCTGGTTTATGCCAATGCCTCGCTAATATAAAGCTATCATACTCAGTTTTTTGTTATGTGGTAGCATTTATAACATGGAATAGATTTAGTTATCAACCCAGCAGGTATATTTTAAGTCAACCTGAATGCCTAATTAAAAATTCCTCTACTGGACAGCTGCAGGTATTGATTGATTTACAGAGAAGACCGATTTACAGAGAATCAACTTTCAGTACTCAATATTAATTATATTTCATATTTTATTACTTAAAATTTGAACACTTATTTCTGAAATGTCACTATTGTCACAACATTGTAGGTGAAGAACATAAGTATTAAAATTTTCATTTATAAAATTTGACATGATCATACATAAGTTGTTCCCCCTATATCTTTTAAACAGCCTTATTTTAATAATTTATATTGTAATTCAAGAGCTGGTTGTTTTATGTGTTAATATACCTTAATTGTTCTTTGGAACTTTATCATCCAAAACTTACTGATATTACAAACTGTCTTCAAGATACTTGTGCAATAAAATTTCTTATTACTCAAAACTTTTATAGTGATTAATAAAATCTATCACTTTTTTGATCCTCATGTCCAGTAATTTTCTGCATCAGGAGACACTGATAAGCTATCACGTGGGAGGGGGATCATAACACCAGACCAATATCTCATTTGAAAGGTTGATTCTGCTTCATGTCTATTCTTTTAATTTTTTCAGGGGAATGTTTTCTTTATTATTTTTTTTTTGTCTTTGTTTCTGTCTGTTTCTCAATGTGCGTTTCTCACTTAATTTAAAGAATCTTGAGCCTAGACAGTGAGTGCTTATGTCAATTTTTTATTGGGTATCTTGTGTTTATTTGGATCTTTATTGGGAGATACCTCATTCCACTCAGAATTCTTTAACAATAGGTTTGAGAGGCAGAATATTTTCTTTTAACCCTTGCCTCAAATTATAATAATAATTACTCTTTATTGCTCAATGACCTCAGTTTCGACATAACCTTTAGGGTTGAGAAGCGGGTTTCCTTTACAATCCTGAAAGTTCTTAAATTCCTGGACTCCCTTTATTTCTTTTCACTGTTGCTCAAAAAATAGTCAGTTCTTTCCTATGTTCATGTACTTATTGTACTTTGCCAAATAGAGCTATCTTTTTCTTTTCTAACTACTTCCGGTAAGGCTATGTACGTTCGTTATGCTGTTTTCCAAGTTACTGCAGGTCAAAATGTCCCCTAATATTTCATTGGCACTTACATGGTTCTTCCAAACTCTGAAACAGCATCATTGCTGCTATTCAGCAAACTACCAAGCCAATACCAAATATTTTTATTTTATGTTAGTTCATGACTCACTTTTGAGTGTCAAATCAACTGGACTATGGTACAGAACAAAGAAATGTTTTATTTCAGACTATGCTATAGTAACAAAAAAGTTTTATTTCTCATTGATTCTACTGGTTCATTGGGAGTTGGCTGGAACTGTGCAGTGTCCTCTCATTCTGGAATTAAATATGGCAGACCTTGCTCCGTCTGGAACACAATTCATCACGACAGTAAAGGGAGAAGGTGGCAATGTGTGCTGTTTCCTAATTCTCTCTAGAAGTGTAATATTACTTTTATTAACCTTTGTTTGGCCCAACCAAGATTAATAACAATGTCTACTTTGAGAGTAGATTCAGAAGAGCATTATTAACATTTTAACATTTTTTTAAAGGAGAGGTAAAGTAAAATATTTGTGAATGGCCCAACTTTATACAATATAAGTTTTTAAAATAATAAACACTATCTTTGCTGAAATTATGTTTTCTTCTGCTAGCATCTCCTCCTTTAAAATCCTCTGCAAATAAGTTAGTCCTCAAAGAGTAAGTCCTTAGGTTTCAGAGTGTGACCTATCTGTGGGTAAGTAAATCAACCATATAGCTTGCAATGTTGCTTAATTTTTAATTAATGTATATTAGAAGAAAATTGAATGGGATTGAAAACATCAGATATCACTGTATTTAGTATTGCTTTGTAAAACCTTGTTTAAATGCATATGTGGGTGTGTTTGTGTGTACATGTATATAAATGTATTCTTTATATTATATATAAATGTATTATATGTAATATAAATATATTATGTATAATATATATTAATGTATTATATAACTATATATAAATGTATTACATACATTGACTCCCCAAGCCAGGGCTATACCCTCTTTGGGACTTTGTGGTCCCTGGCTTCTCCAAGCTTCGCTACATTTCCCAGTGCCAGTCATGGAAGCTGCTTGTGGGACACCTGGTCCAGCTGCAACTTCACAGTTAGCCAGTGCCCATGCCAGAGTCCGATGCTACCCACCCTGCCACACCCAGCATGCCTGGCTGTGTGCAGTGATCAGAATCCATGCTTGCTTACACACCCCTTGCCACTTTGCACTTGGCTTGCCTTTGGCAGGCATGGGATCCAGGCCAGTAGCACAAGCTGAGCACAGCGTGCCATGCTGAGTGGGCAGAACAAGCCCAACAGCCGAGCAAAACTCAAGCAATGGTGCCACTGACCACAGAGGTTTCTGGCTGGTGAAGCAATACCCCAAGATTCCTGTGACACAGACATGAATGTTTTGTTAAAATGCCATTCCAGAAAATTCAGGAATGCAGTTACTGGTAATTGTGGCTATTCTAAAATGAAGTCAACAATAGAAGAAAAAATTAAGGAGAGGCCAGCATTTGTGTATAAAGAGAATGTAACCATTCTAACCTGAGGGATTAAAGCAAGAGGCTCCCAATTATATTAATCAGAATATCAGGAATATTTAGAATAATAAAGATCCAGACAATACTTCACACAGGTTTACAACATTATATGATTTAGTAGTGAGATATTTTATGTTGAATTTGTCACCTTAATCAGGTTTAGTGGTAAACTCATAATTATGTATGCATCGTATTTATTCTACTTGTTAACTCATGAGCAAATGCTACTTATGACCAGATACTGTCTTCCAAAAGGTGACTGTTGCATTGGAGTAACTGACATATTTTGCAACAACCAAACATTACACAGTAGCATAATTTTTAAGTAAACTTACCATAGGAAGAGTCTACACTTGCTTTTAAAAAAATGTGCACTAAATTGCTCTAGTGCCTTTTGAATTCCTCTTATCAATAAACATTATTAATGACAGTATGTGATAAAATAATATTTTAAGTCACTAACTGTATAAAATATGTCATGTAAAATTGGCAAATGAGTCTTTTCTGTAGGTAAAGATTAAGGTTGCTATTCTGATTAAGTGAAAACATATAATTATGTCTTTAATTAAATTCACCATGGTGTGACTCTTCTGATTACATGACAGTTAGACCAAGTGGGTTTCATTTAAAATAATGATCTAGTGTAAAACTGGAATTCTAGTCATCTGCTTGAAGAATGAGGTAAGAAACATTCCTGATGGTTATAATTCCACATATTCACAACACAAGGGCATTTAGTAACCTAAAAATGAGACAATCCATTTTACAGCCTGAGTATAAATAAAAATTCCAGGATTGACTGTCTTTCTATTAGTTCAAAATTAAGTCAAATATAAATAAATGTATCCAAATCTTATGTTTTACCCTAATTAATTCAAATGATCTAGAAAATAAGTCAGGCAAAAGATCTGTCAGTATGCTCTAGTTCTGACTTCATTTGTATCAAGTTTTTTAATACCACACTAATGTTAGGTCAATTTTGTAATAAAACAAGCAATACTCTTAAACCCTTTTCCAAATATAGAATAACTCCTCTGCAGGCTTCTCTGGAGTTAATATAAAAAGAATGAGTTTGAGCCATTTAATTAATTATGAGAGGTCATGTGCTCATAGGCAAAGTAATTTAACATCTGATGTATTCATTAAATTTACCAAGCAGAAATTTAATTTTTTATAATTATTACTAGAATTTATTTTTAAATACAAAATGGAAGCAATCAATAAAATTGCATTTAGAGGGCATCTATTACAGACAAACTACCTAGAATAGTGGAGTAATTTTTTGTTGCATCCCGGAGTTTTGTAATTACTTGTTTGCCAGTTTTCAATCAAATGTTTCCTAAAGGTAAAGAGCTATAACAATTTATTACACAAGTGCTTTAAGAGTGCTAAAAATGTCTAGCAAATTTAAAAAATGGGGTAACAGCAACGGAAAGCTTAAAATCAGAATTTGCTTGAAATGTGTTCTATGAAAAACAAAAGTGAATGTTTGAGGAGAATAAATCATGCATGCTATTTTTACTGAGTGAAAATAGATTTAGAAAGTTTCTTATGGACAACTGCCAAACTATTGTCTTATGTAAGTCTCCTGGATAAAATAGTTCTGTCTGATTCAACATGCTTTTTCTTAATATCTGAATTTAGACATATTAGATATATTTGTCTCAATTTAGCTTATTTGAAATTGGAATCATAATGTAGAAAAAATTGGTTTTGAAAATGTAATAGAATGTAAGAGAATAAGCGTAATTCTAATATTTAGGTCAAAGCTAATGAACTGTAACAATAGTGGGTTAGGCAGGGATTTAATTGACTCAAATTTACAAATCAGCAGACACACTGTGATTAGAAGTGTAGTGTTCAGAAACAATAGAGCTCTACTCCTCAGATCACACCTTACCTAGTCTGTTTATTTTTAAGATCAATTTTCAGTGAGGGATATTGACAAACTGAAGGATAACCAAAAGGGTTACACATTTGAAAATTAATGTGTTGTATAGTGGAATTAATTATCCTTCAGTGTGGGAAACTGCAAACCATAATAAGTTAAATACATATTTTCATTTAAAAGATTGTCTCATGAGGAGGAATGCATCCCACATCATACAGTTCAAAGATCAAAACCAGGACTAAAGGAAAGATGTCATGGAAGTTTCTTGATCATATCAGCACTTTTGCAATGATGAAAGCTATTATCACACTGTGATAAAATGAGTTCCCATAATGGTGAATGCTAAATTAAAGTGTTGATGACCCTATGACCTTTCAAGCAGCAGCTATTACTTCTAATTTTCGTATAGGATTGTGCTGAATGACCTCTATTATCTATTTATAATTTAAGACTGTAATTAATTTCATGTACTATGCTACATTATTCTAGTTGGTGGAAGCATATTTGTACACAGCTTCCTGTTGATGTCCCACTAGGGTGTTTGTAGAATATATTATGAAATATCCTATATAGAATATATCATGCAATAAAATGCATAGGTTAGTGTACAGCTCAATAATTTGTAGTGCAAGCTCAATGACAAATATGTTTGTTTCTGTACTCACCATTTCAGCAAAGATACAGACCATTATCATCACCTTAGGAAGATCCTGTTTTTCCTTTTAGGAAATCTCTTTCATGTCCTATCTAAAGCAAACATTGATCTGATCTTCACTATCATAATTGTGCCTGTTCTAGAGCTTCTTATAAGTGAAATTGTACAATATTTTCTGTTTGGCTTCTTTCATTCAACATAAACTGAGATTCTTCCATATTGTTGCATTATTGGCAATGACTATTTGCAACATTTATTTTTGTTGTTGTTGAGTAATATTCCATTGCATGGCTATACTATCACTTGGGCTGTTTACAGTATTAGATTTTTTAAAAATCAGAGCTCTATGAACATTAGTATAAATTCTTCCTGTGCTTATATACTCTCATTTATCTTTGGTGAATAACTGTAAGTTAAACTTCTTTGTGAAAGAATGAATGTGTGTTTAGCTTGATAAGAAATTGTCATATAGACTGTAAAATGGATATACCATTATATGGTCTTTTCAGTATAATGGATTCCGGTTGTTTCATGTCCTCAGCAACATTTGGTGTTGTCGTTCTTTCAAATTTAAGCCATGCTAGTGCACTGAATAATAGTAGTATCTTGTTGTTCTTAATTTGCATTCCCTTCATGACTAATGATATATTGAGTATTGTTTTACCCACTGGTTTTCCATTTACATAACTTTTGTTGTGAATTGCCTGTTCCAGTCTTTTTGTGTATTATTTAATTTTAATATCTTCTCATTATTGAGTTGTTGGAGTGTTTTTTGTACTCTATTTAAAGCTTTTTAGTTATGAATATGTTTTTTTTTTGGTTAATTTATGTATTGGTGCCATTTCTTTTTCTACAAAAAAAATATTGTAATGAATAGATATTTTTAACTTGGATGTAACCCATTTGTCCTCTATTTCATATGTAGCGCTTTCATGTCCTGGCCAAGAAATATTTACCTCCCCTAGGTTTGCAAATATTTTGTACTTTTAAAATATTTCTTTCTATGATTGATTTGCAAGTTAATTTTTGTATAAAGTGAGGTTGTGATCAAGGTATTTTGGTATTATTGTTATTTTATTTTTTAAAAATACAGATTATAGGTTATCCTAGCACTAACCAACAAGCTAAGGGTCATTTTATTCTGTAACCTATTTGATTAATGCTTTCTTTTCAGGAGAAAATAAAACATTATTTGTATTCCTGTGGGGTTGATTCCAATACATGTTTATTTTCACCCCCAGAAATATTAAAATTATATTTCTTATCACGACAACCTGAGGTTTAGATTTTTATTTAAAATATTGTAATTCATTATGTTTATGATATAATGTTCATTTCTCCCTGGACTCATCGTTTGACAACTGGGGGTTAACTAATAAATAGCTGGTTAAAATACTGGGACAGCAAAATGGTGAAATTATTAGGAATTACCTGGGTCAGAGATACTAGAGCTCTTACACACACACACACACACACATACACATACAAGTTATTCTCTGCAAGCTCCAAATCCAAAAAGGTGCACAAGACTAATAGGATTTTTGGTTTCTAGAGAAATTTCATACTATATTGAGGAACATACTAACCTATTATTCAAACTATTTTTTTCTTTGTTTTGTGTTTACCAATTTATTTTTATGAAAGTTAATTTGCATGGGACTCTGAGCAAAAGCCATCTCTCTTGGAGCTTCAAAGAGTAATAACCCAGATAATTCCTCTGAGAATGCCAAACAGGTTCAACGGTATTTGAAATGTCAGCCACTGTACTCACATTACTAGGAATTTTGGAATAAGTTCTTAACTGCCACCCATAACTGTTAAGATTTTACTATAAAGTGACTTGAGGCTGCTACTAAATACATTTCTTTGAAAGGCAACTGTTATTCTGGGCTTTATTTAAAACTGCTTTTATTATTATTATTATTAAAATTCTTCATTATAAGAATGCATAAATTATTATTTGATATCATATACCCATCATGAAATGGACTATGTCAGAACAACATTCCAGTAGGGAGGGAAATGTACAAACATGTTTCCACATCAAATGCTCAAGCACCTGTGTCGGAGGACCCCTGGAGGCACATATTGCCTACATGAAGAGTTTCTTCCATGTCTTTGAGTCTTGTTATTTTGGTTCCTCCTGAGGAGTTGCCCTCACTTCACTGCCAAATGAGTTCCTATATATGATCAGTTACTGGAGGTTGCTAAACAAGCAGCAGATTGGCCAGGAACGGTGGCTCACACCTGTAACCCCAGCACTTTGGGAAGCTGAGGCAGGCAGATCACCTGAGGTCAGGAGTTTGAGACCAGCTGGCCAACATGGCAAAACCCCGTCTCTACTAAAAAATACAAAAAATTAGCTGGGCATCATGGCGCCCACCTGTAATCCCAGCTACAGGGAGGCTGAGGCAGGAGAACCCAGGAGGCGAAAGTTGCAGTGAGCCAAGATCGCGCCACTGCACTCCAGCCTGGGTGACAAATTGAGACTCCATCTCAGTAAAAACAAACAAACCAACCAAAAAAACAAAAAAACAAAAACAAAAACAAAAACAAAAACAAAAAAAACACAGCAGGGTTTACTTTTCAACGGTGGAGAGCTGGCCTTCAATCTGGAAGCAGCTGTACTACAACTGGTGGATAATTGCACGTACTTCATAAGGGGTGAAGGTAAATCCACTCATTGGGAAGAAAATGGTGTTGCCCATGCTATCAGAGAAACTGGGGAGTGATAATAATAATAGTGTATGGATTTATATCAGTTTTGGACAGTAGCCAATAAACTGGCTATGTGGTCAAAAAATGGGCCTTAAATGACTGGAAACTAAAAGGAATCACAGTGTCGAGTGCTTATTATGAAAAATTATCATGCAGTTAGAGAAGGAAAAAAAAAGCATTTCTTACTTCAGCAGGGGAATAAAATAAACAAACTGATGACCTCAATCTTTTATTGGAAGTGGCCTCTTAGGTAGACATAATGAGAGGTAATTAAGTCATTTGAGCAATGCAACAATTAGCAGAATAAAAGGAGAATACTCCACTTTCTTCTTCAAAAATTTAACTTTGAATAACACTTGGCCTTTTGTCAAAAGACATATAAGCCTAAAGACAGTTATGTTTCATGTTACCAAGAGGATCAGGCTGACCCATAAATGACATATCTGTTACATTTAACCACCTTCCAGGATTCTAACTGAATAATTAGGGGATACTGACTTAAATTATATTGATTCTGGATTTGGACTTGCATATCTGATATCTGGTACCTGAACAAGATGCCATAAAGATACTAGGGGTCTTTGGCTAGAAACATTATTTCAGTTTGGATCCACTGCTTTGTCAAATGATGAAGAGATCATTTTTCTGCAGGTGCACCATAACACTTGTTTGAGGTTAAGAAACATGTACGATGAAAGTATCATTTTCCTTACAAGTCACAAGATAGTGGACTGATTTAAAAAAAAAAGGACAATTGAAACACCTGTTTGTAAAACTGAGGTTTCAGAAAAGACCGAAGAGATGAGTCACATGATTGAACAAATGTATGTAGAAGTGAAGAGGTCACCATCTAATCAATGGTTGAGATAAGGTAAGGAATATAGGAAAGCGATAATGGGGAATGGCATAGGAATTTACATACATTTTCACTTCTTCTATTTTTTTTTCTCTGCCTAAAATTGCAGTGGCAGGAAATGGATTAAATTTATGAAATCCTAAGAAAAGCTTGGTCACTAAACACGACATCATGATCATACCTTTAAATGTTGCTGTGAAAAAGAGACTTAAATATAATTGACATAAAAATAGGATTCCTAGAAAAGGATAAATGAACCTAAAAAACAGTCATATTGAGGGAAAAAACGTTGATTTTATTGGCTAATTAGAAGGGATGATATTTAAAAAGTGTCAAGAAATTTGAACACATAATATAGATTTAAAAATAGATTACACAAACTCAGCAAACAGTTGGACAACATGTTAAAGGAGGTCAAATTTGGGAAAGATCATGGACACTGATTCAAGATGAAAAATGAGGCATATTCCTACAGATATTCAAACAGACAGGTGAAGCATCTTGTTAGTAGAAGTACAGTAAATCGATGTACAGGATAATTATTATCCCACCAATCTATGAGAATTTAAACAGGTGGGGTATAATTTACACTTGGTTCCTCTGCCAACACCCAATGCCCAAATTAAAAACTGGCTGTGGGATCTCCTCCAAAACGATTTCTACCTGTTAATATCTGATACTGATATTACTTTACATTGTATATGGAACTTTGTGGATGTGATGAGTTGAGGATCTTTAGATGGAGAGGTTACCCTGCATGTGATCACAAGGTCCTTATAGGATGGAGTCAGAGGATCAGAGTCAAAAAAAGATGTAATGAGAAGAAGTAGAATTTGGAGGGATGTGGAGACACAAGCTGAGACATGCTGGTGGCCTCTAGAACCTGGAAAAGTCAAGGAAATTGTTCTTCCCTACCTCTTCCAGAAGGAATGCAACCTTTCCAATCCATTCTGTACAGAATATATCCAGAATGCATGTTTGCATCTGGTGACTGTTTTGACCTATTTCTGCTATTGAATATGGCCATGCTTCCAGAGGGTTATAAAATATAAAAAACACCACCTTGAGTATGAATGAGTCTTCCCCAAGCCAAGATATTATACATTTTTGGCAGTTCATGGTCTGGAGACAAATTACATCCTGTGTGATTGACAGTTAACCCTGGAAGATATGCCTCAATGTCTCAATCATCTTAGATGTTTGTCTGTATTTTCTTTCTACTGCTGTATTTTATCCTTTGACCATCATAAAAATCTTACAGTAGTATCCCTTGTTAACATCTTGAGTAATTGCTGTAATTGAAACCCTGTGTTGTCTCGAAATGCAGACACCTTGCAGTACCTGAATCTTGAGTGGGGGTCTGCTTATTCATGTGATTCATATTCAATTTTATTGGTGCTTTTAAATCACAAACAAGCGGCTGTTGTCCTGCAGATCCTGAAGAAATCAGAATTGCTAAAATCTATATTTTTAATTTATTTGTATAGTTTTTTAAATTTGTAGAAAATACTTATTCTAGGTTTTGTATATTGCTTTAAATGTATACGTTATGCTTATAAATTTAAAATACTCACATGGAACATATACAAATGGAAAGCACATACAGTTAAAAATATGATTAGTTTTTAACATTTTTACTTTGCAAAATGTTATATGAATAACCTGTGAAGTAAGAACCTCCTTGGGAATAAAATGAAAATTTAACAAATCACCAATTAATGTCAATGTTTCTTGAGAACTTATGCCATGCTTAGTGCTAAGTACTAGAGATATAAAGAACCCCAAACCAAAATTCCACCAAGCTTACAAGTTTGAGGGTTAAATGAACAAAACTAAGTTCAATAAAATCTGAAGAATTCTAAGATTATGAAAACTATAGATTGACATGAAAGTGCTGGTTTCATGGGTTATGTTTAACACATTTAATCAAAATGAATGGAGTGGGGTAGTGGTCAATAAATATATTCTGGAAAAAATTGATAACCAACTAAGATGCCAAGAATAGGTGTTAACCAGAAATCTCTGGGCCTGGGGAAACTGCACTGGGTAAGTGAGATTGAATGAACATCACATAGCAATAAAGAAAACAGGTGAAAGTGCCTTTTTTGAAGAAGTAAAATATTTCCTGTTGGCGAATAACAGAGTAATTGTGGTGGTAGAGTGACATGGTTTGATTCTGTGTCCCCACTCGAGTTTTATCTGGAATTGTATTTCCCACATGTCAAGGGAGAGACCTGTAATCTCCAAGTATCAAGGGAGGGAGGTGATTGGATCCTGGGGATGGTTTTCTCCATGGTGTTCTCATGATAGTGAGTGAGTTATCATGAGATCTAATGAATTTATAAGTGTTTGGAAGTTTCTCCTCCAGTCTTCTCTTTCCTGCCCAGTTGTGAAGAAGTTGCCTGCTTCCCCTTCCACCATAATTGTAAGTTTCCTGTGGCCTCCCCAGCCATGATGAACTGTGAGTCAATTAAACCTGTTTCTTTAATACATTGCTCACTCTCGTTCCATGGATGTGAGATATGGAGTCAAAGGAGATCATTTTGGAGCTTTAAGATTTAATGACTGTCCCACTGGATTTTGGACTTGCATGGGGTCTGTAGCCCCTTTGTTTTGGCCTATTTCTCCCATTTGGAATGGGAGCATTTATGCAATGCCTAAATCCCCATGGTATAAAAGTTACTAACTTGATTTTGATTTTACAGGCTCATAGGTGGAAGGCACTTGCCTTGTCTCAGATGAGACTTCAGACTGTGGACTTTTGAGTTAATGCTGGAATGAGTTAAGACTGGGGGACTGTTGGGAAGGGATGATTGGTTTTGAAATGTGAAAAGACATGAGATTTGCTAGGGGCAAGGGGCAGAATGATATGGTTTGGCTCTGTGTTCCAACCCAAATCTCATCTTGAATTTAATCCCCATGTATCAAGGGAGGGACCTGCAATTCCCAGGTGTTGTGGAAGGGAGGTGGTAATGGATTATGGGGGCAGCTTCCCCCATGCGGTTCTTGTGAAAATGAGTGAGTTCTCATCAGATCTGATGGGTTTTTATGTGTTTGAAAGTTTCTCCTTTGCTATTCTTTTTCTCGCCAACTTGTGAAGAAAGTGTCTGCTTCCTGTTCCACCATAATTGTAAGTTTCCTGAGGCTTCCTCAGTCATGCCAAATGGTGACTTAATTAAACCTCTTTCCTTTATAAATTACCAAGTCCCGGGTATTTAAAGCAGTGTGAACACAGACTAATACATGGAGGATTGTAGAAATGATATCAGATCACACCTCAGAGGTGCAAGAACACAAGTTTACATAGTTAGCAGTGGGGAAGAGACCCATAAGGTAGAATTCCAATGGCCTCTCATGCCCCTGTAGCACCTAAATGGAGAAATCATTCAACGTAACAATTTCCTGTTTCCGGTAATATGCTCCACCTATTGATCAATATTGGCTTCACAATGTTATTCTGGGTTTTACACTTGCCTTTCCATTTGAAATATTTTGTAACAATCTCCAGGTGATACCACATTTATCTCTTCAAAATGAGGTGATATCTGGAAATTAAATGAGCAAACCATTTCATCTTCCATTTTATTGTTGGATATTTTAAATAATAAAATAAAACATGCAGCAGATGTATGTTCCACTTATTCTGCCTGAATTGGAACCAGTGCTGAAATATTTTTATGATTTATTTTGCAGTCTTCAGTATTAATGAGGCTCTTATATAGTACATTTGAGAAAATGAATATATGGACAAACACACACAAACACAAACACACATATGACCACTTTTGCATTCTTGGAGTTTCCTATAGAATTTCAGATAATGGAAAAACGATGACCGATATTTTAGAAGTAAAATATTTGCTTCATGTACAGAATTGAATAAAAAATTATTGAAAACAAAACCTGTACATTGTTTCCTACCTTTCTGAAAATCCATCAGTTTCCTTCATTCTGGGATTCAAGCCAGAAGGATGGTGATATTCAAATAATGTTGTTTCCCTATGGTGATATTTATTATTCAATTAATTTTTTGATGCTTCCATCTCCTAGTTGCAAGAGTAATAAGAATTCCCCTAATTACTTTGCATGGCACATAAAGCTGTTTTGAGTGTTCTCAGAAAGCAAATTCTAATTAAGAAACTTAAAAAAAAACTGGGAAGTAATTTTACCTTATGATTTTCAGTGACTGTTGAAATTAAGGGTCAATATAGCAACAGTCAAGATTATAAACAAACCAAAACTCAAGTCTGTATCAAATCCTTTTTAATTTTTTTATAGTTTACAGAATTTTTAATGTAATTTTTATATTTATTATCTAGATTAAGTCTGTGATAATGAGGTATGAGATTCAGAATTATTTACAATGAATTTAAATTTAATAAATATTCTGAAATGATTATAGCCTTACATTACCTGGATTTTTTTTTTTCTGTTTTTGATATTTTGATGACTGTGCTGAATGTTTGCACAGTGGTTATTGTGCAGCCGATCAGAACTCTCCATTTTAGTCTGATGTTGTTACAAACATGAACAAATATGGTCACAAATACATTACTCCAAAGCCTTTATAGCAGAGATACTTCTTCATTTCATCATGTAAGCCATTTTAGAGGCTGGCATCACTATGAGTTAACTATACAATCAAGTATTCAGTCCAGTTGTGCACATATTTCTATAATCTTTCAGTCAGATAAAATGGCTATGTGGGAAAAAAGAAAGATAGCTAGAAATCAGATCTAAATTCTGGTCAAGAAAGTGAAAAAGTCCAGGTAAGCACGCAGGCTCTAAAGTCAAACTACTTCGTTCTAATCTCAGCTCTGCAATTTACCAGCCCTGTGATGCTTTGCTTCTCTGCTCTTCTTTTTTGTCTATGTAATAGGCTTAGTGATATTTCCTTTTTCACAGAGTTGTTTGAAATATCAATTATTTAATCAATAAAATCACATAAAATAGTCTCAAAAATAGTATGTGGTCAATTAATTCTTGTTTTTACTATTGTCACTGGTTACAGAAAACTAGGACATAACTCTACTTCTTGTAACTTTAACCAAAAAATGAGATGGTAAAATAAGCAAGTATAAATATAAACAAATTTTATTTCCAAACAATAGTTGATTATTATCTCAGAATTCTATAGTATCAACCTTCTGCCTTAATAGTGTTTCCTTTTATTTGCTCTACTTCACTCCTATTTAATTGCCTTGTCCAAACCATGGTTTCTACTACCTTTTTACTCTCTAACCACCAAATGCTCTCACTTTCCATTTTACTAAACTTAAATTCTGTGGCCTATCATCATAATCTTCATCTTTCACATATCCACAATTCCCATTAACATCCTCATTTTATGCAAGTAGGAAAAGCACAGGTTAAGTCCAATTATTTACTTGTTCATATCTTCTCATCATGCAGGCATGAGAGGACTAGTGAAAAAAAATCATTATGAATGACTTCATTTTAATTTGATCACCTCCAGTAGGCCCTATACCTCTAGGGAATCCTATAATCTTTCCCTGGACTAATTACTCTTCAATTATCTTAAATAAATATTTAAGTATCCTATTTCCTCAAACTTCCAATGTGTAGTACTGCCTTCAGACATATGGAGAAGTAAATAATTAAATGGTTTCAAAATCATAGATAGGGATTAAGATGCATTTTTTAGACTGGGTTTCCAAATATGGGCTCCAGAATAACAGACACATTAGTAGAAGCACATAATTCAACCATCTTTGAGACTGTGTTGGAATCAACAGTCCTCTTTTGCAACTCTGGCTGCACCAACACCATTATTACTTGAAATCAAAGAATTTGATAAATGGCATCTGTACATCATAGAATATCTGAAGCTGTCGTTTTCTCCACCTGCAGAAGCAATCCTTGAGTGTCAGGAAAATGGCTGCTGTTTTACTTCACCTTTCCAAGTTTGTTTCAAGTTTATTTAATGATCAGAATATCATTTGAATTCCCCTCCTCCCCCGCCACACACACCTCGACATTTCATCCCCCTTACTTCTATGTCCATGAAACTTACCACATCAAATGATGTACTGTGTGCTTTGTTCACCTTTGAATCCTCGTGCCTCCGAAGATGCAACCTGAGACCCCTCATCTTCTGCCTTCACTGGGCACTTTTGTCTTGACTTACGGTTTCCTTCTTGACCCTGGTGTGGGAACTTGTTCTTGTGAAGGCATAGGGCTATACAGACAGGAAGTGTGAGGGAGTTAATTCTTCATAGTGTGAACTTTTACCAGTTGGAAGCCAACTAGCTTTGTTTTCCTGCAATCATACTTTCTGAATTTCATCAACTCTGCATTGTACAGGTCGAGTATTGTCAATATTTTTTCATCTTTCTCCACAAACATCTATAAATACATATAACTTTCTTTTGTTCTTCAGTTTAATAACATGTACTCACAATTAAATATTGTGCTTAGATCCATCAAAATCCAAAGTTCAAAGAATCTTTGTCTGTGGGCAGTAGAATCTATTCCTCCTTCTTTCTAACTTGAGATAAGTCTCAAGAGATTACACAATAAACATGTTGCTCCTATGATGGTGTCAGCAGTCTCAGAAATTCATCATCTTGGTCCATTTTGTGCTTCTATAACAAAATACTTGAAACTGGGTAGCTAATAATAATCAGAAAAGTATTTCTCATAATTTTGAAGGCTGAGAAGTTCAGGATCCAGGCTCTAGCAGGTTTGGTTGTCTAGGAAATGGTTGCTCTCTGCTTCCAAGATGGTTGCTTGTTGCTAAATCCTCCAGAGGGGGAAATGCTGTGTCCTCACATGGTGGGAGGCAGAAGCACAGCTAGAACCAAATGGTGTGTGAAGCCTCTTGTATAAGGACCTTAGTCCAACTAATGAGGGAAGAAGTCCTCATGACCTAATCACCTCTTTAAAGCATCACCTCTTTATTTTTTATTTATTTTATTTTTATTTATTTATTTATTTATTTATTTTATTATTATTATACTTTAAGTTTTAGGGTACATGTCCACAATGTGCAGGCTAGTTACACATGTATACAAGCATCAACCTCTTAATATCATTGTATTGGACCAGGCATGGTGGCTTATGTCTGTAATCCCAACACTTTGGGAAGCGAAGTCAGGCAGATTACTTGAGGTCATGAGTTGAAGACCAGTCTGTCCAATATGGTGAACCCCAACTCTACTAAAAACTACAAAAATTAGCTGGGTTTGGTGGCACGCGCATGTAGTCCCAGCTACTCAGGAGGCTGAGGCAGGAGAATTGCTTGAACCTCAAAGGTGGAGGTTGCAGTGAACCGAGATGGTGCCACTGCACTCCAACCTGGGTGACAGAGAAAGACTCTGTCTCAAAGGAACAAAACAAAACAAAGCAAATCATCACATTGGCAACACCTGAATTTTGGAAGGAACACATTCAAACCATAGCATTCATCTAACATTCATTGTTGTGAAAGACCCATAGAAAGTTATATTTCTATGAGATGAACAACACAAGTGCTATGAGTTGAATTGTGTCCCTCCCCCCAGAATTAATATGTTGAAGTCCTAATCTGTAGTACTTCAGAATGTAACTGTATTTGGAGATAAAATATTTAAGGAGCTAATTAAATTAAATTAGGTCGTTAGGGTGCAGATTTAATTTAATATGACTGGTATCCTTGTAAGAAGAGGAGATTAGATTGTAGAACACACAGACAGAGGGAGACAGTGTGAGGATACAGTGAGAAAGCACACAACTGCAAGCAGAGTGGAAAAGCCTCAGGAGGAGTCAAACCTGCAGACACCATGTTCTTAAACTTCTGGCCTCCAGAATTGTGTGAAAATAATTTATGTTGTTCAAGCCATTTAATGTGTCTTATTTTGTTATGGCAGTCTCAGCAAATTAATGCAATTAGGTATTCACTAAAATACTTAGCAATCATTTAAAATATTTTTCCAGTACTATTTTTGCATTTTATTAAGTATGTTTGCCCCCTTTCCATTTAAAAAAATACCAAATAGCTAGTCTCATCAAATAAAACATTATAATTAAGTACTTTAAAAAATATCTCACCACATATATCAAACAATGGACATTTAGGCTATTTTTAGAAAGGCAATTAAATAGGATATTTAACCAAGAAAATTCACTTTTGTTTAAAACTTTCAAAGTAGATAATTTTCGAATCCTTTTCTCTTTTAATGTGTTAGACTTTGGACATGAAAAATACAATCATGCACTTCTAGTGTTTTCTAATACAGTAGTTTACCTACCTCTCCAGAAATCTAAGTATGCAGATGTTGGATAACAGCTACTGGACAGAGGTGATCCTACAATTATATTATTTCTTCATCACGTTGCCTTGTCCAAATACGTATAAGCTGTCTAGAGTCTGTAACAACAGGGCCTCAGTTAAACACAAAAATAAAGTGATTATATGAAGAATAATGTTTGTATCAAGATGCAAGATGTTAACAAATAATTCATCTAAAGGTTAAATTATAATCATCAATAGAATATATCCATTTTCTATAAATTTTATATGTGGAGAAATTCAAGCTAAAATAAAATAAGTTTTATTGGAAAATGTGTTCAGTATACTATCCCTTAAAATTTTTAATTGAGCTGTGTATCCTCTGTAAAAAGGTTTGAGATGCAGAACTCTTGACAATACAACCATGAAATGAGAGTTTGCAAAGAAGTCTATGCAGCCACCTCATCTGGCTGCCATGAGTTTCTACCTCTGGTCACAATGCTTGCCTGAGAATATCGGAATTTGTTTTTCTCTTCCTTCCAATATTCACATGATTTAATCCCACTGGTAAACTCTAACCTGGAAAGAGATTCTTGGACATGTAGTTTCTGCATTCTTCTCTTGACTACAGAGGAGACCTTGGATGCAAACGGTAGTCATGTAACTCACAAAACACAATTTCTCTTTCAAAGGTTTCAATATTGTAGATTTGCCATCAAGAGACCAGATAATCTTTGAGAAATAGTGATATATGATGCTGATCCCTGTTAAATATGCAAGGATTGTAAACATTAGTAAATAAATTGGTCTTGGAAAGTATAAAAGTCTCTGTACTTGGAACCATGCTTAACCCCATCTCTGCCACTGTTATGACTCCGTTTATATTGGTGTGTCCTGGGGTGTCCAAAAACAAATACAGTCAGAGACTGAGGCAGGAGAATCGCTTGAACCTGGGAGGCGGAGGTTGCAGTGAGCCACTGCACTCCAGTCTGGCTGACAGAGTGGGACTCAGTCTCAAAACAAACAAACAAACAAACCAAATACTGTCAGCATATGGACAATCTGTTGTCCACTTTGTTATATATGCTGCCTCCATATTCCTCTAACACAGTACTCCTTGTCCTTGAAGTTCCAGTACTTGTACTTACAGGCCCTGTCATCCCCATTAAGATGCTAATATATTCCCAGTCCTTCCTGCTGCTATAGCTCTTACTATTGGTTACTCCAACTGCTAAGAACATCAATCCCAGCAGCGCACCTACTGGACCTCATTTATTATATGGTCCCTGTAATTCCAGACTGTAAAAGGGGATCCACAATGAGACTTTGGGTATCCAAATTGTAACTGGTCCAGGAATAGAGCAAAGAACCACGATTTTTATTGGGATGACTCTCATCACCCTCTTACCCTCTTCTGAGTGTAGATATTAAATAGAACCTTATTTTTTACTTCTAAAGAAGACAGCTTCCACTGTCACTACAACTCCCAGTGTCTGACTTTCTGACTTTGCCAATTCTTATGAATTCTGTGGTTATGTGCCACCATCTGGTCTCTGTTGATCCAGGATGTCATATTCTCCATCACTATTAACAAACTAAACCCTGTGACTACCTCTTCTACCATCAGTCCTGATCTGCAAAAGATAGCTAATCTTTTATGATGTTGGTGCCCTAATTAACAGCATATTTCTGATGATCTTAGTGAATAGTGGGTCTTCTGGGACCTCTCATATATGACAATCATCTGGTAAGTTTCATGGCCTCACACAACCTCATTTTATCACAGCTACTTTTCTGAGCTTTTTAAAAATTCCTTCCTCTACCATCTGGCATAGAAACATATATTTAAACTTCATGTAGCATAGACGATTACATTTTCTAGGCTTCTACTTAACTGTGGAGTGAATTTGCCCTACACCCTAAGGTTCTAAACCAAATGTTAAATCTTGTGTTTCATAAAGGGCCTCTAGTTAGTGATTTATTACTTATCCATTTTACATTCTAGGTCCCTTGATGAAGAAGTCTCAAAATATACTTTAGTCATATTTCTCTTTGAGGCCCAGCATATTGCCAGATGGCTTATACTGGAAATTAATGGTAATTATTGGTTAACATCTAGGACACAAGGTAGGCCACATTCCTATAGGAAACATCTATTGCCTTATGAGGAAGTGAATTGTAAAGGGTCTTTTCACATGTGATATGGTTTGGCTCTGTGTCCGCACCCAAATTTCATTTGGAATTGTAATCCCCACGTGTCTACAGAAGAACCTCGTGGGAGGTGATTGGATCATGGGGGAGGTTTCCCCATGCTCTTCTCGTGATAGTGAGGGAGTTCTCACAAGGTCTGATGGTTTAAAAATGGCAGTTTCCCCTGAGTTCTCTATCTCTGTCTCTCTCCTGATACTGTATGAAGATGGTGTCTGCCTCCCCTTTGCCTTCCACCATGATTGTAAGTTTCCTGAGGCCTCCCCTTGCAGAACTTTGAGAAAAATAAACCTCTTTTGATTATAAATTACCCAGTCTTAGGTAGTATCTTTATAGCAGTGTGAAAACAGACTAATGCAACATGGTAGAAACGTAAACTCTTACTTAAGAAGGGTGGGCCAAAAACATGTTGCACATATTAAATATAAACAATTTTTTTTGAGACAAAGTCTTGCTCTGTCACTCAGGCTGGAGTGCATTGGCACAATCTCGGCTCACTGCAACCTCTGCCTTTCAGGTTCAAGTGATTCTCCTGCCTCAGCTTCCTGAGTAGCTGGGATTACAGGCACCCGCCAACACACCTGGCTAATTTTTGAAATGTTAATAGAGACAAGGTTTCACCATGTTGGCCAGGCTGGTCTCGAACTCCTGACCTCAAGTGATCCACCCGCCTTAGCCTCCCAAAGTGCTGGGATTTCAGACATGAGCCACCACGCCCAGCCAACAATTTTTTTTAAAAGGGTGAGTCACTGTTGCAAGCTGGCATAGATATAGCATGCCATATTTTAGAGTTTCAGATTTTCTCAATTAGGACCTGTTTACAGCATGACAGATCTAATTTAGCTAATCATTTCAACATATTTGGAGCTCTGTGACTCTACTAAGACTTGTACTTGCATCTCAGCTGTATCCTTTCTTACACTCCTTATAAGCTGTATAAGAGGCCAACTTTCACTGTTAAATATTATTTGTGCAATGGCACCAGTTTTTTTTTTTTTTATCATTTCTTTGTGGTATCTCAATACACCTTAGGCTTTAGAAGTTAATTTCATTATCCTAACATGCATACCCCATTCATTGCCCTTGCCCTTTCAAATGTCTAAATCATCTCACTGAGAAGAGCTTTCCCTTATATCAGTCTGTTTTCCTAGGTCACCACTGGTGACATATTTGTAAGTTGGGTCACCACCTAGTTTCAAAAACTATCTGCACCCAACCAAACATGCTACTTAGGATGCAATATTGATTGCCATTCAGAAGGTGGTAACACAATTATTTTACCTAATCTTACCACCAGCTTTTTCAAGCAACTTCAGTTCCCAATTGTGTCAGCTTATGTCTTCTGGGATGCACACTCCAGGATAAAATTAGAAGAGCGGTGATTTGGAGGGAGCAATGCCTATGAAATTTGAAAAATGAGCGAGTGCAAAAATAGGCATGTCAAGTCTCAGGCTCTGATGTAAGTCTGACACCTGTGAAGGGAGAGAGAAAAGGAAGAAAGATTGGAGTAAGAAGAGCAGGGCAGCTCTGAGAGGTTTTGCCAGGTCTCCAAAGAGGTTAAGAGAAGAAAATACCCATTAAAGGAATTCCACTTTTGACAAAAATATTTTAATTCTGTCAATCTTGCTATGCTGAGGCATTGGTTAATGGCATTTCCACTAAGAACACGTTCTTTTTTTTGGGGGGGGATGGGGAGGGGGACAGAGTCTGTTTTCTGCTTTTCTTCCTTTTCTTACATGTATCATATACGCATTGCAGTCGAAGAATTTCTTTCTCCAACTCCAATTTGTCCTCATTTTTATCTTTCACAGGTATTAACCCCTAATAAGCCTCTTGGACACCTCACTCAATCCCAGCATTAACTACTCATAATTACATATATCCAAGAAGTCAATAAATCATTATCTGCAAATGTACACTTTTAAATATATAGGTGGAACAATTACCCCATTAATTTGACGAGTGTAAAACATAATTATAGCTGACTGAAACTTTAAACAGTTTTTTATTGTTGTTGTTGTTGCTTTGTTTTGCCTTTTTTGCTAGTGGATGCATACAAATTGTTTTATTTCAATTATTTGGACCGTTTTCTTCTTTTACCTCTTAACATTATATATGAAAGAATTTAACCAATTGCAAAAGTGAGTCTTGTAAATAAAGTCCTCTCTATTATGGACTTTAACTTTGTTCTTAAAATATCATCATAGGGTATGTAAATAAATACCTTAATAATACTACCCTTACCCAAGGGAAAAGTGTAGTAACAATACAACAGTTAACTCAACTTTTTATTTTTCAAGCGTGCTATTTACTGTAACATCCTTTCTGCTTGGATTCTCAATGATCCATTCTTGGGTATTTTTACTGGTATCTTCCTTTCTGTCTCATCTTTGTCTGTCAATTTAACTTTTAGATGCTGATACTTTAAAGTATAAGTATTAAAGGGGACTTTCCATTATATCCCAAATTCTGTTATATATTACTACAGAGGATTTTTTTTGCCTCCTGCTAATCGCTCATATATTATGATTATTTACTCATCCGCAAGTTTCATAATAATATATATCTCAATAAGGACTATCACTTTAAAGTTTAAATTTACTTCTTAAATCTATGTATTTACATGAATGACTTTAAGCTTCTGTATTTGTTTTAAAACATCTGTGTGTATTTTTTCATTTTTTTTAAGGGGTGAGGTCTCGTATTGTTGTCCAGGCTGATCACGAACTTCTAGGCTCAAGCAATCCTCCAGCATCGGCCTCCCAAAGTGCTGGAGTTACAGGCATGAACCATTGTGCCTAACCATAGAATTATTTGTACGTTTTTGTTATGAAAGATTAGGGTGACTATAAATAAATAAATTGTGTGGTTGTAGTTCAAGTTAGTGTTACTGATTATGGTAAGCAGAGTTCTAAAGATTCCCATTTTCAGGGAATTAATCCAAACACAAATCTCAGTACTGCTGTCAGGGGACTTTGCAGATGTAACTAAAGTGAATCAGCTCCCCTTAAAATAACGACATTACTCTTAATTATTCAGATGTGTTCAACATAATCACAGAAGCCATAAAGACAGATAATTTTTCTTTGGTTAGGGGCTGAGAGATATGTCAGAAGATGAAGTCAGAACACAAGAGGAAGAAAGGAAGGTGAGAGAGTCTTGAAGTGTGAGGAGGTAGGAGGCCTCTGTAGGCTAGATTGACTGCTGGCCATTAAGGAAACAGGGACTGCAGTTTTACAACCACTGGGCACCGGATTTGAGCAACAACTTGAATGGGCATAAGAGCCAGTTCTTCCAAGAGTCTCCTGACAAAGAGCCAAGCCAGCCAACAGCTTGATTTTGCCCTTGTGAAACTGAAAACAAAGAAACCAGCTGAGCCAGCTTGGATGTTTGGCCTACAGAACTGAGAAATAATAAATCTGTGTTCTTTAAAGTTATTACATTTGTGGCAACCTGTTATAAGAGAAAGAGGAAACTTACAAACTGATAGAGGATTTTTTCTTAGATTTTATATTGTAAATTTGCATATAATATGAATACCAAGCCTTTATAATATCAGATTGGTGGAAAGGTAATTACGGTTTTTGCAATGCAAAGTAATAGCGAAAATCACAATTACTTTTGCACCAACCTAATACAATACCCAGATTCAGTCTGAAGTTTCCACTGGGCTTCAAAGATATTTTATATTCTTTCTGCCCTTTGTGTGGTGACCATGGGGGTCACATGCTGGAAACAGTGGCATCAAAGAGGTAAGGAGACTGTAAAAACAGGTTGTTACTTCAAGGATTGCCACTCATGTGAAATAGACAATCTTCATTGAAGTGTGCCACGACCTAGAAGTTAAACATATAGTGTTAAACCACTGAGATGTTATTGTTCTCTTGTGTATGTGTGTGGGATGGATGTAGAGAAAATCATATAAGCAAAACGTTTCGTTATTCTGCTTCTGAGATGTTGGGAGGTACTTCATCCCTCCTAAGGGGCTCAGTGAATGCATTTGATGAAAAGAGTATGCAAAGAAAGTTTTGACTTACAGTAATTTTGACTTATTCTCAGATGATGGAAATATATATGGGATAACAAGAAGCAGGTATCATTGTTTTTTTCAGTGTTGATATTAAGTATTATATTAGTCCATTTTCATGCTGCTCATACAGGCACACATGAGACTGGGTAATTTATAAAGAGAAAGAGGTTTAATGGACTCACAGTTCCACGTGGCTGAGGAGGCCTCACAATCATGGCAGAAGGCAAAGGCACATCTTACATGGTGGCAGCCAAGACAGAATGAGAGCCAAGTGAAAGGGGAAACTCCTTATAAAACCATCAGATCTCATGAGACTTACTCACTACCATGAGAACAGTTTCAGGGAAACTGCCCCCATGATTCAATTATTTCCCACCAGGTCCCTCCCACAACATGTGGGAATTATGGGAGCTAAAATACAAGATGAGATTTGGGTGGGGACACAGTCAAACCATATCAAGTATTTCTGTTTGTTTGTTTGTTTTTTGAGATGGAGTCTTGCTCTGTCAGCCAGGCTGGAGTACAGTGGTACAATCTCAGCTCACTGCAACCTCCAACTCCCAGGTTCAAGCAATTCTCCTGCCTCAGCCTCTCTAATAGCTGGGATTACAGGTGTGCACCACCACGCTTGGCTAATTTTTGTATTTTTAGTAGAGATGGGGTTTCACTATGTGGGCCAGGCTGGTCTCAAACTCCTGAACTCAGGTGATCTGACCCCCTTGGGCTCCAAAAGTGCTGAGATTACAGGCATTAGCCACCACACCCAGCCCCTATCAAGTATTAATATGAGTTTCTCCTGGATCCAACAGTCTCATCAGGTATAAAATTAAATATGCTAGTGCAACATCTTTGCCTTTCCATGTATTCTCCTTGATATGCAGAACTAGGGTTGATAATGGCCATGACCTCAGCAATATTAACACTATTATGGTTGGAATATTATGCAGCCATAAAAAAGTGAGATCATGACTTTTGAGGGAACATGGATGGAGCTGGAGGCTACTATCCTTAGCAAACTAACACAGGAACATAAAACCAAATACCACATGTTCCCACGTTTAAGTTGGAGCTAAATGATAAGAACTGAAGAACACAGAGAAGGAAACGACAGAAACTGGGGTCTATTTGAGAGTGGAGGGTGGGAGTAGGGAGAGGAACAGAAAAGATACCTATTGGGTACTGGGCTTACTACCTGGGTGATGAAATAATATGTACAGCAAACCCCTGTGACACATGTTTACCTATGTAACAAACATTCACATGTACCCCCAAACCTAAAATAAGTTAAAAAAAAAAAAGAGCACACATCTGGTTTCTCAGATGGTAAGAAATACATCTGAGGACAGAAAACAAAGGGATCAAGGCTGGGAGATGGCACTAAGCATGTGGAGTTAGCCTAAAATCGGAAGGTTACTAGAGGTCCTTTGAACGAGGGTATGACCTGGTGAAGATGATTTTATTAACAGTGTGAAAGATGAATGTGAGGGTCTTGACACTGGAGGTAGAAACTGACCATAGTGAGCCAGCAGTGCTGGAGAGAAGGAGACAGATGTGAGAACTATTTCAGAAACAGCATGTGGCAACTTGTAGAAGTATGGAGTGTTGAAGGAAATGAGGAAAGGGCAGTCTGCAGAAACTAACAGTTCCTGTCATTGATGTTTTGATGATTTGTATCACCATAATCTGATTGAAAGTGTTCAAGAGGAAAAAATATGCCCTATGCATTTTTTTAAGTTTTATTTTTGTAGATGGGGCCTTGCTCTGTCATCCAAGCTATAGTGCAGTGACATAATAGCTCACAGTAACCTGGAACTCCTGGGCTTAAGCAAGCCTCTCACCTCAGCTTCTTGAGTAGCAAGGATAACAGGTGCACCACCATGCCCAGCTAATTTTATTGTTTATGTATTTATTTATTTATTTATTTTTGGTAGGGACAGTATCTCACTATATTGCTCAGGCTGATCTCGAACTCTTGGCCTCAAGCAATCCTACCATTCTGGCCTCTTGATGTTCTGGGATTACAGGCATGAGCCACCACATATGTTTTATGCATATATTTTTCTCTGAGTTTCTTCAAATGTGGTTTCATGTTCATAATCTAAATTTCAGTAGAGATGAATGGAATTGCTATCATGTATTACCTGATACAACAGCTCATTCGGTTATTGTTCTAATTATGTGAATGAACAGGTTAATGTACTGTAAAATTCCAGTCTATAGAGAAAAGCATCACCAGGTCTGAGATCCAAATAGGACGTTTAGAGTGGTTTTACCTATGGCTTTTAAATTAAAAACCTAATGTGTTTTCACCTTCAATTAAGCACAATTGCCAAGTATAATTGACCATAGTAATATAACTAGTAATTTGAGGACATTCAACATGCACATGCTGTACACACTTAAAAATGGGTTTAGCTTATTTCATGGAGCTTTAGGCCTAGAAATCACTTCATGAAAAATCTAATTTAAACCTTTCTCTGTAAGGAGGAGAAATAATTATGAATTGCGGTTGCTCAGCAAGTACCAAAGGAAAAACCAGGCCTAACCCTTACATGAAACAAAGTCAGGACAAAGCATTCTCCATTTGTCATTGTTTCCAGAATTCATGTTTATTAACTAGCATTCCCATCTGTCTCCTTCTTCCATACTCACTCTCCACCAATCAATTCATAACCTTTTTTCATTCTCCTATCTGGCTACCAGGCATTAGTGGCTCAGATAGGATACATCACCAGTGCATTTTTAAAATGAGAAGGTTTCAGACACAAAACAGTGCTAGTTCCATTTAGAAAACTTAGGTATTAGTGAGATTGGAAAAGACAGGGTTAGAAAACGTAGATATTGGAGAGATAGAAAGAGACAGAGGGAGGGAGAAAGAGAATCTTGTCACTAATTTAATCCCATTAAAGAAAAACCTTAGATGTGTTCTTTCTGAAGGAAAAAAAAAAGGGAGAGGTAAAAATGTGGTTATGTTTAACCACACCAGATTATTATATATTTTAAAACCTTTCCAAATAACTATTTTTTATTTTGTTCATTCTCTCCATTGTGTGCTTTGTTTTTTCCTTTTTCTTTACTTTGATTTCATCATTATCATTCCCTTCTTTCTGCATTCTATAGGTCAATTTTTTCAATCCTAACTTTCTGAGATAGATGGGATAGATTAATTTTCTCATTTATGTTGCATACCTATTACTGGTCATTACTGCTATGTATTTTTGTCTTTATACTGCTTTTGTGCATTCTTCAAGTCATCACCTGTATTACTTTGGTATAATTCAGTTAGAGATATTTTTTAATTCTATTATGAATTTACAGGTAATGGATTGTTTAGTCTTTTATTTGTTGATTTCCAAGTTTGTAAGGACAATCTAGTTATCTTTTATTACTGATTTATCAATTAACATTTTGAAATATTTTACTATTTTATTATTTTATTAATTACTAAGAAATATTTTGCTGAAATTGTCGGTTTGTCTATTTCCCCTTGGTTTTCTGTAAATTAGTGAGTCTGCATTTTAAAATAGTATCATTAAGTTCTTATATATTTCTTACAACCTTTTAGGAATTCATTTTATTATCAATATTAAACATTCCATTCATCTCTAGCAATGTATTTTTGTCTTAAAATTAGTTCATCTGGCATTAATATAGGTTAATGTTTGATTGGAATATTCTTTTTCATTGTTTTTATTTGTAAATTTGCTGTGGTTATGATTCAGTGTTTCTCTTCTAAATAACTTAGGGTTTTTTTTTTCCATTTTGGAAGTATTTTTCATTGGCCAATTAATGTAATTTTATATATATATATATATGTATGTGTATATATATACATATAGATGTGTGTATATATGTATATAACATAATTATACATAAATATAATAAGTGCTTTCTATTTGTTCCTCTAATGATATATTTTTTCTCTCTTTGTTTTCCTTATTCTGTATCTTTTTTGTTTTTTCTGCTTCTATTCTGTTTCGATGTTATACACAATATTTTATTACCATTTAATAGTAATTGTTCCATAAGGAACTTCACATCAAAGTATCTCAGACTTATAAGAGTCTTACATTGCTGACTACTTTTTATTCTTCTCTAAACAATGAACTGCCCTTTTATTTCCCCCTCCACAAGAATATCCTATCATTTTGCTGTGCCTTAATTAAGTCTATATTATAAATTTTAAATAATATTGCTCTTTTGGTTTTATATAGTCAAAATTTATTTGAACATAGAATATTTATCTTTAACTTTTCACCTGCATGAACAATACATTCTAGTATTTCCTTCAGTATAATTATGCTGGTTACAAATTTTCTCTCTCTCCTTCTCCTTCTTATCCTCTCTCTCTTCTCTTTCCTCTCTCTTTTGGCTTTCAAATGTATACATATTACCTTAATTACAAAAGGGTATTATTATAGGTAGTAATATTTTTTTAGTACATGGCAGACTGCATTCAGTATACAGCATTTGCAGCATTAGAATTATTTATCTTTTTGTTTCTGGCTTTAAAAATATCTCCTATTTGCCTTTGCTTTCTGCAGAAATAGCAGTGGTAGATTTACATGTTTCATGCTGCTTAGAGTTTTGTGGATTTCTTATATTTTTATTGTTTTCATTTATTTCATTAGTATAGAAACATTCTTAACCTCTATCTGTTCATTAACTATAAATTTTTCTACATTCTGTATTTTTCTTCTGGTAATCCAGACATTAGATTTCTCTTACTATCCCCTGTATCTTTGATTTGTCAAAAATATACACTTATTTTTCACAACATGATAGCTGCAGTCTGTTCCAATTGCCTGAAATTATCCCCACAAGCATTTTGTGCAGATGACTGATTCAAAAGTTCAGAAATCAGTTCAAATATCAGTGCTTTAGAAAAAATGTCTCCCTATTACATCTGTTGACTTACCCAATCTCACCATAACTCTATTTTCTCCATTTCCTCATTTACTATTTTTTGTGTGTTTTTGCTCACTTTTAAACCTGAATAAACTCTATAACTCCAAGGAGCTTATTTGTTTAATTTATGATAGCTATGCCATCTATAAAATTGAAGACCAAATGTACTTAATAAATATCATTTAAATTAATAAATAAAAGCATGAGGTAATAGTTATAACTACATCATAAGATTGTTAGAATTACATAACATAATGCTCATGCTTTATGAGCATACTAATGCTTATTAGTACCATGCATGGCATCAAGCAAGGTTTCTATTTTGACCATCACCATTATCATATTACTTATACACACAGTAAGATAAAATACTATTCAATGAACTTGGGATCACAACCAAATTAATCTTCCAATTTTGGCGTTCTATGATATTCTTAGAAATGAATATCACTAACAAGTTAATTCCAATCTCATATCTATTTAAGAAGACAACATACGGAACTGCAACTGCTTTAACAAGTTCTATCTCTACACTGCCAAGAGCTTTTACTTTCCACTCATACGATATTCTATGGTCAGCTCAATCACCTGTTCCCTTGTATTCCTTCTTTTAATATTAGAAGATTATGATTCTTAAGTATGATTTTTATGATAAAATTTTAACCGCAATTTTTGAAATAACAATAATAAACTTTGAAATCTTAAAATTTCATTTTAACTCAGAATCCATAAAGAAATTACCTTCTCATATAAACTGAAAATTGTATGAAGCAAAATTTAAGTTGGTATTAAATTAATATTGTTTTACATTGGCTATCTTCCAGGGAATAGAGTTGGAGTACAATAAAGATGCAAGGAAAGCACATACTTCTTAGCTCTGCAAGTTATTAATAGGTCCAAATACAAGCAATGAACACATCATATTGAAACAAATCAGTTGGCAGTGGGATTTATCAGTTCACTAGGCATTTGAAGCCTGTTTAGTGATAATGAAATATCTTAAAACAAATTCTAAAAATTGTAATTTGTAGCAATATTTGTAATTTCTGTATTATGATCATGCTATATCCATTTCCAAATATCTTATCAACAGCCATTTTATACCTTAAATGAATAGTGATATGTCACATTTGATCTCTGACAATTTTGTTTACCACTATTATCACCACATCATTTTTATGGTAAGATAGCAGTGCTAGGAAATTCCATTTATGACAATTTGTACATTTTCATGAGATATCCTGAGCATCACATGCAGAGGACAGTCATATATTCACTCACCTTAGTGTGAGTGACCATGAGAATTGACTTTTCATGTGTGTAATACGTGCACATTACATGTTATTGAAATCTAAGAGAATATTATTTTAATAGAATAGTTAAAAAGTAATGCTGTATTCATAAGCAATAACTTGACTTTTACATATATATGTAGAAAATTCTCTCCACTCAGGAAATCACATTAAAATAAACTGAAACCATTTTTCTTATTTCAGTGGTCCATTTTGTGAAACAGATTTCAGTGAGAACAAAATAATTGAAACCTGTTGTTTCAATAACTCTTCCAACAAACTTAATAAAATTAATCCGTTGTACATCCAGACACAAACTGTCAGACTAAAAACTATAATCTGATGTAATTGAAACCTATTCTATTTGCCAAGTGTTTAAAAGGTATTTCCATATATCTCTTCCCTAAATTTTTATGAGGTGTCCGAAAGGACACGTTACTATTTGTAATATTTTTCTGGGCTCCGGATATGGCCAATTTTAAAAATGATGTGTTTGTTTTAGTTTCACTTTAAAGTGTTGTAAGATGTTAACCTCAGAGCTCAACCAACAGACCAGAATAATAGTAAAAAAATAAAATAAAAATTCTCACCTCTTTATATTCAAAGCTTTTGAAATCCTTGATCCTCCATGTCAGCTTGTGCAGCTTCTCAAAAGAGTTTCTCATGTTTTTCCTGCCCTTAACCTCCTAAATTGGGAAGGACATAGCTGTGAACTGGCAAGTTCATTTTCCATTCATCTAAACCTACAGTCACTTCCTACATCTACGACTTCCTTCCGGCGTCTTTCTCTGGGGCTCTTGCTCTCAGACTCGCCCTTTTGCTTTGAGGACTGGATTTACTTCTTTTAAGGGGTTATTTACTATTGTCCCAAATATACACATTTCTCCTAAGAACTTAGCTTTTTGAGAGTTTTCAGTTTTTTCTGATTGCCCATTTGTAGATCTAGTTCTGCACATTAATAAGATGCATAATTTGTGCCTCTCTGAAAGTGAGATTTTTTTTGTAGGTACCCAAGAATGTGGCATTTGCTTTACTCACTAAATATTCCAGTTAGTATTTCTAGTGATGGTATTCCCAGGGGTTATTCTAAAACACTTAAAAAAATGCCTCATTACATCTAACCATTAAAGGGAAATTTTACATGCCAAATACTTTCTGACTTTTGCCAACTTTAATCGATCAAATATTGGGAGTGTTAAATAATTCTTTAAATTTTAATTAAAGTGTGCTTTACTGAAGTATAGTATTTCTGACTTTAGTTGAAACCAGAGTACATTGTTTCCCTATAATTTTTTTACTTGGCCATCTTTATGAAAATTGCAATATAACATAGTAAAGATCTTTAAGGATTAAAAGTTTTAGGTAAAATAAGAGTACTTTTCTATTGATAAATCTTGGTCACAAACATGAAGTGTAATAAGTAATCTTTGCCAATGTTGTTCTTTTAAATTCTGACTCCCTTTTTCACGAATGTGCTATAATAGCCCTATAGTAAACATTCTTGTTGTCCCCTCAATTTTAAAAATATAAGATGATCCATAGGCTCTTTCTCATTACAAATTAATAGTACCTTTCTCATAGAACCGTTGCTTAATAGTCATTATTTTTGAACTGAGTGAATGTTTCCATGTAGTACTTCTTTTTTTCTTCTCAAACTAAGGGTCTTCAAGATGTTCATAAAAAATTGTTATCATAAAACTTATGTATCAATTTTAAACATTTTTTGTACCAAAATAAACTTATATTAACTTGTTGCAACTTTTCTTCTCTTTTCTTTTTTTTTTTTTTTTTTTTTTTTTTTTTTGAGACGGCGTGGAGTCTCACTCTGTCGCCCTGAATGGAGTGCAGTGGGGTGATCTCGGCTCACTGCAACCTCCGCCTCCCAGGTTCAAGGAATTGTCCTGCCTCAGCCTCCCAAGTAGCTAGGATTACAGGCGCCTGCCACCACGCCCAGCTAATTTTTTGTATTTTAGTAGAGACGGAGTTTCAGCGTGTTGCCCAAGCTGGTCTCAAACTCCTGAGCTCTGACCATCTGCCCGCCTCGGCCTCCCAAAGTGCTGGGATTACAGGCATGAGCCACCACACCCAGCCTGTTGCAACTTTTCCTAACTTGTCTAAATATGATCTAGTTTGAGGCACCAAGGAGAGGACACTGGTTTGACAAAAGCCCTATCAGAGCAACATGAAATCTGTGAAAATTGAAGAAAGAACAAACATCAAATTTATGGTAATCATTAAGTGGAAGAATGATCACATGATTAATACCTTATAAAAAGTTTATGGGTAATGTCCATCACAGTTTCCCTTTCATAAATTGGTACATTTGATGTCTTCATATTTTATGTAGGATTTTACTTGCATTCATTAATAAAATTGGCTTGTAATTCTCCTGAATTGTAATGTCCCCATAAAGTTAATTCCAAAGTTATAAAAGTCTCATAAAGTGAGTGGGAAATTTTCCCATATTTTCTATTCTGTGGAAGAAAAAAAGAGAAAACTTTATAGAAACAATGCCCCCAATAAATCAGCAGTTTACAACAGATAGCTAACTTTAAGAAGGGATGAGATAATGTTGAAGATGAAGCTTGCAGTGGCAGAACATCCACACCAATTTGCAAGGAAAAAAATTAATCCTGTTTCTGCCCTAATTGAAGCAGACAGAAGACCAATAACAGAAACAATAGCCAACAACATACATATCTCAACTTGTTCAGCTTCCATAATTCTGACTGAAAAATTGAAGTTGAGAACATTTTCTACTTGATAGGTGCCAAAATAATTGCACCGAGATCAGCGGCAGACCAGAGAAGAGCTTTCAGTGGAAATTTTAAACCAAATGGGATCAAGATCTTGAAGCAATTATTTTAAACATATAACAAGAGATGAAACAAAGCTTCACCAGTACAATCCTAAAGACAAAGTACAATCAAAACAATGGCTACCAAGAGGTAGAAGTGGTCCAGTCAAAGCAAAAACAGACTGGTCAAGAGCAAAGGTCATTGCAACAGGTTTTTAGAATGCTCAAGGCATTTTACTTTCTGAGTTTCTGGAGGGCCAAGGATAATAACATCTGCTTATTATAAGAGTGTTTTGAGAAAGTTAGCTAAAGCGTTAGCAGAGAAACACTCAACAAAGCTTCACTACCATGACAATGTTCCTGCTCATTCTTCTCCTAAAACAAAAACAATATTGTGAGAATTTCAATGAGAAATTATTAGCCATCCACTTTCCAGTCCTGATTTGGTGCCTTCTGGCAATTTCTGGGTTTCCTAACTTTTAAAATTATGTAAAGAACAGCCATTTATTTATGTAATAATATAAAAACAGACTGCATTGACATGGTTAAATTCCAAGGACTCTCATTCCTTTATGGAGGGACTAAATGTTTGGAGTCACTTATAAAAGTGTTTTGAACTTAATGGAGTGTCTGTTGAGAAATAAAGTTTGTATTTTTTATTTTTATATTTTAATTCAATTTTTCCATGAATTTTTGAAGTCTCATTATAGCTTCACGTTTAAATTGGGATGTGGAAGTTGACTCCAGGCTTTTGATTATTTATGATTCTTATTAATTTTTAAAAATTATTATTACTTAGGTGATGGCTCAGTTTTTCACACAGTTATGGTTGTTACCCCTCCTGTGAAGGCATTTGAATTTGTTAAAAACAAAGTATGAATTTAAAAGCATGAATTATTTTAAAAAGTCTGTGATCTCTAGACATCTGGCCTTGTATATTTTATTATTTCTTTGTGAATATAACATTGCTTTAAACTCTTACTCTCAAATTCTCGGCACATCACTGCATCCTCAGGACATCCTCTATCATGATTCTGCCAAGGTCAAATAGTTAGTAATTCACAATATCCATAGCTCAAATTCATTAAGCTCTCACTATGCTTCAGAGAATGTTGTTTCAGAGCATTTTACATAAACTTCACATGCATCATCGTTAGCATCCTTACACTGGCTAAAATTTTTTATAAACACAATTGCTCACTACATGAAGCATTCCCTTTATATTCTTTTAAAACAGAAACTAAAACTTTCAAAGTTTGTGTAACTTACCTAATGTTATATGGCTTTGAAATTTCAGAAAATGATGGAACTTTTTTGAGCACTATATTATACTGCCATATTTCACTTATTATTATTTTAATTTATGACACTTCTTCATTACCAGTTATACAAGTTGGAATGTAACATTCATATCTGAAACTTTTTTTAAAAAAAGTTGAGGAGTTTATTAGGGAAACATGAGAGGCATAGACACTCCAAGTGACAGAAAGAAAAGTCTGAAAATGTCCCTTCAAGCCAAGTGGGGGCCTGGCCTCGACCTCCCCAAATCAACAGGGCAACTTTTTTTATCATCATCTCTTCATATATGTGAGTACGAGATCCACTGGGGTAAGACAGATTCTGGTTTGACTTACAGCTGAATCTCAGACACCCTGTACAGTGCCTGACATGTAGAAGTGGATGAATCATTTGTGGAAGAAAATGAGGAAGGCGTAAAGGAAGAAAGAAAAGAGAAAGGAAGGGGGAGATGATTAAAAAAGAAAGGTGAAAAGGAGGAAGGGCAGAAAAGAGAAAGCAGAAGAACTTGCAGTTTTGTGTTTTAGATTCAGCGTGGTGGACAATATTGAGGAACAAGCCATTCCATTTTTCTCAAGCTTACTTAATTCCACATATTTGCCTTTTGTGATAATTTAGCTATGTCCACACCTAATTATAAAAGAGGGGGAGACATGTATTTTAGTTGGGCAGTCATGTTAATTATCTCTGCTAATTATCTCTGCTGAAGATAAAAGGGGTAAAATTTGGTAATATCATAGGGGTTTTAGCCACAAACACTTTGCCTAAATTCCTTTGCAATCCCTACTCTGTATATATAAAATATATTTTTCTTTATAGAAGGAATCCAATTTCCAATCCTTCCATGACACCTTTCCTAATTTTACTGTGTAACATATGCAATATATTAGCATTCAATTATATATTAAATTAATTTAGTGACCTGACTGTGAATATTATCTATCATAGCCAGTCTCTCTTCCACTTTCTCTGTCCTCGCTATGCTATTATCCTTGTTGTTTCTTGAATAGCCAAACATGACTCCGGCTTAAGGCTTTTGCTTTCACTGGTCCTGCTCCCTAATCAAATTCTCTCTGTCACTGTCAAGGTTCACACCCTCATTTTTAGATTCTTCATTCAGATACTGTCTTCTCATTAATGTGAACTTCTCTGAACATCCGCTTGAAAATCCCAAAGTCCCCATGATTTCAATCTGTTTCTCTGATTATTTGTTCCCTTGGCTTTTATTATTAAGTTACCATTTGTTTTGCTTATTTGTTTTCCCATGTCTAGAGGGCAAAGATATTTCCCCCCTTGTTTACTGCCTTATCCTCCACATTAGCATTACTACATGTTTAATAATTATGTACTGAGAAAATCATTATTTGCCATAAATATAACACCATCGGTATAGAGATCAATTTGTGTTAGAACAAAATGTGACTATTTTTACATTTTTGCACGGTCATGACTTTCTGGGCAAAATGTACTGGCAATCCAACTTAAAAGAAAATGAGGAAGAGGCAAACAAGTCCTGGAAATTAAAGATAAAAACCCTAGGGAAATTTACAAATTCATCATCTCTAGAGCCATTCATTTACATAACAACAGGTAATCAATTTCTAACCCATTCATTTACATTTTAAAGAGTTGAAGCAACTTAGGGACCTTTTTGTACACTTCCCAGAGGGGATTTGTTTACATTAGAGAAAAAGCTTTCTCTTCTTTCTCAAGAAGGGAAGAAAAAATATGTACAAATTGCCCTATGTAAGTTTGGAGATTTTGTAAGGGTGGAGCTCCAATCCTGTACTGCAGATGCCTCTTCTATATGTGCAGGTTACTTCTGTAGAAATGAAACAAGCAGAACCTGTGTTAAGATATTCTATAAGCAAATGATATTTTTAACCTCTGATTCATAAACTTTGTTTTTACTGTCAGATTTTAAAAAATAAATATAAATATAAAAAATATCAATTTAGGTAAAGAAGGTGGAATCTTGTCATAAACATGATTAGCTGGAAAAAAAAAAAGCAAGGGCCCATTAGCTAGTAGATATTGGTAGCAAGCATACTGACTAAATCATTTAGCCAATTAGTAATATGTGGTTCTCCTCCTTTTTCTTTAATGAGGAATTAAGAAGATGTTTGTTACGTAGGAAGTAGGATTAATACAAGGAGCTTAATTGTTGCTGCTGTTTTTCACTTTCTCCTCCAAAGAGAAGTGAAAGATTATTTAATTTCTATAGCTGGAACATGGTTTGGGGAAGCTCAGCTGCTATTCTTGAACCTGAAAGGAACTGTGTCTCATTCACTGACACAGATATAAGCTTTTCCATGTTCACCTGATCTCTTGTGCCCTTCTACAAAGGACTTTACTACTTTAAAAATTAGGGGTGAGTCCAAGGTCTCACTGTGGATGTTATACCCCATATTTGGAAATTTCAAGCAGAGAAGGATTTTAATTGTTATGGCTCTTTTGGATACTGGCACGTGAATGCCCATTCTTTTATGGATAGTGGGTACAGAGGTGGCTAAAGGCACCAAGAAATTTAGGATGGAACCAAGGTAGGATCTGAGGGGACACAGTAAATGATCCCTTGGGCCGTGTTTACTCCACATGCACAGTGATAAAAACTCTGTTGTCAAGTAGTCAAAAAGGAGAGAGAGAGAACATGTGTGCCCAAGAGAGTGTACAAACATGCTCACTCTCCTGTTGCTTAAGTGATCTCTTAGAGAGCTTTTGGCACTTCAGTTCCACCTTTGCATTACAAATTTTCTAGCCAGGAAATAACAGGATCTCAGGATCTTGTGGCAGCTGTGAGTTTATCTCTAAAACAATAAAATAATGGCTTTGAGCAAAATTTGTTGTGGAGAAAAAAATAATTAAATGTTTTATTGTAGTGTTTCATTGCTTCTGTCTTTGAGTGTATTTTAGGAATTGATGTGTTATGTTATTTGCTTGTTATTTTCTATCTCATAAGCTCCAGAGTAGACTATCCCAATAAAGCAATAGGGGAAAGTTGTAATTACACAAGTGAGACACACTCCTCTGCCCTTTACAACCAGCAGGTAGTTTGGATTCAATACAAATGCCTCTAGTCTCTAAGGTCTGGCAGTCTTGCAATTCAAATTCTATCTCTTTTGCTCCTAACCAAGAAAAATGGAAGCAGCTATAGATACCCTCTTTTGGAGTTCTAAACTTGAGGTCTGACTAATTGAGAGACATACCCTTTTTCAAAGAACAGCTATTGGGTTGATAATGAGCCTTTGTTGAAATCCAATGCCTAACTCATCCAGGCTTAATTATTCTCCAGCCTGAGATGTCCCCTTTTGACTATGTAATTGACATGGTGGAATGGTCTCAGCAGAGTCTTCCTATTCAATTGGATATGTTATGATAAATAATGTCACTGCCTGACCCCATAAGCATCTTGGTTTTACATTAGAATTTAGCAGCTATTACTCTCTCCATTCCTACATGTGACTGTGGTCTTTTGATATTAAAATTATATACTAAATGATTGGAAACAAAAGATGATTACCCAGTAAGGTAAAATAAAACAAATGTTATAAAAATTCATATGGCAACTGTCCTCAAAGTAAGCAATATTTTTTTAGTTTCTTCTTTTCCATTTAGATTATAAACTTGGAATACAAAATAAATATGGCTGGCTTAACATTTTCTAAGTTATTCTAAAATAAATGCAATTTGAAATGTTGCTTGTAAAATAAAAAGAAAAATGCAATTGTAACTAGTGTTAAATATTGACCAAAGCTTTAAAGGCTTGTTAGTAGACAAAATGACATGGCAATAACTTATTGATCGGCAATCATTCATACATCCCTCCACTCAACTATTCAAGGAACGTCTGTAATGTGCAACATAATCATTAATGTGTCAGCTCTGACGAACATGGAGATGGATAAGTTATAGCCATTATTTCAAGGAAGTCACAATCAAATAAGAAATACAGCATTGAAAGAAGTATTGGATAATTCAACATAAATAAATTTGGTGAAATTTGCCTTACCATGCACATGAAAATCAATATTAATAAAGTTAAAACCATCAAATACAGGAAAAGAAATTATATTTAATTATATCAAAAAGAGATGGGAGAAAAATAATGAATAGTTAAGGTCAATGACTTATTCAAAGACAGGCTTTTCAATTTTCCATGAATTGTGACATTGTGTAAGAATCATCCACTGTTTTCCCTTTATCTCCTCCCTTTTCTTTCTTTCCCTGCTAGGATTTGCCAGGAAAAAAAAAATAGCCTGACTGCATATTCTAATTACCTTGAAAGCTGTTCTTAACTACAAATGCAAATAAGGATTTCATCAATTTGCAAGGAGTGCAAGTCCTAATCCCCAAATTCATGAATATGTCAGCTTACATGGTGAAGATCAATTAAGGTTGCAGATAAAATTAAGGTTGTTAACCAGTTGACCTTAAATAGAGAGATCATCCTTTCTTATTTAACTGGGTGCAATGTAAACTCAGAAGTCCTGAAAAGTGGAAGTGAAAGTCAGAGGAGTTGTGACTGCACAAGAATGGTCACAGAAATGCAGTGTTGCAGACTTTGAAGATAAAATAATGGGGTCATGAGCCAAACAATGTGTGAGACCTCTAGAAACTGTAAAATACAAGATAATGCACGCCCCATTAAATTCTACAAAATGTAATAAGTCTTCCCAAGACCTTGATTTAAGCCCATGGAGACACTACAGAACTGTGAGATAATCCATTTGTATTTTTTAGACACTAAATTTATGGTAATTAGTTAAAGCAGCCAGAAAAAACTCATCAAAAGAAGAGAGTTTCAAAAGATTCACATAAACAGAATAATCTTAATCTTTGTGGCAAGTAAGTATAAAATAACTCAGAAAACTCTTGAGAATGTTGTTTTTGTATATTAAGAGACTATAGGAAAAAGAAGAGTTCTTTCAGAGAGGTCTCTCTAATAAAATAATCCATTCTGTTCTAAACAACACACTGATTTTTATTCAAAGCTGATTCAGGTAGAGTCCATAAAGTGAAAGCAAGTTTATTAGGAAAGTAAAGGAATAAAAGAATGGCTACTCCATAGGCAGAGAAGCCCCAAGAACTGCTGGTTGCCCATTTTTATGGTTATTTTCTTGATGATATGCTAAACAAGGGCTGGATTAATAACTCCCCTTTTTAGACCATGTAGAGTAACTTTCTGACATTGCCACGTGATATGGTTTGGCTGTGTTCCCATCAAAGTCTCATCTTGATTTCCCACATGTTGTGGGAGGGACCTGGTGGGAGGTAATTGAAACATGGGGCCAGGTCTTTCCCATGCTGTTCTCATGATAGCAAATAAGTCTCACAAGATCTGATGGCTTTATAAGGCAGAGTTTCCCTGGAAAAGCTCTCTCTTTGCCTGCTGCTATCAATGTAGGACATGTCTTCCTCCTCCTTGCCTTTCACCATGATTGTGAGACTTCCCCAGCCATGTGGAACTGTAAGTCCAATAAACCTTTTTCCTGTATAAATTACCAAGTCTCAGGTATGTCTTTATAAGCAGCATGAAAACAGACTAATATGGTAAATTGGTACCAGGAGTGGGGTGCTGCTGAAAAGATACCCAAAAATGTGGAAGCAACTTTGGAACTAGGTAACATGCAGAAGTTGGAACAATTTGAAGGGTTCAGAAGACAGGAAAATGTGGGAAAGTTTGGAACACCCTAGAGACCTGTTGAATGGGTTTGACCAAAATGCTGATAGTGATATGGACAATAACATCTAAGCTGAGAAGGTCTCAGACGGAGATGAGGAACTTGTTGGGAACTGGAGCAAAGATGACTCTTGTTATGTTTTAGCAAAAAGATTGGCAGGATTTTGCCCCTGCTCTAAAGATTTGTGGAACTTTGGACTTGAGAAAGATGGCTTAGGGTATCTGGTGAAGAAATTTCTGACCAGCAAACCATTAAAGAGGTGTCTTGGGTGCTGTTAAAGACATTCAGTTTCAAAAGGGAAAGAGGGCATAGAAGTGAAAAATTTGCAGACTGACAATGCAATAGAAAATCCCATTTTCTGAGGAGAAACCCAAACCTGTTGCAGAAATTTGCATAAGTAACAAGGAGACAAATGTTAATTTCCAAGAAAATGAATGGCGAAAATGTCTCCAGGGCATGTCAGAGGTCTTCATGGCAGCCCTTCCCATCACAAGCCCAGAGGCCTAGGAGGAAAAGATGGTTTTGTGGGCCGCGCCCAGGGTCCCATTGCTATGTTCAGCCTAGGAACATGGTGCCCTGAATCTCAGCCATTCCAGCCATGGCTGAAAAAGGCCAAAATAGAGCTCAGACTGAGTGCAAGCCTCAAGTCTTGGTGTTCAGCCTGTGAGTGCACAGAAGTCAAGAATTGGGGTTTAGAAACCTCCACCTAGATTTCAAAGAATATATGGAAATGCCTGAATGCCCAGGCAGAAGTTTGCTGCAGGGGCAGTGCCCTCCTGAAGAACCTCTGCTAGGGCAGTGTGGAAGGGAAATGTGGGGTCAGAGCCCACACAGAGTGGGGCACCACCTAGTGGAGCTGTGAGAAGAGGGCCATCATCCTCCAGAGCTCAGAATGGCAGATCCACCAGTGGCTTTCACTGTGCTCCTGGAAAGGCCACAGACACTCATCACCAGCCCATAAAAGCAGCTGGGAGGAAGGCTGTACCCTGCAAAGCCCCTGGGGCAGAGCTGCCCAAGACCATGGGAGCCCACCTCCTGCATCAGCATGACCTGTATGTGAGTCATGAATTGAAAGGAGATCATTCTGGAGCTTTAAGATTTGACTGCCCTGCTCGATTTTGGACTTGCGTGGAGCCTGTAGCCCCTTTGTTTTGGACAATTTCTCCCATTTGGAATAGTTGTGTTTACCCAATGCCTGTATCCCCAATGTATCTATGAGGTAACTAACTCACTTTTGGTTTTACAGGCTCATAGGCAGAAGGGATTTGCCTCGTCTTGGATATGACTTTGAACTGTGGACTTTTGAGTTAATGCTGAAATGGGTTATTACTTTGGGGGACTGTTAGGAAGACATGATTAGTTTTGAAATGTGAGGACATGATATTTGGGAGGGGCTATGGGTGGAATTATATGGTTTGGCTCTGTCCTCAAGCAAATCTCATCTTGAATTCCCTCATGTTGCGGTAGGGACCTGGTGGGAGCTAAGTGAATCATGAGCAGGTCTTTCCCGTGCTGTTCTCATGATAGTGAATAAGTCTCGTGAGATCTGATGGATTTATAAGGTGAAGTTTCTCTGTATAAGCTCTCACTAGGACAAAGACACACCAGGCAGAAGTGCAGATAAGGGCTGCCTCTAGCATAGCTATGGGGCGTGGCTAACTCCACAAGTCCTTGGACTTATTTAGAATCTCATGCTCCAAAGTAGGTAAATTGAACAATTTTCAAAAGTCAAATAAGTAGTTTATGACCATAAAGCATTTAGTGAACTTAATATCTGACCCAATTTAGACCAATTGTTGACATTTTTGAAGATATTATTTTACCAATAATCTTTAAAATTCTATTTCCCACAGATTACTTAAGTAACATGAACTCAAAGACATTACACTTTTTACTTTCTGACAAAATGTTTGATTTAAGCACTTATTTTTAAGCCAATTAATCAAAGCACTTTTATATCACACACACAACACATATGAATACACAGACAGAATAAGATAAAGGACTTATCTCCTAAGCAGGGAACTGAACTCTGAGCCTTGGTCGCCGTCGTGAAAAGAGAAGACACTGCCACGTTTACAAGTTCAAGCTCCCAAGTATACGACTGACCAATTTGCTGGCCTGTCTTGAAAAGCAGGCTTACAGGTGTCTTAAGCCCATTTTCTGTCCTAAGGTACCCCTCATTATGACGGAACAATACAGGAGGACACACAAAGCACACAAATTGGCTACAGCTCAAGATTAGCCTCACAAATCCTTTTTTCTGATTAAAACTTTACAGAGTAGATAAACAGTGATTTTTACCGTTTAACCAGTTTGCACAGGGAGACAGACAGAGAGGCAGGGTGAGGAAGGCAAGGCACTCAGAGAGGCCAGAGAAAGACCCACCAATGACAGTGGACACTGAAATGTTCAGGCAGCTACTTCTTGGTAGTGAAGGTATCTTTTCCAGCACTCCCATCAGCTCTCAAGTTTTCTCTTTTCAGGGAAGAAAAACTTTCTCATGTCCCACGATCCTGTACATGCCTAATCCTGTCACCCACAGCCATCATCCAAGAGTGCAAGGCAGATTATTCCAAAGAGAAGAGCAGTTAACATCCCGTAATGCCAAACCTGTTCTTAACCAAAAGGGACTTTATGGAGAGTGACTTTACTGAGAGGGGCCTCTAACCCCCTAAATCTTAGAAGGGATGCAAAGCCTCCAAAGTTTGCCCTGGAACCAAAATTTGGCAAGTATCCTTGCCTTCCATTGAGAGGAGCCTTTAACCCTGTCTGTCTTAGGAGAGACTTTAACTCCCCTAAGTTGGGCCTCTAAGCCAATCCCATCCTTTACCCAGGTACTCCACCACTTACCGAAAGTCATTCAATCAGTGTTGCAGTCCATTTCCTTTGGGTCAGAGGGTTCTCCTCAGTATCGTCCCTTCTGTGGTTCAGCAGAAAGTTGTTACAAGACCTCACCACTTACCCAAAGTTAGCCTTTGTGTTGGGGGTTTCCTACAGGACCCCACCACTTACCCAAAGTTAGCCTTTGGGTCAGGGGTTGCTCACTATAGTCCCTTTTGTGGTTGCCAGAAAGATGTTACAGGAAAGGGGTCCTGATCCAGACCCCAAGAGAGGGATTTTGGATTTCATGCAAGAAAGAATTCGGGGCGAGTCCATAGAGTAAAGTGAAAGCAAGTTTACTAAGAAAATAAAGGTATAAAAGAATGGCTACTCCATAGACACAGCAGCCCTGAGGGCTGCTGGTTGTCCATTTTTGTGGTATTTCTTGATGATATGCTAACAAGGGCTGAATTATTCATGCCTCCCCTTGTTAGACCATATAGGGTAACTTCCAGATGTTGACATGGCATTTGTAAACTGTCATGGCGTATAGCAGTGAGGACAACTAGAGGTCACTCTCTTCACCATCTTGGTTTTGGTGGGTTTGGGCCAGCTTCTTTACTGCAACCTGTTTTATCAGCAAAGTCTTCATGACCTATATTTTGTGCTGACCTCTTATCTCATCCTGTGAGTTAGAATGTCTTAACAATCTGGGAATGCAGCCCAGTAGGTCTCAGCCTCATTTTACCTAGCTCTTATTTAAGATGGAGTTGCTCTGGATCACGTGCCTCTCACAGATATAGCTGGTCAGCACCTTAGAAATGGAAAAAAGAGATCTTGAGACCAAGGCCTAGGATACACCCTCAACTTGTTTTCTGTTGATTTTGTTCTATGTGTAGAGCTTGGACCTGTATTGCTAGCAACATTGTACCTTGCTGAAAGGGAAGCAGTTCTAGGTGTTGAGACTTGAAGGAGGCAACCTCATTAACATTAATTTTTGTCATTTATATAAAAACAATTTTTGCTGTCATGAAATCTTGTCATAGCTATTGAAAAAATACATTTATGTAGTCTAAATGCCTTGCTTTCTAAGTGTGAATCTTAGTAATTTATTAACTTTTCATCCCTAATCCTTTCTACAATGTTTTCCTGGATGACTTTGTGTACAGAAACATAACTACTATTATTACAGCAAATGAGACTATGTTTTCAAATATAATACGTATGAGTCTTTGCTGTAATATTATTTTCATGAGTATTATGGCAATGGTAATTAGCATAGCTGGCCAAATTTGAAATGTGCCTGGGAATAATGATTCAAACTCAATAAACTAGGTTAATGCAATTGCTGGTTGTGGCTTTTGAGGCTCATGACCTGGAATTATATTGCTGTTACATTTACAAGGAATAGTTACTATGCCAAAACTATCGTTCCAAAATAAACAAACATCTCCTGTCATCTCCTACTCAGCAACAAACTAACAATGTGCAGAAAAAAGGCAGAAAGTTAAGCCTTTGAGAGTGTGAAATTAAGTATCCTCCATCCTACCTTTACTCAGTGACCAGTTACAAGGGTGACTTTTAAAAGATCAAAGCTACAGATAGATTTTGAATCAGTAAATGTTGGTATTTCAGTATTTTCAAAGACAACCAGAAGAGTAAAGCAGTTACCATATTTGGTTCACTTTACTCTCAAAATGATCCTCCTTCCAATATTGTAAACCAGTCAAACGTGTGAATAAAGGAGTAGGAAAGAAAGAGGGGATGAGAATGAATTTTTCAGGTACAGGGAACAAGCAAAAATTATCTTATAGAAAGAAAAATTAAATCATTGTATGAATTTTCCATAATTTTGTGTTATACTTCTGCTAGTTGGTCCGGATATATGTGTTTTGCATACAGAATAAAAGTAGAAAGAAGAAAGTAAAATGGCAAATGAAAGAGGGGCCAAGAAAATGAAGTCATCATGGCTTCTATGTCTTTTTCTTCTAAACAAAATTATATTGCAATTTAATCATTCAAGTTTCTTTCTTAGCACTAAGAAAAGCTGTAGTTTTGCAACCCAAATTCACGCACTTCAGAGTACTATAAAGGCTCCGAAAATCAAATGCAGGTTAAATTATTTCTAAATAAAATATATTATTTGTTTTGTTTTATTAAGGCATTTATTATTAAAATACAATTTTCATATTTATAGTATTGATGTCATTAGGGAAATACTATTTGCCACAATTTGTGTTTGCATATATAATTATGTGACAGAAAGAATAATTCATGTTTAAGTTATCCACTGAGAAACCTTGTTGTACTCTTATTTCTTGATCTGACAACAGTCTTAGACACAGTTGACCAAACCCTGTTTATTTATCTTCTTCTCTTGAATCCCACATCATCTCAGTCTCTTGGCTGTCCTTCTGCATCACTGTCCAAACATTCCAGATCCTTTTCACTGGCTTCTTCTCTTTGAAATTCTTAAATGCCCATTTCTCAAGGGCTCATTCCTCAGTTGTATGTAATCACTTGCACACCTGATATTCCCACATGCCAATGACTAAAACATGTACATCTCTGACCCTTCTTCACTGAACTCCAGATTTTTATGCATTACAGGACATCTCCACATGACTGTTAGATACACAACGCAAACCTCACAGTAAGATGATGGTATTTATCAGTAAAACCTATTCATTCCACATTCCTCAGAACATCAATTACATGAACCTTTACTCAGTGTTTAATTTTAGAGCAACAAATTAGCCTTATTCTCTGTCTTCCAATTCTCTGTTGAATATACTAAAATTCCCTTGCACGTCTTTCTACATGTATATCCTAAATAGGTCTGCTTCTTTTTCCCTCCATTTTAACCATGATTACCCAAATAGCCTGAAAAATATCCTCACTGATTTCTACTTTTTGACACTTCTGAAATGTATTTTTTCACATAGCAGTAATAAACATAAAGAATGTACTTAAATAACCAAATTAAAACCACCTACTGGTTTTTTAATGCATTTAAAATAAAATCCAAAATCCTTATCTTGACACAAAAGTTCTTCTGTGTTTGGCCCAGGCCTCCATTTTTGACATTATTCTCTACCTTTCTCTTTCTAATTTATAGTCTCTAGACCGGTAGTTTTTGCTGTTGTTGTTGTTGATTTGTTTTTGTTTTTCTGATCCATGACAATATCAAGATTGTTTTCAGATCACCATATATAAAGGTACCTCCAGACTACTCATTTTTATTCTTTATTACACTTATAATAGTTAATATTTTCTTGCTTGATCAATTCTAATTAATGTGATTTTAGTGCTCTATTGACCTTCAGAGACTGATGGAGAACTGGGGGTGGGTAAAGCTAAAAATTCTAAAGCATCTGACAGTATTCCTGTGCTATTTAACAAAGAAATATGAATTACATTCCTTTATTTAGTGGTATCTGGATACTTCATTCAACAATATTTATTTTAAAAATGTGTCTGCACTGGACTGTGCTTAGGCATTGCTGATACAATGATAGATAAGACTTGGGAGCTCAATTGTGAAACAGATGTAAACCACATATATGGAGCATTTTCATCTCAGTTGACAATTAAAGATAGACTTTTGGGTCAAAAAGACCAAAGCATTGCTTTTACTACATGCTTATTTTCCACTATCATATTTATCCTATAATTATCAGTAACATTTTCTGTTTTCTTATGCTTGTAATATAGAAATAAAATCAAACTTTATATAATAAAAATAGTTATTTTGATTAAATCTAGTTAATGCTATTGAGATTCTGGAGTTCAATGAGTACAGCCAAAGAAACTTACACATTGTACATAACATTATCTTATCTGGTTTTATATGCTATATTCTCCCCAGTGGATACATAATAGAATAATATCCCACTGTGAAAATAATTGTTTATAACAAAGCATCATAGCAATCTCTGTAAAATAAGAGTATGAATAAACATAAACTCTGTCATATAAAATCTTATCTAGTACAAGAGATACACATATTACAAGAATATATATATGTATATATATATATATATACATATATATACATATGTATCTGTATGTACATATATTAGTCCGTTCTCACAGTACTAATAAAGACATGCCTGAGACTGGGTAATTTATAAGGGAAAGACTGGGTAACTTAAAGGGAAACTTAATTGACTCACAGTTCTGCAGGGCTGGGGAGGCCTCAAGAAACTTACGATCACGGCAGAAGGGAAAGCAGGCACGTCTTACATGGCAGCAGGCAAGAGAGTGTGTTTGAAGAGCAAAGGAAGAAGCCCCTTACAAAACCGTCAGATCTTGTGAGAACTCAATATCACAAGAACAGCATGGAGGAAACCACCCCCATGATTCAATTATCACCACTTGGTCCCACTCTTGACACATGGGGATTACTACAATTCAAAGTGAGATTTATCATTACATATACACTGTACCTATATGCATACATATATGATATGTGTACATATACATATGTATATGATACAGTGTTATAAATAAAAGCTGACATCTAGTGAGGGCAAAGATTTAAAAAACACTTTAAATCTGAAAGGAGGGGTCATTTAAATTAATGTTGAAATCTTGATAGACTTTCAACTAAACCATTTTATTTGTTAAGAAGAAAAATTTGAGTAGGAAATTATAAAAAAACCATTGCTTATGTTTCCATTTGTACAATTGTTCTAAGTAATATTGTAAGCTGTTCACATACGGATCATTCAGCTAACCAACTCCATTAAATTATGAGTTTTCACTCCCTTATCCAAGAGTTTATGTTTGTTTATTTTTATGACCAATTATAAATTTCAAAGTTTTATGAGCAGTTACACATTTCAAGATATTTTTCAGTCTTGGATACATATTTACAAGGCTAAGTTAATGCCCAAACTTCATTTTTATAATTGAGAAAATCTTTAAGGATGTGTGCTTGCCAAATATTAAAAATATGTATAAGAAACTTAGAATTCTGGTCTTTCACTCTTACCACTCTTGCCACTCTTACCACAGATAACTTTTAAAGAGGTAAGCACTGCCTTGAAGGAATCCTGTATTTTGTGAGATAACTAACCATAGAAATTGGTCAGAAACAAATCTCTTTTTTGTCTATTTCTGTTCACTGTGGAAGATCCTTTACACTTTGAAGGTCTGATGACATTTTTAAATACCAGCCTTAACAAATGTAGTTAGCTAGGCATATTTACCATGTTAAGAAAATGAAACTACAAGTTGAAAGAAGACTTCTCTCTGAAGCCTATAAGCATTATAACTTCAGTGACAGGACAAAGGGGCAGGGAGTATAACACCAGTGCATGTTTCTCTGACTTCATATTAGGATGAACAATCTTCAAAGGAAACTGAGACTTGGAATGGTGTCTCCTGTGACCCAGGTTCACATCCCAGTCTTACATGGAAAGCATTTGTGAGATTGAAGTGATAACCCAGCAAAAAATTGAAGCAACAATAACAGAAGCCTTGAAAGGTATACTGAGAAACCTCCTTCACTTTAAACGTGCTTGCATTTTTAAAAATAAACATTGTGTTTGGTTGATTTCTGAATTAAGTATAATGCATAAACATTGTACATAACATGAATAATATAAATATATAAGAAATATTCATCCCTAAGTCTGTAATACAGCAAGTAACACTATATTTTATTCATCTATTTCCTTCAGTCACATCTGGTGATTGTAAGTATGAGCAAAAACATTTTTTTCTGCTACAAACAATTGCAAATGACATCAAACTCTCTTGTATTCCCTTTTCTTGGATAGAAAAGATAAGAATTGAAATGTGTGATGTTGGGAGCAAGTCCCCCAAAATTTGGCCATAAACTGGCCCCAAGACTGGCCATAAACAAAATCTCTGCAGCACTGCAACATGTTCATGATGGCCCTAATGCCCATGCTGGAAGGTTGTGGGTTTACGGGAATGAGGGCAAGGAACACCTGGCCCACCCAGGGCGGAAAACCACCTAAAGGCATTCTTAAGCCACAAGCAATAGCATGAGCGATTTATGCCTTAAGAGCATATTCCTGCTGCAGTTAATTAGCCCAACCTATTCCTTTTATTTGGCCCATCCCTTCGTTTCCCATAAGCGATACTTTTAGTTAATTTAATATCTATAGAAACAATGCTAATGACTGGTTTGCTGTTAATAAATATGTGGGTAAATCTCTGTTCAGGGCTCTCAGCTCGGAAGTCTGTGAGACCCCTGATTTCCCACTTCACCCCTCTATATTTGTGTGTGTGTGTCTTTAATTTCTCTAGCGCTGCTGGGTTAGGGTCTCCCCGACCTAGCTGGCAGTGTGACAAGGTGTTAAATTGGGAGTGTTTATTGAATAACTGAGCTAACATAGAGTAGTCTGTGGTTATTTGTAAGATGGAAAAGATGAGAGGGAAGGATAGGCTGAAAGAGAGAGACTCTGAGTGAGAGTCGGTGCTGCTTTGAACATGACTGCAAACCCCTCTGTGACCTGTAGAAGACCCATGAAACCCTGGGACCAGACTTGGACTCCAGGGAGCAATGTTAGACTGGGATAATTTAAAATGGATACTTTAAAAGATTTGCTTGATAAATACTGCACCACCAAAACAGTGAGAGTTTACACGGGTTAGAATGCCTGAAAATAATTAAAAATTGAAACAGGGACAGAAACTGCCACCTGAAGCCAAGTACTGCCCATCAAAGGAGTCACACATGGAAAGGCCAGGCTGGAAGCAGCCATGAAAATACTCACCAGGGAGCAACCTCACTTCATTACAGCAGGGATTAAAGAGAAGCTGACCTTTCTGCTACCTTCCCTATCCTTAAATTTTGTAAGTTCTATTATAGTAGCTTTGGGAGAAGGATATGGTGAGGAAGAATGTGGGAAGAGGGACAAAACCTCCTTCCCTGAACTAGACAAGGCTCTGCTGCCAAGCCCTTGCTGGTGCGGGGAGAAGGCAGGAATGAGTATCATTTTTTAAAAATCATGATTGAAGTTCTGAATAAAGATATTTGGATAAGCATTCTAATTTCGTAACCCAGATGGTGTTTTTCCAGTTTAGAGTGAACATGAAATTTTATCTTTCCTAGGAATAACCCTTGAGCCACCTGAAATTTTTATTTAATGGCAAGGGGAAAAGATAATACCACGTTGAATATTAAAGGGACTGTAGGAGACAAAATAAAACTATTTTTAATTACATTATTTGTACCCTCCTTATACAGCATGTTATTTGTGATTTCCATAACAATTTGGCAATACAACTTTATTTAAACTATGTATTTTAGATTACAAAGAAAAGAGAAAAAAATTGTTTATAATTACACATTAGGTGTTAGAAGTCAAAAAAGTTCCTGAAATAGGTATGTTCTTCAATGGTGATCTAAATTATTTAATTTATTTCTAACTTTCTTGCCTATTTTTTCAAATTCAACTAAAGACATTATTATTTGGAATTATTTAATTTTAAGCACAATTAAGAACTAGGACCTATATGTCTGTTTTGCAGATTGAAATGAAAAACAGTAATACAGTAAAATAACAAATTTGTTTAGGGCAGGAATATATTAACATAAAAAGAGCTTGCTTTTATATTAAAAGTACTTGCTATGGCTTCTGTTCAGGGTCTCACAGGGCTGCAATTAAAGTGTCAGTGGTAACTGTCCTGTCATCTGAAGCTTATGGTTCTCATTCTACCTCGTGGTTGTTGGCAAAATGTATTTCCTTTCAGTTATAGAATGCATTGTGCTGTGTCTCTTCAAAGCTAGCAGAAAGTGAGGGAGTGATATTAAGAGTAAGAGACAGAAGAATGGGGAAAGAAGTCTGTTGCTTCCGGTCTTTTACATTGAGTGCTTATTGTATTTTATTTAATTTCATTTATTTATTTACTTTTTGAGATAGGGTCTCACTTTGTCACCCAGGCAGGAGTGAAGTGGTGTGAACACAGCTCCAGGAAGTTTCAAACTCCCAGGCTCAACTGACCCTTCCACTTCAGCTCCCCAGGAAGCTGGGACTATGGGCATGCGCCACTACTTCTGCCTAATTTTTGTTTTTTTTTTTGTAGAGACTGGGTTTCACCACGTTGCCCATGCTGACGTTGAACTCCTGAGGTCAAGCAGTCCTCCTGCCTCAGCCTGCAAAATGCTGAGATTACAGGCATGAGCCACTGAGCCCAGCCTAGACTCTATTTCAAAGGGCTTGTCTGATAACAAGTAACCTCTCTTTTGATTAGAAACCTTAACTACATCTGTAAAATATTTTTGCCATACAGTTCACCATAAACAGGAATGACATCTCATCATACTCAGGGTTTCTGCTCACACTTAAGGGGGAAGAATTACATATGATGTGTATTCCGGGGGCAGAAATTTGAGAACCATTTTCTTTCCATTTCTGCTTTCCAATGGAGTTTAATATTTTTACTCATGGTATTTGTAGGAAGGTAATAATCTATATCTTCTAGGTTTTGCATCTAAAAGTGGGCTTTATATGACATAGGGGTTTACATTTAGAGGTATCAGAAGCCACAAAATAAAATTGGAGCCTCTTATTTAAGTGTCAATTTTAGAAAAAAATTGAAGAAATGCTAACCGTATGCTAAAACAGTGGAATATGATAGCATGGGACATTTTTCACCTGAATCCTAAGATTTGAGGGATTCAAACTTCTCTATTCTAAAAGAGCTTCAGTGATGTTCCCTCCCCTGTCAGGTACCTCAGGGTTGAACATTTACTGATCTTTGCCTTTATGAGTATGTTAGCGGAAGAGGGTTAAACTCATTGTACTATATGGGTAGAATAGCCATATGAGAGATCTGAAACTATGGTATCTGGATAATCATAAAATAAAAAATTTAATGAGGCAGCATTATCATTAGGGGAAAACCTCTAAAAAATATCCATAATTTTCACAAAAAATTAAAGAAAATTTGAGTATTTTTAGCAAACATTTAGCATTCAAAAATTTCTAGAAAATTATTTCTAGAAAATAATAACTGTCTTGTTGCAATAAAAATTCATTTGAATCACTTAAAATTAAATAAATAAAAATTCCAATTTGTATGCTAAGTTCACTGTTAGGTCTCACGGGCCTTTTAACATATCATTTCAGATATGAGCCCTTAGGTATCATCAAAAGGCAAAGCAATAATATTTCAGCCTGAAACCTGGGCATTGCAATGTTTAACTCTGTTGATAGTATTAATATACTGTCCTCCTAAATATGAGTATTTTCATAAATAAATATAAATTGCAATACCTTTATTCTAAATGTTTATGTTTACAGGCAAGAATATTCATTCAAAACTAACTAAAAAAATTCTGAAATACTCTGGCTGACTCATGTCTTTTCAATTCACATTTCTTAAATTGCTAGGTGTCTTAATCCAGCTACAATATGACATCTGAGGGCCTCAGAGCTGAATTTGTTGCTGCTTTTTTTTCATAATTAGCAGATTTTGTTGTTTGTTTCTCAATGTAGTTGCCACAATATTTCAGCAAATCCTATCAGGCAACTTCTGGATGAAGAGGTCACTGATGAAATCCATGGGTTGAAATATACCAATGCTTAATTACATTTGAAGAGCTAAACATAATTGCTTATCAAAATTTAACAACCCAAAGTAATAAAATAATCTGATATCTGCAGTATAAAATAGATTCACACTTAGGCTCTACCATTGCCTTTATTTGTCCACAATTTAAAAATATGAAATTGAGAAAAATAAAGTCAATTTTTCTCCTATTAAGCTAATAAAAATGATGATATATTTTTCATATAATGTCAAAATCTCATTAATGAACAGATTTTCTTATACCAAGCAAAAACATTGTAATATGAAAAATATAGTATTTTTATTAATTTTAATCTACCTATTTTATTCTAAAATAAATTTCAAAATTAGACATAGATCAAATATCAGAAGTTAAATACTAAGGATATATTAAATGTACAACCCATAGTCTAAAAATTAATATTTTAAACATTGCTACTAATTACTTTGCATATAATAGCTTCAATTTGTGGCTTCATTAAAGAAAATTAAAGAAGAGCTTTTCTCAAATGTACTTGATTACAGTTCATAGTGGATATTGTCAATCATTTCAAGGCTGACTGGCTCTGCCACTTTTAATTTGAAAAAATTAAAAAAAAAAACTTTTTTTAAACATCGCATGAATGACCTCAACCAATTAAAATATCTTGAGCCAAATCCATAACCCAAGTATGCACACACACATACACACACACACTCACACACACAAACACGTATGTTGCAAGCAAATTTCCAGTGCATTTTCCATAAATCATTAGATTTCAAAAACTAAACATTATATCTATTTTTAGGTTAATCTGCAAATGGAGAATATATGTATATGTTCAATTGAAATTTTATATATTATTCACAATCTCTGGGTCTGAATTAATGAAAATGAATTAAGTAAATATACTAGAAGGTAGTTAGACTTTAAACTATTTGCATACAATATTTGTTGAACTAGGCTTATATATGTGGTTGAAATGTTGTATATTAAAAATGATTATCAAATATATCCATACATTACATTTATTCTTAAATAACAACCTTAAATAATAATGGTGAGATTTTGCAAAAATTTCTAACAGAGATTTGTAACCTTGATGTGCAATTATATTACATAAGTTTTAAAAACCAATCAAATACATTTTAGCTAGTTTATGCATGAGTATGCTTGTATATGCTGTACATTTACAAAGTCAAGCTTGTTTTTTGTCTCTGAATAAGTGTTTATAAATAAGCCACAGTAAAAATTAAAGACAGTATCCATTACACTTACATTTATCTGCTATATACTACCCAGAAATTGGTAAAATTAGATGACAACCTGTTTGTTAGTGCTTGGTCCATCAATGCTTAAGGTGACTATTGATATGATATGGTTTTTGTAAGCCATTTTATAACTTGTTTTCTATTTGCTTGCTCTTTTAAGATCTCTCCCTTCTGCTCTATATTCTTCATTGAATATTTTTAGTTATACTTCTCTAATGTTACACTTTGCTTGAAACTTTAGATTTCTGTCAGAGATTTGCTTCTTTTCATGGTTATTTCTACTACAAAAGAAGAGAAAGCAGGCTGGATACTGCTACTTATTAAGTACCTTATCATCCAATAAACCTACAATACAGAAATTTCTCCTAATATCCACATAAATAAAAGACATTTTAACCTCTGAAAATAATTTTAATACATTTTAACAGTTTTTGATTTACAGGGTATTTCTAATATAATACAGAGGGTTCTTATATACACGTTTAGTGTTCCCTTTTATTAATATCCTACCTTAATACAGTACACTTGTTACAATTAAGGACCCAATTTTGATAAATTATTATTGAATAAAGGACATCCTTAATTTGGATTTTCTTAGTTTTTACCTAATCTCCTTTTCTTTTTCAGGATACCACATTGCATTAAGTTGTCATGCCTTTTTAGGCTCCGTTTTCTGCAGTGTTTTCTCAGACTTTGGCTGTTTCTGATAACCATGACAGTTTTGAAGAGTGCTGGTCAGATAATTAGAATGTCCCACATTCTAATTCATACATTAGCATTTGTATGAAGTTTTTCTCAGGATGAGACCAGGGTTCTGGACATTTGGGAGAAAAACCACAGAAGTAAAGTACTATTTTACTAACATCCTACCAAGGATATATTGTATCCACATCACTTATCATAGTTGAAGATGATTTTTATCACCTGCCTGCAGTAATGTTCATCAGCTTTATTCACTGTAAAGTTATATTTTCTCCAACTTTTCATATCATATTTTTTGGAAGAAAGTCACTATGCACAGCCCACACTTAAGGGGTGAGGAGTCATGCTTCACCTCTTTGAGGACAAGGTATCTACATAAATAATTTGGAAATTTTCTGCATGGAAAATTTTCTCCCCTGAATCTATGTATTTATTTATTCAATCCTTAATTGATTATAGCATGAATTCATGGATATGTATTTTATTTTTTAGATTAGAATCCAATATTGCTTTATTTATTGTCACTCGAATCTTTCCAGGTTTGGCCACTGGGAGCTCTTTCAGTTGGCTCCTGTGTTTTTTGTTTTGTTTTGTTTTGTTGTGTTGTGTTGTGTTTTTTAGCATACTCCATAGTTGTGTGAAGGAGTTTTTTTGTTTGTGTGTTTGTTTTTACAGCATTTCCTTAATTTCTGACACTGCAAAATGCTCCAGGTTCATCTTGAAACTTTCCTGCCCAAGTGTTAAAGTCAGTCATTTCTCCAAAGACACCTGGTTCCTTGGTTCCTTTTATTAAAGAATATTAGAAATCAAGAACAGGTTAGGTATCCATATATTTATTGCTACTGGGATATCCTGCTTCTCTTCTCTCTTAGCTGTTAGAACAAGAAAATATATGCATGTATATACTAACCAATGGATTTATACATCTCTTTAAATATTTATATGTGTAACCATCCATGTCCATATTAAGTAAACATCTGTTCAGACTGATGTTTCTAATTCTAATCCATTACTCTATGGATCATTCTCCCCTCCTTCCCTCATTTATCTATAAATTCCCATTCCAACAGGGAGAAATCTGGCTCCCAACATTTCTCATCCTTCTACTTAGTTGTTCAATTCCAGTATACATGAATAGTACTATCAGAATTTTTAACTTGTATCACCGTGGAATAAAATTTTAACAACGAAGCTTCAGTGGTTATGTACAATTTCTTGCCATTAGTTTTATGGACCTCCACTCATTTCCAAAGTTATTTTGAGGTCAACACCTTTTTCTCCTACCTCCTTTACTGAGGTTGTTTTACATATTTGCAATACAGTTAGATTATATATATTATTTTACATTCAATCTTGTGATTTCTCCAAACTTGTAAAAATGTTTATAATTTTCATGCATTAAAGTTCATTGTGTGCTGTAAATCTCAATGTGTTTTGACATAGGAATAGTCTCACATATCCACAATTAAAGTGTGATACATAATAGAATCACTATCCTAAAATATTTCATTTCACATATTTAATCCTCTATCTCCCCCATACCTTTGACAGCCACTCATCTTTTTGTGTCTCTATAGTTTGCTTTTTCTAGAATGAGGTATAATTATAACCACACAGTACATAGCCTTTTCAGACTGGCTTTTTTCATTTTGCTCCATGAATTTAAGATGCTTTCATATTATTTTGCGCTTGATACTTTATTTCTTTTTATCTCTGAATAATACTCATTGCATTGGGGTACCATGCTTTGTTTATACTTTCACTTATTGAAGAAAATCTTGGTTGCTTCCAATCATTTTTGGTGCTTATAAATAAATCTGCTATAAATATTCAAGTGCAGGTTTTTAGACATTTTTCAAATTAGCTAGTAAATATGGAGTAGCACAATACTGGATCATATGGTAAAACCATGTTTACTTTAGTAAGAAACTGCCAGATTGTCTTCCAACGTGGTACTCTTTTGTATCCCCACCAGCAATGAGGAAGGATTCTGGTTTTTCTCATTTGCAGCTGGTATTGCCAGCTTTGTTTTTGTTTTTGTTTAGCCAACCTAAAATGTGTATAGTGATATCACATTGTTGTTATAATTTGTGACTCCCTAATGACAAATGATGTTGAAAATATCTTCATATGCTTATTTGCCAACTATATTTTCTTCGATGAGGCGTTTGTTTAGATATTTTGCCCATTTTTAATTAACAGAGCAATTTTAGATTTACAAAAAAAAAATTGAGTGGAAAATACAGAGAGCTCTCATATAGCCCCTGTCCCCACACATGCACAGCCTCCCCACTTTTGCCTATTTTTAAATTGGGCTGTTAGTTTTTTTACTGTTGGGTCATAAGGATTCCTTGAGTGTTTTGGATACAAAGTTACTTATCAGATATGTTCTTCTGCAAATATTTTATCTGAACTCTGTCTTGTCATTTCTTTTTTTTCTGTCTCTCTCTTAGAGGTGAAGTCTCCCCATATTGCCCAGGCTGGTCTCAAATTCCTGGGCTCAAATGATCCTCCTGCCTCAGCCTCCAAAGTAGCTGAGTCAACAGGCACGTACTGTCACACCTGGCTTGTTATTTCATTCTTGTCACAGGGTTTTTCACAGAAGTATTAGTTTTAGTAAAGATCAAATTATCTGTTTTTCTTGGACCACGCTTTTGGTATTGTATCTAAAAATACATTGACAAATACAAGGTCAGCTAGATTTGTTCTTCTGATGCTTCTAGGAGATTTTTAGTTTTGTATGCTTACATTTATGTCTCTGATCTAGTTTGAGTTAATTCACCTGAAATGTGTAATGTATATGCCTAGGTTGATTTTTCTTTTACATATGGACAGCCAAATGTTCCAGCACCAATTGGTGAGAAGACTATCCTTTCTCTATTCAATTGCCTCTGCTCCTATCAAAGATCAGTTTACTATATTTGTGTAGGTCAATTTTTGGCCTCCCTAATCTGGTCAGTTAATTTCCATGTGCATCCTTCTTCCAATATTACGCTGTCTTTATTGTTGTAGCTTTAGAGTAAATCTTGAATCAAGAGTGTCAATCCCCTTCCTTTGTTTTTCTGCAGTATTGTGTTGGCTCTTCTAGACCTTCTGCCTTTACATATAAACTTTCTAACCAGTTTGTGGATATCTACAAAACAGTTCAATGAAATTTTTATAAGGATTACATTGAATCTAAATAGCCAGTTGGGAATATTGGCATCTTAGCAAATTCATAACATGGGCTATCGCTCTTTGTTTAGTTTCTCTTTGATTTCTTTCATCAGAGTTTTGTGGGTCTTTTAATATAAGTCCTGCACATATTTTGTTTGATGTATTTATCCCTGTTATAGCAAAAAATAATTGACTTTTTCTTTTTTTTTTTTTTTGAGACAGAGTCTCGCTCTGTCGCCCAGGCTGGAGTGCAGAGGCGCGATCTTGGCTCACTGCAAGCTCCGCCTCCCGGGTTCATGCCATTCTCCTGCCTCAGCCTCCCGAGTAGCTGTGACTACAGGTGCCCAGCACAACGCTCCGCTAATTTTATTTTTTCTATTTTTAGTAGAGACGGGGTTTCACCGTGTCAGCCAGGATGGTCTCCATCTCCTGACCTCGTGATCCGCCTGCCTTGGCCTCCCAAAGTGCTGGGATTACAGGCGTGAGCCACTGCGCCCAGCCAAATAATTGACTTTTTTATTGAAACCATGTGCGTAAGTTTCCCAAGGCCACCATAACAAAGTACTATCAGCTAAGTGGTTAAAACAATAGAAATGTGTTCTCTCACAGTCTGGAGGCTGGAAGTAAATATTCAAGGTTCATGCTCCTTCTATGTAGAATTCTTCCTTGCTTTTTTTTAACTGCAGATATTGGCTTTCAATGCTTGGCCTTCCTTGGCTTGCAGCTGCGTTATTCCAATCTCTGCCTCTGTTGTCATATGATGTTCTCCCTTTTTGTGTCTGTCCAAATTTCTCCTTCTTATAAGGACACCAGTCATATCATATTAAGGTCCACCATTAATGACTGCACCTTTTGTTTGCCACTTCTGAAAAGACCCTCTTTTCAAATAAAGTTACATACACAGGTACCTCAGGATTTCTTTTGGGAGGCCACATTTCCATTCATAACACTATGTATCCTGTGGCATCATTATACTAGCTTAAGTCATTACAGACATTGTTGCTGTTATTCCTCATTCTTTGGAATTTTCTACATAGATAATCATATCATCTGCAAACAAAGACTGCTTCCCCCCTTATCGTTTGCATCTTTTTCTTGTCTTGTTGCATTAGCTAAGACTTCCAATAGGATGTCAAATAAAAGTGGTAAGAGAACATCGCTTCCTTGTTCCAAATCCTACAAGGTCAAGTGTCCTGCCATTCAGCATGATGTTAGCAGCAAGTTGTTTGTAGATATTCTTTATAGAGTTGACAAAGTCCCCCTTTGTCCTAGTTTGAACAATTTTATCATGACAGGGCATTGCATTTTGATAAGTGTCTTTTATTTCATACATCAAATGATATATGATTTTTGCTTTTTAGCTTGTTGATAGGATGAATTATTTTGATAGATTTTATAATGTTGAACTGTACTGAAATATTTCTGTTGAACATTATTGTATCTACATTCACGAGAGATGATGATATATAGTTTCTCTTTCCTGTAATGTTTTTATCTGATTTTGACATTAGGATAACTAGGAAGTATTCTTTCTGCTTCTATTTTATGGAAGAGTTTGTGGAGAATTGGTAGTATTTATTGTTTTTAATGTTTGGTAGAATTTACTGGTGAACTCTTCAGCACCTTGTGCTTTCTCTTTGTAAAATCGTTAATTACTGATTCAAATGCTGTAAAATAGGCCTACTTAGATGATCTGTTTCCTCTTTTGTGAGTTTTGGAAACTTGTGTCTTTTAAATAATTAGTTCATTTCATCTAAGTTATAAATGCCATAGTGTTACTCGTATTTCTTTACTATCCCAGTTAACTAATAACTATCAAACTCTTATATTCTTTATTCTAAATTCTATAAAGATTTCTAATTTTCATCATTTCTCACTTTTTAAACTGAAAATAATGAGCTGTGGCCCATCTTCCTTCATATGATTATTCTTTTGTTGTTTTTTTAAAGTAAGAAATAGGAGATAATTAAAAATGTTGGTGGCATCCATAATCTTTATTTCAAATTTCAGTGAAGAGATGAAATGCTCTTGATGAAATGATGTCACACTAGTTTGAAATGTAGTATATCTTCTATGCAAAACATGATTTGAACACAACATTGCCTCAAAGACTGAAGAATAGCACAACTTCTATTATAATTTGTTATATAATTATATATTGCCTCTGCCACTCTGTAAAAAGAAGGAAAGCTGTAGCTTAATAAAAGTAGTAGTAACAGAATAATATTTGATACTGATGAAGTAATGTATACTTTTATATATTGTCACATGTGTTCTGTGAAAGGGTCATCTTTACATAACAACCTCCAAATGCAGAAAGATGTGACAAACCAAAGAAGGAGGCAGAGAAATCCAGTTTGTTTACTGGGGTAACTTACTGATAGAAGCATGGTCTCAGGTGGCAGCAAGACAGGTAGATCCCCAAACTGTTACTCCCCAGCCTCAGGGCTTATATACCACTGCAAACAGTATATGCTCTGTGCACGACAATTAAAGGCAACCCTCCAGGACAGCTAAGAATGCCGTATGCTGATGATTTGTATCAAGATTGACATGTTCTTATGCTAAGGACAGCACATCAAGTAGAAATCTGGAGGCATTTGTGAAACTGGAGTTAATCCGAAGTGAACAAGAAGGATTAGCATCCAAGATTAAGTCACTTTTGTTTCCACAGCATGCATTGTCTCATTTGACATAGTTTGTTTAGTGAGCATACTCTACAAGAGATGAGAATGTTATATAAAGATGTAACTTGAAAATGTGACATAGTCTAAGCTAGGAATTTTCTTATAAATGTATGTATTTACCCTCATATTTACAAACGGTAAAAAGTATCTTATTTAAGGGTGATTAACTAGGAACAGATCATTTCCCATGTTACTCATATTCTGGGTTGATTTTCATTGAAGATAGTTACTCAGGTATTGGTATTCATAGAATTACAGAAGGAATAAGAATATGCATTAACTGAAAGTAATCTTATCAAGCTTTACCATTTCTAATTTATATGAAGGAATTCACTTACTTGAATATTTATTCATGAAGTTATTGCTATTCAATATAATACAATTTTTCTTACCATATGCAGAAAATCCTGAGTCATGTGCTGAAGGTATAAATGTACAAAGCTAATTATATCATAATTTTAAAAACTGCATCACAATCAAATAGCTTTACAAGGATGTCAGAATAAAATATATTTTGTAAAGTATAGTATAAATCAAAAACTCTGCATAGACCTGGGTTTAGGAATATAAATTCAAGGTTTTGAGGTCATGATAAATGAAAATTATAGCATTTAGAATAGCTTTTTGCATATTAAAACATTTATGGAAAAATATTTTAGAAGAAATAGAGCATATTTTAATTCTTACAATTATAAAGCTGTAATTTTGGGTGCTCATAGTTTAAGTGTTCTCTAGCTCTGACAGATTGATTTCCTGATGTTCTAAAAGATAGCTTTCTAAGCAAATACTTGGCCAAAAGTCAAACCTAATTATGGACAATTGCTTTGTGTTTTATTTTCCTCATCAGTACGATGGAAAAACAAAATTATATACTCCATTGAGTTAGTGTAAGGTCTAATGGAGTTAATACATTTATGCCCCTTTGAAGAAGGCTTAACAAATTGTAAAGCCTCAGGAATTGAGAGTTGATACTAATTTTGAGGATCAAATACTAACTCCTTTAAGTCTCTATCCAAGTATACTCTTTTCCTAATCAATTGACTTACAACATTTTTATTAGAATTACAGTATTTTAGATTTTTTAATGTTTTATTCCATATTTAAATATAACAAATTACTACATGAAAACCAACAATTCATCAAACTATTTAAGGAAGAGATTAGCCATTTTAGCTCTTCCAAATCACATTCTCATAGATCCTTGACCAATACTGATGAATATCCTGATAATTTTCTTTATAATCCCCATTCATTTCTGAAGATGTTTCGTAGTATCATTTAGTGTATTCACTTAATCTTTGCTTCTTACAAGTAGCCTGCCTTTTTTCTTTTAATATTTTCTTTATCTCCTTTAGTGTTCTAAATTTTCAGTATAATTTCTCCAGGTGAAAATTTTTTTAAATTTATTTTCTTGGTTTCAGTATGATTCCTGAAAATACAGATGCATGCTTTTTATCAATTTGGGGAAATTCACAGCCTTTTTTTGTTAAATCTTGTTTCTTCCCTCTTCCATTTCTGCATTGTCTCTTTTCAGAATGCCAGTTGGATTCATACTAAACCTTCTCATTTGGTCCATAATCTATGCCTCTCAACTCTTCCCAGCTTTCAGAATTTTCATTCCTTGCCTTTCATGTCTTAACACGCATGCTCAGTTATATCTTCCAACTCATTTCTCATCTCTTGGCTGTGTCTAATCTTCAGATTAAACCATCCATTGAACTTTTAAATTCAGTGAATACATTTTTCATTTCTACAAGTTCTTATTAGTTAATTTTAAAACTGTCTTCTGATATTTTCTCATTTCATATTCCTTGCTCATATTTTCAATTCTTTCATTAAAAAATTACATGTATTTTATAGTGTATATATATAAAAATTTACATATCTGAAATACTTAGTTGTCTAATTTTGTTTTATTAAAACTAACTTATGATAATTTATTTATTATATGTTGAAATTTAGGTTTGTAAACGTATATTTGAATGATCTTAATCAGTAGTAATTCTTAGGGCTTAGGCTAATAGGCATTTCCTTTAGAGAGAATTTGTGTTTGCTGCTGCCAGGTGCCCCAGTTACTACCAACTCGAAAACACTTTAAAGGTATTTGTTGTCTTATAAGGTTACAATAAAAATTCAAATCCCAAATATAATTAAGAACATGGCTAAAGTATCCTGTCCTCTTGAGAGGATAGTTTCCACTACCTGGAGCTAAAACTAATAAAGAACTTATCTTTTCCTTGTAGTCCAGGTTGGACTTTGTAAAGTTTACCTTTTCATTGAGTGTGTATCTCTTGTGGTCACAAATTCTGAGGTGCTACTGTTTCAGCTTCTTACTTTATGAGGTTACAAGGCCTTGTATCCCTTATACTGGGCTGCTGTTAAGACTCTGTCATTGACAAACATTTTTAGGAGAATCTACATTTTATTTTATGCCTACCAACCATTTTTTTTGTTTTTGTTTTTTATTTTCTGGGCTTTCCTTTATTGCAAGCTTTGAAAAATTGTTTGTCGTATTTTGCCCAGCCTATCTAATAGGCTTAGGGAAGATTTTTTTTTTTAGATTAAGTAAACATCCATGAAATAAAAAGCAGAATTTATTAATAAAGATTTATTCCATTTTGTCTAAAAGTACAAGTCAAATACATAATAGTAAGGTTGAAGATATATAGGTCTTATTTATTAACATAATTTTTCTAAAAAAAGATTTTAAATGATAAAGCTTCTTTATTCTTTCAGAGATCTTGCAAAGAATTAGATTCCATTGTAATAATATAATTACAAGGTAATAGAAAATATTAATTTATTGCTAAGGCATTGATAGAAAGTGTCAAAATACTGCAATAAAATAAATGAATTTGAAGGGAAAATCTTAATTTGGCTTAACATTTCATTTTTATTGTAAAATATGTCATTCCAGAAGGCAACATATGCACATTAAAAAATTCCTCTTTATAGTGGATCAATTACATTTAGGATCCATCCTGATGTAGCATTTTGCTATTAGCTAGTGTTGAAGTAAGTCATTGTTTCCCCCGTTTCAAATGTTATAGTAATTATGTTAAGTGAAATAAGCTAGGCAAACATCACATAGTAATGATGCTGTGCATTTACATCATAATTTGCAATTTATAAAACATTTTACTTTTATTTTTTATTTACTCTTCATCGTCTCAAAGGGAAACGACATAAAAAGTTTATCTTTAATTTTTTAAAGGTGCAGATACTCAGAAATTGTATGTCATATATGACATCTCAGGAATACTAAACAAAAGAGCTCAGATTTCAATTGGTTCTTTTTATTCCGGTCTAACATTCTTCTGGTGCTGATTTTATTTTGAATGGAGTTTAAGAATATGTAAAAGAGTCTTTTTAGCATACAATAGTAACTTATTTTTGCATTGTGTATTTCAGTCAGTGGGCTGCCTGAAGTAAAAGTACTTCCTTTATCTTTAACAATATAGTCATATTTACAAAACTGTGAGTCTGCTCTGATAAGGGGTATTTCATCAATACAATAGCACTCTCTATTTCAGTGTGCTTTGATTGTAAACGTTTTAGCTACATTTTATCTTTCTTCCAGACGTGGTTCTTATAAAAATAAATTACTCTGAACATAAATAAAATGTCAGGGCATTTGCTATTTCTTTTGTCAGGATATCTGATATTTCTTTAACTGTGGCAAGTGTTCCAGTAACAAAGTGTAAAAGACTCGGACAATTTTAGTTTTCTTGCTCCAAAGCACTGCTTTTTCTTCCAATACAGGAATTGTGTACACCTGCTCACACAGTACTAACCTCAGGCACTGACAAAGCAGCTTCCTGGTGAGGAAAGTTGCAAAGTTCATTCTGCTTAAGTAAAAGACCAGAGCAAATGAAGCCCTCAAAAGCCACAGGCAAAGTCTTAACCACAGTTAACATATTCACTGTACAGAGACATCCAACTATTTTTTTAAAGAATCTAACAAGAACATTCATTTTTTGGGAAAAGTGGCTCCAAGAAGGAAACAGAAACAGTGACTCAGCAGTTATACAACTTTGCCAATCAATTAAAAGAAAAATCCAGCAACATTGGTATAACTTGCTTGAAATTTGTCATCTTTGACCTCGCCATAGATCCAGCAAATCAGAATCTTTATTTCAACCAGTGGACATTAAAGTTTTGAGAGCATTGCTACAGGATTTTTTGGGGGGTACAGATTTCATGATTAGTAACTAGTTTTCAATCACTCTAATGTATATAAAAAAAGTTTATTTCCTAAAAAAATAGTATTAGTAACCATTTCAATTAAATTATTCTTATCTGATAATGGAGAGTGATCGTTAATTCTAAATCGATATTCACTTTCCTCCATGTAATTCTGCTACCTTAAGTTGAACAAAAATTCATCACTTTAGTTATATCTTCTCTGAATGTCAAGCTCGTGGGAGGCAGTGATTCTCATGTTACTATTGTATCCCAGCTGCATAGCATATTGCCTGTTCCAAAATACATGGTCAGAAAATATTAGTATAAGTGAGTAAAAGACTGGAGTTAAAATGAATATAGTATCATTTGTTATTATAATTGTTTCCTTAGAAAAAGTTGAGGAAATGTTATAAACCTTTTAAAATCTTTTTTTCACATAATTTGTATGTTTAAATTTTTATATTATAAAATCTTGTTGTATACAATTATTAAGGTATGTTTCTTATACAGTTATTGACAATTAACTATTCCATTTCATGATTGCCTGTTTGAATAGAACATTATCTTAAACATTTATGTTCTTAGTTCACATAGAAAAATATTAGTTTTATTTCAGATGGTATAAATATCTTTTATTTATTTTAATTGTAAATGTAATTCATATTTCAGTACTGGAGAATCAAGACAATAGTGCAACAATATGGCATCCTTTCTGGGTTTATGTTAGTTTTCATATGATTCCAATTTAATAGTAGCTTATTGACGTATTGGGATCTTGAAGTCTTTAAGGAATATGCTTTAGGTATTCTCAGATGTGTAATAGTTTTAGTTGCAGAGGAACCAGAACCTCTTATTCAACCTCCCATTAGTTAAAGAAGAATTTTGCTTTACGGTATGCTAAATGCACACTTTGGTGACAGCTTTTAATTATATATCTCTTTCTGGGTCTTTAGTTTCCTCTATTGAGAACAACTGGAGTTTTAAGATGTAAATAATAAGATAACTAAAGACTGTTTACTCAACAACGACAATCAAGTTTATTTCACATCAGTTAAATCCAGTAGGTACTCTTTACAAATATATTTTTTAAACTAGTTACCTTACTGTACAAGTTGTTTGACATTGAATTAGCTTGGATTATGAAATTGACTAAGTGAGCAGCAATATAAGTTGTCATAAGCTGTTGACAGAACATGCTTTTTCTTTAAAGTGTTCAGACCTGCGTACATCCGGATAGTTAAGAGTAATGCAAATTTCACCTGGACATACTGTTAACCTGTTGATTCCTATTCAGAACGTATGTGATAAGTCCTGGGATTCTGAGGAGATGCTGATGCTGCTATTCTGCAGTCCACATTTTGAATAGCAAGGCTTTAGGGCAGATTTAAGCAAAATATTGAAATAAAATCTGTTCCTTGGTCTTTTTTGCCTTCATCTGTTCCTATGATTTGAATGTCTGTCCTCACTGAAACACATGTTGAAATTTAATTGCCAATGTATAGATATTGGGAGCTGAGTTTTTTTAAAAACTGATTAGGCCATGATGGCTCCACCCTCATGGGTGGAGTTAATGCCCTAATCAAAGGGCTTTTATGAGCAGGCTCCCTCTCTTGACTCTTCTGCCACGTGAGAAACAATGGTCTCTCCTTCCTGAGGATGCAGCACACAAGGCACCAACTTGAGAATACAGACTGGTCCCTTCCCCCACACCAAAATTTCACGTGCCTTGATATTGGACTTCTCAGCTTCCAGAATCATGAGCCAATATATTTGTCTTCATTATAAATGATCCAGTTTGTTACATTCTATTATAGCAGCACAAATGGTCTAAGACACTGGGACTAAGACACCTGTTGTTAATTTCTTAGGCTTATATACCCCATTGAACACCCCCGAAATATATTGTATTTTCTTCTCTTTCTACCTAATCACTTCTCAATATTTAATTGTTTAATTATATGGCCCTACTCACCTAATCTTAAACTAAAGGTAGACCACTCACAATACTGTTAAACTACAAGAAAATGAATTCTAGCTTCAAAAATTTTCCAAAACTCATTTTAAAAATATTTATTCCCAAGTGTAAAATTCAATAAATATTTTTATACTTACAGTGCTTGATTTTTTTTTCTTCTGACATCCATATATGACATATTGACAGCTTCCTTCCTGAAACTGCCTTGGTCTTTTATACTCCACTATCTCCTTGTTCTCTGCCTTGGTCTCTTATACTCCATTATCTCCTTCTTCTCCTCATTTTTGATATTTACTTCTCAGTAGCTTTCAGTGGAATTCTAAAAGTTGTCATTGCATATAAATTCTTCCATAGAATATGATACTCATTCATATGGCTTTGCAGGTCTTCTGCATGCTGATGCTTTTCAAATATCAAACACAAAATATCCAAACCTAAATATTTTGCCTGGCTCCTCAATCTTTAACAAATGAATTCTCCTAAATTCCCTTTTAATGTATTTTCAGCACAATTTGCTTAATTCATGTAGTTCCAAATCAATGACTCATCTTCTTTTTAAATTGTATGACACATTCTATCAACACCTCCTAAAAATCCCAGAAGGCATTTCCCCTACCTTATCATTACTGATATTTTGAACTGATATATATGTTCATTATATAGTTTGATCTATTTTAGTAAACTCCTGATTTTCCTATGTTCTATCATCCAAAGCTAATTATTTTATATTATCAACACTATGAGTTTTTAATTAAAAATAATTTTAGATACCTTTTAGAAAGTAACCTCCCAACTAATTCAGGATATAATATCCTTAATGTAACATGTAAAAACCTATATAATTTAAAAAATTCCCACTCAAAATCTCTTTCTTTTGATTTTACTGTTTTTTTCACATTCAACCAAAGTATTGCATGCTTTGATTGAACATACTTTTATATTTTCTTTCTTCCTTCTTCCATAATATATATTATTATGAATATAATATATATGGCAGAAGGAAGAAAATATGTTCATAATATATTATGAGTATATATTTTATATATATTATATATAATATATATAACATATATTATATTATTTATATATTACATATATTATTATATATTATAAAATATATAGTATATTTTATATAAAATATATATAGTATATTTTATATAAAATATATATAGGCCGGGCGCGGTGGCTCACGCCTGTAATCCCAGCACTTTGGGAGGCCGAGGCGGGTGGATCATGAGGTCAGGAGATCGAGACCATCCTGGCTAACAAGGTGAAACCCCGTCTCTACTAAAAATACAAAAAATTAGCCGGGCGCGGTGGCGGGCGCCTGTAGTCCCAGCTACTCGGGAGGCTGAGGCAGGAGAATGGCGTGAACCCGGGAGGCGGAGCTTGCAGTGAGCCGAGATTGCGCCACTGCAGTCCGCAGTCCGGCCTGGGCGACAGAGCGAGACTCCGTCTCAAAAAAAAAAAAAAAAAAAAAAAAAAAAATATATATATAGTATATTTTATATAAAATATACAATATATATTTTATATAAAATATACAATATATATTTTATATAAAATATACAATATATATTTTATATAAAATATACAATATATATTTTATATAAAATATACAATATATTATAAATATAATATATAAAAGATATAATATATAAAACATATATTCATAATATATTATGAACATATTTTCTTCCTTCTGCCATATATATTATATTCATAATAATATATATTATGGCAGAAGGAAGAAAATAAATAACATATAATATATATTATAAATATATATTATATGTTATAAATAACTATATATATTCTTTTTTACTTATGGAAAGGTTTACATTTCCATACATTACATTTTTAAAATGATTTCTTGAATAAAGGAATATGGAAACACTTAATTTGATAAGAAAATGACCTCTATTCTTAACCTTTTATGGCAATTTAATCCAGTACTTTTTGATTCATTTTCTATTTCTATCTAAGAATAATAATATATTGCTATCAATGTTCAGTCACTTTTAAAAAATATTTTATTGATATGAAACTATGATTCCTAATCAGTGGAAGTGCTAGCAAGAGAAACCAATAATTACTTGAAAAAATACAGAATAAAAGACCAAGCATTTTACCATAAAATAAAGAAGTACTATCAGTTTACACATACTTGAATTCAACTTAAATGCCATTAGTTCTTCACCCACCCACAACAACATGGACCTCTCTCTCACCTCTCCTTCTCTCTCCCCCTCCAAACACATGTTTCTCTCCACTCCTACTCTTGCTTTCCAAAATTTCTCTGCCATGAAAACACTCTTAAGTTGTCCCCTTCATGGTCTCTCCTAGTATTTACTCCTTTGCATAATATCCTCTTCTTTCATGGCAGAACCCATGACTTACTTCTAACTAATACAATAAGGCAAAAATAATGAGATGTGGAGATTATATGTACATGATTACATTATATAATATTATAATGCCCATTATGTAAGGAGACCCTTCCCTGTTGGCTTGATGAATCAAACAGCTATGTTTGGGGGAACAAGAGGCAAGAAACTGAGACTGGCCTCTACAAGTTGAGGGTGGCCTCCTGTCAATAGCCGGCAAGAAAATAAGAGGCTACTGCTAACCCTAAGGAGTTCAATTCTACAATCAATAACATAAACATGAAACATAGCCTTCTTTAGTCAAATTTCAAGAGTAGAATCCAACCCAGGTGGACATATTGATGGAAGCCTTACAAATAATCCAGACAAGGCTGCTGGAGTCCTTGGAAATGGCAGGATAATAAATGTGCATTGTTTTAAGCTGTTGAATTTATGGTAATATTTTGATATAGCAGTAGAAAATGAATACATCCTCATTCCCAAGTATTCTACACTTGTCATAAGGAAAATTCTAAAATGGCCAACTTAATGTTTCCATGACTAATTCCTAGCTAGGACTGTGATTATGATGAGCTATCTAGTCCATGACTATATTAATTTAAATGCAAGAGGTATTTTGATGATGTAATCAAGTTTACTAATCAGTTGACTTTGCTTGATAAACTTTCAGAATAGAAATGAATTTAATAAGCATAATTAATCTCTGGTCTTTCAAAAGAGGGTTTTTTTCCTGTTTGTTTGGTTTGTTTTTTCCTTAGCTGGTAGAAGATAAGGAAGTCAAAGCCATCCAAGCATGAGGAGAATTTAATGTTGCAGTGCTCATTTAAAGAGGAAGGAGTTCTCTAGAAGATACGGTGAGTCCTCTCTGACAGTGAACAAGGAAATGAAGTCTTCCTTCCTACATCCACAAGAAACCAAATTCTGCCAACTACCTGAATAAGCTTAAAACAAATTCCTCCCAGGGCCTCTGGCCAAAAGCCCAGCCTGACCAACACCTTGATTTTACCTTTGTGAGACCATAGGCAGAAAACCCAATTAAGACTGCCCAAAAAGAAGTCATAAAATAAGATTGTGTAAGGTCATAAGTAAAGATTGTTGGCATACTGACTATTCATTGTGAACGGTTTGGGTATATATTGAAGTATTCTCAGCAAAGTACTGGCATAATTTAATTCATGCAGAAGAAGCAAATCTCTGAGTGTGATGAAGTACCTGGAGGAGAGACAGTGCTAGAAGTAGTAAGAACAGCTTGACTTCCATTGCAATAATGAGGGAAAAGAAGATAATGTCTTGGTCCAAAGAAATATCACTTAAAGGTGGTGAGAAGCAGGGATGATATGAAAAACCTTAATGCCTAGTGAGTCATGGATAATGACAATTTATAGTAGATACCGTAATCATTAGAGTTGATAGGCTGTACACCATGCTGGAAAATACAGAATGAATAGACTTATTGTCAGGATATATTTTGAAAATGCACATCATACATTTTGCTTATACATTTGACAGAAGGTGTGTTGTTATGCCAGATCATATTAAAGAACAATTTTAGCAAATATGGTTTGTCAAGGGCAAGGCAATTCAAAAGTTAAAATCTGAGTAATTTCACTAGGAAAGGTATTTGTACCAGCTACAGTGAGAAATCTGAAATGGAAGATGGAGAAAGGATTCATAAACATCAGATAACAACCACACTATCCTGAGAGAATCAGAGGAATTCTTAATCATTGTTTATTCATGTACCTGTTTCTTAGAGCAGATTTGCGAATTCATGAAATTAAATGCATTTTATAAGAAATCTATACTTACACATTCAATTGATAATATATTAATACATGTATTTATTCATTAATACATTAATAAGAAATAATGGCAGCAATTCTAAAACCTTTATAACTTCAAAGTGGTAGCCAGTATATTATTTGAGATATCTGGAACAACTGTTGGCTTATATGAAAAATATGTGATTTATATTGGTGACAAGTAATACAAGTTGATTATGCCTCATCCAAAAATATGACATACAAAATGCATCAAAATTTAAAATTTATTGAGCACCAACATGACACCAAAAGTAGAATATTTCACACCTGACCTCATGTGACAAGTCACAGTCAAAACACAGTCACAGCTTTGTTTCATATTCAAAATCATTTAAAAGATTGTATAAAATTACCTTCAGGCCATGTATATAAATAAGGTGAATATGAAACATAAATGAATTTTGTATTTAGATTTGATTCCCATCATTAAGATATCTCATTTTGTGTATTATTCCAAAATCGTTTAAAATTTTTAAAATTTGAAATATCTGTGATACCAAGCATTTCAAATGAGGAATATTCAACCTGAAGTTAATCCTCATAGTTTTATAATCTGCTGCATATCTTCATGTAGAAATGGTAATTTCAATTAGAAATTAGTGAACAGAAATAATTTTTTCCATCTGCCAAGTTTACGCTGTCTCTGGATTCCACTGATGGTCAACTCTAGTGCTTGCTCTGCTGGACACCTTGATACTATCTGGCTTCTCTTTCTCACTCTATCATATTTCAAAATATTTTAATATTAAAGATTGTAATAAGGAATCCACAAACCAACAACCTAAAAACTTTCAACATAAAGTAAGATAGACGTCACAAAACATGGTGGAGGACCGAACTTTTCCAAAGGGCATTAAATGAGATTTCATATTTGTTAAATTTCATGAGTAACAAGAATAATTTTACTTACAATAATTAAGTCTTCTCTAAGCCATTATTTTAAAAACTTACCTAAAATTGCTTTACTTGCAAAAGACAAAAGAATGTTGTTAATATTCTCTTTGTCATTGAGTTTAAGAGATATAAAGATTTAACGGCCTTGATGTTGTACATAATAGGCATATCTTTGTATTTTTTCTAGACATACAAACTTATTGGTAATTTTATAAAATTATGTTCCAGTAAGACAGAATCTTCTTAGATCAGATATAAGTCAGCCATATGTCTCATTCCTTGGAAAGTTATTCAGTCAGTATGCCAAGAAAAGTATTGAATAAAATTAATGTTTTCATGGTTTGGGAACCAGTGAAATGGAGTGAATTAAGCACAAAATCATAGGAACTACTTCTACTGAATAAAGCAATAAGAATACTTGAGTTGGTCAGTTGCCCTAATGCTTCTGGCTCATTAATTTAGCTAAGCTTACTAAAATGACTTTATCTTGAAAGAAAATGCTTGAAGGGCAAAAGATATCTGTGTAAATGTATCTTTGTATGATTATAAGAACATTAAAAGCAATATTTTAAAAGAGCATTATAAAAATGTAATAGAAGGAAAAATACATATTGAGTAAACATGTAAAGGAAAATGTAATTTCTCTTTACTGAAACAACTGAAATGTTTTTAACTTTTCAAAAGCTTGCTTTCAATTTTCTAGATTTTAAATTATTAAAATGTTAATAACAGTCAAATTTTATTATTGTATTTTTTTAAATCCAAACGAAATAGGAACAGCTATAATTATACACACACACACACACACACACACACACACACACACACATACATATCTTTTAGATTTTAGTTTTTAATTTAAAAATGTTTGGCTTCTATGCCAAATTCTCAAAAGATGAGATAGGTATGCAACACAGTTAAGCACAGGGAAATATTTTTTAATGACATTAAGCCAAATAACTTTCCGATTTTCAAGTAATCAAAACAAGTAAAAAGAAATTTGGAAACAAGTTAGAAAATTTGTTTGAGATTTTTCCAGTTAAACCCAAATTAATGGGTACTAGGCTTAACACCCGGGTGATGAAATAATCTGTATAACAAATACCCATGAAAGAAGTTTATGTATGTGACAAACCTGCACTTGTACTCAGGAACTTAAAATAAAACTTAAAAAAAGAATTTTCTCAATAGTATATCTTCTTCCTGAGTGCACACTTAATTCATGTCAAGAGATAGAGCTTATTTTTTCCTCCTGTTCAACATATACCATCCTTGAGAGTGGTTTTGACCAATAGTTGTATCAGAAATCATGACTTGGGATATCTGAGCTCAGACATTGTAACAGTGTAGCAAGCTCCACTTTTTATCTTGTGGAACCCAGCCGGCCTGCTGCAAAATGCTTAAAAAGCCACCTGAGAGACCAACTGGGGAAGAAACAAGCAGAGAGTGAGAAATGAGGTCCTAGACCTATGGGCCAAATTGAATCATTCCATCCATTTATCCCCCAGGCATTTCAGCTACTCTAAGATACTAGACATATGAGAAAAGAAGTCATCTTGAATGTTGTAGTCCAAATGACATTGTGTAGAGCAGAGGTTAATTGTTACTACTGGACTCACAAAATTGTGAGATATGGTAAAATGATTGTTATGTCGCTACATTTTCGTGCAATTTATTCTAAAACAATTGACACCTGAAATAAGAGTGAAATACTATGACTTGCAGTCTTATTCAAAGATTAAGCTTTTATGTTCCACAGTTTTTTGTAGTCCATGTGAGTTAATTACAAACACCAACCCCCTTTACCAAACTGAGCTTTGCAGTAAATAATTTATTAGTGTCCACCAGTAAACATTGGGATCCAGTAAGAGAGATGATAGGGTTTGGCTCTATGTCCCCACCCAAATCTCATGTTGAGTTGTAATTCCCAGCGTTAGAGGTGGGGTCTAGTGGGAGGTGATTGGATTATGAGGGTGGTTCCTAATGGTTAAGCCCCATCCCTCAAGTATTGTCTTATGATAGAGTTCTCATGAGATCTGGTTGTTTAAAAGTGTGTAGCACTTCCCCTTTCTCTTTCTCCTGTTTCCACCATTAAGATGGGCTTGCTTCCCCTTCACCTTCCACCATGATTGTAAGTTTCCTGAGGTAATCTTCCCCACTATTTTGAGCCTAATTTTGAACCTAAGGAGACAGCCTTATGATCTCCAAATATTTTCTGGGTCATCCTTCCCTTGTCTTGAAGAGTATAGCAGTGTTGACAGCCAAAGAGCTCTATGGTCCCAGCCTATGAAACCTAAGAAGTCTGACCTTTCTTCATTCCTTTCTCTTTCCCCTTCAGTTGGAATTGGCAATTTTCCTGCTACGGTAGCTGATTAAGTCCATGGTTTGCACATGTATTTATCTCTTTATCAAAGGGTAAATTGAACTCACCCTCAGTGTTCTTTCCCAAACATGCTTTCTTATTTATTGCAATATTCATAGAATAAGAATTTGCCATGTCTTTAATCTCTAGTTCCTTTTGATTAATCTGTCTTCAAGTTATTTTCTCTTCTTGTGTTTTTCTATAAGAAGTTAGGAGGAACCAAGTCTACTACTTTAGCACTTTGATTAGAAATCTCTTCAGCTAAGTATCCAATTACATGTTACAAGTTCTACCATTCCTAAAACACTAAAATAAGAACAATGTCACTTTATAACAAGGATGACCTTTTCTCTATTATCCAGTAACATGTTTTTGATTTCCATCTGAGTCCTCATCAGAATGGGCTTTACCATCCATATTTCTATCAAAATTCTGTTTATATTACTTTTGTCTTTGCCAAGAATATGGAGACTTTCTTTCCCACCTTCCTCCTTTTTTTCTGAGCCTTTACCAAAATAACCTTAAAAATCCTTTTATGACAATCTCAGCCTCTTCTAGCATGCACTTCAAAACTCTTTCAGCATCTTTTCATTACCTGGTTCCAAAGCTGCTTCCACATTTTTAGGTATTTGTTACAGCAACACCCCACTTTTGGCACCAAAATCTATATTAGACTTCTCCTAATAGAGCCCATAGCATATTTTATACTTATAGAGGAGAGGTATTACAAGATTATTGACTCACATAATTATGAAAGCGGAAAGTTCCATAATGCAATGTCTATAAACTGGAAACCCATGAAGACTCCTACTGTGGTACAAAGGACTGAGGGCCAGAGAGGCAGTGGTGTAGATTCCAGTTCAAATCTGAGGGCCTTAGAACCAGGAGCACCAAGGGCAGAATAATTTCCGCCAGATTAAGTAGTAAGGCAGAAAGAGAATCCAACCTTCTTCCACCATTTGTTCTATTCAGGCCTTTGATTAATTGGATAATGACACCCCCTTCCACATCAAGGAGGGCAATATGCTTTACTCAATCCAGCAATTCAAATGCTAATCTCTTCCAGAAACACCTTCATAGGTAAACCCAAAAATAATGTTTAAGCAGATATCTGGGCGTCTTGTGGCTCAGCCAGGTTGACACATAAAATTAACCATCATAGTAAGATTCAGAAAAGATTAGAAAGGAGTAAGAATGGCTGAATAAATTTGTGAAAGAATAGACTGAATAAAGCTGTTGAAACGAAACTTTCAATGGATAGATTGTAGAGAAGATAAATCATAGTTGAAGATAAAGTCAAGGAAGTAGATTTGTCTGTAAGATTTAAACAGAATGAAGAAGAAAGAGGCAAGTAAGTGAAAACTACTGAAGATAGTTTTGAGAAATAAATCAAATATGAAGCTCTACCATGATATTAGTTAAAGTCACAAGAAAAAGGAAATTTATGAAAGGAGATAATGACAATATTCACAAAAATGATTACAACATTAATGAATCGGAATTATTTTTCTAGAGAAGAGGTATAAAAAACATCTTCACTCTAGGTAGTGAAATGTCAGAACACTTTCAAAGAGAAAAAGTGCAATGCACTGAATTTGCTTACCCCAAATTCATACATTGAACCTTAATCCCAATGTGATGATATTTGGAGGTGAAGCCTTTAAAATGTAATGAGGTCATGAGGATAGAGACATCATAAATGGCATTGATGCCTTTATGAGAAGAGTGTAGAGAGCTAGGTGGCTCTTATCTGCCATGTGAAGGTACAAAAAGACTTCAGCTCTCTGCAGTCTAAAAAAGAGCCCTCAGCAGAACCCAATTGTGCTGGACCCTGATCTAAAACTTCCAGCCCTCACAGAACTGTGAGAAATGAGTTTCTGCAGTTTATAAGACACCTAGTTTATGGTAATTTGTTAAACCTGCCCCAAATGACTAAGACCGAAACAATTTTACATCAGATATAGATTTGCATATTATCAACGAAGGCCAAAACCTTCTGTAGAAATATAGTGTCAGTATATTTCTCAACAACAATGAATGCCTGAAGATGATGGGATAATATCTTCAAAATATTGAAATAAAATAAAGTGTCAATCTAGAATTTTGCTTCAATAAAGTATAATAAATGTTAAATAAAATATTTTTAGTAAAAAACACATAGCTTATATACAAATGCCTTTATTAATAGAATATAATACAAAAAGAAGAAAAAAATTCCAGAATCTATCTGAAATGCAAGAAGAGTGAGAAAATTAATGGTAAATACAGAGTGTGCTCTCTCTATATATATATATATATATCTGTATATATATATCTGTATATATATATATATATATCTGTATATATATATTTTCTCTCTCTCTCTGTCTATATATATATATATATATATATGTGCACAAATACTAATAATTCAAGAAGTTGAAAAACGACAAAACCATAATACTGGAGGAAAGTAACTTAGATGGACTACGGACTTTTGACTTAATGCTGAAGTGAGTTAAAACTTTAGGGAAGTGTTGGGAAGGTATGATTGGTTTTGAAATGTGAGGACATGAGATTTGGGGGGGACCACAGGTGGAATGATATGGTCTGGCTGTGTCCCTACCCAAGTCTCATCTTGAATTGTAGTTCCCATAATTACCATGTGTCATGGGAGGAACCTGGTGCGAGGTAATTAAATCATGGGGGTGGGTCTTTCCCGTGCTGTTCTTGTGATGGTGAATAAGTCTCATGACATCTGATGGTTTTATAAAGGTGAATTCTCCTGTGCACGCTCTCTTTGCCTGCTGCCATGTAAGATGTGACTTTGCTCCTCATTTGCTTTCAGCCATGATTGTGAGGCCTACCCAGCCATGTGGAACTGTTAGCCAATTAAACCTCTTTCTTTTATAAATTATCCAGTCTTGGGTATGTCTTTATTAGCAGTGTGAGAACAGATTAATATAGTAACATATAAGTTATAGAGAAACAATCAGAGTTAAAGTGTTCTGAAATATCTGTATTGTTCAAGAAGGCAGATAAATATAGTTTAAATTTTAAAATATTAATAAAATATTTAGATAAAATAATATTTTAAGTACAAAAATACAAGGAGATTTCATATACTGAAACTGTTGAGTCAAAAATAAAATATAAAAGAATCAATCAGAAAGAAAAGACAAGATGAAAATCAGGAAAGCAAATCACATTTAATAAAAGATATTGATAGGCATTCAAATGTATTAATAATATTCAAAAGTTATGTTAATTAACTGAATTCATCAGTTTTTATTAAAAGACTTTGAGAGATTTCATTTATTTATTTTTTTTTTTTTTTATTTTTGAGACAGAGTTTTGCTCTTGTCTCACAGGCTGGAGTGCAATGGCACAATCTCAGCTCACTGCAACCTCTGCCTCCTCGGTTCAAGAGCTTCTCCTGCCTCAACCTACCCAGTAGCTAGGACTACAGGCACGTGTCACTATGCTTCGCAAATTTTTATATTTTTAGCAGAGATGGGGTTTCACCATGTTGGCCAGGATGGTCTGGAACTCCTGACCTCAGGTGATACACCTGCCGTGGCCTCCCAATTCCTGGGATTGTGGGTGTGAGCCACCACGCCCAGCCAGTGTGATTTTATTTTAAAATATTAACCCAATATTATTTTGAAAATAACAATTCCTATTCATTTGTTTTAAAATTAATCTTTATTAGGTAAGATAGCTATATCATGGTAGGCCAATAGTTCCATTCCAACAATAAAAAATCCCAAATAAATTGCAATCATTGTGTTTTATATGGTATTGAACACCTGAAGAAGAAGCAGGGACTGCATAAACTAAAATTATAGAGAAGAAAGGTTCTTCCTTGATAAACTGATAATCCCTGACGATTCCCCCAACCCCTGGAGGATTTTACTAAATATAGACACGTCCTAAGGATTAGGGATCTTCCTAAACAGTAGAAAACTGTGAGGAAACAGAGACCAGCAGAAGTTTTCCTCTCATGCAAGGCACTTGCAGTGAACTAGAGCCCTCAATTAAAGGCTTATGAGGTGGTATAAGACAATGGGTTACAAAGCCAGAAGAGCAGAGCAAAATTTCCTGAGACCTCATAGTACTTGAAAAACAAAGCCTCATTACAGACCATGAGACTTCCTAATGCCACATGAAGAAAGTGTGACAACTTCAAGATGTGTAGTATAAGCCCTAAATCAGTCAATGTACCACATTTACAGCTAATAAGGGAACAGAAGAGATAAAAAGGTATCAGCTAATTACTCGATGCAAAACGAGGTGAAAAAAGGGAGAGAGGAACAAATAATAGATGGTTCAAATGGAAAATATATCAAATGGTCAGTTAAACAAAAGCATATCAACAATCACATGAAATATATGGAGTGGACACATTCCAATACAAACCAGATTGTCATTTTCGAATAAACACCCAGATTAAACTGTTTGCTAACTGCAAGAATCCCATTTTCAATATAAAGAAACAAATTTTTTATAAGTAAAATGTTAGTGAAGCACATATACCATGGCAATACTAACAAAAATTAAATTAGAGTACCTATGGTACTACCATACAAAATCAATTTCAGAACAAAGAATATCACTAGGGCTAGGGGGAGACATTATATTCTGAAAAAGATGTTCAATATTCAAATATTGAAATATTACCAGAGCTTCAAAGTACAGGAATTAAAAAATGATAAAATTGCAAGAAGGAATAGTGAAATTTACATCATCAAGACTTCAAGAATTTTCTCTCAGTAATTAACAGAACATATAGAAAATGCATAAGCCTGAATTAGAGTACCAACAAACTTGACCTAATTGACATTTATAAACACTCCAAAAACCAGCAAAGTACACTTTTTTTAAGCATACATGGAACATTTACAAACATAAGACTCTATTCTGTGCTAAAATTCAAGTCATAAAAAAGACTGTCTCTTATGAAATTAATTATAAATCTATGACACAAAGATATCCAGAAAATTCACCAACATTTAGAAGTGCCAAATAAAAAAATTAAAAAACAAAATAAAAAAGTTTGATTTATAATAAAAGTAAAACATCAAAATTTGTAAAATGGATTAATCCTGAAATTACAAGAATGCTATAATACAAAATATCCATATTCAAAAATAAAAGCCTCATCTCAGTGACCTCTGTTGCCACCTTAGAAAGTAGAAATAGAAAAGTAGAGAAAATCCAAGTAAACAGACATAAGAAGATGATGAAACTCAGGGTAGAGAGGGTTAAAATTGAAAAAAATAAAATAAAACAATTGAAAGAACTAATGAAACTAAAATCTTTCTTTGAAAAGATCTATAAAATTAATAAGCATCCACAAGACTAACGAGGAACTTAGACAAATTTACAAGAAAAAGTGTAAAAACAACCCTATCAAAAAGTGGGTGAAGGTTATGAACAGACACTTCTCTAAAGAAGACATTTATGCGGCCAATAAACATATGAAAAATAGCTCATCTTCACTGGTCATTAGAGAAATCCAAATCAAAACCACAATGAGATACTGCCTCACACCAATTAGAATGGCGATCATTAAAAAAGCAGGAAACAACAGATGCCCGTGAGGATGTGGAGAAATAGGAACTCTTTTACACTGTTGGTGGGAGTGTAAATTAGTTCAACCATTGTGGAAGACAGTGTGGTGATTCCTCAAGGATCTAGAACCAGAGATACCATTTGACCCAGCAATCCCATTACTGGGTATATACCCAAAGGATTGTAAATCATTCTACTATAAAGACACATGCACATGTATGTTTATTGCAGCAATATTTACAACAGCAAAGACTTGGAACCAACCCAAATGCCCAGCAATAATAGAATGGATAAAGAAAATGTGGCATATATACACCATGGAATACTATGCAGCCATAAAAAAGAATGAGTTCATGTCCTTTGCAGGGACATGGATGAAGCTGGAAACCATCATTCTCAGCAAACTAACACAGGATCAGAAAACCAAATACCGCATGTTCTCACTCATAAGTGGGAGTTGAACAATGAGAACACATAGACATAGGGAGGGGAACATCACACACTGAGGCCTGTTGCAGGGTGTGGGGGAAAAGGGATGGAGAGCATTAGGACAAATACCTAATGCATGCGGGGATTAAAACCTAATTGCAAACCTGGTTGATAGTTGCAGCAATCCACCCGGGCATATGTATAACTATGTAACAAACCTGCACGCTCAGCACATATATCCCAGAATTTAAAGTACAATAATAATAATAATAATAATAAAACTACTAAACATAATCAAGAAAATATAATGAGGTATATAAATTGATCGAGGTAGTTCAATTTATTAGCACGTTTAAAAATAACACATGCAGAAAGCGTTTGATCAAATACAATATTCTTGATAAATTTTTGATAAAGCAGTCAGTAAATCAACAATAAAAGTAAAGCAATTGAATCTTCATCTTGTCACAGAAAAAGGTTAAGGGAGAAGGGTCCAGAAGGTAATTGTAATTGAGGTGAATCTTTTTTTTTTTTTTTTTTGAGACGGAGTTTCGCTCTTGTTGCCCAGGCTGGAGGCTGGAGTGCAATGGCACGATCTCAGCTCAACGCAACTTCCGCCTCCCAGGTTGAAGCAATTCTCCTGCCTCAGCCTCCCAAGTATCTGGGATTACAGGCATGCACTACCATGCCCGGCTAATTTTTTTGTATTTTTAGTAGAGACGGAGTTTCTCCATGTTGAGGCTGGTCTCGAACTCCTGACCTCAGGTGATCCACCCACCTCGGCCTCCCAAAGTGCTGGGATTACAGGCGTGACCCAACAGTCTTGCTCTGTCGCGAGGCTGGAGTACAGTGGCGCAATCTCGGCTCACTGCAATCTCTGCCTCCTGGGTTCAAGAGATTCCCCTGCCTCAGTCTCCCGAGTAGCTGGGACTAGAGGCGCGCACCACCATGCCCGGCTAATTTTTTGTATTTTAGTAGAGACAGAGTTTCACCATGTTGGCCAGGATGGTCTCGACCTCCTGACCTCGTGATCTACCCGCCTCAGCCTCCCAAAGTGCTGGGATTACAGGCATGAGCCACCGCGCCCAGCCAAGGTGAAACTTGAAGTTAAGTGGTATTCCCAAGTAGATGAAAAGTAAATTAGGCACACACAGTAGGCTCGTAGCCTTCAACAAAGTCACAGAATTATTTTTGAAAGGCATACAATTACACTTGAGAAATAGATATTGGATTTGCCAGATAATTTTTCTGCATCAATTAAGATCTTTTTTTTAAATTTTGAAAACATAAAATTTATCCTTGTAACTATTTTTAAATGTACAAGTCAGTGCCATTAAACGTATTCACATTGTTGTTCAACCACCCTTATAAATCTTCAGAACTTTTTCCTCAACTGAAACTGTATCCCCTAATCAATAACTCCCCATTATTGATTCTCCCAGGCCCTGGTAACCACTGTTCTACTTTTCATCTTTATGAATTTGACTACTGCAGGCACCTCATTAAGTGGAATCATACAATATTTGTCCTGTCGTGTCTGGTTATTATTATTTTTTACTTAGCATGATATATTCAAGGTTCATTATGTTATAGCATGTGTTTGAATTTCATTTCTTTTTAAAGCTGAGTAACATTGCATTGTGTATAAATGCCAAATTTTGTTTATCCATTCATTCATCAAAGGACATTTGGATTCTATAAACATGGATGCAAAATAAGCTGTCTGAATTGCTGTTTCAATTATTTTGTGTATGTACTCAAATGTAGAATTGCAGAGTCATAGGGTAATTTTATGTTTAGTTTTAAATTGTTATACTATTTTCCACAGCAGCACTATTTTACTTTCCCACCAGTAAGGCAGAAAGTTCTAGTTTCTCTCTCTTCACAAATACCCGTTTGTTTTGTTTTTTAAATATATGATAGCCATCCTAATGGGTATGAAGTGGATTTTTAATTTACTCTCTTAATAGGCTGAATTACATTGATTCTACTTTGCTAATAACAGGAATATTTGCAATAAAAGTTTTAAATAACATTAAAATTGCATATTTTACAGATTTTGAATTTATTTCTTAGTAGATTTGTTAAATTTCTTCATAAATTTAAGTTTGTGGGCTGCATTGGAAATTGTAATGTGGAGTTTTAATTTAGAAAGGCCCTAAAAGAGTACCAAATTAATTAATCCACCATTATTTTCCCCAGAGTAAAGAATCTCTTTTAAATCTTAGATTTCATTACATATGTAAAATAGAGTATTTTATATAAATTTCTACTGGGAACTACTGTATATATTTCTTAATATAAAATTTCTAACAAATACAAAGAAGTCATAGCTATGTTAATAACATACTATGGGTAATTGAATAAATCACCTTTTAATACTTAAGGGTCAATGAGGTTTTATTTTGAAGTTTATTGGTTTATTAAATTTGGTTTAATTTTATTTCTTAATAATATTATTGTATGATTTTGGCTATATTAAGGTGTTTTTATTTCCTCATCATAATCCTTTGTGTCAGAGAAGCAGATGTGTGTCTGAGACTATCCATAGATCCATCAGCAGCTGAGGGACTAATGCAAGGCGAGAGTGAGGAAAATGGGAGTTAATGTTTTGTTGTTAATTTAGGTATCAGTTCATTATTTACATCTTAATGTATTGAATGGATTCATTGAAAAGAAATGGTATAATGAACACTTATAATATAGAGGTGGTTCACAGTGGCACCGAACCTATAAAAGTAATCTGTGAGGTTAATATTTATCCCTTTTTCTCTAGTTTAATGACCCTTTGTGTACTGAAAGCAGATATGAACACCTTTAATTATACTGGAACTGAAAAACTGATTAATTCGGTTTCCAAATCATGCAAGCATTATTGTGTACCATGGACTGAGAATAAATGGTTATTAAATGGAAAATTGTCTTTTCAGCTTCAGAAATAAAACATGTTTCCATTTAGGTAATTATAAGGTTTAAATGGTAATACAAAGCCATTATTGGCACATGGATTTTTATGATGTATCTTTTTTATGTCTGTGATATATGATCAGGCAGAATTTTGTTTCATTGGTGGTTTAGCTCCCCCTGAAGGTTGTATACTTACATTCTAAAGGTAGTTGCCACACACATTCCTCGGTTTTCCATTTACCTCTATCTTTAAATTATTTTTATAATAATAATTATGCATTAAATGTTTTAAATAATTGAATTATATTGATGCAAACAGACTTTACAGAAAACTAAGAGCAATAAAAAAATTACATGATTGAGAAAATATAAGCATAAAACTAATATTCCAAATTACATTTTTCTAGTCCTATGATTATATAAAAACAGTCTCTTTATGAACACTGTCTGGATTCTTTTCTGCCATTTGATTTCACATTTTAATTTTTAGTTTATGCCTTGCCCCTGGGATCTCTTGCCTGGATATTTAGTATCTAACCTAGACCAAGGCCAAATAAATCAGCTTTCATTATTTCAGCTTACTAAGGCCTTCCCATTAGTTATGATTCGAAGTCGGCGAAAAAGAAGGTCACAGCTGTCAAAAGGAAGCACATTGTTGGTTAACATTTATCAATCTCAATAAGATGTCATACTCTCCCAAATTTAGGTTATTTCTTTGTCAAACTCCAGGGCATTAATGACTTAAGGAATGTATTTATTGCTGGCTTAAATACTGTTAATGAAAAAAGCCAACAACTGAAGTGTATCTTAAAGACAACCTTATTTCTAAAATCTACTATTCATATGCAAAATATTTTTATTGCATCTGGAGTTATAAATCATCTTAAATGCACAATCTACACTAAAACATTTTACTTTTCATTGCTCAGGAATACCCTCCAGTAGAAACCTAGATGAGTTTAAGCACATTATTTAAAAAGTATTGAATTAAAAGGACGAGGAAAAATGGGGGATAGGAGGCAGGACTAACTGGCAGCTCACACTCAGACAGAGTAAGGTGTGCAGACCCACACTGTGAACTTTCACTTCAAGAACTACACAGGAACATACCAGGAAAGCAGAAAGAATCCACAAACCCTTTGAAGGATGCGGATTGCCTCTGCAGGCTCCATGGGATGCCTGAGAAACTGTGAGTTGGCTTGCATTCTCAGCTGGGAGGCTTGTAGCCTGGAGCACGTTCTCAGCCCTGCTTACCAGCTGCTTGGAAATAAACTTGGTTCTGTTGTGGGGGCACAATAGGAGTAAGACCAGCCTTTCTGGCTGTGGGCAGCACGGCAGCCGGGTGAGACATGTGGCTGTCAGCTTTTCCCCACTTCCCTAGCGTCCTGTGTGATGCAACAGAGGCAGCCATAATGCTCCTGAGAATATGACTTCATTGGCCTGGGAACCACACCCCTATACCCCACAGCAGCCACAGTGAGCATCACCCAAGGAAAATCTGACTTCAGACACACCTAACCGTGCCTCTACCTGATGGTTTTTCTCTATCTGCCCTGGTAGCTGATGACAAATGTCATAATCTCTTGGGAGCTCTAGGTCCCTATCCACCACGTGATCCTCCTCATACCACAGCAGCTGATGCACTCTCAAAAGCGCCACCTTCTGGCTGGAGGCCAACCAACACAAAAGCAGCACACTTAACAAAAATAAAACCAAGGACCCTCACAGGGTCTGCTTCACTCTCCTGCTACTTCCATGAAAGCAGGTGCTGGTATTCATAGCTGAGAGACCTGAAGACATATCACATCACAAGACTCTTTGCAGACACTCACTTAGTACAAGCCTGGAGCCCAGTAGCTCTGCAGGGCGGCTAGATCCAGAAGAGAAATAACAATCACTGTGGTTTGGCTCTCACGAAGCCCCATCCATAGGGGAAAGGAGAAAGCATCACATCAAGAAAGCACCCATGGCACAAAAGAGTCTGAACAGCAGAACTTGAGTCCCAGATTTTCCCTCTGACATAGTCTACCCCAGTGAGAAGGAACCAGAAAATCAATTCTGGTAATATGATGAAACAAGGTTCTTTAATGCCCCCCAAAGATCACACTAGCTCAACAGCAATAGATCCAAACCAAGACAAGGTATCTAAATTGCCAGAAAAAATATTGAAAGGTAAGCGATTAAGCCAATCAATAAGGCACCAGAGAAAGGTGAAGACCAACTTAAAGAATTAAAAAAAAAAAGACACAGTATATGAATGGAAAAACCTTCAGTGAAATAGATAGCAGAAATAAAAAACAATCACAACTTCTGGAAATGAAGGACACACTTAGAGAATTGCAAAATGCACTGAAAAGTCTCAGCAATAGAATAGAACAAGTAGAAGTAAGAACTCCAGAGCTCAAAAAGAAGGCTTTCAAATTAACACAAACCAGAATAGACAAAAAAGAATATTAAAAAAATGAGCAAAGCCTCTAAGACATTTTGAAATTATGTTAAATGACCACAACTAATAAAAATTGGTGTTCTTGAGGAAGAAAAGAAATCTAAAAGTTTGGAAAACATATTTGAGAGAATAATCAAGGAAAACATCCATAGCCTTGCTAGAGATCTAGACATCCAAATACAAGAAGCTCAAAGAACACCTGGGAAATTCATCCCCAAAAGATCATTGCCTAGGCACACAGTCATCAGGTCATCTGAAGTCAAGATGAAGAAAAGAATCTTAAGCACTGTGAGGCAAAAGTATCAGGTAACATAAAGGAAAACCTATCAGATTAACAGCAGGTTTCTCAACAGAAATGCTAGAAGCTAGAAGGAATTGGGGTCCTGTCCTTAGCCTCCTTAAACAAAACAGTTATCAGCCAAGAATTTTGTATACAGGGAAACTGGCTTCATGAATGAAGAAAAGGTAGTGTTTTTCAAGCAAACAAATGCTAAGAGAATTTACCACTTAGCCAGTACTACAGGAACTGCTAAAAAGAGCTCTAAATTTTGAAACAAATCTAAAAATACACCAAAATAGAATAAGTGTAAAGCATAAATATCACAGGACCTATAAAATAACAACACAGTGGAAAAAAAAAGGTATTTAGGAAACAACTAGCATGATGAATAGAATAGTACCTTACATCTGCATACTAATGTTGACTGTAAATGGCCTAAATACTCCACTTAAAAGATACGAAATGGCAGAATGGATAAAAATTCACCAACCAACTATCTGCTGTCTTCAAGAGACTCACCTGACACATAAGGACGCAAATAAACTTAAGGTAAATGAGTGGTAAAAGATATTCCATGCAAATGGACACCAGTATCAGAAAAAACAAAACAAAACTTTGAAACAACACCAGTTAAAAAAGACAAGGAGGGACATTATATAATGATAAAAGGACTAATACAACAGGAAATTATCACAGTCCTAAATATATATGCACCTAGCTCTGGAGCTCCCAAATTTATAAAACAATTAGTACCAGGCCTAAGAAATGAGAGACAGCAACACAGTTGGAGTGGGGGACTATAATACTCTACTGATAGTACTAGGCAGGTCATCAAGACAGAAAGCCAACAAAGAAACCTGTAATACTATAGGTATGATTTTTATTATTAATTTCATTTACTATAATGTCATTTTTTCTGTGACAAAAATTTTTTCCAATACATGGAATTTATGTCTATATAATAGTCCATCCTGTTAACAAAATGCAATTTATTTTCCCATTCTCATTCACCTTTCTTTATCCTGGGGGGAAAAAAAAAGCAAAACTTTGGCTAGACACAATAGCTCACAATTGTAATTTCAGCACTTTGGGAGGCTGAGGCAAGAGGATTGCTGGAGTCCAGGAGTTTGAGACCAGCCTGCACAATATAGTGAGAATGTGTCTCTACAAAAATTTTTTTTTTTTAAATAACCAGGCATGGTAGCACACACTTACAGTCCCAGCTACTTGGGAGCCTGAGATGGGAGGTTCACTTTAGCCTGGGAGATCAAGGCTTCAGTGAGCTACGATCACACCAGATCACAAACCAACACTCTAGTCTGGGTGACAGACTGATACTGTCTCAAAAACAAAAACAAAAGGCAATCATGAGCTCTACACTCTTAACACATGTACACATTTTTAGCATAGTGTCGTTAACTATAAGCACAGTGTCGTACAGCAGATCTCTAGAATTTTTTCATCTTGTGTAACTTTATCAAACTTTATAAGAATTGAACAGAAACTCCCCTTTACTCCCTTCCCCCAGCCCTGGCAACCACCACTCTATCCCCTGCTTTCATGAGTTTGACTACTTTAGTCATCTCAGATATGTGAAATGATTAACTCACATTGCGTGATGTTTTCAAAGTTCATCCGTGTTGCAGCATATTATAGGACTTTCTTGTTTTCATGGGTGAATAATAGACCATTGTGTGTGTGTATATATATATATATCTCACATTATTTTTGATTCACTCATCTGTTGGTAGATACTTTGATTGTTTCTACTTTTTGGCTATTGTGAATCAAGCTGCAATAAATACGTGAGTGCAAATATCTCTTTGAGATTCTGATTTCAATTATTTTGGATAAATACCCATAAGCGGGATTGCTGGCTGATACGGTAGTTCTATTTTTAATGTTTTGAGGAACCTCTATATTGTGTTTCATAGTCACTGCATCATTTGACATTCTCAACAAGAGTGGAAGAAGGTTCTAATTTCTCTACGTCCTCACAAATGCTTATGATTTTCTAACTTTTTTATAATGGCCATGCTAACAAGTCGGTGAGATCATTTAGTTTTTATTATTATTTAAACAGCATTTTCTTAAATCTCAATATTTGTCTACATTTCTGGAAGTTTCCTAAAGATAGTTTTTGGTTCAAAAACTGTTAACTTTTTGCATCCCTTATCAAATATCACTCATGCCTAAATAACAAAGGTAATTGAGGTCAAATAATTAGATTACTAATAACAATGATTTAAACAATCAATCAGTACTGATGCATTTAATGTTAAGTTACTTCAGATAAAGTGCATCCAGTGTTCAGAAACAACAGATGTCATTCTATGAAAGTACCTCAAAATGTAAAAGTAGTGTCATAGTTAGGTTAAATGGCATGTTTTACTTTATAAAAATGATTCAAATGTTTAAAATATGCTACCTCAGTGCATTATTGAACTACTTATTTTGTCCTTTCCTTTCTTTATGATTGACACTAGTGACCCAAGAGGAAATTCCAGTTTTGGAAATTTTTACTGGTTTCTTTACTGATCTTTGCCTTTCTCACCTAATTTGTCAATATTTGCCATCAAACTCTACCTCCAGAGATAATAAAACATGCAAATTTCCCTCTTTTTCTTTACTTTGTGACTGATCACCAATATACTGAATGGAGGGAATTTTAGGAGAGAGTTCACCTCTGAGTGGTAGAGGAGGGGCGAGGGCAGTATATACCTTGCCTTAAGTATATATACATCGAAGGAATGTCCCATGTTACATCAGTCATCAGCTAACACAGAGACTGCCTAATGTGTGCTCTGCTTCTAACTTTTTAATTTTTTTTTTTTATTTTTAGAGACAAGGTCTTGCTGTGTCACCTGGGTTGGAGTGCAGTGGTGCAATCATAGCTCCTTGCAGCCTTGAACTTCTAGGCTCAAGCAATCCTTCTGCCTCAGCCTCCTGAATAGCTAAGAATACAAGTGTGTGTCACCACACCTGGTTAATTTTACAATTTTGTGTAGAAATGAAGTCTCACTATGTTGCCCAGGCTGGTCTCAAACACCTGGCCTCAAGTGATTCTCTGGCTTCCATCTCCAAAAGCACTGGGATTACAGGAATGAGCTACCATGCTAGATGGTGCTTTTACATTTTCTTTTAGTAATTTTATGGTTTTTCTTCTAAACACTGTCTGTTATGATGCTCTATGCTATATCAATTTATTAAACGTTAGATAATTATTTGCATTGCTACATTTTCATCCAGAAATGTTATATTGATGTTTTCTCATTGCATATACAATAATATATCTGAGAGCTATAGAAGTGTCTATTATATGATCCACTCACCAGCAAATAATATGTTTACTTTATTAATGTTTCTAAAATTGTTTAATAAAAAGGCAAATTTCATTTTTGTGTTTATTGTTGATATTATAGACAGTTATTAATTTGATGAATTTTTCTGCAAAATATTCACGTTTTGACTTACATCTATTTAAGGGTAAAATATTTAATATTTTCTACAGCTTTTATATTAAGGATGTGTGAATGTGTTTTGCATTCATTACAATTACTTTCTAGAGTATTATTTGTAACTATTTGGGAGATTTTTTTAAAAAATCGTAAATACCAATTTTTATGTAGCCAAATCTATCGATTTCCCATTGGGATCTGTAATTTATTGTTTTCTTCACCCTTCCTCATCTAACAGAGATTAGCAGATAAACGGCTTCTCACAGGCAGAATGTTTGTAACAAACATGGTGTACCTAGCGTATTACAGTTCTCTAGAAGGACAGAACTAATAGGATTGATGTATATATAAAGAGGAATTTATTGAAGAGTATTAACTCACATGATCACAAGGTCTTACAATAGGCCATCTGCAAACTGAGGATCAAGGAAGCTAGTCCATTCACAAAGCTGAAGAACTTGGAGTCTGATGTTTGAGGGCAGGGAGCCTCCAGCACGGGAGAAAGATGTAGGCAGGGAGGCTTAGCCAGTCTAATTGCTCCACGTTCTTCTGCCTGCATTTTATTCTGGCTATGCTGACTGCTGATTAGATTGTGCCCACCCAGACTGAGCGTGGGTCTGCTTTCCCAATGCACTGACTCAAATGTTAATCTCCTTTGGCAACACCCTTACAGATACACTCAGGAATAATACTTTGCATCCTTCAATCCAATCAAATTGACAGTATTAACCATGACACCTAGGTTATCTCTCTTTCCAACACACATTTCCACCACTTCTTTATGGTTGCAAACCAGACAGAGAAAGTTTCATACATCAGACAGCAGTTCTCCTTACTATTACTTAAAGCAAGAAATCATAGCTATTGCAAAACTGAGTTATCCCTGAGGCCTGCAGCTGCAGACGTCTCCTTGGCCATCTTTTGCAACACTTCTTGAAGCCTTATGTTATTTGGCAGCTCTTCATCATATGTTGCAGCTTTAGGTTAAAAATATTTCCTTATTTTGTGAACTATTAATTTGCATTTTTTTGTGTGTCTTCTTGGTATCTGAAGGTGTTTTTTGAGAGAGGAAAGCAGCAATGTTCTTTATATTCCATTATCTTAAACCAAGCCTTTTTTTTTCATAATCAGAAATAAACAAACCATCAAATACTTTTAAAATGGTATTTTTCAAATCAATGTGATATTTCCCTTCTTAATCTCTCATTTCTTATATGGGGACCAGAATTCTGTTTTATTTCTACTCTATCATCATTTAAAAGTTTCAGGGTTAGCTGTTGCTAACATGGCTGAATAAAGCAGGCTGGAGTATCTGTCACTTTTTTTCTCTTGCAGTCATTTAGTCTTTATTTGCAGTTATATGTCAAAATATTGCATTACAAAGTGCAATTTTGAAGTGTCATATGAAGTGTCAAACATACATTACTTGGCATGGCTATAAACAGCAGAAGAAATTTACATGTTAAATGTGATAAGTACTTTTATGACGCCTTTTGTAAAGTCGTATTATATTAGTTTGTGTTTAATCAATACAACTAATAGAGTTATATTTATTAATTTTAATCTGAATTTAAAATGTATTCTGCAAATTTTCACAAAATATTATTATAATTGCTTATGTTTAATCAACACAACTTAAAAGTTAATGTTCATTACTTATAATCTGAATTTAAAATGTACTATTCTAGGAAGTCTATTGCTAGGTATCATTATAGGTATGATATTCATGAAACTAATGAAATCTGTAATAAGATCCATATCATTCATTCATTTATTCTTTTATTTATAAATTGGTTGAGTGCTTTCCATTTCCATACTTGGGATGTTTGCTAGGGATACAGAGAATAAGTACCTTGTTCTTAGGCAGTTCTTCAGGAGCTTCCCATAGTAGAGTGCCGATCATATACACATGGGTGAAAGGAATAATAGCTACAGCTGTTGGCATTAGAGCCCTGATATGAGATTCCAAATGCCATTAACTTTCTTATTAAATATTAGCCACACAACATAACTGAGTACCTGAGAAGAGTGCAAAAATCTGTCATCTAAAGTTAAAGAGGGTGATGCAGGCAACCCTTCAGTTGAAAGTCTTCATTATGCTCTAGTGATTTCAACCAAAATTCAACGTTAGTCGTTTCAGACTTATTGACCTACAAGTCCTGGAAAAATAAGACCATCACCATAAGCAGTCCTGGGATCTTGGACTTCTCAGCCCCCACCAGTGTAAGAAATAAGTTCCTGTCCTTTATAAATTACCTAGTTATAGGGAGTCTGTTGTAAGCAACAGTAAATGGACTAGGACAGCCATATAGTACACTATTATTACAAAATGACATATGATTGTTTTATAACTCCAATAAAACAATTAAAAATTAAAAAAATTAAGATTATTAAACAATTAATAAAATTTTTTCCAACCAACATTTGATCATTTTTCAAATTGAAATTTTGGACTTATGATTTTTATATGTATTTTATATGTATTTTAAATGATTTATAGTAAATTTTATACTTTTTGTGCTTTCTAAAATTCCTCATATTATTTCACTGTTGATGAGATGTTCATTACTTCACTCTATACTGACACTCACTGTCTAAAAGATTTCCACTACTGAAATAATATAAAATATTCATTTAGAATAAAGTTGACCCTGCTAACTTGCTCTCATTCTTGAGAACTTAGTCATTTTACTTTCTCATGTTTATAAGCCACTCCTCATTCCATTAACTTTCCTCTTGGAAAACTGCATTGTCTCCAATACTTCCTCAAGTCTTCTGGATTTCAAAGACACATCTTGACTTGAAGATGAAAATAATCCCTCTCCTTGGAAAGTGTCTTAGAATGTGAATAAGAATAGCAAGCAGTTCAGTGTGTGCACAAAGTTTCCTGAGAGAGCAGGCTGTTGGGACTCAAGGATAGAGGTTGGATTAAGGTCAGGCAATGGGTTTTTGAAACAAATTCTGAAAAAGAATAAAGCACAGCACTAGAATAAAGCAAAGCAAAGCATACCACTTTGCTAGGTAACACGTTATTCAAATTTGGCCTGAATGACATGTGTTTGGTATTCTGTGACAAAGGCCACACATGATTTCCTTATTGTATTACATTAATAGACCTTTGTCATTCCATCTTGTTGCAGCTAAGATATAACCATTGAAGTTACGACAATAAATTATTAAAGGAATGAAATACCCTTCTATTTATTTTTATAAAGGACTATTTCTCAGTAAAAGCATGAGAAACGTATAGCACGTATATACTTTTGCATACTACAGTATATATTTATAGTAATTTAAAGCTTTCTGATTTATTAGTAGTAGTAATAGAATTCTATTTTTTATTGTTTTAATTTTTTAAAAGAAGTTATATCAAAAGATTAACAGTGCAATTAATAAGACTATGAGGAATTAAATATCTTATACTGAAATGGAGAGAAACAATCTCATATTTACAAAGCTCTTTTTACTTGAGGAGAATTGCTTACATTACTATTACTGTCTGTCAACTGTCTCATATTATTTCAAACCAATGAATCAATAGTCACCTACAGAGAGCAGGAAAGTGATTATCAACTGATTGAAAAATACTTGATTTTTAATATGTAAAACTTCTCACCTAACAGCTCACATTTGAGATGATTAGCTACATTAGGTCGACAAAAAAAAAATGAAGTAGAATGTTTTCTCTAGAGGCAAAGTTTTTTTTTTTTTTTTTTTTTTTTTTTTTTTTTTTTTTTTTTTTTTTGAGACGGAATCTCGCTCTGGTGCCCAGGCTGGAGTGCAGTGGTGCAATCTCAGCTCACTGCAAGCTCCACCTCCCGGGTTCACTCCATTCTCCTGCCTCAGCCTCCCGAGTGGCTGGGACTACAGGCGCCTGCCACCACACCCAGCTAATTTTTTGTATTTTTGTATTTTTAGTAGAGATGGGTTTTCACCATGTTAGCCAGGATGGTCTGGATCTCCTGACCTCGTGATCTGCCTGCCTCGGCCTCCCAAATTGCTGGGATAACAGGCGTGAGCCACCGCGCCCAGCCAAGATTTTTGTTAAAACAGTAATCCTCATTTATAAGGAATTGAGCAAACACTATTACTAACTTGTTCCCTCTCAATCAGAAGACTTAACTTTATTCCTGCCTGCCAGTTTATGTTGGAATTAGGTATTGGAAATAACAATTATTTTCTACCCTCAGTGTCTTGAATAAGAAAGTGCTACTGAGGCGTACCTTGAATTAATCCAGACAAAATAATAAAAAATTCATGGCCCACAACCTTATCATTTTGTTTGGTTTTGTTTCATATGTATAAAGTTTACTTAGGTAGCCAATTGCAATGAAGTACCATATTGAAGAATAGTAAAGTAAAAGTTGTGAATTATAAAAATTAATAGTAATCAAGAAAATAGCAATGAAAGATGGGAAAGCTTTCACAGTGATCTATATACAAAAAAAGATGTCTTAAATATTTTTGTATAGTCTTGTACAATTTAGTTCTTCATTACACTGATATTAGAAAAAAAACTTGCAAATAAATGTTTGTCTTTAGCTAATGTAACCCACAGAGATTAATCTGTAAAATGAATTACTCGTTTAATTCCATTATTGTTATAGCTATTATTTTACGATTAGTCTGCATTATTTCAAATCAGCCATAACATTACTATTTTCTTTATCTCAGATGTAAATGTGATTTCAACTGCAGTTGTGTTATTAAAGTTTTAATTTTTTTTAAAGGACCTTCCCGAAAATGCATTAGTGACTTCCCTACATATATTAACTCTTTCGGGTCTTTGGACTAGAAATTTCAAATTAGTATCTCAAACATTTTTTAAATGGTATAACAATTTTGAAATCATTTATTAAAAATAATCGTTTCTTCCATCTCCTAAATTTTCCTTGTCCAATTTTCTATTAATGGTTTTCATGGTCAGTGCAATTTCAGTTGTACAGGCAGCTCCACCCCTATTCTTTTCTCTAAAGACTCGCTCATTTTTCTCCAATTTTTCTTCCAATATATTTAGTCTGTAAAGCGTTTTCATATTTCTTACAAACACTTACCTTTTAATGGACTTATCAATGACTAAGCTTCATGTTTATTTCTTTGTGACAACTAATCAGCATCAATAATGGCTTGTTACCTGTTCTTTCTACATAGCCAATTTGTCACTAGATTTCCTGGCATAGCCAGGGGTTCATTATTAATTACTCTTTCATAAGCTTTTTAAAATCTCCTCTCCTTTAACTGCTAATATAATGTTATAATGGGTCTAGCTATCTGTCTGCTTATCTATCTACCTATCCATGTAGAAAGAGAGATGGAAAGGGCGGCAGGGGAGACAAGAATAAGCATACAAATGCAGACATACAAACATACAGAATAGATCCCAAAATTTAGCTTATAGAGAAAAGACATAAATATCTGGAGAATTATTTATGTATATTAATAAATTTGCTTCAAAATTAAAACTAAACTAATGTTTAATGTTTAGCTAATACTGGCTGGTGTGTAGTTCTATTTGCAATTGTATTTTCTGCTTCCTCTTTACTGTATTTATATGTTCAGAGTTCTAGAAAGCCTGACAGAAATCTTTTTTACTCAAGATTTTCGATGAGTTTGGACAAATTATTTAAGCTTTTTAAATTATAAATCAATATATAAAATGAAAACAATAACACTATCTTCACAAGATCTTTGTGTTCATTTGATGAAAGAGAGATATACACTGACCTAGTCTGTGCTCAGTAAACACTAACACAATATTTATTATTAGAATCATGTACAATAAACACATTTATTTTATTGGTGCACTGGAATTTTATTTCAGATCTCTGCATGCTGGGATGTCTTATTTATTCCATACATTTTCTATGAGAATAAAGTAAAGCAAATGAAATTCTTAGTGGTGACAAATGTGTTCTATTTCAGGGAAAATAAACATTTCTAGCTTTTAAATTCAAAGTTTGATACACAGCTACCACAATCAAAAAATTATGAATGAACTAAAAGAATCTTCCAAAAAGCTGGGAGAATGAGTTTTAGAAAATGTTTAAATTTTACTGTTGGCAATCATTATGGATAAAGCAATTGGCAGTACAAAAAAAGTAGTCATTTTATTTCCTGTATTATCTCTATAAATTTAAATTAATTTTCCAATTGGCTACGCAATTACATTTTACATACATGCATACATGCATACATGCACACACATGATCCATGTTTACCTCCATGCATGTGTGTATATGTTTTTAGGTTTAGTTTATTTTGTGTTGCAGAATATCTATATATCAAACAATAAGTAAAGTGGACATTTGTGCAGGTATATAAACTTGGAAGATTTACTTTGCTCAAAAAAAATCAGGTAAGTACTTCCACTTACCAGTTATAAAACATTTATAAAACGTTTGATTGAGTTAAACCTTCCACATTATCTTCTCTAAAAATAAAGTAAAATTCTAGCCTTGTAAAAAATAATTTAATTTCAAAATTCGAACTATATACATTTTTATAGCAATATGGAGAAATCTCACAAACAAAGTGTTGACCAAAGAAATCCAGGATAAAAGTACATTATTGTGATTTAGTTTATATGGAGTACAAACAATTTATGCTCATTGATATTAGAATAGTGGTTGCACTTTGGAAGCTATAGTCAATAGAAAAGAGCACAAAGGATCCTTTGGGACCTTATACTGTTCTGTCTCTAGATTTGGGTGATAGTTTCATGGTTACATTGAACTTGTCAAAATTCATCAAGATTTGTGCATTTTCCTGTGTGTATATTATGATTTAACAAAAATGTTTAAAAATCCAAATAGATTATATTTTAGCCTTCTAAATTTAAATACTGCAGATTCATGGGAACTTAAGAAGTCCTCTTTTAAAAAATATGTATATTCCAGGGTTGCCCAAAACTATAGTGCCTACCAAAAAAACCTTTCCTGGAACTACAGATGGACATATGCAAATGCCAATTGGAAACCTCTGCTTACATATCTAATTTAAAATTGCCATAAAAATGATGTATTTCCACTGGGCATGGTGGCTCATGCCTGTAATTCCAGCACTCTGGGAGGCCAACGCGGGTGGATCACATGAGGCCATGAGTTCGAGAACAGCCTGGCCAACATGATGGAATCTCGTCTCTACTAAAAATACAAAAAATTAACCAGGTGTGGTGACGGGCACCTGTAGTCCCAGCTAATTGGGAGACTGAGGCAGGAGAATCGCTTGAACCTCAGAGGTGGAGGTTGCAGTGAGCCAAGATCGTACCACTGCACTCCAGCCTGGATGACCGAGCGAGGTTCCGTCTCAAAATAAATAAATAAAAAATAATAGTTTATTTCTTCTCATACCTCTTATTTGCTTAGACTTCCTTTTCTCAGTAAACATATCAAATACACAGTTTTAGGAGACATCTTTTATTTTTCCTTCTATTCTTTTCTAATACTATAATAGCTTCAAACATATTTAAAATAGACACATGGTATTCCCTACCAACTGCTCTCACCTAACCTCAAGCGATTAAAAGCCAAAGTTTATAAGATGGCTTATATGCTCATCCAGGACCTACCACTCACACATCTCTCTGACCTCATCACGTTCTGTTCCTCACCTTCAGAGCTTCCCTGACAAGCCTATAAAGGAGGAAATAGCACGTTTTAATTCCTTTCACTACTTTTTCCTGCTGTATCATTCTTCATAATTCTCATCAGCAGTGAAAATATTAAGAATGCCATATTTATTCTTTACTATTATTTTTTGCTCTCCCAACCCACAAAAATGTAAATTCCACGAAGTTAAAGAGTTTGTCGTTTAAGAACACTCATGTATTCCCTACACATGGGAAATGGGAATCATTAAAAAGGAGTATATATGTAAAATAAAATTTGTCGTTAACTATAATTTCCCATTTCACATTGATTAAAATATGATAAAATATCAAACCATTCACAAACCTGTGCAACTGGAGGACTTGTGCAACAACTATCTCTCCAACTTATCTTTTTTGCCACTCCCCCATTTTCTCTATGCACTTGAACCATGCTTGTCTTTCTTTTCAGTTCCTGGAGAACCAAATGACTTTACTCTGTTCAATTCCTTTATACATACTATTTTCCCCTCTATCTGGAATGTGTTTCTAACATCCAAAAGGCTTGCAACTCAATCTTCAGATTTTAGTATCAATTATCCTTCTTACAATGTATCTCTAGTCTCAGTTTGGACTTTTATACACACACATTCACGTGTATACTTAATATGTTATTTATGTCATATTTTTCTCTCTTTGATGAAAGGTTTAGAGCCTAGACAATCAATTTTATAACCTCAGCACCTAATACAGTTAGTGTCACAGAATTTTTGCTTTCTACATTTTTGACAAAAATAATTAAAAATTAAGGAAAACATTCTGAACAGTAGTGCAATTTTTAAAAATTTTAATTATAATTGAAGCAAAATTTTATTGATGTCTTCACAGTCAAAAATTATTCCTCAAAGTATATATGGACAGTTTATTTAAACTGACTCTTGTTAACCTTGAAGAGTGAAGTCTTTTGCCATAATGTTCCATTATGTCCTAAAACCAGTAAGCAATTAAGGCCATAAACTCAAAATTTTTCAGCTGGATGAGAGAGACAGGTCTTACAACATGGTTATATAAAAAGACAAGTGTTCCAAAAGGAGCAAATGTATAAAGAAAAAAAAATTTAACTCTAATTTGAGTGCTCTTAGTAGATCCTTGAATTAGCTAAACTCCCAAATTTTCTCACAAAACAAACTGTCAAGATTCTTGGAAAGTTTCACAATTTAGTAATATACTGTGAAGTTTATCATAAGTTCATATTTGTTATACTGACAATAATATTTATAGCCATTTAATGTTTTAAGTAACTTTTTTCAGCTCTTATTATTAGATTCTCAAAGGAATATTGAGTTTTTGAAATCAATTTTTTAAATGAGAAAACTGAACTTTAATGGACCAAAGTTAAAGTCAAGGGAAAGTAGAAATCAGACTTAGGATTTTTGATTCACTACACTCTACTTCGTGACACCCATTAAAAATTGACAAAGGACATGAACAGACACTGTTCAAAAGAAGATATACAAGCAGCCAACAGGCATATGAAAAATGCTCAACATCACCAATTAGAGAAGTGCAAATTCAAACCACAATGAGATACCATCTCACAGCAGTAAGAATGGCTATTATTAAAAAGTAAAAAAACAAAAAACAACAAAAAAAAAACAAACAAAAAGCAGGTGCTGGTGATGCTGTAGAGGAAAGGAAACACATATACACTGTTGGTTGGAATGTCAATTACTTCAGCTGCTGTGGAAAGCAGTTTGGAGATTTCTCAAAGAACTTAAAACAGAACTACCATTCAATCCAGCAATCTCATTACTGAGTATATATACAAAAGAGTATAACTTGTTCTATTATAAAAACACATGCATACTTATGTTTATCACAATACTTTTCATAATAGCAAAGACACAAAATCAACCTAGATACTCATCAATGGTGGAATGGATAAAGAAAATATGGTACATATACACCATGAAATACTATCCATCCATACCAAAAAAAAAAGGAAATCATGTCCTTTGCAGTGACATGCATGGAGCTGGGGGCCATTATCTTAAGCAAATAAACACAGGAACAGGAAATAAAATGTCACATGTTCTCACTTATAAGTGAGAGCTAAACATTGAGTAGATATGAACACAAATAATAGAACAATAGACACCTTGGCCTACTTGAGAACAGAGAGTGAGAGGAGGGTAATGAATGAAAAATTACCTATTGGGTACTTTACTCATTACCTGGGTGATGAAATAATCTGTACACCAAACCCCCATGACATGCAATTTACCCAGGCAACAAACCTGCACATGTACTCCCTGCAAATTAAAAACAAACCCAATGTGTTAGAATTATATTTTTTAAAGCAATATCTCAACTTAGGGGAAAAATAATGCTGTACTATTAACTATTAATGATGTTCTTTCTATCACAAATCTGACTGTCATTAAAATTATCTCCTCCCATTTTTTTCATATTTAAAATCCAGATCCTATCTCAATCCACATTTCAGACATAAGATTTTATAACATTAATATTAATTTAAATATTCTACATCTAGAAGCAAAATTAATGTTGTTTCTAGTAACACACATTGCAAATGATATTGTTTGTTACTTTAGCCTAAAAATATATAGGGTAAACATTTTTGTATTATGTACAACATGACCAAAAGGCATGTATGATACAAATGAAATAACTAAAACATGTAGTAAATTACATCATGCTTAGATATTCAATATTGTAACATATAAACCAAAATTTATATTCAATGTTTTCATAATAAAATCTATAAAAAATAAAAATTTTATAAAATATGCATTAGTTTAAATGTATTTTATTAAATGTGTGCTATTTTTAATACAATGCAAAGGAGAGATTAATCAATTAAATAATTAATAAAATGAGTTTTAATGAAATGACATAACACTTTGACATCAATTATTTGAATAGTAAAACTGGGATGCAGGATTATTTGAAAAAATGAGTACCAAAAGGCTCTGGTGATTGACATATTGCCAGCTGTCCATGATATATCTATCTGGAATGCTCGCCCAGTTTTCACCCACCTCCTCCTTCGAAGAAATCATTCCTCATTAGCCTTGACCTATTCTCCCTCTGTGCTATACAATACCACTTAATACAGATTCATATTGTACTTTGCATTTACATTTTTATTTACTTTCTCATAGTTTTAGTTTCACAATTCAATGGCAAATTCTTTGAGAAAAGGTAACCTATTCTGTATTGATTTATCACATACATTGCATCTGAGCCATCCGCAGGAGAGAGTTGGCAACTGCAAAAAATCAAACAGTGCTGGTTGCTCAAGATAAATGAACTTGAAAAAAATGTGGTTCTGGACCCTCTGGATATAATTAAGGTTGAAACTGTGAACTTACATTTCAATAATGTTCATAAAACAGAGTAAAGTTCAGAACCGGTTGGCCTCCCTTCCCAAGCAGAGGTCCCCGATGAGTAATCCCATTTTCCCTTCCCAAAAGACTCACCTAATTAGCCAAGTTTGAAACTCAAACTTAATATTTGTTGAGTTGAAGTGAAAGAGTTGCAAATCTATTATTTAACAGCTTGTCCCAATCACCTTTTATGAAAGGCATATTAAATTTGAATTTTACTTATATCTTAGGCATTTCCCTTCCTGGGAACTCTGCACATACTCAGCAAAAAATTATGCTCCAATCCCAAATCCTCATGTAGATGTTGTGTGATTTTATCCTCAACTGAAACTTCAAAAGTACCGTCGATCTACTGAAACACTGAAAATTAAAATTATATAATTTTCTTGTCATAGAAAAGCCATATATGATTAGAAGATGTATAACTACCATTTAAATGTTATTGAATACCTTATATTTTTAATTTAGTACCCTGACTACCTAGAATGGTAGACCGATTTTTGGTTAAATTAATGAGACAATTGCTGGAGAACTCTTTACTCTGAGGGAAAAATGTGCCATTTTATTTTGGGGGATTCTGAAAAGAGCCTGTAATTTCTTTCCATAAAAGTTTCACCTGTCTTAATATAGAATAAATGCTAAATGGAAAAAGCTGTATAAGGAAGACAAAGCAGCTATCACCCTCTCCTAACACTGCCGTTTCCCTTACTCATGTGAAATATCATATGTATCATTTGGGGGAATTATCTGGAATAAAGTGGTAAAAATTCACAGCAAGTCATACAGGTCTGTTGCCTGAGGTTAAACCATATGCTTCTCATCCTCTTTCTTTTGGGTATTTTAGTTCGCACATCAATAACTGATAATTTGACAAGAGTAACAACTGCTTTTTTGTAGCATCACCTTTCCTGGGTAATATATTTGCCGCCGAAATAATGAATCTACATCTAGTTAGAAGAGTGGATAAAAAATTCTACTTACATTGTTTGTTATTTTTACTTGCATGTCACTTCAATTTACCACCAAAACTGAAAATTCAAATGAATTGATTGTATTTCTATTCCTACTACTTTCAAGAATGTGTACAATAAGCTCTAAGAAATCTATATAAACAAGTGCAGTTATTTGACCATTATGGGCAAATAACTGCTGAATAATCCTGCATATTGATTAGCCATGGACTTAATTAAAGCAATTTTTACTTTGGATCCTTTAGTCTTGGAACAGTAAGTGGTTAATATTCTGAGGGATTCTATGAGACACAATTGCAAATAAATTCATATACAAAAAATCTTCACTGATTTTATTCTTAAAATTATCCCATGAGCAATATATTATTATTAGGAAAATGTTACAGATGATAAAACTGAGACAAGGGGGCTTAAAATAAGTTCCAGAGTCAGATTAGTGAACAATAAGTTGTAATGACAGGCTTCAAACCAAAAATAGCCATTTCACTATCAGAAATTTTGGAAATGTCAATAGTTAATAACAGGTCAAAATTCCAATAGTAAGTCTCCCATTAAAAGTTATCTATAAGACTTTAGTCAGTCAACTGGCCTTTTGAATCTCAAGCATATTCTGAAATTCATGCCCATCCAAAGCCTCATATTTCTACTCAATGCAGAATCTCTCTCTGGTTAAACCTGTCTCCTTAGTGGTCATTGTACATCCATGTCTTTAAATATATATTGGTTTTCATCTTAATAATTGTCACCTAGCATTGTGATTAGATGTAAAGTAATAATAAATGCAGAATTTAGCACATTTTTTGGCCAGAATGAACACTTAATACATCATACATAATATTACTACTACTGTTATTATTTATTAATGCTCCCATCTCTAATACTACATTAATACTATAAATAATGAAATTCAACTCTATTTCTAAAAAGCAAATACTTTTAACATTTTGATAAAATATTTTATTGTGGTTTAAAGGTTAGTAGGGGTCTTAAAATCCATATATATACACACAAAAACATATATATACATATATATATATATACACGCACACATATATATATGCATACACAAATATATCACCAAAACTGAATTTTAAGGTAAAACATGGACTTTGGGTGAATGCGACTTGTCAATCTAGGTTCATCTATTGCAACACGCGTACTCTCTAGTAAGGGATGTTGATAAGGGGGGCTAGTCATGTGTCGGGTGGAGGGTATACGGGAAATCTCTGTGCCTTCCTTTCTATTTTGCTGTGAATCTAAAGCTGCTATGTTTTACATAGTCTAAAGCTGCTATGTTTTGCATAGGTTAAAATGGAAAAACATCTCATGCTCGTGGGCAGGAAGAATTAATATTAAAATGGCCTTACTGCCCAAAGCAATTTACTAATTCAATGCTATTCCTATTATACTACAAATTACATTCTTCATAGAACTAGAAAAATTATTTTAAGGTTCATATGGAACCAAAACAGAGCCCAAATAGCCAATGCAATCCTAGGCAAAAAGAACAGAGTTGAAGGGACCACATTACCAGACTTAAAAACAATACTACAGGGCTACCACAACCAAAACAGTATGATACTAGTACAATAAAAGGCACATAGACGTATGGAACAGCAAAGAGAGCCCACAAATAAGGCTGCACATGTAAGACCATCTGATCTCTGACAAAGCTGATGAAAACAAGCAAAAATAAAAATAAAAATAGACTCCCTGTTCAATAAATGGTGCTGGCTAGCCATATGCAGAAGATTGAAACTGAACCCCTTCTTTACATCACATGCAAAAATCAACTCAAGATGGATCAAAGACTTAAATGTAAAAGTCAAAACTATAAAAATCCTGGAAGACAACCTAGGCAATACCATCCTGGACATAAGAACGGGCCAACAGTTCATGACAAAGACACCAGAAGTAATCCCAACAAAAGCAAAAATTGACAAATGTGACCTAATTAAACTAAAGAGCTTCTGCACCACAGAAGAAACTAATCACAAAGTAAACAGACAACCTACTGAACGTGGGAAAATTTTTGCAAACTATGCATCTGACAAAGGTCTAATATTCAGCATCTATAAGGAAGTTAAAGAAATTTACAAGAGAGGAACAAACAACTTCATTAAAAAATGGGCAAAGGACATGCACAGATGCTTTCAAAAGAAGACATACATGCAGCTAGCAAGCATATAAAAAAGCTCAATATCATGAGCATTAGAGAAATGTAAATTAAAACCACAACAAGATACCATCTCGCACCACTCAGAATGGCAATTATTAAAATGTCAAAAAATAACCGATGCTGGTGACGTTGTGGAGAAAAGGGAATTACACACTGTCGGGGGAGTGTAAATTAGTTCAACCATTGCAGAAAGCAGTATGGTGATTCCTCAAAGAGCTAAAAGCGGAACTGCCATTTGACCCAGAAATCCCACTACTGGTTACATACCCAAAGGAATATAAATTGTTTTACTCTAAGGGCACATGCATGCATATGTTCATTGCAGCACTATTGACTATAGCAAACACATAGAATCAACCTAAACGCCCATCAATGACAGATCGGATAAACAAAACATAGTACATATACACCATGGAATACTATGCATCTATAAAAAAGAATGAGATCATGTCTTTTGTGGGAACATGGATGGATGAACTAACGCAGAAACAGAAAACCAAATATCACATGTTCTCACTTATAAGTGGGAGCTGAATGATGAGAACTCAGGAACACAAAAAGGGGAACAACAGACACTAGTGTCTAGTTGGGACTGGAGGTTGGTAGGAGGGAGAGGAGCAGAAAAAGTAACTATTGGGTACCAGGCTTAACACCTGGTGATGAAATAATCAGTGCAACAAACCGTCGTGATAGGAGTTTACCTGTATAACAAATCTTCACATGTATCTCCAAAGCTAACTTGAAAGTTAACATAAAACATAGTTTTAAAAAACATCTACACATAAAAATTTAGAATCTTGAAAAGAACATAGTGTTAGCAAAGAAACCAGAGAAATGTTGAGATAGCACTGAAATAGGAGAAGAGCGTTTGTCACACTGTCTTTCATCCCCATCAATTTTCTCTCCACCTGATTTTACTTAGTCACCACTATTGGGTTCTTTCATTGAATTTTATCCCACTCTCCACTCCACTGTTTTAATATCCCTGAACCCAAGAGAAAAGTTAGGGCTGAGTGATAATGTCTGGGAAATTATGTGGGTAATTCATTGTATATCAAACATATGTGAAAACAATTACTAGGTGATTATAGACTTACAGGTACATTGATTGGAAAAGACAACTTGACATCTTAAGAATTTCCTTATGTAGTAAATGATATAGACTCCTACAGAAGAATTAAAAAAAATTCTTACTTGGTCAGTTTTCAGGTCTATTTTTTAAAAAAGAAAAATTATATAGCAAAAAATTATCAATATTGCAGTAGCCACTGATGACTGTTTATTACCAGAATTATTTGTAACATTTTACTTCCTTTTTCTAGACAATAAAAATAACAAAACACCATTAACATTTAATAGTTCTCAGTTGAAATTTAATAATGTTTCTGAAGAAAGCTTTAATATTAAGATATTTTGTTTCTGTTTAGGTTTTAAATCGTTTTGTTATTTTGCAAAGACAAATCAACCAGTAAATAGAATGAAAGTCCTTGGAGTATTTTTGCATGTAAGAATCCAATTCACCTAATTCTCTGTTGTGTTTAGTACTTGGCACTATGTCTGGTACCTACTGTATACATGTCAAATTAAGTAATGGAGCATTTTGTTTGAAATTATGTAATGTTTGCTAGATATATTAAATCTCTATTGACATATTCCCAATTAAATAGTCACTTCAAATAATTTAGTTTGTGTTAATGATCAGCCTTCCTAAGTAATTCAAAAATTAAATATTAAAGGCAATTTCCACTTCCTACAATCTTTTAAATATAGGTGCTTTCTAATTTGCTAGCTCATGAAGCATTCTCTATTAATGGCAGATTTACAGTTCCTTCTAGAAGGTTAAATAAACACTTCAGTCTATAATTGGTAACCATGATCCCAATAAGTATGCAGTTAAGCTTGGGGTCAATATTTTTATTTACACAAGATTAAAGCATAAATTATTTAAAATATATTAAAAATAATTTCACTTTTGGATACAAATTTCTCATGAAGTAGGCAGAGGAATTTGAAAAAGAAACTCTAAAGCCAGATAGGAAAAATAGTTAAATTAAATTTAAAGAATGTTTTCATGTAGGCCTAGATGATAGATAATACTTCATTATGCCTAAGCAAAATATGAAACCTAACCGAGTGAAAAAGTGAATGGAGAAAGTTAAAGGACAAATCTGTTTATAATCAAACCTGACTTTTTAAGATAGCCTCTATATTTTCCTACACATCCTTCTACCTGCTGACAGGATAATGTCTTGCTAAATCTGAATCATAAATATTTGTCAATTAATAGAGTATTTCAAGACATAAATTAATCTGGACACAACTGAATAGAGTGACTAGAAAATCTAATAGAATATGAAAGCATAGTAGATATTTTCTTGTTTCTACGAAGCTGATACTTCAGGGAAAGAAACTGAAATTTTTATCCAGTTTTTAACCTATTATCTTCCCAATTCTCTATCTTGCTCTCATGTTTGTAACCAAAGCGATGTATTTGTCAAACAGCCAGTTGATAAACTGATATACACTGCAAAGGCATGAGACTGTCTCTGTTAGAAGACAGCTGTTTTGCCTGGAGTTTGAAGCATACCTTGACCTCATTAGCAAAAGGATTTGTATAGTCTTGTTGGAATCATTAATAAAAGTTTTACAGATTGCTTAAAGTTAATTTATGTGACACAGTAAAATGCTGTGCCAGCAGCACTATGAAATAAATAGATCAAACATAGAAGCTAAAAGTGAGAACCTTCAATTCTAGCTATATGTATATTTTAACTGCAGTACATTGCAAATAAATTTTTGTTGTTGTTGTTGTTTTGTTTTCTTTTGTTTGTTTTTGTTTTTTCTGAGACAGGGTCACGCTTTGCAGCCTAGGCTGGAGTGCAGTGGTGCAATCATGCCTCACCGCAGCCTCAGCCGCCTGGGCTCAAGGGATCCTCCCACCTCAGCCCTCCAAGTAGCTGGGACTGCAGGCATGCACCACCATGCCAGGCTAATTTTTGTATGTTTTGTAGAGACATGGTTTCACCATGCTGTCCAGGCTGGTCTCGAACTCCTGAGCTCAAGCCATCCCCTCGCCTCGGCCTCCCAAAATGCTAGTATTACAGGCGTGAGCCACTGGGCCCATCCACAAACTGACTTTTAATGCCTTAAAAATACTGTCCAAGGTAGCTTTCCTTTTGATTTATCTTTATGTATATTTTCACCAAAACTGCAGCCTTAAAAATGCTTTCAAAGTCTCACGGAATTGCCCTGATAAGACATATTTTAGTTTCAGTTCAGTTACTCCATTTTATGTGTCACGTTTCCAATTACTATGCAATATCTACCTGAGAATTCAACTACTCCACCTTAGATGAAAGACCTCAAGTATCTTTGATAAGACTCTTCAGCATACAAGAAACTTATTTCATTCAATCTATTCAACAAATATACATTGAGCACCTGCCATGTAATAGGCAATGTTCTGTGAGCCAAGTATACATGAATAAAGAGCAGATATTCAATAAGTGCCTCTGGAAAGTTAAGGCTTATTTTTTTAAATTCAATCATCTGAGTTGGAAGTGATCTGAATGGAGTAGATGGGAGAAAGTGTTACACATAAAAAACAAATCCAAGAGTAATGTCAAATTTGAGGGATTAAATTGTTATTTTCCCCACCCTTTTACATAAATTATTGTAACTTCAATAAAATAATTTTAAAATTAACTCATTAAGCACCACATAGATCACTTTATTTATACACAGTATGTCATTGAATAACTTCATTTCATTCGATGTCACTTTGTTATCATGTTGATGAGAAAAAAAACAATTCCCTAGTCTTTGTGTGGAGTTCACATGTTCTCCCCATGTCTATGTGGATATTCTCTGGGTACTCCAGTTTCCTCCCACGTTCCAAAGATGTGCACATGAGTGAACTGGTGTGTCTCTTTGGTCCCATCTGAGTGAGTGTGGGTGTGTGTTTGAGTGCATGCCGAGAGGGAATGCCATCCTGTCCAAGGTTGATTCCAGCCTTGGCACTGAGCTGCTGAGGTAGGTTCCTGCCACACATGACACTGAACTGGAATCATTGGCTAAGTAGTGATCTTGTTTTTATTAATCTTTCTTAAATGTATGTATAGCTTACATTTATCTCAATGTTTAATATTGCAATAAATATTAAATATTAAAATGTTTTGGTTTTCATTTAGAAGTTTGGTGATGTTTTTGTGACCAGAAATATGTTATAGGAACTCAACTCTTATTTATATCAATTAACCTATGGTAAAATGGGTTTCCTTTTATGTCATTTTGCTTAGCATCACAGTTTCCAAGAACCTCTCTACAACAATATGTGGGAACTTACTGTATGTTGTTTATTGTATATTTTATATTTTATATATGTTAAATATATATTGGCAATACAATATAAATATATATTTTCTATGTAATAAAATAGTCATGTTGTATACTATCTACAATATAAATATGTATTTATATTTATTTATGTTTTATATTGAAAATATTATTTGCCCCAGTGGTCAGACCAAGAAGACAATGAGTGAAATTTTCAAAGATACAAAAACAAATACCCATATTTTATTAGATTAGCTTTGTCACAAATTCATAAAATATATGAAGTGAATACTTATCCAAAATAAAGCTACTTAAACAAGTAGTTTTGCAGTATTGAAAGTATGATGTCTTTTAGATGAAAACAAACAGAAAGATGGGTGACCTTTAAGGATGACCATTCAGATTCATCTGAAGTTTGTAGAATTTTTCTCTAGGAATATTGATGATTTCCATCAAGAATTCTCCAGAATTCTTTTTTAATAATTTTATTATAAGGATTAAAAAATTTTAAACCTACTTTATTGAGGTTGTAATATTGGATCACTTTGCATCTATTAGTAACTGATATGAATTCGCTCCCCAATCCATATCATTTGTTCCCACTAAAATCTCCTCTTGAAATGTAATCCCCATAATCTCCACGTGTCATGGCGGGACCAAGTGGAGGTAATCGAATCACAGGGGCAGTTTCCTCTATGTTGTTCTCATGATAATGCGTGAGTCTTATGAATTCTGATGGTTCTCTGGAATTTCCCCTGGTTGCACTCACTCCGTCCTGCCGCCCTGTGAAGAAGGTGCCTGCTTATCCTTTGTCTTCCACCATGATTATGTTTCCTGAGGCCACCCCAGCCAAACAAAATTGTGAGCCAACTAACCCTCTTTCTTTTATAAATTAACCAGTCTCTGGTATTTCTTCATAGCAGTGTGAGAACAGACTAATACAGTAATGAACATCTCAATGTGTTCATTTCAATAAAGAGCATGAATATTCATTTATTCAAAAATAAAAACATCATTTAATTTTAGATAAAATAGTTCAAACTTATCAGTTAATAAATGTCATGCGTATTTTAGCCCGAGACCAGAAATTTGAGTGAATATGATGAGCAAATCTTGCTATGGACTCATGGCTGTTGTCAGTTAGTGCTGTGGTGTTGTCTATCCTTGACTCTGAGTAGCATAATCAATCATTTACCCAAACTGACAAGCTCTCAGAGAAGACAGATGTTCTACCCACTGAGTCAGGTTCACATCAGGATTCAGCCTGATGCTCTTTCTTTTACTGATGCTTGAAAACCAGAAAATCACTGAAAAGATTTTTTTTTTAAGTTGAAAAAGTGAGTAATGTTTAGTATTATTTATTTTATGAAATTTATTCAGAATTGAAAACAACTGCACACTTCTAGCTTTGATAGTGTTTGTTGATGGTAAATATTTCAAAATTTCACTACTTACTTATTTTCTACGTACACTTTTGCAATCTAAAAGTTCTCTATTTCTTTCTTTAAAAAAGTAGTGTGTTGATGTGGTACTTTAACATGATAAAAATATCCCAAACAGAAAGACATATTTAAGCATATTTACTTTTACAACAATAATTATTTCAATTGTATATTCATTATAAGCTGTTTTCAGCTAAATCTAAAAGAGTTGTTTTTCTTTAAAGCTTAGTCTTTTTATACTAGAAATCTCTAAATTTCTTCATTGAGTTCTAAAGTCATATAAGTTTCAATGTTGAATGTCTCTTGAAGAGTATTTACATTTCAAAGGACAAATGTGAGTTTTATCCTTATTAGAGTAGTGCCTCCTTATCCACAGTTTTACCTTTCTTGGTTACCCACAGTCAATTACAGTATGAAAATATTAAATAAAAAATTCTAGAAATAATAATTCATATGTTTTAAATTGCCTGCCCTTCTGAGTAGCATGATGACATCTCTCAACATCCCACTCCATCCATCCTGGAACATAAAGTAGCCCTTTGTTCAAAGTATCCTTGTTTCATATGCTACCTGCCCATTAGTTACTTAGTAGCCATCTCAATTATTGGATGGTGATTGAGATATTGCAGTGCTTTTATTCAAGTAACCATTATTTTACTTAATAGTGGCCCCAAGAATGGTAAGGCTTACATACTGTTATAATAACTCACTTTATTATTATTGTTTTTAATCTCTTACTGTGACTAATTTATAAATTAAATTGTATTTTAGGTATGTATGTATAAAAAGTAGAGTATATTTTGGGTTCGGTATTCTCTGCAATTTCAGATATCCAACGGGGGCCTTGGAAGATACCCTCTGTAGACAAACGGGAGGCTATTGTGTTAGGTTTCAATGTTGGCAATTGTGGTGAAGATCCTGTATGCCAGCAATCTGGCTCTCAGGGTCAAGAGTCTACAGAGAACTCTTCAATGCCACATGTAACTTAAGTCACGTTAGGTAAGTTACTTAATTTGTCTAAACTTCAGCTATATCACTTAGTAACCACTAAATCTATGTTGTGTAAAGAAACAAATCAGTTCATCAGTTCGTGGTTACTGCAAGTCTAATAAATCCCCACGAATATATATGATTTTTTAAAACTCTCACATACATAGTAGTATATTACATCTCTCAATTATTAAAGAAAATAAGAGTTAAAACTCTTGTACACACAAAGACAGTGTGTGTGTATGGAAGATACACAAGAGAAAAAAAGAATCAAAGCAAATCACCATAAAAAATCAACTAATCACAAAGAAAGATAGCATAAGAGAAAAGAAGGATAAAGAACTACAAAAAAGACAGAAAATAATTAACAAAATGGCAGTAATAAATCCTTCCCTAATTTTTTAACCCTTTTCCTGTTTAGAAAAAAAAATGCAGCTTCTGTCGGCGCTCATTTAATTTTACATAAGTATCCTCTTTGAGGCTGAAACAACCTGACTGGTTTTAAATGTAAGAACAAAATATAAAAACTGTTCTTGGAGTTATTTCTAAACAGAACTAATATCAGAATTGTCTGAATCACCAGAATCATCTATTTCCGAAAAACCGAATTTATCAAATGAATCCTTGGTCAACTCTTTGAGAATGATGTTAACCTCACGTTTAGGAATGCTACTGTTAAATCAAGTTTAGTTTAAAGCTGTCTCCTTCCTTTTTTTTTTTTTTTTTGAGACAGAGTCTCGTTCTGTCGCCCAGGCTGGAATGCAGTGGCACCATCTCTGCTCACTGCAACTTCTGCCTCCCAGGTTCAAGCGATTCTCCTGCCTCAGCTTCCTGAGTAGCTGGGACTACAGGCGCACGCTATTTTTTTTATATTTTTAGTAGAGATGGGGTTTCACCGTGTTAGCCACGATGGCCGCCATCTCCTGACCTCGTGATCCGCCCGACTTGCGCTCCCAAAGTGCTGGGATTAGAGGTGTGAGCCACTGCGCCCTGCCCTCCTTACATATTTTAAGTTTGGCCTAAACGTTTCTCTGTACATCGCAAACTCTAGACTAAATGAAAGTATAAACAGACTATCGTCTACTCTTGTGCCAATCACCAAGTTTTGGCCAATCAAATGTGGCCAACTGTTTGAACCATGTTCAAATAAGGCAAAGGTTCAGCTGTAACCAACCCAGCTGCTTCTGTACCTCACTTCCATTTTCTCTATGTCAATTTCCTTTTTTCTTTCCATAAATCTTCTCCCACCACATGGCTGCACTGGAGTCTCTGACCCTATTCTGGTTCAGGGAGGCTGCCCTATTCATGAATAGTTCATTGCTCAATTAAACTTTTTAAAATTTAATTTGGCTGAAATTTTGCTTTTAACACTACATTTTCTAATATTTGACATTTTCAACAATCAAGAATTACTATATTTTGTAAATGGAAATAGCACTACTAAAAACAGAATGCTATAAATAGAATAATGTTTTTCCGAAGTTAATATACTAGAAGGATGAAAAAATAGTAATAAAAGTGAGATATTTTGTGGCAAAGTTATTTCAAGGTAAATACTGTAGTTACAAATGTCTCCGGCAAGTATTCTCAGGGCAAAGGGGAAAATGGTTAAGTGTAAATGGATTACACTCTTTAATCAAAAAACATAGAGTAACTAGATAAACTAGTATATGCTGTTCATATAGACTCGCTTTAGATTTAAGGACACACATAGGCTGAAAGTAAACCAATGGAAAATAACATTTCATATTCTATGCCAACGGCAACCAAAAGAGAGTTAGCATTGCCAGACTTACATCAGAAAAAATAGGCTTAGGTCAAAAAGTGTCACAAGAAGCAAAGAAGTTCATTATATAATGATAAAGATATTCATTCATCAGGAAGTATGTATGTGTCAAAGTTCAAAGCACCTAAATATATAAAGATTGCTTTATATAGAAGAACCTAAGAAAGAAATATACAGCAATGCAATAATAGTAGGAAACTTAAATATTACTACTTTCATTAATGGATACAACATCCAGGCAGAAAACTGATAAGAAATCAGGGGACTTAAACAACACTAGAGCCCAAATAGGCCTAACAGACACGCAGACAACATTTCACCCAACAGCAACAGAATATACATTCTTCTCAAGTGTACACAGAACATTCTCTAGAATAGATCATATGTTAGGGCATGAAATATAACAATATTAAGAAGATTAAAATCATACCAAATATCTTTTTACCACAATGTAATAAAACTAGAAATGAATAACAAAAAGAAAACTAGAAATTACACAAATATGTAGAAATTAAACAACACAATATTGACCCAATGAGCCAAGTAAGAAATTAAAATGGACCTAAAAAATTATTGAGAAGAGGCTGGGCGTGGTGGTTCAGGCCTGTAATCCCAGCACTATAGTCATCTATAGATCTAAAGTCATCTATAGGAGGCCGAGGCAGGTGGATCACGAGGTCAGGAGATAGAGACCAACCTGGCTAACACAGTGAAACCCTGTCTCTACTGAAAATACACAAAATTAGCTGGGCGTGCTGGCATACGCCTGTAGTTACAGCTACTTGGGAGGCTGAGGCAGGAGAATAGCTTGAAGCTGGGAGGCAGAGGTTGCAGTGAGCCAAGATCGCACCACAGCACTCCAGCCTGGGTGACAGAGCGAGAAGAAAAAAAAAGATTCTTGAGAAGAAAATTAAAAATACAATATATAAAAGTTTATAAGATACAACAATAAATCCCTTAATACTCAGAGTGCTAAGTATTCTAATTCCTTAGTACTAAGAAGGAAGCTTATTATGCTAAACACCAACATTAAATAAGGAGAAAAATCTCAAATAAAAAAGTTTACACCTTAAGAAACTAGAAAAAATAACAAACCAAATGCAAATTTAGTATAATAAAAAAAAAGTATTAGTGTAAAAATAAACAAAATAGACAATAGAAAACCTTAGGAAAAGCTCTACAGAATAAAAATTTGATTTTTTGAAAAGATCTTCAAAATTGACAAAGCTTAGGCTAACAAGGAAAAAAAGAACAAATAAATACAATTACTAATGAAAAAAAGAGACATTACAACTGATCCCACCGAAATAAAAAGGATCACGAGAGACTTCTATGAACAGCTATATGCCTACAAATTGGATAAGTGAAAACTAACAGACAAATCCTTAGAGAGATACAAACTACTAAGACTATATCATGAAGAGATGAAAACCATCAGCAGACCTATAATTATTAGCGAAATTACATATTAGAAATAAAAAACCTCTCATAATAGAAAGTCCCAGGGCCATATGCCTTCACTGATGAATTATATGAATTATAACAAACATTTAAAGAATTAATAACAATCTTTTTCAAACTGTTACACAAAATATATATAGAAGAAGGGGGAGCAATTACAAGTGCCTTTTATGAGGCAAATATTAACCAAATACAAAAGACAAATAAATATACAATCAGAAGAAAAAAAACAACTACAGGCCAATAACCTCAATGAACATAGATTTCAAAATTCTTAACAAAATATTGGCAAACAAATTCAGCAGCATATTAAAACGATTGCATGCCATGACCACATGGGATTTATTTCTTGGATGCAAAGGTCGTCCCACATATGCAAATCAAATAATGTAATATATCTAATTTACAGAATAAATGGTAAAAATTAAATGGTCATCTCAAGAAATAAAGAAAAAAGCTTTTGAAAAATATTAACTCCTTTTAATGACAAAAACCCTCAACAAGCTAGTTACAAAAAGAATTTAGCTCAATATAATAAAGTTCATTTATGGAAAGCCTACAGCTATCATCAATCCCACCTCACGGTGAAAAACTGAAAACTTTTCTTCCAAAGTCACTAACAAGGCAAGGGTGCCTACTCTATCTTTTTCTATTCAAAGTAATAGTGAAAGTTCTAACCAGAACAATTAGACAAGAAAAATAAATTAACGGCAGCCAAATCAGAAAGGAAGAAGTAAAATTATCTCTGTTTGCAGGCAACATGAACTTATATGTAGAAAACCCTAAAGACTGCACCCACAGAAAACTGCTGGAATTAATAAACAAATTCAATGAAGTTGTAAGATACAAAATCAATATACAAAAATCAGTTGCATTTCTATACAGTAACAGCAAACTCTTTGAACAGAAAATTGAGAAAACAATCCCATTTTGTATAGCATCAAAAAGAATAATACACTTAGGAAAAAACTTAACCAGGGAAGTAAAAGACTTGTACACTGACAACTATAAAACACTGCCAAAGGAAATTAGTGAAGACACAAATAAATTGAAAAAATTCCATGTTCATGGGTCAGAAGAGAGAGCTAATATTGTTAAATTACCCAAAGTCATCTATAGATTCAATGCAATCAAAATTCCAATGAAATGTTTTACATAAGTAGAAAAAAAAATTCTAAAATTTGTATAAACCACAATAGAGCCAGAATAGTCAAGTCAGTCTTGAGAAAGAACACATTTGAAGGCATCACACTTCTTGATTTCAAATATATTACAAACCTACATTAATCAAAACAATATGGTACTCACATAGCTGTGTACACATTGACCAATAGAAAAAAAATAAAGAGCCCAGTAATAAACCCATGCTTATATATGGTGAACTGATCTACAAGGATGCCAAAAAGACACAGTGAAGAAAGAATAGGTTCTTCAACAAATGGTGTTCAGAAAACTGGATATTGACATGAAAAAGAATAAAAATATACTCGGTGTATATTGTATACAAAAATCAGCTCACAATGATTTAAAGACTTAAACATAAAACCTGAGCTGTAAAACTCCTAGAAGAGGGAGAAAGCTTCATGACACTGGTCTTGGCAATGGTTTCTTATACATGACAATAAAAGCACAAGCAACAAATGCAAAAAGTGAGACTACATGAAACTAAAATGCTTCTTCACAGCAAAAGAAACAATCAACAGAGTGAAAAGGCAACCTGCTGGATGAATGAAAATGCTTACAATTCACACATATGATAAGGCGCTAATATCCAAAATATATAAAGAACTTCAAATCAATGGCAAAGAAAACCCTCAAAAAATGAGCAAAGGATTTCAATAGATGTTTTTCAAAAAAAGGCATACCAATGGCAAACAGGTGTATGAAAACGTGCTCAACATCACTAATCATCAGAGAATTGCAAATCAAAACCATAATGAGATGTCACCTCACACCTGTTAGAATGACCAATATTAAAAACAAACAACAATTTAAAAAAACAATTTATTGCTGAGGATATTGAGAAATTGTAATACTTATATACATTGTCAGTGGGAAGGTAAAATGGTGCAATCACTATGAAAAATGCTACAGAGGTTTCTCAAAAAATTAAAAATAGAATTACCATATGATCCAGCAATTCCACTACCAAGTATATATCGAAAAAAATGAAATTGGGTTCTGGAAGAACTCTCTGCACACTTAGGTTCACTGCAGCATCATTCGTAGTAAACAAGATGTGGAAGCAACCTAAATGTCTATCAGTGGATGATTGGATAAAGAAAATGTCGTATGTGTATACAATATAATATTGTTTGTCACAAAAGAAGGAAATCCTGCCATATGTGATGATGTAGATGAACCTGGACGACATTGTACTAAGTGAATTAAGCCAGTCATAGAAGGAAAATACTTCAGGATTTCTCTTATATTGGATATTTACAACAGTGAAACTCCTAGAAACAGAAACAGAATAGTGTTTGCCAGGAGCTGGAAGAAGGGAAAATGGGAAGTTATTAATCAACAGGTACAAAGTTTTAGTTATGCGAGATTAGTATATTCTAGAGAACTGCTGTATCACACTATGCTATAGTTAACAATATTGTATTATGTCCCTAGAAAATTTGCTAAGAGGGTAGATCTCATATTAAGTGTTCTTAACACACACACACGCACACACGCACGCACACACACACACACTCACAAATTGTGCACACTACAGGGAACTGCCATAAAGTCTGACTCTTTGAAGCAAAGATAACATCTTGCATCAGTGTCACACAAAGCTCCAATTCCTTAAGAAATTTGTATTTAAAGCATATATTTTAAGCATATGGATATTAAACCACATATCTTTTAAAAAGTATTATTGATTGGGGAGGGTTAGGGAGATGGCAGAGTAGTGCATTAGTAGTCTCACTGACAACAAATTCCAAAAATAAATTATATTAACTTCCATGACTTATAATCTATTGACTTCTTTTAGAAAAAAAGTTATTAATTTCAAGTCACTTTTTCAGGCTTGAAAGTATAAACATTTCTCTGTATTGTTTTATAAAGGGCAGCACGGATCTTTTCTATTTGGTAGACTACTTTGAAAATGTCATAAAATGGCCAATAATAAGAAAACCTGGAGGCTAAAAGAAACATGCTTTGTGTATTTAATTACTAAAGAGAAAACATTAATTTGCTAAGGCATTGCAGCTAACACCAATCTTTATTTAAAATATGCATTCATTTGTAATTTGCATGGCATGGCTAAATAACCATATGTTATTACCTAACACAGATATCATGCTTAAGCATACATAAATCTGAATACGAATGGAAACACTATGCTAAGTGAGGCAATGTGCGTAACTTCAAGCTTTTTGTCACAGAAAATGATGACAGAGTTGATTTAATTATAATCAGTAATTTTAGAACCATTTTGGTACATTTCTTTTCTCTTGTTGCTTTAATCGTTCTTTATTGTGTAGAGAGAAGATATTTGCTAGAATTAGACATGCCCAGAGTCACTAATTTTGCTACTCATGAGTTACAGAAACCTTAATTTTTGTATTGTCCAATAACATCATTCAAAATCTGAATTTTTGGTTAAGTTATATCCTTTAGAAAAAAGAGTTTAAAGTTTTCAATTATGTACGATTAATTATATTTTGATTCAGACAAATACTATGTACCTAATAAACTATATATTTTGATATAAAGCAAGACCTGAAGTTATCACCAATGTTTATTTTGCAATTATCAATTATAGCTATTTAAATCAATATCATATATAAATGCATTGCATTATATAACTTCATCGAAATATGTGAGTTAATCATCCTACTCATAGATAAAATAATTCAAAATCGCTGATTAGATGAAAATGAACAATAAGAGACTTCAGCAGCCAAATTTTCCAGAGGCCAGTTCCAGCATTTAATAACTTTATTTCTCACTAAAACAAATACTCATTTCGTACACAAAAAGAAGACATTAAAATGTATGTATAGTAGCACTATCATTTTTAGAGGCATTAGGCTGTTTCCCTCTTTATATCTAGTTTATTAGTAATCTCTCTCATAACACTGGGCATTGCACTGAAACAAATGTAAAGATCTTAACAAATTTTCAGAGAAATTTTCATGGAATTGTCCCGTGATATTAGACACTTTTTAAAGATGGGCAATTTATTAGTTCCTTTTGACTTAAAGCATTTATTGTAAGTGTACTTTCATCTAAAGTTAACTTTCATAGACTATTCTAGATTAGTATTGTCTCTTCCTATTTCTTTTCACAAGTAGAACTGGAAAATAGCTAAATAAACAATAATTAGCATCATCCAAGTGAAAGACAGCTGAGATAGATAGATGATAAATAGACAGATGATAGACAGTTGATAGATAGATACATAGATAGATAGATAGATTTAATAAAGGAGGTTCCATAACATTCATAGTTTTTCTTTTGCAGATTCATCTGTATTCAGTTATTTTTCCCCATTAAAACTTCCAAATAATATTTTTTTACACGCTTTTGAAAGCCCATTTGGGAATTGTGGCTATACTAGAGGGATAGAAATTACAAAAAATATTCTAAGTTAGGCCTTAGAGCAGGTGTTCCCATCTTCTGTGTTTATACTGGCCCATGGCATTTGAGGCACTGGCTGCACAACAGAAAGTGAGCCAGGGGCAAGCAAGCATGGCCACCTGAGCTCTGCCTCCTGTCAGATCAGCCGTAGCATTAGGTTCTCATAGGAATGCCAACCCCACTGTGAACTGTGCATGGGAGGGATCTAGGCTGTGTTGTCCTTATGAGAATTTAATGATAAATGTAATAGCTTGAATAATACCAAAACCATCCTCCCACCTTCCCCCATCTGTGAAAAATTGTCTTCCATGAAACTGGTCCCTGGTGCCAAAAAGGTTGGGAACCACTGCCTTCGAGAATAAATGCAAAGTTGCCAATAAATCTTGCAAATAATATTCTTTCTGTCACTAGCAATGCACAAATTTCCTATTTTAGGATCGAGTTAAGAATCCAAAATACATTACAGTATCAGGCTGGAATCCTGCTGGTCTTTGTGGTGTTGTTATTCATTTATTTTTATTTTTATTTTTGGTTTGGAGGTGCATGTGCAGGTTTGTTAAATGGGAAAATATGTGTCATGAGATTTGTTGTACATATTATTTCATCACCCAGTTATTAAGCCCAGTACCCAGTAGTTGTCTTTTCTGCTCCTCTCCCTCATCCCACCTCCCCCAGCCCCATTCAAGTAGACCCTGGTGTCGACTGTTTTCAATGGATACGTTTCCCAGAGGGCCTCAAAAAATGATGGAGTTCAATTTAAAATGTATCCGGATCAGGCAACACATAGCAGAGTCACCCATCCTGGAATCAGTTCTTACCTTATGTTGGCTGCTCAGCCTGTTGCTGTTTCTGTAGCTTGAACCACATATATCCTCCTGTTTGACCACTTGATGTTCTTTCCCGAGCAATTCCTGAAGTGTCTCCATTGGAGGTGACCTCTGTTCTTGCTAGACATGATTTTTTTATTGTTTTCTTCTTCATATCCTGATCTGTTTTATAGAAATCAGGCAAATCATATAAATGGATATGGAAAGGTCCAAAAAAAAAAAAAGGGAGGGGTAGTATAATTAAACATGAATCAGCAATGACATTGGAAAAATCAGTGTATCAAGAGGGCTGAAATCAGTATTTCTTAAATAAAAATAGTATGGTAACTTGAGTTAACAATTTTATCAGAACTAGGAGTCAATCCTTTGTCACTGAGCCACTCCTGAAAATAAATTTATGTTCCCGAGAACTATAGATGCATTTATCATTCTGATGTGATTGCTTCCTGAGCATTCACTGACCAAACTTATCATACTGTTCCTTCTGATTAGTCTCGATGGCCAATTAATTAGCAGTATGATTTTATGTCGGTGTTCAAGAGACAAAAGCCATTCTTCTAATGTTTCATTGAGAAGTGAAATATTTTCTTATTCTCAGAGGATTCTTAAATTATGCCAAAAATTATTGAGTATCTTATGTAAGTTAGACCCTGCGAATGTCATTTTCAGTTTTATTACCTCTTTTATTCCTTATAGCAACCCTCTTTCAACAGTTCTATTATCCTTCTTTTATCTGTGGGAAAACTGAGGGTCATAGATATTATTTAACAACAGGAATATTACCTATGACCTCTGACTTTAAAACGAATTTTTAAAGATATTAAATCCATAATATGTTAGTGACATTTAACCATAAATTTGAAGTATATAAAAATTATCATCTGAATTGATTACAATAAAAAAACAGGCCACTAGTATTTGATTTAAATTGTTCTCCCAAGTACATGAACATATTTTGGTTTGCTTTAGTTTTTGAATTTTTCAGTGCCTAAGTTAATATTGCCATAAGATAAAAATAAGATGAGAAATAATTTTAGATCACATGATAACAATTTTCCATTAGTTATTATTTTTATTACGGTAGAGACTTAATTTTTATGAAAAATCGCTACCGGTTTAAATATTTAAAACTTTTTTTCAAATGTTTGATACCTGCCTTTGCTTCAAACTCAGTTTTTCATTTCTATTTTTCAATAACTACACTATTGATTATATTACTCTATTTGGTATTCTGCAATTGAATATAAATGTTAAAACCTATGAGAAAGCTTAAAGGAAAAAATGATGGTTACAAATGTGAGCACCATGGATTAAGAAATACAACATTTCCAACGTTCTCAATATCTTCTGCATGCCATTTTCTGATAATATGCAGTCCTCACTGCCCATGTGACCACTTTTTTGAATTTATATTAATTTTAATTGCATTAATTCATAATTTATATATATACACATTCCCCAAAATAGCATGGAAAGTTTTACTACACTTAAAATGAGTTTTTTGGGAAAGAGCAAGTGAGGCTTCCCTGAAGGTCTGAAAATGACTTGAGAGAGAAAAGAGTAGAAACTGGCTTTAATTATTAGTATTATGATTAGAGGTGGGGCCAGGGTGAGAGTTCCTGTTTGGGCCAGTGACTTGCATTATTTAAACTTCTTGCTGGTACCAAAGGAGGAAGCAGCTGGGCTCTATTTTTGTCTTGCTTAGATACAGGCGAAGAAGGAGGAGTGGGACTTGAAACATTAAAATTTGTCTTTGTAAGCTATATGCCTGACATTCTATGAGAGCTGTAGCCTAGGCCAGTAAGAAAGTTTAGTTTCACTGAATGCTTTGTCCAGGATCCCAGCACTGCGCATTTTTGAGAAGTGAGATGTACCTTGGCCACTATGAAAGCTATCTTGAAATCCAAAGGGTATAAATGCCTTGATAAGAACTTGTATTGTGGCTTTACTATGTACAGAGACATAGAGAACTGTGGTTTATATTGTTTACCCCATATGTTCTTTACCACAAATAGAGAAACCTTGGATAAAGAATTGTTGCTTTGGCCATATGCTGGATCAGATGACCAGAATAGTGGCAATAGCTCAATAATCTGTAAAAATGTGCAGATGGGGCTGTTGTTGGCCAGGGCATCCAGTGCTAGGAATGAATGCCCAAAGCCAGGCCATTTGTGCTGACTTTTTGTGTGTCTTTGATCTGTGATATCATGATTGAAAGGTAGATGGCAAGAACGCTCCTGGGGACTTCATCATATGTAACGTGGTGCTGCCATCTATACAATTTAGAAATGCTCTGTGCTATTTACTCAGTTGATCACAAGGAGCTGCCCAGGTAGCCAAGGGGTCTGGGAGAGGGATAACTTCATCCAGCACCATGGCATCTGGCAAAGGAATGGGGAGAGGAGGAGGCCAACATTTCTTGCATATGGGATATGCTAGAGAGGCCGAGTTCTATTCTTAAAGGTCATGTTTTTATTTATACTAAGCGGTATTAACTATTTTAACTGGTGGGGACGGAATAAGTCTCATTATGTCAATAGCATTTTAAGGACTAGAGATTTAAATGCAATTTAATTTAACTTAATTTCATTACTAACTAATTTTATTTAGTTACTGTTTATGAATATTTAAGTTTTGGCTTGTATGGTAAGAGTTTCTGTCTTTGATGGAATATTTTAGGGCAATGGGCGCTATGACTATGGGGAACTTGGGCAGTGCAGTAGCTCTGGTGAGGTGTACTTGTTTTCTTCTGTTTTCATTGGTAATTCCCCCTAGATTAAACAGGATATCTTGTTTAAAATTATTTCGATTCCCAGATGTAACTGTAATTTGAGACCTAGTGTTGATAAAGGTCATTAAATTTTTCTGATTGGTACATTTTAGCATCTGCTAAAGTTAATCAAGTTTCCTTTCTTGTAGCAGTACAAAAATCATCAAAGTCCTTTTATTTTTCTTCTTACATAAATTATTTTAGTAAATTCTGGATTTCTAATTGTGTCAAATTGCAGATGTCTGATTTAGTTTTTATTTGTTTGTCTTCTTTATTCAAGTTTTTCATTGTTTTTGTTTTTTGATGGTTACTGGATATGCAATAGGGGTTTGACTGAGTTTCCTCTACCTTTCTTATATTTATACACTACCTTTTGCCTAGAATTTCAAATAAGCCTCACAGGAGTTAGTTAGAGGCCTCTTCCGTGGTGATGGTAGCTTTATTGAGATTAAGGACTTGGGCTTAACACAGTTTAAAATTAATACCTTGCCTGTGCCAGGGAGGTGTCTTGGACTTTTTTCCTGTAGCTCCAAGAATCACTACCTTCTTTAATGAAGGGACACAGGCAACAACAGCAGCAAAGGCATTTGTGAGGTACTAGTGAGCCCTTTGCTTTTATGAATGTGGGCCCAATATACCAAATAGTGACTATTCTTTCTCCACAGGAGTGGCCACCTGGTGAACCCATATATTGCACACGGCATCAGTCTTTCCCAGAAGTGCTCTATAGGATGGAAATCATAGCCTGATTAAGACATAAAACCGACAGTCCCCGGGCAAATCTTTATCCTAAGCTTACTACATATAGTGATGTTATTGTCTGAATATATGTGTTCTCCCAAAATTCATCTGCTAAAATATTAATTCCCAAGGTGATAACATTAGGAGATGATGGCATTTGAGAGATGATTAGATTGTGAGGGCAGTGCTCTCATGAATGGTAGTAGTGCCCACATAAAAGAGGCCCCAGAGAGCTAGCTAGCCCTGTCCATCATGTGAGAACGCAAGGTGAAGATGACCATCAGTGAACGAGAAAGCAGGCCCTCACCAGGCATTGAATCTGCCAGCAACTTGTTCATGAACTTCCCAGACTTCAGAACTATGAGAAGGAAATTTCTTTTGTTTATAACCTTCTCAGTTTTTGGTATTTTTTATAGAAGGCTGAAAAAACTAGACAGAATCAAGACACATGCCTTAATCTGAAATACAGATAAATGCAGGTTATGATGCAGGAGCCAAGGCCCCTTTAAGGAAGGTCCCAATTTCTTAATCCTTTCTTCAGATGCCAGTAAGGATACTTCTGATATTGGTCAGTTAAGTCTATAACAGAAGCATGGCAGAACTCAGCAAATGCAGCACAAAGAAGCTCAACTCAAAGTGCAACTTTGCCTGTAGGCAGCAACACAACTCAAAGATTATGCAGGAGACAGGCACGGTGGCTCACGCCTGTAATCCCAGCACTTTGGGTGGCCAAGGTGGGCAGATCACCTGAGGCTAGGAGTTCAACACCAGCCTGGCCAACATGGTGAAACCCCATCTCTACTAAAAATACAAAGATTAGCCGGGAGTGTTGGCACATGGCTGTAGTCCCAGCTACTCAGGAGGCTGAGACATGAGAATCGCTTGAACCCGGGAGGCGATGGTTGCAGTGAGCCAAGATTGCACCATTGCACTCCAGCATGGGTGAGAGAGCGAGACTCCAACTTAAAAGAGAAAAAAAAAAAGTATGCAGACAGAAGGTTACACACCATTTAGGAAGCCAAAGCAAGATAAGACAAACACCCTATCAGTACTGATCATCATCACCTGCACACACTGCTTTGTGGCAGTTGTCTTGTGGTCTCTATATGGAGGCAAGATGGGATTCCCCATATAAAATCCACCGCAGTTGCTGAGGTGCCACACATATGCCAACAGGGTATGTAAATGTTTACGCTCAAATAATAAGGCTTTCTAGAAGAGCAAGAGAGCTAACAAGCAGGTCTAAAACTGGGTCGAAAGAGCAAGGTCTAAAACTGGGTTGAAAGACAAGAATTGGCATTGTCTGTTGTTGTGGTTGGAGTATGAGAGCACAGTGAGGGTTCCCATGGCTGATCTGGTGTCTGCATAGGACAGAGATTCTAATTGGCACCAAAGAAGAAAGTAATCAGGTTTTCTTATTTGTTTTCATAGTTATAGAAAGCAGAGAAGAGAAAAGAGTGGGAATTAAAAGCTGTCAGCTGTCAGATTTAAAAAATGGAATCAGAACATTACATTCCTGATCATGCAAATCAAAACCACAATGAGATACCATCTCACACCAGTTAGAATGGCAATCATTAAAAAGTCAGGAAACAACAGGTGCTGGAGAGGATGTGGAGAAATAGGAATACTTTTACACTGTTGGTGGACTGTAAACTAGTTCAACCATTGTGGAAGACAGTGTGGCAATTCCTCAGGGATCTAGAACTAGAAATACCATTTGACCCAGCCATCCCATTACTGGGTATATACCCAAAGGATTATAAATCATGCTGCTATAAAGACACATGCACACATATGTTTATTGCAGCACTACTCACGATAGCAAAGACTTGGAACCTAGCCAAATGTCCAACAATGATAGACTGGATTAAGAAAATGTGGCACATATACACCATGGAATACTATGCAGCCATAAAAAATGATGAGTTGATGTCCTTTGTAGGGACATGGATGAAGCTGGAAACCATCATTCTCAGCAAACTATCGCAAGGACAAAACCTGAACACTGTATGTTCTCACTGATAGGTGGGAATTGAACAATGAGAACCCATGGACACAGGAAGGGGAACATCACACACCGGGGCCTGTTGTGGGGTGGGGGGAGGGGGGAGGGACAGCATTAGGAGATATACCTAATATTAAATGATGAGTTAATGGGTGCAGCACACCAACATGGCACATGTATACATATGTAACAAACCTGCACATTGTGCACATGTACCCTAAAACTTAAAGTATGATTAAAAAAAAAGAATATTATTTTTCACAAATGTAGCATAATTTATTCATTTCACTAGTAATGTAAATGAGAGATGTTTTCATATTTTTCTTTCAGAAAAACCAGCTACTGTCAAAATTCCGGACATGCTGTTCCTCAAAATTTTCAGGCATTCATGTCGCCTGTTCTTTGCACATGCTGTTTCCTATGCCTGAAATCCTCATCCTCAAATATGCAGAGCTGTCTCCTTTACCTCATTTAAACCTTTTTCCCAAATTGTCATTTCTGGGGAAAATGTCTCAGGTCAATTTCCACTACTTATTGCCTGCCCTGACTGTTTTCCTTTTCTTATCAACATCTGAAGTATTTTGTGGGTTTTTTGGGTTGTTTGTTTGAAACAGAGTCTGGCTCTGTCACCCAGGCTGGAGTGCAGTGGCACGATCTTCGCTCACTGCAACCTCCATCTCCGGGTTTAAGCGATTCTCCTGCCTCGGCCTCTCGAGTAGCTGGGATTACAGGCACCCACCACCACGCACAGCTAATTTTTGTATTTTTAGTAGAGACGAGGTTTCACCATGTTGGTCAGGCTGGTCTCAAACTCCTGACCTCGTGATCTGCCCGCCTCGGCCTCCCGAAGTGCTGGGATTACAGGCATGAACCACTGTGCCTGGTCTGAAGTATTTTATATAGGTATGTTAATATTTATTTCTCCCAATGGAATTAAAACTCCAAGAAACCAGAGAACTGCATTTTGCTCACTGTTGCATTTTTAATATCTTGATCAGTTTCTGATGCAAGGTTGAAACTTGAATATTTTTAATTAAAAAAACCCTTCTTTATAAATGAAGATGAGTTTCTCTAGAATATATACTTAGCAAGACATTTTCTCGGTTGTAGGATGCACTCAGTCATGTTATACTTTAATAGGTGATGCCAACCAGTTATAAGTGGTTCTACTGAGTAATACTTCTTCATGATAACAAATACTGGTAATATCCTTTTTTTCTTTTATTTTCTACCTTCTCTTCCTTCTCTTCCTCATCTTCCTGCCCTCCTCTTCCTCTTCCTCTTCCTCCTTCTCTTCTACTTCTCCATCCTTTTGGTGATGATTATAAAATTGTATCTCTGCAATTTAATTTGTATTCTTCTACATAATAACATGCTTCTTCACGAATGAAATTCTAGTTGATATATTTTGCTCTTTTTTTGCAAATGTTTTTTCTTAGTGGCTCATTGTAATTCTTACGTATTCTGAACATTAAATTAAATTTATAGGTATCATTGTTATTAAAAATATATCTTATAAATTTCTTCGAAGTCTTAAAATTTTTACCGTTAAGATTTTAGACAACTTTAGTTGTATTTATTCCTATAGATGTCATACTTTGATGATAGTTTAAATGGAATATTCTTAAAAGTACATAGCTACATTGCTAATCTATAATGTGCCTTTGATTTCTGCACATTGACAAACTTTTTTACTTTAATAAATGAATAAAAATATAGATATTTTGGTATATTATCTTAAAATGTTGGCAACCTTTTTGTCTTTTCTGCAAATTATGTGTCATTTTAAATTTTCTGATAATTATGTACTGGTTGCTATTTAGTTCAGGGTGGAACTGAATTCATAGCAATTGGCACCATACCACTGAGTATGATGTTTTTATGCTTTTGGTTCATTTGTTTTAATGTTCAATAGATTAAGGAAATTCCTTTCTCTTATTTCATAGGCATTTGAATTGTATGTGTCTATTAAGTCAATCAATTTTTTTTTTTTCTGAGACGGAGTCTTGCTCTGTCACCCAGGCTGGAATGCAGTGGCACGAACTCGGCTCACTGCAAGCTCCGCCTCCTGGGTCCATGCCATTCTCCTGCCTCAGTCTCCTGAGTAGCTGGGACCACAGGCGCCTGCCACCATGCCCAGTTAATTTTTTTTTTGTATTTTTAGTAGAGACGGGGTTTCAACATGTTAGCCAAGATGGTTTCGATCTCTTGACCTCATGATCTGAGCCTGCCTCGGCCTCCCAAAGTGCTCAGATTACAGGTGTGAGCTACCGTGCCCGGCCAAGTCAATCAATTTTTTATATGTGTTTTTATGCTCATATGAGTCACTACAAATATAAAATATAATAGAATATAATCAAATCTTTATTAACCTTAAATATTGTTGCCCAGTTTTTTCTTTTCTAAAAATCTCCCCTCCTTCAGCCACTCTACATCACATATGTTCATCTAGGTGTGTGGCTTAATTGGGAGGAACTGGAAATTTCTTAGGAGGATCAGCCTTCTTCTGATTAGCCTATTACATCTGGCATTCCGTGATGTAATGATAATTGTCTTTGGTTTTCAGATTTATAGAACTTGTTATTCAAAAACCTTCCTTGACAGTGTAAAGTATTTTTTTGGAGAAAGCTAGTAATTTTAAGGCACCTGTCATAGTTAATAATTTAGGACTACATAGTAATAGTAGTGTACACATCTACATTTGTGTCTTCATGAAGATTTTCTATGAAATACTTTCCCCAAACAATATTCAATTATTAGATTTTTGGCAACGAGAAAAAAGTGATAGGTAAATGATTGCTGTTGGGGAAAAGTCCCATATTCTTCACACGAACAGCGTTGAGTCTCTGCTCTTGCCTCTCTGTATTCTGAGTAGAAGAGTTTTCCTGAAACCTAACTACTTTTAGGCAGAGGCAATTTACTTAATGTGTGGGGATCACTAATAAACAATCTGATAATTATGCTTTTTACCATTTTTATCCCACCATGGTCTTTACAAATGTTTTGTCAGAATTCCATTTTCCATCCTTGGTGTACATATCTTACATAATAAATAGTTTTCTGTAACCTTTTAGCTTAGGTTTGGCTTCATGTTCAGTATGAAAGACCAATCCAATCTAAACCAAAACTAATTTGCACTCGATTCTAAGTTCTCCCATCCTGCAGGTCAGGCCTGGTGCACAATTTGGACGGGGAGTTGGGCAATGAGATGTTCTCATTACTCATCTTCCACCCCGTCACCTTTCGATCCTGCTGGCTATGGACACTTCAGGCTCAGAGGAGGAGAGAGAAGGCAGGAGAAGAAAGTAAAAACATCACTTCACTGGTTTTGTGCTCTCTGAGCACAGCTTCATCAGGGAACATAATCAAAATTAGGATCTCCTGCTGTGTACGTTTTTGAGAAGCAGGTGAAAAGCAGACAGAAGTCTCTATTCTTCCCAAATTCCTGAGGACTTGTGAGGGTTTCCCAAAGCTCTTCAGTGCCCTACCAAGTGTCTAGGTTCTTGTAACAGTACATACAACCCACATGATGTTTAACTCAGCAGTATTCAGATAAAGAAGGAGAGAGATGCTTTTCCCATTTTCTTACAAATACCTTCAAAATATGTCTTGAGGGCTAAAACTGACAGCATTCTTTACAGTCCTTCATTCTAATGAATGTTCAGCTTTCTTTTTACAAAGGCTAAAATGAGAAAGTCATGCAGTTATTTCTTAATAAGACATTAACCCTTTCTTTCTGAGACGGAGGCTCACTGTGTCGCCCAGACTGGAGTGCAGTGGCGTGATCTTGGCTCAGTGCAACCTCCGCCTCCCAGGTTCAAGCAATTCTCCTGCCTCAGCCTCCCAAGTAGCTGGGATTACAGGCACCCGCCACCACACCCAGCTAATTTTGTGTGTGTGTGTGTGTATTTTTAGTAGAGATGGAGATTTCACCATATTGGCCAGGCTGGTCTTGAACTTCTGACTTTGTGATCCGCCCTCCTGATACTTGTCTCCATTCCCCATTCCACCTGTTTTAAGAATGTACCCAATATTCTGGAAGACCAAAAATTAAACGAATAAATAAATTAAATCAGGGTAAAAGAAGGTCTATTTCAAATTTTGTTTCATAGTTATTGAGGGTGTATATATAGACTAATTTTATTGGGTATGCAATTTATTTAGTAATTCAAATATCTGTCACATTTATAGAATATCTGGTGCCTTTATAGAAAAGTTTGCCTTTTTGCAGAGCAAGTATAAAGAAGAAAGAAGTGTAAGATATATAGCATTCATGAAAATTTTATCTTTGCTATCCCAAACATATAAAGTGAAGATGATCGCTTATACAGGAACTAAAACATCTTGAGAATTATTGCCTCTGTATTGTTTAATTTTTAATATGATAGCCAAAATTAAAATACTAGGATTTGTTTCCAGAAGAAAACTGTATCTTTATGAAAATGCACAGTTCTATGGTGCTAGAAGTTATATAAATACTGACACATAGAGTCAAACATATATAATTGTATATTATTGGGTAAACTTGCAAATATGCATGTGATTATACTTATACATGTGTGGTATATCTGACTATTGTATTGAACTCCAGCAAAGAACTAAGATTGTTATTCATTTATCTTCCACCTGCCATTATTAGAAAAACTTAACTATTAAATCTGTGGGCCAGAAAGTTAATTATTAATAAGTTCAAAGATATTGTATTTTATATTTGTTAATTGATTCTTTAATTACAAAGGAAACTCTACAATAGATCTCACGAACATATTTCTTTCTTTCCTTCTTCCTTTTTCTAACATCAGTGTTTCTATGTAGAGTTAATTAGTGATTCAATGAGTTACTTCCCAAATAATCCCATCCTATTTCCTCCATATATGCTTTTATTTCTGAAATGAAATTTGTCTCAGGCTTTATAGACATTTTAAGTACATTTCCAGCTAACCACATGGTATAATGTTTATTTGAAAGAAAATGAAGAATGAATGAAAGTAATACAATCTCTAGCTCTGTGGAGAAAATACAGAAACATTTTTAAAACTAATGGTTTTCCCATTGCCTATGTGTGAAACTTGCATTTGTGCATAGATATTATATGTCATTGTGTTCAGTGAATCAATAATTATTCAAGTCCTTCAAACAATTTTGAATGAATTCTTCATTTGGGAAGCTAATTCTATAGAAATGGACTAACAACTTGTTTTGTTCATTTTTAAAAATCAGGAAAAATAAATAAAAGTATGTTATTTCATAGGAATAATTTTATGTTATTGTGCCAGCCACTATTACATGAAAGTTTTAATAAACAGAGGAAGAGTATCTGTGTGTATGTGTGTACACTGCATCTGTATGTAAATAGAGATGAAACTCTGACTAACATAGATCTCACAGGTTAATGATGTCTTTTTTTCCATAAGCTCTTTTGTTGCAAATGTTATGTATTGCTTTCTTTGACTAGAATCAAGCAACATTTTCAAATCTTAAAATAGACAGTAAATTTAAATGTGACTGACTTGTAATATTTGCAATGTACACAAAGCTACCATGACCCACATAACATTGGCTGAGAAGTTAATGAGCAATAGTGACAAGATCTACTGCTCAGAAAGAACCTTTAAATGTTTAAAAGGCATTGTCATTATGTTGTACAAAGAGGAATTGATTTCTAGCCCTATCTCTAATTAGGAGATTATTCTGCCTGCTTATGTAACTTGTAATCCTCTTACAATCACCCTATCAAACAAAGTGTAGACATACATAGAGCCTTCTTGGATGCAACAAATAGCCATTCCCAAGGTTAATGGGCAAAGACTGAGCACCTTCTGTGCCTGTTTATAACACAGTGTGTGGTGTGACAACCAGTCCGAGACACAACTATATGCTTACACTGATGAGTTAAACAGGACTGAGACTTTAATGAGAACATATCAATACTTTGTATTTCTGAGTGGATGTGGTGATGAGCAGCACAAGATCTGAAGTTGTACTGACTGGATAAGAATATAATAATAAGATGAGAAAAGAGAGGCATGGAGATGAAAAGAGAAAAGGAGTGGGCATGTGATTAAAGATATCCTAATTTTTGTTTTATTTCAAGTGTTAAGACACTATTAAAATACCCAAGGCAATCAGTAACAAGTAATATTGCATGAGCTGTTTTGATCTATGACATTATCATAAGAGATTAAAAATTGCAGAAATATTATTAACATATTAATATATGTTATTGAAACAAGAATTACATAGTGAAATGAAAGATCTTAGAGTGGTTGGAGAGGAAATGTCCAGAACAATTATTTCCTGGGGAATAAAAAATGATGCAATTGAGCTAATTAGGTAGAGGCACATCACTGAAAAAAGTCAGAGTCTTTCTATTTTTTGCTTTTACAAATTTTACTAAAGTTTCATTGTTTTGCATGTGAGAAAAAATCCAAACTCACCACTAGAAATCTCCTTTCTAATACACTTCCCTCATCCTTTCTGAAATGGTGCATCACTATCAAACTACTCCCAGGCAAATTTGGAACCACTAGGGGGGCAATAATCTTGTTAATATGTCAGTCTTAAAGCTATCCAAACTTCTGGAATTGAAGTCAACTCCTGAAATTTTGAATAAGATTTTTAAATTTTTTTTTAGAAATAGAAAGAAAAATTAATTCAAGATGGATTAAAGACTTAAATGTTAGACCCAAAACCATAAAAACCCTAGAAGAAAACCTAGGCAATACCATTCAGGACATAGGCATGGGCAAGGACTTCATGTCTAAAACACCAAAAGCAATGGCAACAAAAGCCAACATTGACAAATGGGATCTAATTAAACTAAAGAACTTCTGCACAGCAAAAGAAACTACCATCAGAGTGAACAGGCAACCTACAGAATGGGAGAAAATTTTTGTAATCTACTCATCTGACAAAGGGCTAATATCCAGAATCTACAATGAACTTAAACAAATTTACAAGAAAAAAACAAACAACCCCATCAAAAAGCGGGCGAAGGATACGAACAGACACTTCAAAAGAAGACATTTATGCAGCCAAAAGACACATGAAGAAGCTCATCATCACTGGCCATCAGAGAAATGCAAATCAAAACCACAATGAAATACCATCTCACACCAATTAGAATGGAGATCATTAAAAAGTCAGGAAACAACAGGTGCTGGAGAGGATATGGAGAAATAGGAACACTTTTACACTGTTGGTAGGACTGTAAACTAGTTCAACCATTGTGGAAGACAGTGTGGCGATTCCTTAAGGATCTAGAACTAGAAATACCATTTGACCCAGCCATCCCATTACTGGGTATATATCCAAGGATTATAAATCATGCTGCTATAAAGACACATGCACACATATGTTTATTGCGGCACTATTCACAATAGCAAAGACTTGGAACCAACCCAAATGTTCATCAATGATAGACTGGATTAAGAAAATGTGGCACATATACACCATGGAATACTATGCAGCCATAAAAAAGGATGAGCTCATGTCCTTTGTAGGGACATGGTTGAAGCTGGAAACCATCATTCTCAGCAAACTATTGCAAGGACAAAAAACCAAACACCGCATGTTGTCACTCATAGGTCGGAATTGAACAATGAGAACACCTGGACATAGGAAGGGGAACATCACTCACCGGGGCCTGTTGTGCGGGGGAGGGGAGGGATAGCATTAGGAGATACACCTAATGTAAATGACGAGTTAATGGGTGCAGCACACCAACATGGCACATGTATACATATGTAACAAACCTGCACGTTGTGCACATGTACCCTAGAACTTAAAGTATAACAAAAAAAAATTTAAAAAATCCAAATACAAAAAAAAAAAAAAACAGAAACTCACTATATTGCCAGGTTGGACTCAAACTCCTGGGCTCTTCAAGAGATCCTCTGGCCACAGTACCTGGAATTACAGGCATGCAACATCATGCCCAGCTTGAGGTTTCTTTATTTAAGAATTTCCTCCACACATTATTAAAAACAGTATGGAAGATTCTCAGAAGACTAAAAATGGACCTACCATATGATCCAGCAATCCCAGTAGTGGGTATTTATTTAAAGGAAGGAATATCGGTACATCAAAGGGATGCCTGCACCCCTACGTTTATTGCAGCACTATTCACAAAACCCAAGATGGAATCAACCTAAGTGTCCACCAGTGGATGAATGGATAAAGAAAATGTTGTGTATAAATACAATGGAATATGATTTGGCCATAAAAATGAATGAAATCCTGTCATGTGCAGCAACCTGAATGGAACTGAAGGTGATTGTGTTAAGTGAAAAAAGGCAGGCACAGAAAAGACAAACATTACATGTTCTGACTCATATTGAGAGCTATAAACGTTGATCTCAGAGGTAAAAGGTAGAATGATAGTTACCACAGTGGGGGAAAGAGGGTGGGGGGCAGGATAAAAAAGTTTGGATAATGGGCACAAACATGCAGTTAAACAGATAGAATAAGTTCTAGTGTCTGATAGCACAGTAGCGTGACCATAGTTAACAATTATTTATTGTATTTTTCAAAATAGCTAGAAGAATCTAGCTGTTCTCAACGCAAAAAAAATGATAAATGTTTGAGGTAATGGATATTCCAAACAGTCTGATTTGATCATTACACATCATATGTATGCATCAAAATATTGTATGTTCCCCATAAATATGCACAATTATGTATCAACAAAAATGATAAATAATTTTTAAAAATAGAAGATACATAAGATTATTTGCTGAATAGAGGTCTATTTCATCCACTAATTCACCAACATAAACATTCTGCAAAACATGAAAATAAAATGAATTTGTTTAATCCCTTCATTTATCCTGACTAATAATCAACAAAATCATGATATGCATAATTCCTAATAAATATCTTTTCTTTTTCCTAAGAAAAAGTAGAAGACTGTCTCAATTCCTTAATTGCAATGACATATAGACATTTTAGTCCAACATATTTATAAATTTTGCTACATGTTTTAGGCTTTGTTAGAGTGTGTGTGTATGTGTGTGTGCATGTGTGTATGGCATATGTGTGATCTATAATGCATATATAATGTATATAGTTATCTCTATGAGCTAAAATAAATGGAGGTCTTCTTACATGTGACACACAGGTGTTTTAAAATATACATTAAATTTTCTAATCCACATAGCAATCTAAGAAATCTCTGCTAAATAATATTATAGCATCAGTATATTTGTTGAATACATCCTTGAAATATTAGGTCTCTTGACATTAGGGTACAGTGGAAAATGCCAAAAGGTAGTACATGATCCTAATTGGAATGAAATTCAGTATTTTCTTACTTTAATGGTATATTTTCCCCAGTATTATTTAGAGTGTCTAAAAGTTGTAATTTGTTATCTCTAATATCTATATATAAAACATAATTTATCAGTTTATAATTAATAACATTAATACCCAACGTTTTTAGATATTTCTTGTAAAATTCTACATCAAATAATTCACAATTTCTTTTATTATGAGTTGCTCAATTATTGCAGGGTTAAAGCAAAAAAAATTATGTATACTATATAATTAATCTATACAATATAGGAAATAAAATACCAAGTTATGAAATTATCTATCTGGATAGCAAAATACATTTAACTGTATAAAATTACTGTACATTCAACTTACATAGAATGTGTCCATGTTAGTAATAATTTAAAATAATTTTCCTTTAATAAAGAAACAAGAATGCTGTCCTGCAGTTATAGAAACATATTAATCTTATGAATATATAATTTTTTTGAAATATTTTTTGATTTTTTGAAGCAGACCTTCAAAAATATTAACAAGGCATTAAAATTCTGAGCTGTAAATTTAATTTTCAATACTTTTCAATATATCATCCCTGATCTTTCCAACTAATTTTGAAAATTCAAATTTAATTTTGTTCTTCATAATACAGTCATGCGTCACTTAGGGTCAGGGATGAGTTCTGATAAACGCATGGTTAGGTGATTTCATCATTGTGCAAACATCAAAGAGTATACTTACACAAATCTCGATGACATAGCCTATTACACACCTAGGCTATATGTCATACACTATGATTTCTACATTACAAACCGATGTAGTTTGTTACTGTATGGAACACTGTAAGCAATTGTAACACAATGGTACGTATTTGTGTATCTAAACATATTGAAATATAGAAAAGGTACAGTAAAAATGCTGTATTGGGCCGGGCACGGTGGTTCACGCCTATAATCCCAGTACTCTGGGAGGCTGAGGTGGGTGGATCACAGGTCAGGAGTTCAAGACCAGCCTGACCAACTTGGTGAAACCCCATCTCTACTAAAAAATACAAAAATTAGCCTTGTGTGGTGGTGGGCACATGTAGTCCCAGCTACTCAGGAGGCTGGGGCAGGAGAATCACTTGAATCTGGGAAGTGGAGGCTGCAGTGAGCTGAGATTGTACCACTGCACTCCAGCCTGTGCAACAGAGTAAGACTCTGTCTAAAAAAAAAAAAAAAAAAAAAAAAAATATATATATATATATATATATATATATATATATTTAAACTGTTGAAATAAACCAAAAAAACCCTAAAATTCCATATCTAGTGAAATTATCTTTCAGAAATGAAAAAGACATAAAAAATTTCTCAAACAAAAACTAAGGTTATTAATCATCAGCATACATGCCCTTCAAAATATGTTAAAATAAGTTCACACAACTGCTTGTGAAATGGTTCACTAATAGGGTAGACTTAGTGGCCAAGATAGAGGCTAGGCATGGATCCAATAGTCTGCTGTTATCTTTTAAGGAGCATACATTTGGAATGCCACTGCTGAATGCCCACTGTGTCAGCAACAGAATCTGACATTGAGCCTGAGAGATGGTAGGATTACTCAAGGTGATCAGCCAACCACATGGTAGAAAGCTGATTTTTCACATATTTTCTGTCCTGTTGATACATACTGATTTTCAGGATCCACTGCAGCAGGTTCCTATTTCACTAACCCATAAGTCTGCTTTACAGATTGTTACTGGCAGCTCCACTGAAGAGTGAGAAAATGGAATTAATGTGGAGCCTGACAGGGCAGTAGTACAGGGGATCAGCAGTAGCAGAGGCTTTTAGGGTCCTGTGCTCTGCATCCTCAGCCCACCTCTGACTTCATCTCCAGCTGAGAGAGGGGGTCCTAGTGCGCACCAATAGTGCTTCACTTCAAGCTCCTCTCATTCTCTCACTTTTCTTCCAGGGCTCTCCCCCATCCCCACCCCAGCACACAATGTTACTGGAATTTGCTAAGAGTTAACTAACACTCTCTGGAAATAGCTGTCAACTAGTGTAGGACAGGTGTCACTGAATAAATATTTCTGTTTTCTCTCCTCCAAAGGGATAATTCTGAGGCACATGCTATGTGGTTGTTCAGAAGATTCTCAGTGGGACTGAATTCCAGTTGCCTACCACAATGGTCAGCTTAATAACACAGGATCAACCAGCTCTTCTTTCTTCCCTGTCTCTATTTACCAAGACTTTTTGGAATCACCTCTCAAATAATTGTTGAGACCTGGTTTCAGAGTGAATTCCGTTTACAAAAGTCTATAATTTACTATTTGAGTCACAGGATACCTAATGAGATTTAGGATTCAGCTATAAAAGGAATGATCATAGCCTAGAGATGAATAAGAGATTTCAGTAACTATGTTTTCTCTCTAGAGAGATGAGCATGTTTTAATTGACTAATAAATAGTGTTCTCATACTAGATAGAGCAGCAAGATTGATTTTTATTCTTATTCAGAGGTTTAAAATTGGTGGATCATGATTTGACAATAGGGACAACTTCACTATAGAGTCTGTCCTAAACTCAGCATTAACATCTCCTTCTAAATTCTCTTCTGAATCTCATAGGAAAAGTTGATGTCTCAATTTCCCAGATCACCTTTCTTATATGCTTCCTGGTAAGACTCTACCATTAGAGGCATTCACTCAAGATTTAGAAGATAAAAGAGTGAGAGAGACCATTATTCTAGGGAGGCTGTTATGTGTGTACGCATGAGCAAATAATTTATGTGAAAATCAATTCAATGACTTGTCAAGCATCTTAAGAGTTATCTATGCTAGTGTTGCATGCTGAGATAGTCAGGAGTAAATGCCTAGACATATCTGAGTTTTGCAGCACCTTCTAGAATAATTGTTAAGTATCACCCTTTTAGTGTTGCACTCTGAGGACGTCATTGTTGGCTTTAGGATCCCTTTTCCATCAGTGATTGTGTGTTCCACTCTTTTCCTCAATTAAATCTTTTCCTGATGGAACAAATATAAGCTGTATTTTCTTATCTAAACCCCCAAAATCATAGAAGGTTGTTTGATCGTTTTGATAAGAAATAAATACCAGCCAAATGTGTGGGAATGTTAGTAAGAACAATGTGAGTGTAGATTTGCAAAGAGAATTGATAAGAATCACTGTCATACTTTTATAACCAGACCTATTTCTCTAGGCCTATGCTTGGTGTATGTGTGAGTGTGTGTGTTTGTGTTTGTATGTGTGTGCACTTATGGTTGGTAAATAGCAAGTCATGTTTAATGAGGCCATTTTCCTGCACTTGTTTAATGTGTTCAGAGGTAATGTGTTATCAAAAAGTGAAGCCAAGGACACAAAAACCCTTACTGCTTATCTTCCATGGTCAGGAAGGAATGCTGGTCAGTTGTTTAAAACAAAATTTTAAACTCACTGTCTCCTTCAACAATGCTCTAGCCATTCATATTAATGGCCTTTAGTCTCAGTGAAAATATTAACAATATAATCAAGCATAGTGTGAAATTTGTCACTGAGAATTTATTGAGTTTGCATTGTTAATATGTATTTATCTCTTCTGTATCTAGGCCAACCCCAAAATAAAACTAAACCAAAAAAACAAGTAAAACAAGCAAAACACACACTCACACAGACATAGTAAAAAATAAAATAAAATACCAGAAATAGTTCTCATGATCACTTAAATATTATTTGTAACAATAGAGACTGGACTTTGAAAGACAATGTCCTCGAGGAAGAGTATGTTTACTGGGAAGAAGATAGTTTAATCTATTTGGCACAAATATGTGGTTTTTAACAGATGCTGCAATAACAGCAGTGGGGAATGTCTGAAAGCATTCTTGACAGTCACCACTGGGAGCATGGGGATGCTACTAGAATCTAGTAGGTAGAGGCCAGGGATACTTCTAACCATCCTACAATGCTCAGGACAGCCTCCCAGAAGAAAAACTCAATGTCAACATTGAGTGTTAAGAAACTTTATTTTAGAAGAGTAAAAGTAAATGGAAATGTGGGAGGGTGATTCCATTTGTTATTTTCATGCCATTTCTACAACGGGTAAGTTGCTTTCTTCTATTGAGTTCCCTTATTCATGAAACATAAAGGGAAATTCAACCTTAGGGATGGAATTAAAAAGTACCTGTTTGTCAAATCCTGTGTGCTATAAATAGAACAAGGAAAGTAAATGATTCTTCCAGAATAAGACTTTTCTCCTTAGTAAAGTCTTTTAAACAAGTCTCACAAAATCTACAAAAAGTGTGGGAAATATGCCTAATGAAATACAGACTAGAAATCTAAAGTAAAAAAAAAAATGATTGGTGGATTTAAAAGGTGTTCTTGTCTAGAAGAAAGTGTGATTTACAGGCTAAGGCATTTCAGGGAATGTGACAATCAAATGAGGAGGTAGCTCCTACAGCCTTCTCTACCTTCTCCCAGCCAAGAATAATAATTATGCATGTACAGAAGTCTCAGTCACCAGTGGCTTGATATTAATGATGATCATGTGAGTTTATTCATCAGGCTTAGCTATTACAGTGTGAGTTCCCTTCCTCATTCTAATCATCGACTTCCAAAATGCATTAAGCCTAATGGGGAAAAGACAAATCGCCAAGTCTTATTTTAACAATTTAAGGATTTTGCATTTCTGGCATTCTATTAAGTCAGTGAATGCTGCTTAGAGATACTCCACAGAAGGATTCTTGTCTTTTTTTTTGTTATTATAGTGGGTGCTTTCACTGACATTACACATGACTTATGATCAGGACCAGTGTAAGTATACCCAGTGAGCTTCCAAAATGGCAAAAATTCCAAAATGACAGAAATTGTATATAACTGACAAAAAGAGAACAAAATAATATATATGTATATGTTCCAAATAAGTCTTCAAATATGAACCTTTTCAATTATTTATTAAAAATCAATATATTATGGGAAGCAAGATGATTTTTAATAAATAATTGAAAAGGTTCATATTTGAAGACTCATTTGGAACAACCCAAAAAAGATTTAAGTGTTCACATGAGGTAATCAGAGGAAGACTTACTCTAAACTCAACATTCCAAATACATTACAAGTTAGAACGTAGAAACAATTAGCTCAGGACTTTTGAGGCCATTTCTCATGGAAAATCAGGAAAAGAGAATGAAACATTAATTTTCATGTTGAGTTATTACAGACATCAGCAGTATGGACCAAGCACCCATGAGATAACGAGTCCTGAACTGGGCACCAAGAGAGGTGGGAAATGTATTAATACCTACAACTCCCTGATCTCTGGAAACTCCTATCAATAGTTTTAGAAATAGGTACATAATGTATCATGAAAACAACTGCAAAACAGTACAGAAAGAAACCCCAAAGAGTTGGGAAGTTTAGAAGTAGGCTTCAGAAACAAATAATCTTTTAAAAAGAGTACAGTATATATTTTTCCTGAGAAACATTTGTATGGTATGATTCTTCTCCACAGACAACAACAGGAAAATAGATTTTATATTTGAATTTTGAACAAATTAAGTACCAAGTTGCTTTCTGGTAATACCTTCCAATAATGTATACTTTCCAGTTATATGCTATCTAATTAAACAATATATTCCATTGCAATGTCTTTTAATTACATGTCTCTGTACCACAGATGATAAGAGTAAAAAATGTTTTGTTAATCTCTTACATCTTATTCAGGTTGTCATAAAAACATACCATAGAAAGGGTGACTTAAACAATAGAAATGTATTTTCTCACAGTTCTGCAGGCTGGAAGTCCGAGGTCAGGATGCTAGTATAGTTGAGTTCTGGCAAGAACTCCCCTTCTGGCTTGCAAATGGCTACCTTCCTGGTACATGATCATGGAGAAAGAAAGATAACTCTCTTTCTTCCACCTTTTATAAAGCCACTAGTCCTGTTAGATTAGGGGGGCACTTTTATAACATCATAAAAGCCTTATATCCAAATTGTTGGGGGCTAAAATTTCAAAATAGAATTTCAGGATACGTAATTCAGTCTAGAGCATCTTAACAATAGAAAAAATATTATGCAAAAACAGACATAATTTTATTTATTTATTTATTCAGTTTTATTTACAGGTTTTTTAGAACAAAAAAATTAAAATAGAGACTTTAAAAGTTCTCCTTGAAAACCTACTCTACAACTTTCTGAGAAAGAAAATGGCATTAAGCATATTGACTACAATACATCAAATGCTCGTGTTTATTTTATCTAAACTACTTAAATCATAAAACGAGAATGATACTTTAGTAGGAAAGTTTGACTCAAGCGGTGTTTTTTTGTTGCTATTGCTCTTGTTTTCTGCTTTTTTTTAAATTTGAAAATATGAGGAGGAAACATGTAATAAATATCATGATTTCTGAGTTTTTCTGTGAATTGAATTAAAAAACAGAGAAGAAACATTTTCAAAATAACAGAATAAATATAGAATTATTGAAACAACTACCCTAACAGATCATGTCAACAAGGTCACTAGATTAAAGGAAGACAAGAATAAATGCTGTGTTCCAAAATCCTTTGAGTAATCCCAGGGAGATCAGACCTCACTCTCTCAGTCAACATCAGTTGTTCCAATGAAAATAATATTATATGCAATCAAGCACAATTAATCTCTGGAATGAAGATCAACAGAAGTTCAACGATGCTTGCTGACAATGACCTTTTAGCAAGAATTGCCTTTGCAGAGTCCTGGCATTATTAGCATTTTGTTGTGTACAGTAAAATAACTGAACTCCTGGTTGTTCTTGTCTAATACTGCCCAGGCGCTTTACTGGCAAACAAAAATGTACAAACCATAAACAGTACATGGAGTCCAGGGATATATCAAAGACTACCTTTCATATGTGGATGGTTTTGCTGCTTAATTCACCCACAGTGTGTTGCTTTTAGTTTTGAACATATTGTTATTCTCTTTACTATTTTACATATAAGTATTTTAAAAATAATTTGAATTGAGCAATAATTAAAATGAATGAGCAAAATCTCTACTAAGAGAAAATAATAGATATTTTAATTTTAATTTTTACTTCATCTTTTTCTTAGTATATTTCTACTTTTAGCTAAGGTTAAATTTTATGTAGACACTTGAATACTAAGATTTTATGTTACATTTCAGCATTACTTTCAATGTTATTTAAATGTTCATCTATCTGGGCATTATTAGTACTCCTTTACTAATGAATAATTCATTAGTTAAACCTCAATCAGTTTTGCCAGAGTAATCTTTGCATCACATATCTTAGTTTGGGCTGCTATAACAGAATAGCATAGACTGGTGGCTTATAAACAACAGAAATTTATTATTCATAGTTCTGGAGGCTGGAAGACCAAGATCAAGGTGTCAGAGTGGTCATGTTTTGGTGAGGGTTCTCTTCTGGGTTACAATCTGCCGATTTACCCTCATGTGGCAGCAAAAGCAAGACCGCATTTTGGGGGTTCCTTTTATGAGTATTAATCTTATTCATGAGGGTTCCACCCTCTTGACCTAATTATCTCCCAAAGGACCCATCTTCTAATGCCAACACACTGGAGCATTAGAATTCATCATATGAATTTTGGGTGAACACAAGATAGGTATTCAGTCTATAACAACCACTTAATTTCGTTAGGATTTTTACATATACTAACATGAGATAATTTACTTTATTATTACTTTTTTAAAATTTCTGGAATATTTGTCAAGATTAAAAATCTAATACAAGCCTCCTAAATGAATTTGATGGCTATCCAACTATTTAAAAATTATTTTAAAATTATATATCAGTGGATCCATCTGCTTTTCAAAAAAGCTATTCCACTAAGTGGTTTTTAAGTTACCTTAGGTCAAACCCCATAATGTTTGTTGTTTTTCTTAACTATATAATTCGCACATGCTCTAAAATATTATATCATTTGTTTTTATCAATACTTCCTAATTATAAACTTTCCTGATTTACATATTTTGATGCTACATATATTTGTGCTTATAAATAAATGTTTCTCATTTAAATAGTACCTATAACTTGCAGATAAAGTAGATTACTCCTTTTGCTTCAGTTCATGTTTTTATTACTAATAAATTATATCCTATATTTTTTCCTCATTTTGATAAACATTTGTTTCACTTTTGAGTGACATATATTTGGTCATTCTTTGTTTCCAGCATTTTGTTTATATTAGGTTATTTAAATAGTGTATAAGAAATAAATATTTATAACTTTTTTGACACAATGTAAATGCTCTTGCCTTTAAAATATGAAGTTTGGACTAGTTGAATCTATTAACATCTCTGCACCATTTAATGTCTTTTATCGTTTTACTTTCTTCTGCTAGCCATATAGATAATATATTATTTTGCTTGATATTTTCTTATTCTGTGATATGGAAGATAGACATTCTTTTTCTATTCTTATCATGTATTAAGGTGTTTCTCACAAAATAATGAACAAAAAATTTAAAAATTAATAAATAAACTATATTTCCCTCTGTTTTGAATTCTCTGACTGAATTAAGCAGGGCTATAATCCTTAGAATTTTACATTCAAAACACTTCTGTAGCATTTTCCAAATAAAAATGTGGTCATTTATATGCATATTTAATTCAAATATTACATTTATATCTATATAATTATCCAGTCTAATGCTGCAATTATACTGTAAAATTTTCTGCTCATAGGTGCTAATTTTTATTACATTTTCCTTTACTATAAGATTATCAGAAGGTGCTATATTTTTACAAAATTTATATATTTATTTGCTCTATTTCTCAGCTCTGCTCTGTATTTAAATATTATAATTTGCCTTTACATAGTAAGGAAAATATGTCATTGTTTCCTAATACTTATTAAGTGAAGGTGAGGTAGGAGGCAGGACTTGACTCTGGACCAGACTGAAGACTGGCTGAAACAGGGAAGAGGCACAGAAATTACCTCTTCCTAAAATATGTCCCCCTTCATTCGGACAGTTTACCATTGCCATAAAAACACCCAGAAGTTACAGCCCATTTCCATGGCAACAATCCAGAAATTACCACCCCTTTTCTATAATTTCTGAATAACTCATCTCTTAATTTACACGTAATTAAAGGTAGATAGAGTTTGGCTGCAGCACTGAGCTTGAGCTGCTGCTCTCCACACACCACCTACGGGGCAGCCTGCTCTGCAGGAGCAGTCACTGTGCTGTAATGCTGCTGCCCCAGTGAAGCTGTTTTCTTCCACCACCTGCTCACTCTTGAAAGCTTTCCTGGGCAAAGCCAAGAACTTTCCCTGGCTAAGCCACGATTTTGTGGCTTCCCTGCCCTGTATCACAGGGAGATTTTAGATCAACCTGATATCTCTCCATTGTTGTCATTTGAGAGAAGGGGCTAGACAATTTTAAGAGTTTCTTTTGATTTATAAAGTTTGAATATACAAAAGGACTTGACAATTATGCTTTTTTCCCTTTAACGTACCCTCTCACTTTCCTTACTTTAAAAATGGAGAGTTTTTATTATAAAAATATATCTGGTATGTTCTCATTAGGATGAAAATTCTTCCTGTGTTCAGGTTTCCAGGTTTTATCCATGTGTTTCTTAGCTTGTCATTGTTTTAAAACCCTTCTTCCTTTTTTCTCCTATGCTGTAAGGTTTAATCCCAACAGGCTTCTACAATAATTCTCATTTATGTGTTGCTCAAGTCCCTGTATGTGCACATAGCATGAAATACACTGAAATTCTATTAATAATGCTACTAATCATCTTGCTTTGTAACCATGTGCCTGTCCATGGAGATTTGGAGGCAGATTGTACCAGCATGTCAGCACTGGTTATTAATAGCAGTGAGACTAGTGATTAGACCTCTCAAATACAAGGCAATATCTCCACATAAAAGCCACAAAAACACCTCACATTTTCCATCTTGGGAAATCCATTCATTTATATTTTCTGCATTACACATCCTGATGATTATTTACTAGACTATAACATTAGGACATTATTACTTGTTACTCAACAGTCATTAGCTTGGTATCAGGGGCATAGTATGATGGTGGCTTCTCTATGACTCTGATTAAATCTCAGTCTTAAGCAAGCACTGCTTCCCTGAGTCATGGGTGTAGAGCCTTCTCGGGGATCCTGTCTGGCACTCAGGTGCAGGTCAGGGCCCAGGACTTATTCCTGCCACTCCCATGAAGTCAGAGGGGTTTGTTTGTTTGTTTGTTTGTTTTCTCTTGGTCACCTTCTCCACTTGCAATAGGTTTTCACCAGTGCCCCACAGGTGACAAGGTAGTTGTCTTTCACCTAGTGGTTTAAGATTTTCCAGGCAGAATAGATTGAACCCAGAAGGCAGAGGTTGCAGTGAGCTGAGATCGCGCCATTGCACTCCAGCCTGGGCAACAGGAGCAAAACTCCATCTCAAAAAAAAAAAAAAAAAAAAAAGATTTTTGTCCCATAGGAGAGGAGGGGGAAAGGATCTTGGGTTGGCTTTCTGACCTTCTTGAAGCAGCCTCTCATTTAAGCCAGTATCATCATGCCCCTAATCTTTTTTTTAGAGTTCTAGAAACATCAATAGAAAAGAATCTGTGAATAAGTGCAAATTGCCCTTGTGTCCTCTGCCCTCAGAGGTTCATATTTTCTTGCTACTCCACATGTAGCTTGTAGCTTGAGCAATTAAAATCCAGCTAACTTCTTTTCACCATTGCTCAAATGGCATCTGCTGCAAGTAAGCTAAGTTTTCTCTCATCTCATTTTGGAGTCACGTGTCTTATACTTAGGGTTAATTGTCCCCAGCAACTTCAGCTTTCTGTGAATTGAATAAAAATTATGAATAGGAAGAATTTCCTTGCCTTGTTGCTGCTTTGTAAAGAGGGAAATACATACTTGCCAGGTCTCCACATTCTGAAAGTCTGGCTCACCTGTTCTCTTCTTTTTCTTTTCTTTTTTTCTTCTTTTTTTTTGTCTTTAATGGGTAGACTTTATTTTTAGAACAGTTTTATATTTACAGAAAACATAATAGAAAAGTTCACAGAATTCTTGTATTCCTCATTTCCACCCATTGCACAGTTTTCGTTACTAACATCTTGTTTTAGTTTAGTACATTGGTTAAAATTGTTGAATCACATTGATAAATTATTATTAATAAAGTCAACGTCTTTCATAGTACGACAGTTCATTTTTTTTTTTTTTTTTTGAGATGGAGTCTCCCTCTGTAGCCCAGGCTGGAGTGCAGTGGTGTGATCTCGGCTCACTGCAAGCTCCTTCTCCTGGGTTCACGCCATTATCCTGCCTCAGCCTCCCAAGTATCTTGGACTACAGGTGCCCGCCACCACGCCCGGCTAACTTTTTGTATTTTTTTAATAGAGATGGGGTTTCACCGTGTTAGCCAGGATGGTCTCAATCTCCTGACCTCATGATCTGCCCGCCTTGGCCTCCCAAAGTGCTGGGATTATAGGCATGAGCCACCGCGCTGGGCTGACAGCTCATTTCTTAGTGCTGAATAATATTTCATTTTATGGGTATACCACAGTTTCCTTATCCATTCACCTATTGAAGGACATCATGGTTGTTTCCAAGTTTTGCCAATTATAAATACAAATGGTATGAACATTTGTATGCAGGTTTTTGTGTTGACATGTTTTCAACTCCTTTTGGTAGGTACCAGAAGTGTGCTTGCTGAAGTAAGCAAATGTTATTTTTGGAAGAAACTGTCAAACTGTCTTCCAATATGTCTGCATTATTTTGCATTCCCACAATCAATTAATAGGAGTTCCCTTTGCTCCTCATCCTCACAAGCATTTGGTGTTGTCAGTGTTTTCATTTTATTCATTCTAAAAGGTGTGTGGTTGTATCTCACGTAGTTTTTTAATTGGCAACTACCTGATGACAGATGACATCAAGTGTCTCTTTATATTTTTATTTGGCATTGTATACCTCCTTTGGTGAGGTTGTCCATCCAGATCTTTTGCCATTTTTAAAAATTTGGATTGTTTGTTTTCTTATTGTTGAGTTTTAACAGTTCTTTGTATATTTGTATGTCAGTCGTTGATCTAGTATATGTTTTGCAAATATTTTATTCCAGTCTGCTGCTGGTCATTTCATTCTCTTGATAGTGTCTTTGGAAAAACTTTTTTTTTTTAATTTTAAGGAATTCTTGTTGATTTTTTTTAATGGATTTTGCTTTTGGAGTTGTAATCTAAAAATCCACCAAATCTATGGTCACCTTTATTTTTTCATTATGTTACCTTTTAGGAGTTTTATAGTTTTGCATTTTACCTTAGGACTATGAACCATTTTGGACTAACTTTTGTGACAAGTGTAATGTTTGTGTCTAGATTTATTTATTTATTTATTTATTTATTTATTTATTTTTTGCATGTGGAAGTCAGGCTGTCCAGCACCATTTATTTAGAAGACAATCCTTTCTCTATAGAATTATCTGTGCATTTTTGCCAAAGATTAGTTGACTATATTTATGTGAGCCTATTTCTGGGATCTCTACTGTGTTCCATTGAACATTTTTTCAATTTTTTTAATATAGCATTTATTCTGTTTGTCTATTCTTTCACTGATACCACTGTCTTGATACTGTAGCTTTATATTAAGTCTGGAGATCAAGTTGCGTTAGTTAGTTCTCCAACTCTGTTATTCTTCAATATTGAACTGGCTACTTTGGGTCTTCTACCTTTCTATAAAAAGTTTAGAACCATTTGTTGACATCCACAAAATAATTTGCTGGGATTTTGATTCGAATTGCCTTGAATATACAGATAAATTTGGAAAAAACCGAACATATCTGATAGTTAGTCTTTTTACCCATGAACCTGGAATATCTCTCCACTTATTTAGGTCTGCTTTGATTTCTTTCATCAGTATTTTGCAGTTTTTCTCACATAGATTTTATAGATACTTATTTTCAGATAGATACCTTAAGTATTTTATTTTATTGGTGCTAACATAAGTGATATTTTGTTTTTTATTTCAAATTTCCGTATTTTCATCTTCAGTATATAAGACAGCAATTGACCTTTAAATATTAATCTTGTATCTTACAACATTGCCATAATTACTTACTAGTTCCAGCAGTATTTTGTCAATTCTTTGCCATTTTCTATATAAACCACCATGACATCTGTAAACAAAGACAATTTTATTTTACTCTTTCTAATATTTATGCTTTTTACTTCCTTTTCTTCACCTATTCTTAAGTCTTTATGACATCTCTTCTCTCTCAGGTACTTTTTCGTTCCGTTCTTTTTTCTTGGTCCAAGTAGCCTCTGTGATATTTCTAGTCCATGTGATGTTGCAGATGTTGCAGTCTTTCTTTATACATAGCTTTATGTTTTCCTCTTATGAACCGAGTCCCCAATTATACTAATGTTCTCAAATTCTGGAATTGTGTCTTACTTTATGTCTATCTCTGCTACCTAAGACAAGTAGCTAGACACAATGCAGACACAGCGTTTGTTAGGTGAACAAAATTCCAAGGGAAGAAATGACATTTTGTATTTTGAATAAACTAATTGGTAAGGCACAGGTGTGTAGAAAATATTATTTTAAAATAATAGAAGCAATTCAAGTCTCTAATAGCATTCACTAAATTTCTTTAACCTCACTTTTCTTCTCAGGCATATTAAGAAAAATTGAGAGAGGATATACAACTAGATGGGTAAAATATTGAAAGTCATCATTTTCAATTTAATATACATAAGATTTTAAAACTAAATTGGATATTTAAACAAATCTCACCAAAGGTTCGCAAACTTTGGGTCACATATGTATTTCTTTCATGTTTAGGATAATCTGACATGGCAGACAGTTAATTTGAAACATATAGCATAGAGTTAGCCAGTTAGGATAGCATATTCCTTACCAAGCTTATATTTTGATTAATGTGAGAAATTTCAACACTAAATTAGTCAAACACAGGACTTGACCTTTTTTTAGTTAATAAAGCAATTTGTTTACACATGTTTACCAGAGACAGGCGTTTGGATTTAAGTCCTGGTAAATATCCACAAGTCGAATCAGTTGTAAGCTTTTTATAATTCTGTTCAACAGAGTAGCAACAAAGTAAAATATATCAATGATTGTGGCTACTGGCAAGGAATATTAACACAGACATTGCACTCTGAAAGACATATCCAGTTTGCACAAATAAAATACTTTAAAAAAATACCTATTTTGAGATTTTTCTTTCTCTTTTTTTGGAGATAGGGTCTCGCTCCATCACTCAGCCTACAGTGTAGTGGCATGATACAGCTCACTGCAGCCTCGACTTCCTGGACTTTGGACTCAAGCCATCCTCCCACCTCAGCCTCCCGAATAGCTTAGACTATAGGTGCAGACTACCACACCCAGGTAATTTTTAAATTTTTTGTAGTGACACGATCTTGCTATTTTACCTAGCCTGGTGTGGAATTCCTGGGCTCAAGAGATCCTCCTTCCTTGGCTTCCCAAAATGCTAGGATTACAAGCGTGAGCCATCGTGCCCAGCTATTTCAAGATTTTTGATGTTATATGTTTTGGTTGCTAGAATTAATAAACTTGAACTACTATTAGTGTAAAAACAGAAATAGTTTCATGCTGTGGTTGAGATAGAGCAGCTCCTTTACAGATCATGGAGATATTACAGTTTCTGGCAGCATATTGCCACTTACATATAATAATATAATCATAGGGTTTAATGTTGGCTAGTGTTGGGATGCTGGTATTATAATAAGGTTCATGCGAATTCCATGTGTAGAAGCCTTTCTGGGCAGGTCAAAGACATCTCATGCACAGGGAATCTAACTGTTGTGTGAGTTATAGTGCTTTTCTATTGTAGTTATACTAATTTGTGAGTCTCCCAGTCATAAAAATTGATATTAATTTCTTACGTTAAGTGTAATTAAACTATTCTGTAGAGTTTACCTTTGTTTTGGTCAAGAGAAACAAGTATAATAAGTGAATTAAGAAGTAAATATAGTGTTACTACCATATTTAGTTATGTCTAAATTGTAAATCTATGAGGTTGAATTGCCTTTTATTATCACACACTCATTGACGTAAATAATCTCATGTGTCTCTTAGCAGATTTTATCCACCAAGTTCCTGGCAGCCAAACTGACATCATTATTGTATCCATTGCTTCTTAAGCTCTTCCATTTATTGCAGTACACATATAAAGGGTCTCCATCATAACAAGAGATCAATAATACAATTATAAATAAAATAAAATGAGATCATTTGGTTTTTCTTTCATAATATCAAAAATGTTCCATATAACATTATGAAATCAGAAAATAAGGATGAGTTACATAGAAGAAAATAAGCTCATTAAAAATAGTTTTCCTTTTTATACCGTCACATTTTTCTTTGCCTTTAACTTCTCCTGTGAATGTTTAAATCCCCATTAAGCTCAGATGGAACAAGAACAATTATGCCAGGAGGTATACGGTGCTCTCATCAGGCTTACTAGAAAGAAGTAAGACATCCACACTGCATGACAGTTATCACTGGATTTACTGTCAGCAGATGCTCACTGAAATGGAAATGTTCCCTGAATTGAGCTCATGCCTACAATCTTCATCTTTACTCCCCAGTTCCTTTCCTGGGGGAATTACAGGGATAAGTATCTCTGCTTTTTATAATGAACACTTTAAAGCTCACAGAGAAGCATGTCTTTTGCCTCCTCCCTAAGGAGTCATCTATCTCCTCTGCAGCACATTTTCACTGTTTTGTTTTAAAAAGCAAGGTTTGGGTGCCCTTAACTCAGTCAATTAGCAGGGTCAGATGCAATTGTTTCTGTATCCTGGAGTCTGTGCCTTCCCTACGTGATGAGTGGCTTATAAATTCCACATTCTTGTTTTATGCCTTTGCTATCTATCTCCTTAGAGGAAATCATTATTTGTTCAAAAGCACACTACAGGCATTGTAAAAATATGGCGAAAATTATTTTTATTGGCAATACTTGAACTATGTGAACTGAAAAGATGAGAAATTGGGTGAACCATGCACTTATTAAAACTTTACTGCTGCCTGTAATCCCAGCACTTTGGGAGGCCGAGGCTGGCGGATCATGATGTCAGGAGTATGAGACCATCCTGGCTAACATGGTGAAACCCCGTCTCTACTAAAAATACAAAAAAAAAAAAATTAGTCTTTACTACAAAAATACAATAAGTTAGCCGGGCCGTGGTGGCGGGCGCCTGTAGTCCCAGATACTCGGGAGGCTGAGGCAGGAGAATGGCGTGAACCCGGGAGGCAGAGCTTGCAAGTGAGCCGAGATAGCACCACTGCACTCCAGCCTGGGCGACAGAGCAAGACTCCGTGTCAAACAAACAAACAAAAAAAGCAGCAACAACAACAACAACTTTACTGCTATAGTTTACTTTGTTTGACCTCTCCATACCTTTTGTTGAAATCTGATCCTCATTGTTGAAGGTGGTGCCTAATGGGGGATGTTTGGTTCATCGGGGTGGACCTCCCATGAATGGTTTTGGTGCCATCCTCAGTAAAGAGTAAGTTCTTGTTCTATTAGTTCTGTGAGACCGGTTGTTAAAAAGAGCTTGGCACCTCCCCCATTGCTCTCTTGCTTCCTGTCCATCCATGTGATCTCTGCACATGCTGGTTCCCTTCACCTTCTGCTGTGAGTAAAGGCAGCCTGAGGCTCTCACTAGAAGCAGATGCTGGTGCTATGCCTCTTGTATGGCCTGAATAACTGTGAGAAAAACAAACCTCTCTTCTTACAAATTACCCAGCCTCAGATATTCCTTTGTAGCAACATTAAAAGGACTAAGACAGAAAATTGGTATAAAGAGTGGGATGTTGCTATAAAAATACCAGAAACTGTGGAAGTGGTTTTGGAACTGGGCAAAGGATAGAAGGATTTGGAGGTCTGAAAAAAGACAAGAAGATTAGAGAAAGTTTGGAACTTCTTAGAGATTGGTTAAGTGATGGTGACCAAAATGCTGGTAGAAATACAGACCGTAAAGACCAAGCTGACAGGATCTCACATGGAACTGATTGGAAACTAGAGCAAAGGTTACCCTTGTTAACCATAGAAAAGAACTTGGTTGCATTGTTTTCATGCTCTAGTTCTTCATGGAAGGCCAAGCTTAAAAGTCATGACCTAAAGTATCTAGCGGAAGAAATTTCTAAGCAGAAAATCCTTCAAAGAGTGTCAGATATAGGAGCAAAGGAATGGCCTAAAGTTGTAATTTATAATTAAAAAATAAAGCAAAGCCTAAACATTTGGAAAATGTGCATCCTGGGCATGTAATAGAGAAGGAAAGAGCATTTTTAAGGGAGGAATCCAATGGTGCTGCAGAGCAACCACTTGTTAAAAGGATTAGCATGACTAAATGGGAGTCAGGTGCTAAAAGCCAAGATAATGGGGAAAAGGCCCCAAAGGCATTGCGGAAATTTTCAAAGCTGCTCCTTCCATCACAGGCCCAGATACCTGGGGAGGACAAAATTGTTTCAAGGTCTGGGACTGGAGCATCACTGCCCTGTACCACCTTGGGATGCTGCTCCCTGCATCCTGACTGCTCTACCTCCAACCACTGCTCAATGGCCCCAGATACTGCTTGGTCCTCGGCTCTAAAGTATAAACTGAAAGCCTTGGCAGTGTCCATATGGTGTTAAGTCTGCAGTCACTCAGAATGCAAGAGTGGAGGAGGCTTGGCCACTTCCACTTAGATTTCAGAGGATATATCCCAAAGCCTGGGTAACCATGCACAATTCTGCTACAGGGGCTGAGTCCTTGCAGAGAGAATTTACTAAGTTCATACTGAGTAGAAGTGTGCAGTTGGAGCACCCTCAGAGAGTCCCCACTGGGGCACTGCTTAGTGGAACTGTGGGAGCAGGGCTGTGTAGACCGACCAGCAGCATGCACCATCAGCCTGGAAAAGCAGCAGGCATTCAACTCAAACCCAAGACAGCACCCATGTGGGCTGTGCCCAACAAAGCCATGGGGACACAACTGCCTGAGGCCTTTTGAGTTGACCCTTCACACCATGTACCCAGGATGTGGGATATGAAATCAAAGGAGATTATTTTGGAGTTTTAAGGTTTAATGTCTGCTTTGCTGGGTTTCAGACTTGTATGGAGCCTGTTACTCCTTTATTTTGGCCTATTTCTCCCTTTTGAGATAGAAATGTTTATTTAATGCTTACACAACCATTGTATCTTGGAAGTAAAAACATTGTTATTGATTTTACAGGGTCACAGATATAAAGAGTTTGCCTTGAGTCTCAGATGAAACTTTGAATATTGGACATTTGAGTTGATGCTGGAACAAGTTAAGAGTTTTGAAGACTATGGGATAGAATGACTATATTGTATGTATAAGAAGGGTATAAAATTTAGAGGGCCAGGGGTAGAATTGCTATAGTTTGGATTATTTGACTCCTCCAGACCTTATGTTGAAATCTGATCCTCAATGTTTTAGGTGGGGCCTAAAGGGAAGTGTTTGGATCATGGAGGTAGATACTTCATGAATAGCTTGTTGCTATCCTCACAGTAATGAGCCCTCTTGCTGTATTAATTCCTGTAAGAGCTGGTTGCTATAAAGAGCTTGGTACCTGCTCTCACCGCCTTGCTCTCTTGCTTTCTCTCTCACCGCGTGCTCTGTGCACATGCCTGCTCCTCTTTGCCTTCTGTCATGAGTGAGGACTGCCTGCAGCCTTCCCCAGAAGCAGATGCTGGTGTCATGCCTCTTGTATAACCTGCCTAACTGTGAGCCAAATAGATCTCTTTTCTTTAGCATTTACTCAGACTCCAGTTTTCCTTGACAGCAACACTGAAAGAACGAAGACAATGGCTCTTCCAGAGGAAGAAAGATTATCCTGTCCTGGCTATCTTGTCTATTACCAACATTCCAGGATGAAGAAATATGGTGATACACTCAGGCCACTGGAATGGCCTCCAGTACAGCAGTAAGTCTTAGAATCTAGCCATCCTCTTACCTGCAAAGCTGCTACCTTGAATAAAAAAAAAAAAAAAAAAAAAAAGAAAAATTTTCCACAGACATGCTGAGCTATTCCAGGAAAATGCTCAGGATCTCATTCCTGTTCTTTTTACACAATTTGCTTACTGAGATTTATCTATTTTCATCTATACTTATGTGCTCATTCATTTCTTCTCTCTGTTTCTCTCTTTCTCTCTCTCTCATCCCTCTATATCTTACTCTCTCTCTCTCTCCTGCCTCTCCATCTCTCACTATTATTCATTCTGCCTAGTTTCATTCTGGATCCTCTACTGGACACTATCCTTAGGATCATTTTATTCCAAAGACTCTCTGATCGCAAAAATTTTTATTATATATCTGCTATCTATAAATTCTTACGGTAATAATTAAAATAAAATCAAAAAACAGATAAGTGTTGAGCTATCAGACACCATGTCATTTTAAGCCTCTACACAGTAATTTTTTTTTTTTGGTAACATACTTAGGAATTTTTGCTTAGTTACTTTGATTGATAAAATTAACTTTTTAAGACAATTCTATCAAGCTCTGCAATTTGTTCAACAATAGTCACTGAATTTATCAGCTCACCATCATATTTCCTTCAGCTTTGAGAAATTAAATGTGACCATGTCCCTGGATGGTGGTACAGTCCATTGTGAAACCAACTTATCAGTTGCCTGAAAAGGAAGGGAAAATTTGACTGAAGATAATTAAGTCACAGAAATGTGTGTGCTTAATTTCTAAATTTGTAACATCTGATGTAGTGGGCTGGCTTTGCCTTTTTCCAGGACTTACATTTTTCATTATGGATTAACCACAGATATGAGTGTAGTTCCTATTCTATACTAAACAACTACATTGGTGAGAAACTGATGTAGAGTGGCCCACAGTACTTACTGTCTTTGTATTTGTGGGGTATCCCAAGGCTATTTTTCTCTGACAGTAAGACACATGCCCTCATGCATACCATCACCTCACTCCTCAGCTATAAAGCAAGCTTGTCTTCATACCATTTGCTTTTTTTACAGGATATCAAGTCAAAACAAAAAAATTAAAAAATAATTTGGATGACTGACTTCTTCTCCTTCAATCGGGGCTGCTCTGTGATTTTCAAAGTATTAATACGGGAGTCCTTCAAAATCTCTTCTATGTGCTGTTAAGAACGTGGCACTCCACTTCCAGAGAGTCATTTGTTAGCTCCTGGTATCCTCTATGAGCTTGTTCCAGATTTTCATAGATATTTCATAATCTGTAGGATATCAGAAAGTCCTTTTCCAGTTTTAGTCTGGATAAAATTTTCATCTCTTTGTTCAGCAATTTTATTAATTTAAGTACATTAAAAGAGAAGAGATTTGGACATGTGATCTAACTCTCCATCTTGCCAGGTAATACTCAGTGCATTTCATATTTATTACAGGTGAATACCAGTGGAATGCAACTTCTTTTGCTTTAGAAGACAAGCTCTTAGCAATGTCAAGTTTCCAGGTACGACCGAGAGATATTCAACATATTATAATTTCCACTAAGATGGGAAACATTTCCTAGGGGTTATTTCTCTTTGACAGCAGAGAAGTATCCAAGTTATTCTAGATAATAAAGCAAAGTTTTCCTCAAGTCCTGTATTATATGAGACTGCTGTTTCTGAAAATTATAGTCCCACAGCAACCTACGAAGTTTAGAGATCAATATTTGATTTTTCTATCTTGCTAAATATTCTTCAAATCAAGTATTAGTTGTCCCTGTCACTCAGCATGAAGAAAAACTGTGTTAAAGAGGACCTGGAGAAGTAAACTGACTACTGACTTACCAGACTCCAGAACTATAACAAGTAAATTTCTGTTGTTTATAAGCTACCCAGATTATCGGGTTTTGTTTTAGCAGCCCAGGTGGACTAAGGCAAGGGTTCTTTTTGCTTTTTCCATATATTTGTGTTTGTGTATATGTATATGTGAGATAGAAAAAAAGAATTTGTTATGATTCATCACAGAGTTAAAATATTTTAAGAATATAAACTTTTCTACAAAAATGTAATTCAAGTTTTAGTGAGAAAGTTATGTAAAATGAATGTATATAAAACAACTCTTCCTAGAGGACACCTGTTCTGGCAGGTGAGAAACTGATAGCGATGTGCTGCACTGAGAAGATAAATGTAACCAGCATACTCAGTAGCATCTTCATATACTTCTTTTGGAGGAAGCTCATCAAACTAAGGTGTGGCTTCCCCACTCAGGCCTTTGCTGGCGATCCAGCCTCACTATTCTTCTTTCTTTGTGCTGTTACTCTTCCAGGTAGCCCTCTGCTTTTGATCACTAGGTTTTTCTTTTCCATCTCTGTATTTCCTTGGTAGAAGGGACAGTATGAACAAAGCTGGAATTCAATCTGTTCACACTTTTGTACTGAAAATATGTAAGTATCCTTCAATACTATGTGTTATATAAAAAATTACTAACCATAAAATAATTGTCAGGAAAACCCAACCTTCCTATTGACAGTTTTACCAAAGCATCAAAAATAAATTTGTTTCCAATAAAGTGCTTGATCCTTATGCATACATGCAGGGCAACTACTGAATCTCCAATCAGTGACCATGAATAATACTTTTGTTTTTTGGCCTTGAACCTATTGCATATGTTCTAGCCACTTCCTCTTCCTGGGGAAACATTGATTTTCTTATGAAAAACAGCTCTCCAATCAGGAAATGGTATGTGCCTTATTAAGAAATACTTTGATCTGAATGTTTGTGACCCCTCTAAATTTATGGGTTGGAATCCTAACCCCCAAGGTGATGTATTAGAAGATGGAGATTTGGGGGACATGATTTGGTAATGAGGATGTAACCCTCATGAATAGAATTAGTATCCTTATAAATGAGGAACCAGAGAACTACCTTGTCCCTTTCACTATATGAGGACACAGCTAGAGGACACCTTCTATGAATCCGGAAATGGATCCTCAACGAGACACTTCATCAGCAGATGCCTTATCTTGGACTTCCCAGCCTCCAGAATTATAACAAATAAATTTCTGTTGTTTATAAGCTACCCAGATTATGGAGTTTTGTTATAGTAGCACAGATGGACTAAGGCAAAGGTATTTTAGCTTTTTCCATATCTTTGTGTTTGTGTATGTGTGTATGGCAGACAGAAATAAAATGAATTTGTTATTATTCATCATAAAGTTAAAATATTTTAAGAATTTAAACTTTTCTACAAAAATGTAATTCAAGTTTGTGTGAGAAGATTTGGGGTATTGAAGAAAATATAAAGAAAAAATCATTAAAAATTATATTATTTATTATTTATTTATTGTCTCTCTTAGGCTCTCTCTTCTCCTGCTCATTACATATATATTAAATACATAATAAAAATCCTGAGTATTAGTTATTCTTCTCAGGCTTAATTTAATGATTGAATATTCTGTATTAAAATAACCAAAATATTAATTTTCAAATGTTTTTTGTTTTAGATATTTAAACCTTAAAAAATTGTGAATGTAAAATAGGTGCCAGTAAATTAGCAGCTACTCTAGATATGAACATAATCATTTTATGTTTGCATAAACACAATATATAGAAATCCAACTCCTCTCTAAGCCAGAATGTTAACCAAAACAAGTTTAATTAAGTATTCATATGTAACTTGATTAAATATATCTGATTAAATAGGTAAATTTAAATAAGTGAATGGCAGTGTTAAATCTTATGCTAATATTCTTTAGACTGAAAGAATATTATGTTTTGAAAATTGAAGTGCCCCAAGATGGAATTTTTGCAACACTGTATCAAACATATTTAATTTGAGAGTAATTTGCTTTATAAGGAAAGCTAAAGTAATCTACTGCAAATCTTGCATTTCAATCAATTCTTGGGTATCCTGATTTAGAGAGATGAATGCAAATTTTGTATTCTGGCAGAAATAATTTTTAATTTCAGCACTACACTTTCCAATAGATGATTTGATCAAACTTCTTCTAAGAATCAGTTTCCTCATCTGGATTGTCTAATTGAATTTTTTCCATGAGAAAACAACAACAACAAAACCCTAAATACTTAAAAGAGGAATTCTTCATTGATTATATATTTAGTTTATTCATTCAAACAAAAAATATTACGACTTACAGAAAAATGATGCTACTGTAACTTCTGTTTTATTTAGTCACTGATATTTCAAATAAAATAACTATTTTGGACTAAATTATGCAGATCAATCTTGTAAGGTTTCCATTTGGTTTTATGTGTATGTACATGGCCTCTATAGCTCTCTAGCTTTAAAAACATTTTACCATATTTGTTGATTCAAGAGCTAATTGGTGTCATGAATAATGTACAAACTTGCCATATTTTCCACTTGGATAAGTACCTTTAGTTTTCATCTGGCTTCAGATGGTGTTCTGCTTGTATGCTCCTGGGGAAACAATACTGCCAGCTGCTTATGTCTAGAAAAGGACATGACTTTGATAAATGAAAAGAAAGTTCATGGTAAGTAGCTTTCATGTACCATATTTTAGAAAGTGATTTCTTTTGGTGTTTTTTAGGCATGATATCAGCAAGACTTGATATACTTTGAAATGTAATGCTGAATACAATGTTCTCAAAACAATTAGGAGTTTTTCTAATAATAACTATTGTTAGCTTGAGAGTGCAGGCATTTTCATACTTAAAAAGACATAAAAGAGATCATCATTTCTAGCAATATTCTGAAATTGATCTTACTAATCAGTGTGCTGCTACTCACTCTTATGCTATAAATGGAATACAAGTGTACAAAATATAGACACACTCAGGTTTTTGGCCAGCTAAGTAGGTCCCAAGATCCCACTGCATTTGCTTTGTTTTTTGCATATATACATACAAATATATTCAAAAGGATACACACACACACACACACACACACACACACAGACACACACATACATGGGAGGAGAGACAGAGGAGAGAGAGAGAGAGAGAGTCTATTCTCATTATTTGTGGTATACACATTCTTTGAAGTTGCCATGAACATTGGATTAGCAAACATTGAGCCACTTCTCTTAGGAGAAATACAGAGTTAGTTTTCTGTGAGCCTCTAATCACAAAGTTTTCATCAACTGATTAATACATAACTTATGTATGTTTCTCTTTAAAGACACCTTATCTAATATATATTGTTGAGTTATTAACATCAAACTCATGACCAACAACTTATCATGCCTGAATCAAGCTTATGTAACATATTTTCTCCATAAGGCACACACAGCTTTCTTGCCTTTGGGAACACTAGACATACTTCTTATTTATGTTTGGGTCATGTTAAACAGAGAAATCAGCAACAAAAGGCATAACACTGTAAAAATACTGCCACTAACTAGAACATGAGCAAAACACTTTTTTACAATATAAGTTGGAACAGGAAGGCAGACAGACAGTCACGTAGTTCAAACTCTGGTGGGAATGTACACATTGAACATCTCAAATTTTTCACTGATCTGAAAATGTCTGCAAATGACAATGAAGAAACATTTAATTTTAGGGTTACAAATAAGTTTTAATAAGTGAATTCACAATACTGAAGCCACAAGTTGTGAAAACTGGCTATATTTATAATATGTACAAACATGGTCATATAAACATAGTAATTTTATATATTTGTAATTATGCATTTAAATTAAGAGTATATGTATCAAAGAAAATAAAAGAAAATAAAATTTCAAGCTATATCAGGAAGAAGATAGTTGCATAAAATATGACCAAAAGATAATTGACATTGAGAATAAAATAAAATATCCTACAAATAAAAAAAGACTACTCACATTTTAAAAAAGTATAAATAGTATGAATAGGCACTTTTACATCTGATATAATCAAATAAATATAAGCTCAACTTAAATCAGTAATAGAGAAATTCAAGTAAAGTCAGTGAAATTCCATTACATAATCTACAAAAGTGAAAAAAATTACAGGTCTAACGCTACCACATGATAGTGAGGTAATGCAGTAACAGACACTCTCAATCACTTCGTAAAATACAAAGAGAAAACCATGGAAACCAAAATGTTATTAATGGTAAACATGCCATTATCCTACATTCAGAAATGTTTCTCCTTAGCATATTCATTCAAGAACTCTAAGCACTATGAACTAATGTATTATGTTTATTCATAGCAGAACGATTGGATCTGTTATGTTGGAATGGAATACTATATAGCTCAGAAAATGAAAGTATAATTGAACATGGATTTTTCTCTGTAGATAATAATGAACAAACGTATCGAGTCAAAAAAATAAATACTATATGTTTCCATTTATATACAGTCCTAAAACAAACATATATAATATATATTTTAACAACACAAACATTCATGTTTAAAATGTAAGAAAGAGAAGAACATGCTTAACATATAATTCAGGACAATGTTAACTTTTGTGTGACTGGAATGGGGATATAGAAAGAAAGGGCTTCCGGTGTTGCATTGTTTCTAAACAGTAATTAAAATATTCGTTTTTTTGAGGTAGTTAGTAATAATTATGTTGGTATTATTATATCCCAAACATTATGATACATGTCATAATAAAAATGTACAGGTAATATTTCTCATATAGGGAAATTTTCCACGGAGTCATATTACTTTCTTTCCCTGCCACCCCAGCCATCAACTTGGCTGAAAGCTCAGGTATGCCTAAGTACACTCTAATATCTGTGCCACAATATGATGGGAGAAAGCTTAGTGAAACTAGCTCTCTTTTTCTCTAAAATTAAATCCCAAAGAATCACACAATATGGACTAGTTGCTATCCTGCCCAGGTGGGTAGACTCATCCAACTGGAAGTGTAACTAGCCTATAATTTCCCTTTTTAAAGCTCTTCAACAGAAGAAAGAACAATAGGAAATCTTATTTCATCCTAGTATTTACTGTTTGTAGATGCTTACCCTTAGCTTATCACTGGTGAAAATAACATGAATTGTAACCTGTGATCTATATTCACAGGCCCACAGATTTACTCTACCATGCTTTACATTCTAACATTGAAACATATTCATGTAAAAAGTCTAAATACCACTTGTATTATGTTGGACAATTTTACCTATTACCATTATAAAAATGCAATGGAAATGTTCACTTTAATATTGTAAACCTATTTTATTCAACTTCTGTAGTTTCAGTCTTCATTAATAGGTGAAAACACATTTCTTTATATACAGTCTATTAAGAGACATTACTAATTACCTGGATTATCTAAGTAGTTCCATTGTCCCCATTTTATGAAAATAGCCCTATATAAGATACAGTAATACAGTAGATAATGTTGTTGTGGAAATCCTATTGATCAAATTAGTTTGACAATCAGCTACTATAATGGAATTGTATCCACGTATCATGTATAAAAGTGATATTTCAAAATAACAAACTGGGCCCATTATGGTGGCTCACGCCTATAATCCTTAGAAGGGTGCTAAACTGAGTGTTTATGACTATTGATTGAATGATGGCATAGCTACACAAACTCTACTTTATTTGGTATTATTTATTTATGCCCCAAAGTTACATACATTGTTCATTTTTTTTCAAATATACAAATATTCACAGTGATTACTTCCTTTCCAAAAATGCCAATCTAAAAGACAAGAATTATTTTTATTATTTTACTTTATGTCATTACCTTAGACTTTTCTCATGATTTCTCTTCTATTTCCCCAATTTCCCTGCCTTTCTTACCATTGACCTCTCCAAGTTGAATCTTTACTATTTTGATTTTTAATTTATGTTGACCATTCTTCACAATATTCCCAATATTTTGTTCATCCTCATTTTCAATTACTTATTGAGTCTATTAGATCTTCACAATCTAGAAACTGCAGGAGTATGTCTGGACTGCTTGACTCCCTCTAAAAGCATTCATCTAGTTTAAGTTCCAGTTATACCAGAGCAAGTTTTATGGTGGAGAAACAGGAGGCTCTTCCATAATCTTACTAGGTTCTCAGTTTATAATATGCAAACAGAGTCCCACAACACCTACATAAAATGAAACACAGTATCTTAGTGAAGCCCCATACAGTTTATTATGCAATATATATATTTCTATTATAAATTAAATAATTATACATGGAATATATACATATGAATTTAGATTAAATATTCAACATATATAATATATAATAAATATCAGGATCTTCTAATGTGGCATTATTGACATTGTGGACAAGGTAATATTTTATCTTCAGTGGCTGTCCTGTCCTAGAATATTTAAAAGCATCCCTTGCATCTGCCCAACAGATACCAATAGTGTCTTATCCCCCAAAGGTGTGTCAATGAAAGATATCTCCATATAGTGACATATGTCCACTGAGTTAGCAAAATTGCGCAGAATTCAGAAGGTTTACAGTCATTGATGTATATTGTATCAAGAAATATAAAATATATTGTATAACATAAATATAAATTATATATACATACACACACAATAAGGTACTCTAGTTTGACGCTTAAAAGGATGACTTTGGTTTGTGTTTCAGTTTTGGTTCAATACATGCTGGTTGTCAGGGTCATTATTAAAATACTTCTGGTAAATGTGAATTCAGAACAATCCTTGATGTGTATCTGATTTATTTTCCTTTTTTCCCAATATAAATGCCTTGAAATAATTAGATATGAAGATAATTTCAGCATATGCTTTGATGGTAGTTTCAGAGTAAGTATTAGACTTTTGATTTTGAGTTGAATCCTCTTCTTTTTCCCTTACAAATGCTTAGGAACACAAAAACTGCAGATTTTCTTGGCTCTTCTTTACGTTCTGTTGGAAGCTTATTAAATGTAAGCTTGGAGAAAGAAAATGCAGTCAAGGGAAGAGTACTTTGACATCTTTTCGGCTGCAGATTATTTTTGACACTTAGATCAATCACTTATTTGTTTCTACAAGCTGGTGAAATTCCCTAACGTTTCACATGCACTCACAGTGTTTACGAACCTTACATTTTATTCATAAATGCTGAATTGAAGGAAGGAAATAATTTGTTTCTACTGTTGTTTATAAGCAAGTTACTTCAATATTTAAAATAGATTTTAAACATATTTATTTCCATAAAGAAAGAGATGGCAATCCAAGAATTAAAAAATGGTTGGAATAAAACAGTTAATATTTAATATAACATTTTGCATCTGTTCTATTCGAGGTTTAAAAATCTATAGCTCAAGGGGAAAGACTTTCAAAATCAAAAGGACATAATTTAAGCTGTATTATTTCCTAGTTTTTATTTTTTATATTTCTTTAAATTTATTAAGGATTGTGAAAATATTCATACGACATGGTAGGAAAAAATGTATCTCTTCTGAATAAAGCATTATATTTTGAGAAAGAAAGCATACATTGCACAATAGTGGTTCTTGTTGATCTCATCCTTTTTCTGTTGTATTTTGGAGATTTTTTTTGGTGGTGTTCATCACAATTTATACTGAAATGCATGAACTTTCCTAAATCTTTATTCACAGCTATATTGTATACTGTGTTTTAAACTCTAAGTATTAGAATTGTGGAATCAAATCTCTTGTCTATTTAAACTTTTGCCTATGGGAGTTTCATAAAGTGCTGGGTAAAATTTGATTCCCCTCTGACATCTGTATTCCCATTCTTTTTAGAAAAAATTTTTGATCAATGCCATATTTTTCCTTCATCTTATAAATTTAATTCACCAACAATTGCCGGGACTGTTTTCTATACTTTTCAAATAATCTTTCCTTCAGTAGTGGCATTAAGTAAAGCATTAAATTAAAATTAAATATACACGGATCTGGATCCTAAATCCTACATCTATTAGCTAAGTGACCACAGCCGCCTAATTTCCTCTTATGTAAAATACAGATATTAATGCTATTTTATATTATAATCCAGGAATATTTATAATCTTGCAATATATAGTAATTCAATTGTACCTATGCATTCTTTATTAATTTTTAAGCATCTAATAAGTGCTTTAGCTTTTAACATTTTTATTATTCTTTAGGAAACCAAGAGAAAAATTATAATTTAAAAAGTTAGAACAATGTACATTTACCCAGCTACCTTCTGTGAAGTGCACAAGGAATCTTCTGCAGGCTGGCTTGTAGAAGGCAACAGTTGTTCTTGTGAAATTATAATTCCCTTATCAAACAAACTATGTAACTCATGATCACACATGCTCGTTCATGGCTTGCTAAGGAGTTTTGAGCCAATGTCATACACCTGACTGAATTTCAGAAATTGATCTGGGTCAACGTTGTTGTGTTATTGAATATAGTCCATAATACCTTATTGGAAAGTGATTTCACAAATAAAAGAGCAGAGGGTATTACTGGAAGATCTATGCTCCAACTCAGAAACATGTTTTTATGGAAATAGCGACTTAAATTATTGCTTTGCTTTTAATCTCCCTAAGTTTCACTTTCCACATCAGTAAAATAGTTAAAAAATCACACTGGGGCTTGTCGGCAGGTGGTGGGGGTAGGGGAGGGATAGCATTAGGAGAAATACCTAATGTAGATCACGGGTTGATGGGTGCAGCAAACCACCATGGCACATGTATACCTATGTAACAAACCTGCACGTTCTGCACATGTACCCCAGAACTTAAAGTATAACAATAAAACAAGAAAAAAAATCTAAAAAAAAAATTTCTTCACAACAAGTTGTGAGGGTTATATGTAATTAGTGCAGGTAAACTTTAGCTGTTATTGTTATTAATATTATCAGTATTAACATTTTGATCATTACAAAACATAAAGTAAATATCTTTTCAAAATCCCAGTGGTCCTCCAAACTAACAACCTGCATTTGCTTCTTACCATTTTTCACCATAAGATCATGCTTTAGAACACTGAGCAAAGTAGCTTCCTACAAAAGCACCCTGAGGATTTGCCAAAGGCCTTCTTGTGCTTCTGGAGACTGCATGCTTCCAATATATCTGGCTGGTCATGAAAGTGCCTTGGTTAATATATACTTTAAAACATGCCCATTTGAATCAGATTTTGAGAATATATTTGCAACTGCATTTGTCATTTTGTTTGCTTTTCAAAGAAAATTGCAGCTGATAAGTGAAACAGGCAAGGAAGACTTGATTCAAAACAATTTCAATAAGAGAAAGAGGCTGAATTCAATTCTGCTGGAACAAAAGCAGGAAGAATATTTAAATGATGGAAAGAGGCTGGATCTGGTGGCTCATGCCTATAATCCCAGCACTTTGGGAGGCTGAGGCGGGTGGATGACTTGAGGTCAGGAGTTTGAGACCAGCCTGGCCAACATGGTGAAACCCCATCTCTACTGAAAATACAAAAATTAGCTGGGTATGTTGGCACACGCCTGTAGTCCCAACTACTCAGGAGGCTGAGGCAGGAGAATTGCTTGAACCTGGAAAGTGGAGGTTGAAGTGAGTGGAGAGCTTATCTTACCCTGGGCGACAGAGCAAGACTCTCTGTCTCAAAAAAAAAAAAAAAAAAAAAGAAAAAAGAATGGGAAAGAGCTAATGGAAACAGAGCAGGAGATTGGCAGGACTTATATCCTGGTCCCGACAGAATGGAAAAAAGAAACTCGAACCAGCAAAATGGCACGGAAGGCAAACTCTAGTTGCTTTCACTGCACGTAAGACGCTCCCACCAATGCTATGACAGTTTACAAATGCCACAGCAACACCCAGAAGTTACTGCTTCTTTTCTAGAGATATCTGAATAACTTGCTCCTTTATTTGCATATAATTAAAAATGAGTGTAAACACTGCTAGCCAACAGCTTGTATGCTGCTACTCTGGTCACACCACCTACGGATTTGCCCTGCTCTACAAGGAGCAGTCAGTGTGTGTATTCCAGTGCTTCAGTATACCTGCTTTCTTCCACCAACAGCTCACTCATAAATTCTTTCCTGAGTGAAGCAAAGAACCCTCCCAGGCTAAGCTCCAATTTTGGAGGTGGGCAGAGGGGACACTCTTCCATCCATCTGTGTCTGATTTGACTTTATGCAAAGAGAAAGTTTGTCCAGTTTTTGGAGGATCCAGGAAAGTTTATAGAGGAGTTTGTTAGGTTGATTATGTTCTTTGATTTAACTTGGTATGACTTACAGATATTATTATTTAATTGCTGTACCATAAAGAAGAGACAAAGTTTTTTTTGTTTTGTTTTGTTTTTGTTTTTGTTTTTTTACTCTCCATGAATATGTAGATGAAATAGCTGCTCATAACCAAGGCCATCCTATTTATCTTAAGGAGGCAGATGCAATTCCAGATCCAGACCCTCAGTGGGATTACCAGAGAGGTCCCCAAGATCTTATTTTTATTTTTATTTTTGAGACAGTCACACTGTGTTACCAGGTTGGAGTGCAGTGGCACGATCTCAGCTCACTGCAACCTCCACCTCCCGAGTTCAAGTGATTCTCCTGCCTCAGCCTCCCAAGTAGCTGGGACTACAGGCATGCGCTGCGACGCCCAGCTAATTTTTGTATTTTTTAAGTAGAGACGGGGTTTCACCAAGTTGGCCAGAATGGTCTCCATCTCTTGACCTCATGATCCACCCACCTCGGCCTCCCCAAGTGCTGAGATTACAGGCGTGAGCCACTGCACCCAGCCCCCAAGATCTTGAATACAGAACTCACATGCTAATTTATTGAGTAAAAGGTATAAATGGTTGTGGTTAAGACAGTTAATTATGACAAGATTAGAAAATAACTTAAGGAAAAGATAAAAATATCACCGTGTTTCAGGGTCTGATGGTTTGAATCTGTGTCTCCACCCAAATCTCATGTTGAATTGTACTCTGCAGTGTTGGAGGTGGGGCCTGAGGGAAGGTGATTAAATCATGGTGATGCACTTCTCATGAATGGTTCAGTACCATCCCCTTGGTACTCTCCTCATGATAGTGAGTTCTCACGAGATCTGGTCATTTAAAGGTGTGGGCATTTCCCATCTCTCCTGCCCCTGCTTTCAACATGTGAAGCGCCTGCTCCCACTTTACCTTTCACCATGAGTAACAGCTCCCTATGTCCTCTCCAGGAGCACAGGCTGCCATGCTTCCTGTACAGTCTTCAGCACCCTGAGCAAATTAAACTTCTTTTCTTATAAATTTCCCAGTCTCAGGTATTTCTTTACAGCAATGAAAGAATGGTCTAATACAGGGTCACTTGGTTGAAGCACTCAGTCTTCTAATGCAGGCCCCAACTGCCCAGAAGGAGATTCTGCTCAAGACCTTCTCCCACAAGATTTGCCACGTGGCTTATTTCCTCATGCATGCTCATGTATTCATGTTTTGTGGGGAAATGAAACTTCCTTGAATTTTAAATGTTCTTGTATATATGTGGGGAGAGAGAGAGAGAGAGGAGAGAAAGCCTCTTATGACTTGTCACATACCGTGAGGATTAGCTGTGTAGCAATTTTTCTAGTGATTTTATCTAATCCAAATGGATAATAAAAACAGTGTAATGTCTCTGAGGGGGTCAAGAGTTTGCAGCCTGGACTAGGTTCTAGGTTAAGCCACAGGTGTCTGGGAATCTAGGGAGCTATCTACTTAAGTACTTGGAGACACTTCTAGATTGTAAAATCCAAGACCTATACTGATACTTGGTTCCTGGAGATATTTTATTTACATAACTAAGGATTAGACTAAAGAAGAAATCTTTCATGAAGGGAGTGAGACGGCTACCTCTTCCATTTTATACACAGAGAAAATTATTTTTGCTCATCTTTCACCTATGGAGTCTACCACTACTTGAAAACCAGCTTCCAACCTCTCTGAGTTTTCAGTGAATGATCTGAAGAGGAAAGGACTGAAGCAAGGAGGTTAGGATGCAGCATGCTTATTTTCAATGTAATGTAATTAATTAATTAGAAATCTGATTCGGAATGTCTCCTGTGTACATCAGAATAAAATTACTAATAATAAATATAAAAACCTACCATCTCTCTCCTCAAATACTGTGTCTTCATAGAGGAATTGTCTGATCTACTCTAAAATAATCAGCACCCAAATTTATTCATTCTCTTTCCTCTTTTTCTCCTTTAATGTCTTTGTATTTCTCATCTAAAATTATATAATTTATTTATTCTTCTTATCTACTGCCTTAGTCGCTGGAATGTAAACTCCATGAAGACTTTGGCATTGTCTACATTTTTTACTCTATTGTTAGAACCAATAAAGATACCTTGTTAGCAATATTAAGTTCAGGCACTCTTTTCAGATTTCCAGAAATGATATCAAACAGCACACCTGACCATAAATTTATATGGTTCATTTTGATTACATAAATACATTATGTATTTATATCATCATATATATTATATATTACATATATAAAAATATATATGTAGAAAATATAATCTCCAAATACATCTCTTACAACAGTTGAAGAAATAACATTAAGGAAAGTTTTTTGAATGAAACAAAGCAAAAACATTCCATTACATATATAAAAGTATATACTTATATATGGTGAATGACTTCAAACTTCAAGACCCACTGTGGTTGGGCTGGAATACAGAACATACAACAGTAGGTAGTAAGTGAATTTGAGGACTTACGCATTATTTAAGGGGAAAAGTAGTTGTTCATATATTGGATGTGGTCGTTGTGCATCAGTGTAGGCTAAATGTTGCCATATCTTCCAATTTTTTTTGTAGAAAGCTGAGAATATAAATATTTATGTGAAATTATATTTGTGTGCCATCAAATTAAAAAAAAAAACAAAAACATGTTCACAAGTGGAGTATAGCATACATCCCGATGGTTTGAGTGTCTCTATTGAGTCGATGAGATAGTTATATACTTCCACTTTTAGGGGCCTTTCTAGATTTATCTCAATCTTACACACCCTTTACCATTGTGCCACTGATTTATTTCAAGCACATCATGAGAAATACAGCTATAAAACTCTCTATTGCAGTTACTCTAAGGAAACTTATTGAACTCAGTATGTCTTCTTTAAGAAAATTCTCAGACCACAATGCATTTTTAATTCCAGTTAACAGGTTTACACTGAGAATCAGGAAATGGAAAATGTTATTATTATGTTCTTGAGAGCTGTAAAGAAGTCATTTCATTTTATCTCATGCAAATATATGAAATCATTTGGCATATATTTTTAGTAGTAGTTTAAATGTATTACATCAATGAGTTCTAGCTGAACCTAGGAAATACTCCCTAAACATCTAAGATAATATTCTACTTACTCTCATAACTACCTTAATAATGTTAATGATAGCATAATAATATTAATAACATGTTAAAGTATTTGCATAGTGTGTGCAGTCAATGGGCATCATCTGTGTTCTTCACTGCTACATCCCTGGGAACTGGAAGAGAGCCTGACATAAGATAGGTTCTCAGCAAATATTTGTTATATAAATAAAAATCCATTATATTGTAACTTATAACTCATTATAACTTAAATGCCTAATAATTGTCCTAAACATTGCTAAGAACCCAACCAGTCAAGTGATACACAAAACTTCTAAAAGTATGACAAATATAGCTCTCATCTTATATATGAGGAAATTGAGACTCAATATAATTAAACTATTAGTCCAGGGAACACCCATCCTGATAAGATAATGCAAGTTTCAAAAATCTGTGCAGTTTTTAAAAATTGTTTTATGCTGCCAGATGATCTTGGTTTTATAACTTATATATGTTTATAAAATGATTACAACCACTTCACAAATCATCTTTCCTGCAAAGCATTATCATAAAATAGGAAATAGAGAGAGAAAGCAAGGAATAAAGGAAAGAAAAGAAAACCCATGTGTCTTGTATTCAGAATGATACGTCCTGGTGAGCACACACACTAAGCAAGATAATAAAGCAAAAACCAGGACCTTGGTGCCAGGACTCATAGTAATAATTAGAAATTGAGCATTCAGGAAACACATAATTTAAACTGCATATTTTATTTTTCAGTAGTCATTTACTTTTTATTGACTACATTCTTCAGTTTAAATTTTTTAAAGAGGAAGAACTATTCCAGCAGAGCCTCCAAGTGTTACTTTCACATTGTCAGCTATTTTTCTGTTTAATAAGGAATTCCGATTCAGAAGCTTAGAAGCTTGATATAATCATGCTCTAGTAATTTTTAGGCAACCAACATTGAGTTTTAAATTTAAATTAAAAGAAGATCGTCTCAAATGTACTTTGATTCTAATCTTAAATAAGGCTCTCACTCTACATGCGTATTTCTAATAAGCAGGTATCTTTGGGATTACTGTAAATTTTTCCCCAAATATGCTATGAGAAATTATCAGACTATGATTAATTCAAAAGATATTCTCTGATATATTTCTGAAAATAAAAAATAATAATATTTCCTTCTATGTATGTAATAAATATTTATAATTTATTTAGAAAATAATGTTAAATACATAGAAGATGAAAAGCATTCATAGTCAAACCAAGTGGAATAACCACTAGTAATATAGTACATTTCCTTCCAAAATAATACATATACATATATTTGCATAGAGGGACATCATATTCCATAAAAAGTTTTATATTCTCATTTAATTCATGATTGTAATTTGAGTTCTGTCTTTGGTTAAAAGTATCCTTATAAGATATTTATTGTTAAATATTTGGATGGTATTCAATTTATTAAGCATGTAAACTAATAATTTATATAAAATATGTTATTTTCATATTTAATTGTATAATTTGATATATTTGAAACTTTTTTCAAGTCTGTCATGTAATATTACAATATCACAATAAACTTCTGTATGAATATCTTTGTGAATGTCTACGATTATTTTATTAGAATCATTTCCAAAATTAAGAATATCTAAAAAGTGTAAACATTACACAAGTTCTTGATGTCTATCTCCAAAGTGTCCCCCAGAAACCTTAAGTGAATTAACAGAAATAGAAAACCAAATACTGCATGTTCTCTTAAAAATGGGTAAGTAGAAGCTAATCATTGGGTACACACGGACCTAAACGGAGGAGCAACAGACACTGCAGACTTGAAAGGCAGGCAGGGAGAGAGAGAAGCAAGTGTTTAAAAGGAATCTGATACTATTTTCACCATTTGGGTGATGAGCTCAACTGAAACCCAAACCTCAGCATCACACTATATCCATGTAACGAGTTTGCACATGTATCCACTAAATCTAAAATTAAAAAAAAACAAATCTGACACCATTTTTGATGTTTGACTTCTGACAGCATTCAAGCCCTTCCCCACACCTCATGACGTTTGGCATCATACCTGAAGCTGATTGGCAAGCAAGCCAGGCAGGAAAACCACCCCGGCTGCAGCACCTAACCACAATAAAAACCAGAGCCTCCTGCCCCTATTCACTGTTGTTTCACTTGGGATCTAACCTGAGCACTTTTTCTTGGGGAAGTGGTTTGCAGTTACTCTGGAAACAATAAACTCTGACATCTATTGGTGCCTTGGTGTATCCTTCTTCCAGGCATCTATATATTTCTGAGGAAGGTGGAGGGCATTGAGGGACTCGCAGCTTCCAGCAGCGGATGCCAGAAGCCCAGATAAAACATTTATATTCTAATTAATGGTGTAAGAGTATATACTCATTTTACTACCCTTTTGTAAATTTGGTGGGTGTAGTTTTTAAATTTTTATTATATTCTTATTATTTTTATTATAACAGAAACTACACTCACCAAGTTTACAAAAGGGTAGTAAAATCTAAATTAATGAACATATTAATTTAAACTAATTAAATGTAAGTTATAACTAATGCTTCCATTTAACATTTTAAATAAACTCGTCTGTAAGGGAAGGTGTAGACTTCTAAAATAAATGCACAGAAGAAACAATCTATTTTCATGTGCCTTATATGAGGAACATAGCCTTTAAGCTACAATTTTTATCCACACCATCTGCTCTTATTTAATGAGAGCATATTTGATCTGAATGATGTGGATAATTGCTTCAATCTTTCATTTTGCTTGCCATTTGCAAGCACAGCTCTAAAAAGACAAAATGAAAATAAATAGGCCCTATTTAGGAAAAAGAATGGAAGCCTTTATTTCTTCAACAACTTTCAATTATAGCAACAGTTTTGCTTTCAGTAACCAATGTTTATTTTATTTTAAAAAACCCCCAAAGATCCAGTTCTGATATTCAAAATGTAACAAGTTATAATTTTTGACATTTTAAAATTTGGAATATGTGTGTAAATCTCTCTTCAAAGTTTAAATTGTACTCATTTTAAATTGTATTTAAAGGGTAAAATAGAAGGTTGTCTTTAGTTTTGAAAATATATATGTTATCAAAAGTAAAGAATAAAAATTATCAGGACAAATTGAAACAAAGTTTAAGTTGAGATTCCTCAAAATAAGAGTGAGTCCTCAGGAGAAAAGGAGGGACGCTGTATAATTACAAGCAGGGTCTTAGATCCATCAAGTATAAGATATGTTTAGTAGTGATTTAAACAGGATTGAGATTAAGTAAGCTCCTGAAACTAATGGGTTATTCCTAATTCTTTACCTTTATAAGGCATTAAAATACAGAAAGAGATCCTGAAGCTTTAGAGGTCTGTTATGTACTGAATGGTAGTGTTCCCCTAAAATTCATGTTAACATCCTAATCACCACTGCAATATTCTAAGGAGACAGAGCCTTTGAGAGGTAATTAGGATTAGATGAGCTTCATGAGAGTGAGGCCCTTATGATGGGATTAGTGCCCTAATATGAGACACCAGAGTGTTTCCCCTTTTTGTTTCTCTCCATAGCATGTGATGACACAGTAAGATGATGATGATCTGCAAGCCAGGAAGAGAACTTTCACCAAAATAGGACCATACTGGCACCTTGATCTTGGACTTTCAGGCTTCAGGACTGTAAGAAAATACGTCTTTGTTATTTAAGCCACCTGGTCTATGGTATTTTGTTATGGCAGCTAGAGTTGACTAATGTAAGCCATAAATGGGTTTTGTCAACTCCATTTTTGTTTTGAATATTGGTAAAGAGACAAAGATATCATCATAGACTTCAGGGTCTTCAAAACTGGAGAAAAATGAAAGAAATAAAAAGTTATTCTAAATTAATTTTCTAGAAATTGGAGGTATGGATCATTATACATAAATATATAGGAAATAATTTCATTGTGTTTCTAGAAATTGTAATATGTATAATTTATTTCATAATATTTACAAACATGAAGTTTATTATATTATATTTCATAGAAAATGTATAAAAATCTAAACTATAACTTCAGTTATGTTTATTATGTAAATAAATATTGTTGCTTCAACTTTAAATCTTTAACCCATCAGATATGTATTAGGATTTTAAGAACTTGACCTTAAGTTTCCACTTGTTCTATTTATTTCTGTTAGCAGAAAGCTAATGATTAGACACTGATTTTGTAGAAGTATTTAAGCATTTCTATATAATGCAAACTAACGTTATTCAAATAAGCAGTAATAATTTGTAGCTGTACTTTTACATTTCGTGAAAATGCTTAAAACTCACAGTCTACAGAATTTTGAAAAGCAACTGAATTCATTCAATTTATCAAAGAAAAACCCAATGAGCAGTAAATAGCTCATATTAACATGAAAAAAATGCCAGTACCATGGGTAACAAAGAAACATTCAATTTAGTAATAAAGCATAACAAAACATGATTACCAATAGTGACATTATTTTCACTGCAATGTTGGAGAAGACTTTTGAAGAGATAATAACAAGATTATTTTTATCTGAATCATTATGAATAAATAAATTACCGAATAAATCACATACCCTCAGGAATACTGTAATGTACTGAACGTTTGTGTTTTCCCAAAATTTACATGTTGAAATATATGATTTTTTTTTTTTGCCAAGTGACCTTCCGCCTCTTGCTTTTTTTCTTTTTATGATGATGATGATGATGATTATTATTATTATTATTATTATTATACTTTAAGTTTATGAGGCCAGCATCATCCTGATACCAAAGCCTGGCAGAGACACAACAAAAAAAAGAGAATTTTAGACCAATATCCTTGATGAACATTGATGCAAAAATCCTCAATAAAATACTGGCAAACTGAATCCAGCAACACATCAAAAAGCTTATCCACCATGATCAAGTGGGCTTCAACCCTGGTATGCAAGGCTGGTTCAACATACGAAAATCAGTAAACGTAATCCAGCATATAAACAGAACCAACGACAAAAACCACATGATTATCTCAATAGATGCAGAAAAGGCCTTTGACAAAATTCAACAACCCTTCATGCTAAAAACTCTCAATAAATTAGGTATTGATGGGAAGTATCTCAAAATAATAAGAGCTATCTATGATAAATTATTTTTTACTATAGTCATCCTGTTGTGCTAGCAAATACATATTATTTATTCTATCTAACTCTATTATTATAAAATATCTAAAAGAGTGGAATTGAAATGTTTCTAAAACAAAGAAATGATAAGTGCTTGGGGTGATGGTTACTCCAGTTACCTCGATGTGATTATTACACATTGTATGCCTGTATCGAAACATTACATGTATCCCATAAATATATATACCTACTATGTAACTATCAAAATTAAAAATTTAAAAATTTAAAAATATCTAATGTGGTGGTATTAGGATGTGCACCCTTTAGGAGGTAATTAAATCACTAGGATAGAGCCCTCATGAATGGGATTAGTACCCTTATACAGGGCGGTGCAGAGAACTTTCTGTTTTTTTAAAATGTGAGGACACAATGAGAAGACCGCCATCTAAGAGACAAAAAGGGAACCCTCACCAGATCCAGAATCTGCCACTGTCTTGATCTTGGACTTTTCAGCCCCCAGAACTGTGATAAATAAATGTGTGTTGTGGAACCATGCAATCTACATTATTCTATTAGTCTGAACAGACTAAGAAAAATACTAAAAGTATATAAACAAAAATAAAAAACACTATGCAGTCATTTGATAAAATCTTTTCTAATTTGGAAGACTTTCCAAAGATTCAATCAGATGTCTTGAGACAAGGCTTTAAATGTTTTTCCCCTTATTTATGAAATTACTAACAAAATAACCTCCTAAAAAACTAAAGAGAAGATTTTCACAATGCATCAAATATCTTTTATTATGAATAGATATTATACTAAAAGATAACTTTTAATAGGATGACTGTTTCTGTTGAGATTAGGCATTGTAACAGAGTATTGTATGCCGAAAAACATTTGGCCTTTTATTTGTGGAAATGGCCCCTGTATTTCTGGAAGTACAACTATAAAATATTAAAAGTAAATTGTGCTAAAGGTATTACTTTCCAGTACTTATACTGCCGAACGATTTAGTAGCATATTAAATCATAGTTTGAATAATTTATGAGTGGCAATTGTCATGATGTGATGTGTCCTTTGTGATTACAGCCAGCTTTTTTCATTACGTTTTCAGGCTTAATTTCAGTAAATAAATCCAAGTCTGAAGCTCAGGGCACCCAATTCATATCGAAACCTTAAGCCAATAAAATCAGCCACACTGTTTTAGTTGAGTTAAGTGCTACTGGCCTTCATCAGCATTTTACAACTGCAGTTCTTAATTCTAAGTGGTCTGGTTTGTTTGAGACACGGTATACATTCAGTGTATTTAAGTTGTCCTTTTATTGCGTATTTCTGTGTCATTTAATCTGAAAAAAATACAGATCTAAGTAACTTCATAAAAGTCAAAGATTTTGTTTAAAGATGATTTTCAGAAATAAAAGATAAAGTCATGACTCATACAGATATAAAAATGAACAAGCATTAAAGATTTTATTTAACTCATTCAGTGAGGGAAGAAGTTCGATATTATAAGTGGGCACAGAGAGAATGAAAAGATTGGGCATATTTATACAGAGTTGTAAAGTAGCTCAAAAACAGAATTAGTATCAGATAACCCAGCAGGGTGTGCTGGATGTAGAAAAGGTATAGTTGAAAATCAGCTCAAAGGCAGTCAAATACTAGAACCAGATGATTTGGAGAGAGTATCCTCTGGAAAATGCATAGTTCCCACTGAAACATATTTTTTTCCTACATTCTTTTGTCACTAACACCAAAATAATATTTGTGATTTTTATCTACCTAACTGAGGTGCTCTGGTTGTTCAAATTAAAGGGCCCCCTCATTGCTCATGTTCTGACTGTTGAAGTGGTTGATGAGAACAGCTTTAAATCTGCTCCGCAAGGGGGCTCATGCCTATAGTCCCAGAGCTTTGGGAGGCCAAGGCAGAAGGACTTCTTGTGGCCAGGAGTTCAAGACCAGCTTGGCTAATACAGCTGGTCTTATTATTATTATCTTTACAAATTATATTTTATCTTTACAAATAATAATAATAAAAATAATAGAAAACAGATGTAAATCAGTTCAAATTAGGCCAGACTAAATGTCACAATAGAACTCTGACTCACAAATTCTATAGTAACCAGTCCAGGAAGCCAAACTGCAACCTCTGAAGCAATCAACCAAGGGTCAGAATTAATCTACATTGCCACCTTCTTTTTTTTTTTATTTTTTTTGAGATGGAGTTTTGCTCTTGTTGCCCAGGCTGGAGTGCAATGGCGCCATCTCGGCTCACCACAACCTCCACCTCCCAGGTACAAGGGATTCTCCTGTCTCAGCCTCCCAAGTAGCTCGGATTACAGGCATGTGCCACCAAGCCTGGCTAATTTTTTTGTATTTAGTACAGACGGGGTTTCACCATGTTAGTCAGGCCAGTCATGAACTCTTGACCTCAGGTGATCCACCTGCTCTGGCCTCCCAAAGTGCTCGGATTACAGGCATAAGCCGCCGCTCCTGGCCTGTATTTCCACCTTCTATACTTTCTAGTTTCACTCCCAATTCATAACGAAATGAAGAATCCCAAATATGCTCCTCAAGCCAATTGCATAGGATGGTCTACTTCCAGTCAGCCTGCCTCCAGCTTTCACATTCCAACAGCCTCCAGTATGAGCATACCTGGAGCCTTACCTTCTCTCACTCTGAAACTTTCTGACTTCCCTGCCTGCCTCTGAGGGGTGGCCAAATGCAAGTGATGGTGGCTGACTCCCTTGCTACAGCAAGCTTTGAATAAACAGCCCCTGTTCTCATGTGGATGGGCTTTGCTTATTTCCACACCTCCGAACTATGAATAATAGTCCGTAATAGTAACTTAGAAGGAGAAGAAAACTGAAACAGTTTAACATTTTTTCAAATACTCACCTTTGAGGCAGATTGTTTAAAATCTCTGTATTGTAATACACTCAGACTGTCATTCAAGATTCACGTAGATTCTGTAGATGTGTACAGAATACATCTATGTATATTCTGATCATTAAGAAATTTTCAAACTAAACAAGTATTACCTAAATATTGCTTCTTTGCAAAGAGAGGATAGTTTTTATCAATCTTACTGTATTAGTTCATTCTCACACTGCTATAAAGATACTACCTGAGACTGGACAATTTATAAACAAAGTAGGTTTAATTGATTCACAGTTCCACATGACTAGGGAGGCCTCAGGAAACTTACAATTATGGCAGAAGGTGAAGGGGAAGCACAGCAAGTCTGACATGGTGGCAGGTGAGAGAGAGCACATAAGGGAAACTGCCACTTTTAAAACCATCAGATCTCATAAGAACGCTCTCACTGCCATGAGAACAGCATGGGGGAAACTTCCCCCATGATCAAATCACCTCCTACCAGTTCCCTGCCTTGACACCTGGGGATTATAATTCAAGGTGAGATTTGGGAAGGGACACAGAGCCAAACCACATCACTGATCACTATACAATATTTCAATAGAATATTATAGTTTGCTAATATTTATGCTTTTATTTTTACTAATACTGTATATATGTATATAAAAGTAAAATACTTTCATTAATACTGTATCCACTTAATTTTAAATATTATTTTTATGGTGCTTACGGTCATTTATGTTTCATCATTCTATATTTTGTTTATCTTACGTTATTTTCTTATTCATTTATTTCAAAGATCTTTTAAAAGTCATATATTTTTCAAAGAACCAAATTTTTGGTTTTATTAATTTCTAATTTTGTCTATGTATTTGTTTTTCTTACCTTTTAAATTTTTATTTCTAACTTTATGATTTTATCTCCTTTCCCCAACATTTAAAATAAAAGCTTATTTAGTTGTAGTAATACATCTTATATATTACTTTAACCTCATGTCCTAAATATTTCTTAATTTATACTGTGATTTGTTTTTATGTAGGATATTTTATAACTGGAAATTTGGTCTTCAAATATATATGATTTAGTTATTAATTTCTAATATTTTTATTAAGTCAAAAGAACATGGTTAGCATATTCTTTCTTTCGTCAGTATTTATTGAAACTTTTTTATTCACTAATATAGGCTTAATTTTCAGACAATATGAATACCTGCTGAAAAAAACAACAGATCAGAAGATAAACTTTTAGAAAGCACCAAATTGAAAAATAATTAAGCATCTTTTAAGTATAATTGTAAGTTCCATCCTAAGTGCTAGAGCATACATCCAAAATTCTTGGCTCGCTTGAAGTCTACATAAGCATGGGGAAATGAAGGAATATATACATAATAAAAATATTTTATTATAAATATATTAGATATTAGATCACAAATAAGGGCCATGAAGAAAAAGAGGCCACAAAGGAGCAAGGGTGAGATGTTATTTATAATAGGATGTTTGGAAAATGTGTCAGAGAAAGTATATTTGAGAAGAAATGTAGTGTATACGTGAAAGGCATCTATGGAACTATCCAAAAGAAGAGCTTTCTAGACAAAGACAAATGCAAATTAATGGTGTGCTCTATGCACTGATGAAGGTTTTTAATAATAAGTGTTGTGGTTGGGGTTAAAGAAAGACCCCTGATTTATATTGCTCTCTGAATCTTTGTGTTGAAAATACTCTGACCATAGTTAGTTTCAACTTACCAACATGAAATCACTGAATACAGAGCTGGAAACAAATGTACAGTAGCACACCGTTGTACGATTGTGGTTGGGACAACTATATTTTATTTATATATTTACCATGTAAATACAATAGTGTGTATACAGACATGATAGACGTGAATAACCTCCAGAATATAGTGAAGAGTAAAATAGTAAATGATGAGTTTTAGACATATATTACATATGTTTTTCAATATATATTTTTAAAATTTTGTTTTATATAATTTAATATTTAATACTGGCCTGATTTAATAATAGATTTTTAAAGTTCCTGCAAATGTAATCATTAACACTCATATGGAATTCTAGGACATCACTGGTTGCAAGAGTTCAAGGCCAGTCTTTGGGATGGACTTAGTGGATACAAATTCAAGTTAGGTACATGAGCACTAGAACAGACAGGATTGGGTAAGCCCATATATAGAATTTTGCTGTTATTCTAGATGGCTAGGGAGACATTAGAGTGAAGTCGAGAGGGGCCATGACTATTATTTTTAATGGATATCAGTGACTTCTCTTTTGAGAATAGATTGAATTATGGCAAATGAAACACCAGTAAAACCATTTAGGGGAATGTTTCAGTAATCCAGGGAAGGGATTATACTTTTTAGACTAGGCTTAGCAGAAGAAATAGAAGTAAATGACCAATTCTGGATATCTTTTGAAGGTAAAAAAAAAAAAAAATTGCAAATGGATTGAGAGTAGAGTGTGAAATGAAGTCAAGGATTTTGACTTTGAGCTTTTAGAAGAGTGACATTTTTATTAACTGAGATGGGGAAACAAGGGGTAGAATAGAATGATGTCAACATTTGAACATGCTAACTTTAAAATGGTACAAATGAAAATGTTGTATAGGAGTTCAATATATGAATCTGAAGTTTATGTTTTTAGATATAGATAACTAACTATAACTCCCAGGTGGCTTTAGTAATAGGCTTAATAGTAATGGAATTGCTAGGCACTAAGAGAAGTAGTGTCTTGCATTAAGTAGAAAATGTTTAAATAATCACCTGCGTACATATATAATAAGTATAATTATTCTGTTTTGGGGTATAGAGGGATATAAGTCAATTATATTAATAAGAGGTATAGAAAATACCTTCTTTTTAGTTTTAAATGCTTTCAACATTTATTCCCCAGTGACTAGTGAAGGCCACAATCACCCCAGAAAATTTGCTGTTTTTTTTTTTTTTTGAGACTGAGACTCGCTCTGTCACCCAGGCTGGAGTGCAGTGACATGATCTCGGCTCACTGCAAGCTCCGCCTCCTGGGTTCACGCCATTCTCCTGCCTCAGCCTCCCGAGTAGCTGGGACTACAAGTGCCCACCACCATGCCCGGCTAATTTTTTTCTATATTTAGTAAAGATGGGGGTTTCACTGTGTTAGCCAGGATGGTTTCAATCTCCTGACCTAGTGATCTGCCCGCCTCGGCCTCCCAAAGTGCTGGGATTACAGATGTGAGCCACTGTGCCCGGCTGAAAATTTGCTGCTTTCTAATAGAGATTCAATCTGTCTTCCTACTGACCTCAAAGAGGAATTTTAAAAAGCATACATATCTCTGTTTCTCCAGCCAGTTACCACTTAAAATAAGAGTAAATATAATTTGTAACAATTGCTATATGCATAATTTTCTTATTTTAAAATTCTGGGTTTACATTTATCAACAAATGCTATTACAGTGTCCTGGCAACCTAACTCCACCTATGTTTACAATTAGAAATATTTTTAAAACACTAATGTTCCAGTAATAATTTCACAGTCATTATCTAATATTTAGTATAATTTCATGAGGTAAATATCATGTTGATTAGTGATATCACATGTATCTTTGGAGACCTGAACACAGAGATATTCTGCTGAGTGCTGCCCTTCCTGTCTGGTCTTATTTTCGTAAGTCCTTCTTCACTTAAACTGCCACATTGAGTGATAACCAGAGGTTAGACTCTGGTAAGAGTCAGGGCTTTGTCTTGAATGCCTTAGTTATGATTCACGCGACCGAAGTGTACACAATTCTGGGCATATACATAAACATATATATATATATATATATATATAGTGCTGAGCATAAAAAGAATATGTAGTTATCCCTCTTTTCTGTTAAATGTAATCTAGCTGATGAGATCTAAGACTACCTAATCACTTATATTAAAATTCAAATACGTTGAATAGCTTTAAAAAGGAAAAATAAAATGTTGTGGAGGCCAAAAGAAAGGAGAAACCTTAGCAAGTTGCAAAAATCATCAAAGCTCTTATGGAAAAAGCGATGTTGAGTTTGAACTTGATGAATGAATAAAATGTCAACAGGTGGAAAGAGTAGTGAGAGATGACGAGGCAGAAGTGTAAACTGTGAGCAAAAAGTCTTGATGTTGGAGAAAGAGGAGATATTTGGAAAACAAGTAAGTATGGCTGGACTGAAGGTCAGCATAGAGGAATAATATACATTAGAGATGGAAAATATTTTAGAGTGATATTATTGGGAGGCTTGAAAGATACTGTGAGTTTAAAAAATTTTATTAGCAATTGTAATTCTTTCCATGTCTGTCATTAAGAAATTGGTATAATTGCAAGTTAGAAAATAGTTCGCTGGGTAATGCACATTGCAGGACCTCACTCAGGATAGTGGTAGTAACAAGAGAAGAATGAGTGACAGAAGGAATTTTGGAGGTAGAAACCACAGGAGTTTAAAAAGAACTGGGTATGAGAAGTAAGAAAGAAAATGAAACCAACACCAACTGTGGAGTTTTAAGACTGAGTAGCAGAACGTTCCTGAAATTAAGAGGTAGACAGACATGGAATCAACCCAAATGCCTACCAATGATAGATTAAACAAAGAAAATGTGGTACATATACACCATGGAATACTATGCAGTCATAAAAAGGAATGAGATCGTGTCCTTTGCAGGGACATGGGCAGAGCTGGAATCCGTTATCCTCGGCAAATTAACACAGGAACAGAAAACCAAACACTGCATGTTGTCACTTGTAAGTGGGAACTGAAGGATGAGAATACATGGACACATGGAGGGCAACAGCACACACTGGGGCATTTTGCGGGGGCAGGGGGAGGGAGAGCATCAGAATAGCTAATGGATGCTGGTTTTAATACCCAGGTGATGGGCTGATCTGTGTAGCAACCACTATGGCACACTTTTACCTGTGTAACAAACCTACACATCCTGCACATGTACCTCAGAACTTCAAAGTTGAAAAGAAAAAAGGCAGACAGAAGGCAAGAAGGGAAGAAATAAAGTCCAGTTTTGCAAATGTTGAATATTAATTAGATGACACCAGGGAGTCAACTGTCTACATCCTCTGAACAACAAATGGAGGAGAATGAAAAAAAAGTATATATATATACACATAATTCTGACAGTTATTAGAATAGGAATATTAGTTGATCCAGTGAAAGCAGATGTGATTTTGGCAACCCTAAACGGAAAGTTAGACATACTTCTTAACCTTTTCTCCTCTCTCCAGGCCATTTCCCACTTAGAGATACCTTGAATTTTGAACCTTATTTTCCCCACTTATGTTATCTTTTTTTTATTCAGAGTAAGCTGATTATCAAGACAAGTTTCTCTTTCACTGATAAATGCAGCAAGACTGCTAAATGCTCACCAAATGTATTTTCTTCTTTCTTAGCACAAAATTCTGCTTTTGCTTGTAAAGTTAGGAAGGCCCGCTTTTAAATAATAATTGTTATCTCATCTTCTCTTATCATATATCACATTTTGGCCAATAAATTGAAGACAGAAGTCAGAAAGAAATGCACATGGGCTCAGCCATCCAGAATACTTCTCCTTTTGCTCATGCCCTTCTTCCTGCCTGAAACACCCATGTGATGGCTGGAGTTTTTGCGGCCATCTAAACAGCATGAAAATGAGAGTTATATTAAAATTAAGAACAAGCATGATGTTAAAGAGTTAGCACTCTCTTTGATGGCATCCTGGCCCTCTAATCTGGAACTCTCTACTCTGAATTTCTTGTACTTGAGAAAACATTACATTTATAATTCATGTAAGGCAGCTTTTTGTTGCTACCTGAATACAATGCCTAAATGATTAAATTAATTCAATGTTTTCCTGTGCCAATCTGCCATAATATGATTACAAGGATCTATTTATCATCACCATGAGCAATGTATCAATTTTAAGGAAAAGCAATATAAATATCCCATGCTAAGCTACATAATCAATGTGACCTAGTAATATGCATTAAACTAAAAAAAAAGACAAAAAAATGAGACGTGCTTTTTGGATGACAGTGTCATTTATCACCTTGAAATGACTTCAGTTTCTTATTGCGATCACCTTGGTTAACGAGTAGGAACAAACATATATACATCTAAATAAACATTCCACCAATCAGATACCTGCTGAGAAAGCATAACATCTTGAAGTGTCTTCATTTTCTATTCCTAGCATGCTTGCTTCGTGCAGTATGCAGTATGAAATATGTGCAGATACAGTAGAGGAAGGTATAAAGCAATTTGACCAACTAGTGGCTTCTTTCTTTTGAGATAAGTGGTGTATGGAAAACAGTGACAAACAAGGAAATGGGAGGCACACACACACAAAGGAAAACATAAAAAGCAGAAACCTGATTATCTTATCTTGAATAATTTATCTTTTTTTATTATTTATATTTCCTGCACAGTAATTGGTAATTTTAAAAAGGAACATTTTGAATTTACGCTATTAAAGCAAAAAACAAAAAATGCAAATGCAAGTTTAAATATTAAGGACAGTCTAAAATTCCCAAACACATAACTCATCTTTTTTCTTATTTGATCACTGATGATAAATAAATATTGCTCATATTTACTAAATCTTTTCTTTATTAATATATTTATATTTTCTAAATATGCTTTTTATATTATAGAATGAACAGAAGGAATATAGAAAAATTCAAAATGTCTCATTTATGTTCCAAACAAATTTGTTCTACCTATTCAAAGAAACAAATCAGAAAGCTACTCTTTTTTTAATGTATTATGCCTAACCAGGGGTAAACAGAATATACCCACAAAAAAAATTTGGTAAAATAAGAAACACTAGCAGAAAATTTGTATGGCTTACTTTTGAGATATTCTTTTTAGCTTCATTCAGAGCTCATTTTTTTTTTTTTTTATGGATGTTCACACTTTAATACAGGACTTAGGCATGGTTGCTCATCCTCAGCTCTAGTTATCAAACCTGATCAGTTTAAACCAATAATTAGGATTCATAATCATTTTCAGTGATTGAGTTAGTCACAGACTTTAAAGAAGTTTTAACCAATAAGATCATTACAGATATCTGCTAGAAAGTTGTATGGAAGTTTATTCTGAAGGGAAGAAGGGAGACTGGGAGGGAGGGAGGGTGGAAGAAGGGGGAGAGAGGGGGGAGAGAGGGAGGGGAGAGGGAGGGAGTGGGGAGAGAGGGAGGGAGGCAGGGAAGAAAGGAAGAAGGGAGAGTGAAGAAGGGAGAGCCAAGGAAAAAGAGAGAGATTTCTGCTGATTATTCCAAATTGCAGATCTGGGACTAATGTAGCCTTATAATCATCTGAGCTGAAAAATTCAGATCTCTGGATTCCTCTCTGACCTATTGATTCAGAATCTCTGGGGAGTAGTGATCTGAAATCTTAAAATGTAATGTGCAATTTAGTTGGATCTTAGCTGTACAGCTAATAGACATAAAATAAACTTTTTGATATACAGAAAGTCTTCACTCTTTTGCATTTTTAACAAGATACATAATCCCAATTCATTTAATATTATCAAAATGGCTAAGACACATAATCCCAATTCATTTAATATTATCAAAATGGCGAATTCACCAACATTCAAAATCTTGCTTGTGACTCAAATCTAGGTATCTTTAAAATAATTATCTCTCTTCAACCACCCAGAACTTGTCTCACACACCTAAAATCCTGAAAATAATTAGCATCAGCAAATGCCAATTTCTAAGAATTCAAATAACTTTGCTTTTGGTCATTGTAGTCAATTCTAGAATATTCCCCATTAAGAAGTTTGGATTTTTTATTAACTTTATTTCAACAAATAAATGTTATTTAAGAACTTGCAATGGGTTAGTAATCAATGCAAGTTCTATAGTTTGTAGAATCATCATTCTGTAAGCATAAGTAAATTAACTCAATTCTAATGATGTTAATTTAGTGTAGATTTGGATGATCACAACTGTTTCACCAAGTCTGTTGTCTTAATGACCAACAGAGCAGATGCTCCTCCTTCTCTTAAGCAATACTCATGAAGATAATTATTAGATTCTGCACAGACAAAAGGAATGTGCTCTCAGCTGGGACTTGTTCCTGATAACTAGGCTGCAGCATCTGCCTGCTGATCAGTAGAACAAACAAGCATGAGTTACAGAAAATAACTCACAGCTTTTAATATACCTGGTACAGTTTATTTGCATTCCATGCTGATACAACTGCAGAGTGGGTTTGGAAATATACTACTGATAACATACTGTCATTTGTACCATCAATGAAGCTGGTGATTAAACCAGCTTCATTTCTGAATATAGTTACTGAAAGATAATTACAGAAGATGCAAGCATCTAGAAATTAAAAATGTCAGCCATGCCCTCTGTCAAGATATTCTGCAGCAATATGACTTTTTCTTATGAAGCAAGTTGCTTTATTTCATCCTGTGATGTCTTTGTTTAAATCAGTTCTAAAAAGCAGATTATATGCAAATGAACCTGAATAATTGGGAATACCTCACAATCTTAATGTTAAATATGCAGACCTAAGAATGTGTCCATGTTTCAATGTATTGTGATTCAGGGTTATATTTGCATATTCATAATTTACATCTTTAATTAAAAAAAATACAAATGTGGGGGCACTTCTCTGCAGGTTCGATATCTTAGGCATTCTGATTTGAGGAAGTCCTTTTTTTCCCTGACAAAGTAAGATAAGATTACTTTTAGCTGACATGACTAAAGTAACAGATTCTCTTCAAGCACAATTTAGGTAAAATTACCAGAACACAATGTATTCAAAATATTCCATCAGGATTTTTTAACATATTATACATACTTAGCAACTTATGAAAAATAAGAGTCTTAATAGCTGTTCATCCATAAGCAAATAAATGTATTTGTTCAAATCATTTCAATCTACATTAACAATTTAGTTTAAGTTTTGGGAAAGATAACCTTCATGATGTCAAACAAATATCTCTAGTTTCTAATGGGTCTGCAAGAGAAATTCTCTAATAATTAGCATTTATAAAGAAAATGATTTTAACCAGAAATATCCAAACAACTTTTTATTTGATAAATGGGCTTATGTGCTTTGTGCTTTATAATGTGTATGTGTTTTGCTTCTCAACTGCAAATGTTACACGTTTCTTGAGTAAAACTACTATGATTAGTTATACACCTCCACCAGAAATATATACACCATGATATACCACCACATAGTTGCATTTAACATAAGCAACAACCTGAAAATCAGAGAGTCTTGCTAATTAAATTATCTTTTGATGGTCCAAAACTGGTCCTTACCTTTGTTTCCAGTTTCTAGACTAGTGACATTTAAATATTCTTTCTGTAACTCCAATTACAAAACTCCTTTTATATTTAAAATGTTTTGAGTTAAACCATCTTTAATTTTTAGCCAACTTTAAGATATTTGATGTTAAAATTAAAATTAAATAGCTCTCTTAGCACATCAAAACATTTGACATTAAAAAATATGTGCATTTGCTACATAACTAAACTTCTCAGATCAATTATAATCAAAATGGACTATGAGGCTGGGCATAGTGTCCCATGCCCATAATCCCAGCACTTTGGGAGGCTGAGGCAGGAGGACCACTTGAACCCAAGAGTCTGAGACAAACCTGAGCAACAAGGCAAGACCCCCATCTCTATAAAAAATAAAAATAAAAAAAGTAGACAGGTGTGATATTGTGCACCTATACTCCCCACTACTTGGGAGGCTGGGGTGGGGGGATTGCTTAAGGCCAGGAGGTCAAGGCTGCAGTCAGCCATGATCACACCACTGCACTCCTACACTCCTGCCTGGGTGACAGAGCAAGAACTTGTCTGAAAAAAAAAAACAAAAAAGAGAAAAAAAAAAACAGAGAGAGAGAGAGAGAGAGAAATGGACTGTGATGACCAGAAGTAGTGACCATTATTGGACATAAGAGCATTATGCTATTAAAAAAAAAGTGACCATTGCAAACACATGAAAGCCCTATTCACTGAACAGCTAATTTGATTACAAGAAATTCAGAGTAAGATGTATCAAAGTTCTCTGCCTATGGCAAACAGTACAACTTTTGTGCCTGTGTTCTTTCATATTACCTGCTCTCTCTTCCTCATCTTCACCCTACTCCACTAAACTCATTCTTTCTAGCCACAGTTTACTAATTCTTTAATGATCAGTTAGCCCTACCTACTCCCTAAATCCTCTCTCATGTTCTAGCCAATTCCATCTTTTTGAGATTCTAGAATGCCTATGGTTGTTTCATTCACTTTGGCAGCTAGTCATGTTTGCTCTTATTATCATCCTCTCAAAAAATAGCTGAGCATCTGTTATGGGTCAGAGATGATGGAATATAAATATATAAAGACAGGTTTCATGGATCTGTGCTTTCTGTCTAGTTTATTTTCAGTAACGGACATTTGACATAAGGTTATACATCAAATAAAAGTCAACATCCATTCCTAATGGTACTGAGAAAAATAGTTAAGAGTTACTAAATTCTTCATATCTGCTTAACACTACCCTACGGCCTTTACATGTGTTTTCTTCTCCTAAATGAACTAAATTTAAGACGGTGTTAGCATTAAACAACTTTTCTTTTTTGTCACTACCCCCTTAAACCAAGCCTGAAGATTCATTACTTCTACAAAGCCATTAGATGAACATTTTGGCTGGTGTAAAAACATTCTCAATCACTCTTGACAAATAAACATTCCTCCAGGTATTTTAAGTCCCAAACAATCCATGTCAGTAATTAAAATATCAATTCTAATGTAAAATAAAATAATTAAAATTCTTACATAATATAGAACTTCTTATCTCCTCCAGCTAGATATTACTTCAGACTTAGGGATGGAGGATGAAAGAGTAAATATGGCCAATTCCTTTTTTTTTTTTTTTTTTGAGATGGAGTCTAGCTCTGTCACCCAGGCTGGAGGGCAGTGGCACGATCTCGGCTCACTGCAACTTCCACCTCCTGGGTTCAAGCGATTCTCCTGCCTCAGCCTCCCGAGTAGCTGGGATTACAGGCGCCCACCACCACGCCCAGCTAATTTTTGTATTTTTAGTAGAGACGGGGTTCCACCATGTTGGTCAGGCTGATCTCGAACTCCTGACCTTGTTATTCACCTGCCTCGGCCTCCCAAAGCGCTGGGATTACAGGCGTGAGCCACCACACCCGGCCACGATATGGCTAATTTCTGAACCCTATCCTAGCTATACTTCCTCTTTATCCAAACATTTATGAGTTTCCCTAACCTTCCAGGATTTGAGCTAGGGAACAGGTAATTACCGGCAAGGAGAATTTGTTGTTGGCAAGTGTTACTGTCATCTGGTATCAGGACAAGGTGTGTGATTGTGAAACAGGCCTTGTTTTCTGGGGTGCCTACTACCCAAAGCTCTTGGTCTTGAGACCAAGGAAATCAAGGAACAGGGACACACCAAGGGTGAAGTTGGAACAGAAGTTTAATAAGTGAAAGAAAGAGAGAAAGCTCTCTGAGATAGAGAGGGGTCCCGTAAAAGGGTAGCCATCCTACAGTGAAATACAAGAATTTTATAAACGAGCTAGTGGGGAGGGGATTCTTTATCTACATAAGGCAAGAAAACCCGGTTAGGACTGGGTATGTTATCTGCATAAGGTGCAAATTCCTGACAGCCCCCACCCAGTCCTTCCAATGCACATGGGGGATCTTAGCCTAAGTTACTCCATGTTGCTCAATTTCCCTTACTGCACATGTGTTAGGGGGCAGCGGGCAGAATCTTCCCTTGTGGATGTGCCTGTCCCAGTGTAACTCTCCTTATCTGTGCAGCTGCAGGCATGTTCCAAGCAAGCCCTCCTGTGTAAGCCTCCTTATCTGAGTATATCCAAAAAAAGATAAGAATGTGCTCACTGGGGTCCCCGTATGTATATAAAACTTGCTGATCACACAGAAGGCACTCTTTGGTGCTGGGTCTTGCTTCCCTTATCTATGCTTGCAGCTTGATCTTTTACGCTGCTCCTTTCCTTTTGTTAGAAGAGAAGTTCTGCCAAGGACCTTCCCCTTGGCAAATCAACTAGCTGATTTCTTTCTTTCTCGTCTCTCAATTGGAGTTGATTCTTTTCTTCCATAGGCACTTTCGAGGGTTTTGTTTCTGTTTTTGATTTTGTTTAGATTTCCCTTCCCCTCACAACCTCTGATTTCTATTTCCTGGAGTCTCTTCCACTGCCACTGCTCACAACTTGCTTCTCAGCAACTGGGCTGCTGTGCTAACCAGAGATTTATCCTTTCTAATAGAGTCAGCTGCACAGCACACTATAAACTACCCCCCAACCCAACCAAAGACACTCCCTTCTATTTTAGACTCTTGAACCTCTTACAATTTTGATGTGGGTGATGGGCCAAAGGTCTCCAAATCAGTTTTAAGCATCTCTCAACAATCCAACCCAAGTGCATTAATAAGGTCAACAAATATTTACTGAGTGCTCAGGCACTGTTCTGGTCAGTGAGAAAACTTTAGTAAACAATCGGACAACAACCCCTGTCTTCATGGAACATAGATTTTTAATGAGAGACACAGAAAATAAATATGAGTTTGAAAAAAGAAAAATATATACTATGTACGATGGTTAAATTTTATGTGTCACTATGACTAGGCTATGGTGCCCAGTTATTAGCTCAAACACTAGTTAAGATTTTTTTTCTGTGAAGTTATTTTATAGATGTGATTAACATCTACAATCAGTTGAATTTAAGAAAATTACATGGGTCTCATCCAATCAGTTGATTACCTTGTAATCAACTGAAATCATGATTGAACATACAGCCTGCCGGACTGCCCTTTACATTTCAGACTCAAGATTACAACGTCAATTCCTGTCTGAGTTTTCAGCCTCTCAGTCTGCTCTGTGGATTTCAGACTTGCCACCTCTCACAATCACGTGAGAAAATTTCTTAAAATAAATAATAGATATGGAGGAGACGTTAAAACATTTATCTCTTTCTCTATCATCTGTCTATCATCTATCTATCTATCCATCTATCAATCAATCAATCATCTATCTACCTATTTATCTTACTGGTTATGTTTCTCTGAGGAACACTGATATTCTTTGGTAGATAGTGATAAGTGCATAGTAGAAAAATAAAAACTGAAAGGAGCTTGCAGTCTATGCATATGTGTGTGTGGGCGGTGAATAATTTTTAGGTATGGTGTTTCAGAAAGGCCTCACTGGGAAGGGGACTTCGGAGGAAAATAAAGAAAGGGAAGAGGTCTTGGGACTATATGCCGGCAACAGCCTTTCAGACAAAGTGAACAGCGTTTGCAAAGGGCTCTCAGCTGAGAGCATGCCTAGCTTGTTTAAGAAGCAGTGAAGCCTATGGCAGTGAGTGGAGTGAAAGAGATGAAGAAAAGTAGGAAATGAAGTCAGACAAGTTACAGAGGCCAGATCAAAACATGGAGAACGTGGTCAAAACTCTGGCTGTTAACTTAAAGAGATAGGACACTGATGGCAGGAAAATTTCCAGAAAAGAACTGGAGTGACTTTGATTGTTTCCTTGAGAGTAGACAAAGGAGGGTAAAGGAAGGAGTAGGGAGAACAGTTAGGAGGCTATTTTGTTAACCTAGGTGAGGGATGCCAGTGGCTTAGAACAGATTGGTGGCTATGAAGTTGTAAGAAGTGATGTGATTCTGAGAATATATTGAAAGTGGAGTTAGGACAATAGACTTGTGACAAGAGGTGGACTAGAAAAAAAATAGTCCAGGATGACAGCCACCATTTTGGCATGAGAAATTTGAACGAAGGAATAGCCATTAGTTGAGATGAAAGAGATGCAGAAGCAGATGGGGAGTGAGGAACTGATGGTTCTACTTTGCTTCAAAAAAAAGCAATTACAAATGTTTTAACATTTTATTCTGTTATAGGAATATTAACTTATTGGATCATTACAAAAGCCATGAGGCTAATAATATTATCCCAATTTCACAGAATAGAAAAGAGAGATTATAACATTTTATATGTATATGGTATTCTTCTCAGATTACAAACAAAATTATTGAGTGTATTTCATTAACCAATCAGTGTGCACTGATTGGCTTGGGTCATGATGCTCAGTAGGCAAGGCAATGTCTAGAAGAAAGATCTAGAAACTTCCTCTCTGTACTCAGAGGGGTTTTCTTTGTTGTTGCTGTTGTTTGTCTCAACTGGAGGACTGCTTTCATTTTAGGTTTTAATGTTCACACACACCCGAGTACTAAAGCAAATATTTCTCTGGATTTTATCCATGAATTGTTTAGCCCTATCTAGATTTTCTGATTATTTATACATATTTCCAGACAAATATCCAGTAGAAGCACTTCTGCATTTCCACTGCTTTTAATGTTTCACTTTCTCTTACTTTTTGCTGTGGCAAGAAATGGCACCAAAACTTAGAAAATGACAACAAACACAGATTACTTGAATGTGTTACTTGAGGGCTACGTGTAAGTTGAGCTAAGTGGGTTGTGTCTGATAGGTTAAGTTCAAGTAAGCTCTATGTCTCCTTATTCTTGAATCCAAAGTCAGAGGTAAATAGGGGAAATATAAGTATACCCCAGACTCCTGCAAGATTGAAAGATTTGTTGATAAGACCCAATGCATGTGGGATGGGAGTTAAATCCAAATTCCATTTAATCTCAAATGATAGGGTGAGTTGAGTTCATATCTGGGTTAAACATTCCCTAATAAAAAACAAACAACAAACAAACAAAACTGTTCTGAATCCTATTAAGAGTATAAGCAGTACAGCTGTGGAGGAAAATCTGGAGGATGGGAAATTTCTAATGTAAGATTAATATAATATTTTAAATCAAGAATTGTCTTCACTTTCTCTCATCCTCTATTTCTTCTCTATTCTGATTTACACTAGTTTAATAAACTAGTTTGGGGCTATATAACCTTTCACATACTATTTACCAAATTTATATTGTCCCTGCAATTTTTGTTTTGCCACAGACCATGAAGCCACGGAAGACCTAGAGTTACTGAAATTATATATAGGCACTTTGGGAGTGTGAATTCAGTAAAGTGTGTATGAGTTAGCTGAGCCAACTAACTTGCACCTAGGACTTCTGATAGCCAATTCAAGTATCTTTCTACTGTTATTTCCTTTTACCAAATACTTAAGTTACTGTTGATGAATTGGGAAATAACATTTTTGGATATTCACTTAAATTAATCTAAAATAAAAGTTAACAAAAAACCCTTAAGTTGTTAAAATACACTTTCTACTTAACATTGAAGAACATGTTGAATATCCACAGTGTCACTATCAAAGTGTCACTACTCAATATCCTCTCACCCTCAGCAAATCTTTCCTTGTGATGCACCCAGAAACCAATAATTAACCTCCAGATTCATATAATTCAGGTTCTCTTCTTTTTAAGCATATGAGGCCATATCAGGGATATAAATTATCTTCTGATACTTCAGCTAATGATCTGATCAAACTATCATGATTTCTTAGATTTGTATTACTTTATAATGATTTCATAAATTACAGCTTATTTTGCTAGGAAAAGCCAAGAAAAGAGCAAACAGCAACTAAACATGAGCTCCTTTCCATGCAGACCAAGGGCTTAGGGTGGTGGAAAATAAGAGCAACTGTTGAAAAAATTACTTGCCTTTTTGTTTATAATCTTTTCTCCAAAAGACTTGAGTATATGCCTAAGGTAGGCTATATCAGAAAAGGTTATGGGGTCTAATTATCCATTAAACTTTCTGTAACTCAACTTGTGATTTTTTTAATAAAACATATTTTTAAAAGTTTCTTTGTCATTATTAAATAATTACATTTCTGGGGCTTGACGTTTCTCCAAGCCATGAGGGTACCAAGATCATTAACTGTTCACGTGAAAATACTACCTAACCTCTCTTTGTGTATTAATGTTTTATTTTATCGCTTAAATATTGATTCAGAATAAATATTATTCCGAACTAAGTACTTATACGTGATTTGCAGAGGGCTTTGTAACCTAAATTCTTTGAGAAATTGTATTACCTGCCAGCTCTATACTCTGTCACAATATTCCATGTGTCATTCTGGCACATTAGAGCTATTACCACAATATAGAAGCTTTGCTTTCAGCTTTCATAACATTTGAAATTTGCACATTTATTATACTTAGTTTAAACATAACCCACCCAGTAATTATTTCTTTAGGATTTACTATGGGGGAAAAATAAATAAATGAATATCCTATGCCACATGACCCTAAATTACATTCAGCATATTTCCTCAGGTGTATTTAAATAAATATGTAAAATGTTGGTGACAGAATCAGGTTAATGTTAACAGGAGACATTTAATGCAACAGAAATGAATAGGCAATTAATTTTGGTGGTAGCAATAGTTCAAGACTCTTAACGGTGGTACCTTTGAACTGTAAGATCTTTGCAAAAAAGGAGATGTTAATATTCTTCTCTATGGATGATATACATGTATATTTAGATAATTTTAACTTTTAACATTATCACTTGCACGTTTCTACAAATAACTTATAATAATTGCATGACCTCGATTCTACTAGTTTTAGGCTACATAAATACATGCACACACACACGCGCACACACACACACACGATGCTATGTTCTGTCTATCCCATTACTTAGATCCTCAAAATATTATTGGCATTGACCTTATTATTTTGAACATATTCTACACATTTAACAATGTAACCCCCCAAATATGTACAGCTTACGCATCAATCAAAAATATCCAAATCCCCTTCAGGAGGTGAATACATAAGTTAACTGTGGTATATTCAGACAATAAAATATCATTCAGCACTAAAAACAAATGAACTATCAAGCCATGAAAGACACAGAGGAAGCTTAAATGCATATTACTAAGTGAAATAAGATAATCTGAAAAGGCCGTATACGTTATGATTCCAACTATATCACATTCTGGAAAAGGCAAAACTACAGAGACAGTGGAAAGATCGGTGGTTGCCAGGGATTAGACTGGAAAAGAAATGAATAGGCAGAGCACAGAGGACTTTCAGGGCAGTGAAAGTATCTGAGACTGTAATGGTACATGCACATCATTATACATTTGTCCAAACCCATATGATATACAACACAAAGAGTGAACCCTAATGTAAATTATGGACTTGTAGTAACTATTATGTGTCAATGTAAGTTTATCAATTGCAGCTAATGTGCCACTTTGGTGATGCATATGCATAATAGTGGAGGCTATGCATATGTGTGGGAGGTGGGGTTAGACGGTATATAAGAAATCTCTGTACCTTTCTCTCAATTTTGCTGTGACCTAAAACACCTCTAAAAAGTAAAGTCGGTAAAAAATAATAACAAACATAACATGAGCAAATAGATGAATTCACAAAGAAAGGCTTAAGTTTCTTTTCAACATCTTGGAATAAATGAAAGGTGTTTCTTTTTTTTTTTTTTTTTAGATGGAGTTTTGCTTTTGTAGCCCAGGCTGGAGCACAATGCTGCCATCTCGGCTCACCACAACCTCCACCTCCCGGGTTCAAGCGATTCTCCTGCCTCAGCCTCCCGAGTAGCTGGGATTACAGGCATGTGCCACCACGCCCAGCTAATTTTGTATTTTTAGTAGAGATGGGGTTTCTCCATGTTGGTCAGGCTGGTCTCGAACTCCCGACCTCAGGTGATCCACCCGCCTTGGCCTCCCGAAGTGCTGGGATTACAGGCATGAGCCACTGCGTCTGGCCAAAAGATGTTTCTTAAACATAATTTTAGAATATATGCATTATCTATGGGAACCTAATTAGCATCACACTGGCTAAGGGAGTTCAACTTCTCTAATGTGTATGGAAAATGCAAAGACTTTTCTGTAAATTATTTTCTTATGCTGGGAGGAAATTTATAATTCTAAGATACAGGCAAACATATACTATACATATATTATAATATATTTATGTTATATCACATATACATTATATTATATGAAATGTTAATATATATAATATGCATCATATATTGATTTAATATATAAACATAATATATTACATATTACATCTTATAAATATAACTTTATATTTAATAATATTACCTAAATATATCTTCTGATTCAGTGTCTTCCCCCTACTACTTCCTTCTTCAAAATTTGCCTTGTGCCTTTAAACCATGACATCTAGGATGTCTCCAATCCAACATCACTTGAGTCTTTAATACCCTCTCTTCTAGTCTAGTGCTTCACTGTTATATGACCCTTGATGCTGGTCCTGTTTAGATTATTTTTAATGCAACTGTACTGTGGCCAATGCCTCCATTTGCACTGATCACATCTGGTGCCACTCACTCCACTGACATTAAATTACTATGGATGTTTTAATACACAGTGCAGCCAACAGTATCACAGTGCGGTGATAATCTGCCATTATCACTAACAGTCTTGATTCTTTTATCACAACTAGTGGTGCAGCTTTTGTCCAATTGTTTCTGTTGAGTTAGCTACTGCTGTTGTTGAGCTTTTGTTTGTTGGTTTTTGTTTTTGATTTTGTTACCACCAGTCTTGTACTTAAATTCTAACAGTAAACTTTCTGCCACTTTTTATTACCATTGTTCAGGTCAGTCAATTCAACAGATATTTCTTAAGCATCTAGACTGACCATCCAGGATTAGTGCTGTGTATGAGGGAAACAGACATAGTCCCAGCCCTCAAGACATTAATAATTCTAAGGTAGAGGCAAACAGATATTATATCTCAGTGAGGATTTTACAAACTAGTGTTCATGATTTTACAATTGCTTCTACTCTTGCCTTCTGGCACTCATAGTCACTGCTCCATGTCCTAAAAAGGTTGCTGTGGACAATATAGGGATTAGAAACATATTATTTATTAACTAAAAGTAGGTCCTTAGTTGGGATTCTTCAAAAAGCCATCACTGCCTCATATTAAAATGCTTCTATCTTTATATTCTATCTTTATGCTTTATCTGTGTTTTCCACACAGTTATTTATAATTTCTCTCCTTTCTTTTTCATTTTCTGGCACACTTACACTTATGAGCCTATAAATAGTAAAGCAAACTTTTAAGCTTTTTTTTGTTTTACTTTTTTATCTCTGCCACTACATAACAACTTTTAAGCTTTTGTACATACCATTTTAAAAGAATCCCCAAAATGTTTTCTCTGTGTTATCGCCATGTAATGAATTTAATAAAATTCACCTAGCTTTTTAAAAACATTACAATTCATTAGCAAAATTATAATTGTGTTAAATAATATAGAAATTCAATATAGAAGTTATAGTGCCACACTGTTATATTCCTTTTTATGCCTCGATTGAAGACCAATCCATAGAAGAAATTTTATTTTAAAATTAAATTTCACAAGTTATTTAAATACAAATCTCAAAATATAAGAATTTATAGACTTTGTGTCATAATAAGTTAAAAATGGCATCTTTAAATCTTTACTTAATTGTAATACATCACAAGTATTGATAACAGCTTCAAAGTAACAAACATGTAAAAAGTTAGTAGTCAAATGAAGACATTTCAACAATTTTTGTCTTATTTTTATTATCCTGTTTATAAAATAATTGTTGTTTATACTCTCCGGTGAAAAAAAATTAAAATTACATTATATATAAATCTATACATGGAAAATAACATGAAGAATTATCACAATAACAGATTTAATGTAAAATATGTAACTCATTCATCCAAATAAGTTGGATCAAAGCTGTTCAGTGGCTCTCGTCTGTAATCCCAGCACTTTAGGAGGCCGAGGTGTTCCAGTCACTTGAGGCCAGGAGTTCAAGACCAGCCTGGCCATCATGGTGAAACCCCGTCTCTACTAAAACTACAAAAATCAGCCAGGCTTGGTGACACATGCCTGTAATCCCAGCTACTCGGGAGATTGAGGCACGAGAATTACTTCAATTTGGGAGACAGAGGTTGGAGCGAGCCTAGAATGGTCCACTGCACTCCAGCCTGAGTGAGAGAGCAAGACTCTGTCTCAAAATAAAATAAGCTGGATAAATATCTTCTTGGCTTGAATTTCAGGGTATCTTTCCAATTTTATGTGTGTTACCAGAGTCCTAATTATATCTCATTTCATCCTTATTGTATCTGATGCCAGTGCATTTTGTTATCTAGTATTTAAACATGGATGCTACAGCATTCATACATGGCAATAAAATTAATATGAAAAGAATAAAAATGGGATAATCAGTGGCTAATGGCTTGAGATTTATAACACCATTGAGAGATTTTATTGATTTAAAGTTCATCTAGGATATAGATTAAAATTATCATCTAAGTTAGTTCAAAATAGAAATATCCACAGTGATATAATCTGATTTTGTTCAAAGTTTTTTATATGGTGACACTTAGTAAAATTATTTATGTTGTCATTTCAGTGTGCATGAATAAGAGAATACCTATGTTACATCAGAATATGTATGTAAGAAGGGAGTAGAATATGTAAAGACATATTTTACATATTGAAAAAGATAATTATTTGAGTTTTAAATTTATAAATGACTTTTGCTATAAAAATATTCAACAGCCAGCCTGAAGATGAATTTGTAATATTTTAACATTTAATTTAGCCAGATAAAATAGTCCAGAACTGAGTATTCTAAGATAACTTTCTGTAATCATGGAAATGTTCTATATTGGCACTGAATAAAACAGTAACCACAAGCTATACATGTTTTGCTAAATTCAAATTTACATTAATTAAAGCTTAATACATTTAAATATTGAGACCCTGAGTAACACTTGCCACGTCTCACATGATCAATATTGACTCATGACTACCATCTTGGGCAGTGGAGATGTATATTTCCATCGTTATAGATACTTATATTTGAGTACTCTCTTCTGGATCATTTCATGTAGTGAATCTAAACATTAAATGAATTCAAATGAATCTTCAGGCTGGCTATTGAATATCTGTATACCAAAGATCCTTTTCAAATTCAAAAAGGAAAGAATGATTTTGCAGAATGTAAATATATATCTTTGTGCATACATAGAAGTGTGTTAAAACTGGTCAATTTAATATGCTTTGGTTCCCAGAAAAGTAAGTCAACCTACCCCAAATATAACCCTGTTTCTAATCTCTTATTTGAAGGAATAGTAATTCTAAATAGTATCAGAGCTCTAAGATGATAAAGATTTATAGAATGAGATCTGTGGAACATTAAACATACTCTTGAAATAATTAAAGAAACTATAACACAGTTAAGTAAAATTCTCCATGTAGACTTCTGCTTCTAGTCATACAAACTAACTGTCTGGATTTGCCTTCTCACACAGAGTATATATGCTCTAATTATTTTCAGAAATTGAACATAGGCAACACAAAGCTGTAGTCCTTGAAAGAAGAGAAATACATAAATGAGCCCTGTGATTTTCCTTGGTATCTTCCTTGAAGCACTTTTCTTTTTCAGCACAGCAAAGTGAATCTCAGACAAAAGAGTCATCTCCAAGAGCAGAGAAGGGAAAGAGTGTAGTTCTGGACTGCTGAAGTGTATCAGATTAATAAGGCAGCTTACCCAAGAAGAGGAAATCATGAAAGGTCAAAGGTGGGCAGAAATCTGCATAAGAATTCATTATGTGTTCTAAGCTGAAGCCTAAACTGTGTAGGCCCAGCGGCAAAAACTCCATGAGGACAAATAGTTATCACTGATAAAGCCTAAATGTTGAACGGTAATACCCGTGGTCATGCTGCACTAAAACACACTGGAGTTCCAGCTCTTCCAGAGTGAAGAGACCTCGCTGAGTAACTGGGTGATCAGCTAAGAGTCCATTAAGACCAAACACAGAGAAAATTACCACCCTACAAGAACAAAATACCATTAATTTGAAATTAAAATATTTCCACAAGAGAAATATAAGGCCTGTTACTTTGCTGGTAAATTTCACTAAGGAAGGAAAAAACCACCAATTTTAAAAATGCTATTAAGAAATAGAAAAGGAAGGATCATACCTCAGTTTGATTTATTAGGCCAGAATAACACTGCTATCAAAATCTGTCAAAGGCATTTTAATACTTTTACAGATCAACATCCCTCATAAATATCGACGCAAAAATGTCTAACAAAATTTCAGCAAATTGAATCCAAGTATACAAATTACTAAGTGGTGTTGATCCACAGCATTTTAGAGTTTTTGTTTGTTTGTTTGTTTGTTTATATTCAATCTGTAGTCAGTTTAATCTCTTAAGGTAAAAAGAGAAATAAAAAAATCAGATGAAATTAACAAATGATTTTTAAATTAAAACTCAACAAAAACTCTTGCTAAAAATTCTTGGTAATGTAGAAATATACAAAAAAATTTCAATCTGATAACACATATTAAAACTTGGCATTAACATGCTGCTTTATGTTGAAATAAAGAAAAATTTCCTTCTAAAATCTAGAAAAAGTTGTGATGATCAGTCTGACAATTTCTGTTCAACACTGTCCTGATGGTCCTAGCGAGTGAAGTGAAGCAATAGAAGAAAATGTTAAGAAAATGTTTAAAGACTGGAAATAAAAAATGATCTATTCATATATACAAAATATTTTATACAGAAAGTCCTGAAATCTACAATACCTATTGTACCATTAAGTTTGTCTTTTTTGAACTTCAAACCAACAAAGATCAGGAAAGACAAAGAAGGGCATTACATAATGGTAAAGTGTTCAATTAAACTGTTTTCTATTATTTTTCAGATTTTACTTTTACATTGTTTGCTGCTATATTGTCCTTGTATCCTGAAACCCTAACAAATTTAATAAATATATTAAGACTTAAATGTAAAATCCAAAATTATAAAAGCCCTGGAAGACAACTTGGGCAATATCATCCTGGACCTAAGAACTAGCAAAGATTTCACGACAATAACATCAAAAGCAATTGCGACCAAAGCAAAAATTGACAAGTCGGATCTAATTAAAGTTAAGAGCTTCTGCACAGCAAGGGAAACTATCAACAGAATAAACAGACAACCTATAGAATGGGAGAAAATATTTGCAAGCCACGCCTCTGAAAAAAGGTTTAATACCTAGAATCTATAAGGAACTTAAACAAATTTACAAGAGAAAAACAAACAACCCCGTTATAAATTAGGCAAAGGACATGAACAGATATTTTTAAAAGAAGACATATATGCAGCCAAGCTCAATATCACTGAGCATTAGAGAAATGCAAATCAAAATCATAATGAGATACCATCTCAGACCAGCAGAATGGCTATTATATAAAAGTCATAAATAACAGGTGATGTCGAGGTTGCAGAGAAAAAGGAACAACTTATACACTCTTGGGAGTATAAATTAGTTCAACCGTTGTGAAAGGCAATATGGCAATTCCTCAAAAAGCTAAAAGCAGAATTACCATTTGACCCAACCATCCCATTACTTGGAAATATACCCAGAGGAATATAAATCATTCTACCATAAAGACATACACACGAATATTCACTGCAGCAGTATTTACAACGGCAATGATGTGGAAACAACCTAAATGTCCATCAATGACAGATTGGATAAAGAAAATGTGGTACATATATACCATGGAATAATATGCAGCCATAAAAAAGGAGATCATGTCTTTTGTGGGAACATGGATGGAGATGGAGGTGGTTATCCTTAGCAAACTAACACAGGAGTAGAAAACCACATACGTCCTGTTCTCACTTACAAGTGCAATCTAAATGATGAGAAGTCATTAATGCAAAGAAGAGAACAACAGAAACTGGGGTCTACTTGAGAGTGGAGGGTGACAGGAGGGAGAGGAGCAGAAAAGATAACTACTGGGTACTGGGCTTTATGCCTGGATGATAAAATAACCTGTACAACTAACCCCCATGACAGGAGTTTACCTATGTAACAAACATATACTGCTGAAACTAAAACTTAAAAAATGACATACTTAAGAATGAATTTTATAATGTGCATACATTCATGGACTGGAAAACTCATTTTTGTTAATATATCAATAATCTCCAATTTGGCTTATAGATTTAATGTATTTCCAATCAAAAATCATCATTTTATTACTAAAAATATTGACAATTGATTCAAAAATTGATCGTCAAAACAATCTTGAAATCTAGGCTACTAAAAAATAATAAAATCTCGAATATTTCAAAGTACCCTGAGAAAACAATAACAACAGTAACAGAACAGTGTTAGAGGGCTTACTACGTATTATTCCATGACTTCATATAAAGCCACAGTAGGTATTAATATAAAGAGATCAGTAGAAAGGAAAAAAAAGAACAAAAATATATTAACACAAACCCTATGAATGGATTTTCAAAGCTGGCTAGCTAGTAAGGAAAGGCTTTTCATTTAATGATTTAAATGATGTTGGAATGGTACAAACATCTGGAAGAACAATTAACTGAATTAAAACCATGTGCATAATATCACATACCTACATATTTGACATAAAAATATCAATGTATATAAAAGATAAAATTATGACAATTCTAGTAGAATACATAGAATGTTTTCAGAAATTTAATACTAAACATAACATAAAATGATTCATTAAATGTTACAGAATATATTAAATGTTACTTACTCAAAATAAATAACATTTCTAATGAAAAGATACCAAAAGAAAATGAAAAGATAAACCACTAAATAGGCAAATATATATGCAATGCATGAAACAGAGATGGTATCCAGAATATATAGACATACATATATCAAATAGATGTACACACACTTTGACACACACATACATATAACCTAAAATGAATTTTTTAAAAAATGAATAACACAATGTAAAACTGTATAAAATATTTGAGACATTTAACAAATAAGACTAATTAATGGTCAATAAGCACATGAAGATGTGCTCAGCATCAGTTAATCAAGGGAAATACAAACAGAGGTTACACTGAGGTATTATTTTGTATGTACTAGAATATCTAAATTAAAGAGACTGGTTGACATCAAATCCTAGCTAAGATGTGGAGCACCAAGAACTCTCATATATTGCCTGGATGTATAAAATGGGATGACTATTTGAAGAGCTATGAGGCACCTAAAATTTATACATATGACCGCTTTATGACTCAGAAATTCTACTCCTGAGACAAATTAAAATATACATTTAGGGAAAAACAATTTTAGAAGATTTAGTCATAAAAGCTGAAAACTGGAAACAATCTAAATATGCTTAAGTGGAAGACTAGATGTCTAAATTGTGACACATTTACACAGGGGGGTATTACTCAGCAAAAAAACAAACTACACTAATGGATACACATCAAAAACATATGCCAAAACAGAATCCAAAACTAAAGGGTTTATATAGTATGATTCTATTTATTTGAAGTTGAAGAACGGACAAAAGATACAGATGATAATGTAGTATATATGATGATTATAGGATAGCTGGTTTTAAGCCTGCAGAAGGAAACTTTCTGAAGTAATAGAACATGTCATATGGTGACTGAAGAGCTAGTTACATAGATGACTACATTTGTTAAAACATTCATCTTATGTTTGGATGCCATTTATTTTATTCATAAAAATTGCACCTGTCCAAAAAAATCACCCAAAGATATGGGACAATTTTGAATTAATTAATTATAAAATATAAAAGTTCATTATATTATATTGAACATAATTTGCAGCATAAAAGTGCAGCAAAAAAAACTCTCAAATTCTGTGTAAAAGATTTGCCAGGAAAACATATTACTTTTAAATAAAATTTTTATATTTAGAAGATATTCTGAAATTTGCAGCCACATAGATAGAACTGGAGGACATTATGTCTAGTGAAATAAGCCAGGAACAGAAAATTAAACACTGCATGATCAGACTCATATGTGGAAGCTAAAAATGGTTGATCTCACAGAAGTGACCATTAGAACAGAGGATACTGGAGGTGGAAAGGGTAGGGAGAAGGCAAGGATAGGGAGAAATTTGTTATAAGACCTAAAATTATAGCAACATAGGAAGAATGATAGCTAATGTTTAAACCACTATAGGATGACTACAGTTAACAGTAATATATTATGCAGTCCCAAATAGCTAGAGGGATATTGAATGTTCCCAACATGAGGAACTGATAAGTATTTGAAAGACAGATAGGCTAATTATCCTGACCTGATCACTATACATTATTTGGATTGAAACATCATTATGTATCCCATGAATATGTACAATTATTATTTGTCAATTAAAAGTAACATTAGAAAAATAAAAAAATACTTCAGTCTCATGATCTCTGAAAACATAAAAAGACATGAAATGAAACCAACTTTTTAATGTTATTTCACAAAAGTATTTATTATTTTAGAAGCTTCAGTCAAAAATTTCTTTGAATGTTGGAGTTTCATTCAAGAAACATGAATCAGTTTACAACAGTTTCTTAAGTGGTAAAACTGAAGGTGAATAAAAGCAAGTTTTCTACATCCAAGTGTCACATTTTTTCCTTTATACAGAATTGTTTCTCATTAGTTGAAAACTGCACATACAAATAATACACAATAATTTTTGTTAAGATAAAGGAATAATTTCTCATACATCTGAGATACATATGTACACACACACACACACACACACACACACACGTATACCACATTTTCTTTATCTACTCGTTGAATGATGGGCATTTGGGATGGTTCCATATTTTTACAACTGAGAAATGTACTGCTATAAACATGCCTGGGCAAATATCTTTTTCGTATAATGACTTTTCCTCTGGGTAGATACCCAGGAGTGAGACTGCTATATCAAATGGTAGATCTACTTTCAGTTCTTTAAGAAATGGCCACAGTGTTTTCCATAGTGGTTGTACTAGTTTACATTCCCACCAACAGTGTGAAAGTGTTTCCTTTTCACCACATCTAAGACAACATCTATTCTTTTTTGATTTTTTGATTATGGCCATTCTTGAAGGAGTGAGGTGGTATCACATTGTGGGTTTGATTTGCATTTCCCTGATAATTAGTGATGCTGGACTTTTTAAAAATATGTTTGTTAGCCATTTTACATCTTCTTTTGAGAATTGTCTATTCATGTCCCTAGCCAAAACTTTTTTTTATTATACTTTAAGTTCTAGGGTACATGTGCACAATGTGCAGGTTACATAGGTGTACATGTGCACAATGTGCAGGTTACATAGGTATACATGTGCCATGTTGGTTTGATACACCCATCAATTCATCATTTACATTAGGTATTTCTTCTAATGCTATCCTCCCCCAGCCCCCCACCCCCCGACAGGCCCCAGTGTGTGATGTTCCTCTCCCTGTGTCCATGTGTTCTCATTGTTCAACTCCCACTTATGAGTGAGAATATGCGGTGTTTGGTTTTCTCTTCTAGTGTTACTTTGCTGAGAATGACAGTTTCCAGTTTCATCCATGGCCCTGTAAAGGACATGAACTCACCCTTTTTTATGGCTGCATAGTATTCCATGGTGTATATGTGCCACATTTCCATTATCCAGTCTACCATTGATGGGCATTTGGGATGGTTCCAAGACTGCTATAGTGAACAGTGCTTTAATAAACATACCTGTGCATGTGTCTTTATAGTAGAATGACTTATAATCCTTTGGGTGTATACCCAGTAATGGGATTGCTGGGTCAAATGGTAATTCTGGTTCTAGATCTTTGAGGAATCGCCACACTGTCTTCCACAATAATTGGACTAATTTACACGCCCACCAACAGTGTAAAACTGTTCCTATTTCTCCACATCCTCTCCAGCATCTGTTGTTTCCTTTCTAAAGATCACCATTCTAACTGGCATGAGATGGTATCTCAATGTGGTTTTGATTTGCATTTCTCTAGTGACCAGTGAGGATGAGCATGTTTTCATAAGTTTGTTAGCTGCATAAATGTCTTCTTTTGAGAAGTTCTCTTCATATCCTTTGCTCATTTTTTGATGGGGTTGTTTTTTTTCTTGTAAATGTGTTTAAGTTCTTTGTAAATTCTGGATAGTAGCCTTTTGTCAGATGGATCAATTGCAAAAATTTTCTCCCATTCTGTAGGTTGCCTGTTAATTCTGATATTTTCTTTTGCTGTGCAGAAGCTCTTTAGTTTAATTAGATCCCATTTGTCTATTTTGACTTTTGTTGCCACTGCTTTTGGTGTTTTAGTCATGAAGTCTTTGCCCATCCCTATGTCCTGGATGGTATTGCCTAGTTTTTCTTCTAGGGCTTTTATGGTTTTAGGTCTTACGTTTTAGTCTTTAATCCAACTTGAGTTAATTTTTATATAAGGCGTAAGGAAGAGATACATAGCCCAACTTTGATGGGTTTGTTTGTTTTGTCCTTGCTGATTTGTTTGAGTTCCTTGTAGATTCTGCATATTAGTTATTTGTCCAATGTATAGATTACAAAGATTTTCTCCTACTCTGTGGAATGTCTGTTTTCTCTGCTGATTATTTATTTTGCTGTACAAAAGCTTTTTAGTTTAATTAAGTCCCATCTATTTATCTTTGTTTTTGTTGCATTTGCTTTTGGGTTTTATTTATTTATTTAGAGAAAGGATCTCCCTCTGTCACCCAGGCTGGAGTGCAGTGGCACAATCTTGGCTCACTGCATCCTCCACCTCCTGGGTTCAAGTGATTCTCTCGCCTCAGCCTTCTGAGTAGCTGGGATTATAGGCACATGCCACCACAGCCTGGCTAACTTTTGTATTTTTAGTACAGACATGGTTTCACCATATTAGTCAGACTGGTCTCAAACTTCTGATCTTAGGTGATCTGCCCACCTTGGTTTCCCAAAGTGCTGGGATTACAAGCATGAGCCACTGTGGCCAGCCTGCTTTTGCATTCTTTGTCATGAAGTCTTTGCCTAAGCAAATGTCTAGAAGGGTTTTTTTTTCAATGTTTACTTCTAGAATTGTTATGGTTTCAGTTTTTAAAGTCTGTGATGCATCTTCAGTTGATTTTTGTATAAGGTGAGAGACGTCGATCCTGTTTCATTCTTCTACATGTGGTTTGCTAATTATCCCTGCACCATTTGTCAAAAAGGGTGTTTTTCCCCGACTTGATGTTTTTGTTTGCTTTGTTGAAGATCAATTGTCTCTAAGTATTTGGCTTTACTTCTGGGTTCTCTATTCTGTTCCATTGGTCCATATGCCTATTTTTGTACCAGTACCATGCTGCTTTGATGACTATGGCCTTACAGTAGAGTTTGAAATCAGGTAATGCAACGCCTCCAGATTTGCTCTCTTTGCTAGTCTTGCTTTGGCTATGCAGGCTCTTTAATGGTTTCATATGAATTTTAGGATTGTTTTTTCTAGTTCTTTGAACAATGATTTTGGTATTTGGATGGGAATTGCACTGAATTTGTAGATTGCCTTTGGCAGTATGGTCATTTTCACAATACAGATTGTGAAAATGCGATGATCCCTGAGCATGGGATGTGTTTCCATTTGTTTGTGTCATTTAGTCTTGCTTTGGCTATGCAGGCTCTTTAATGGTTTCATATGAATTTTAGGATTGTTTTTTCTAGTTCTTTGAACAATGATTTTGGTATTTGGATGGGAATTGCACTGAATTTGTAGATTGCCTTTGGCAGTATCGTCATTTTCACAATACAGATTGTGAAAATGCTATGATCCCTGAGCATGGGATGTGTTTCCATTTGTTTGTGTCATCTATGATTTCTTTCAGCAGCATTTGGGAGTCTTCCTTGAAGAGGTCTTTCACTTCCTTAGTTAAGTATATTCCTAAGTATTTTATTTTTTATTTTTGCAGCTATTGTAAAATGGGTTGGGTTCTTGAGTTGGTCCTTAGCGTGTTCGCTGTTGGGGTATAGCACTACTGATTTGTGTATGTTATTTGTATCCTGAAACTTTACTGAACTCATTTATCAGTTCTAGGATCTTTTTTGGATGAGTCTAGGATTTTCTGGTTATATAATCAGGTCATCAGCAAACAGTGACAGTTTTACTTCTTGTTTACTGATTTGGATGCCCTTTATTTCTTTCTCTTGTCTGATTGCTCTGGCTAAGACTATTTTGATGAATTTTTTAAAAACCCCAAAATTGTCATATTACTCCAATTACTTACATGCCTCATGAAGGATGCAGCATTTGTCACATAAGTATATGCCTGATATACTGCAGGCCAAATCCCTTCAAATTTTAACATAGAAATCCACCCCAAAAAGTGCTAACCAATTCTTTAGCAAGTTTCAAGCACATGTATTACATTCTGCAAATTATTTGAACCATAAACACTCTCTTAATAGAAGACTAACAAAATCATTGCTGTGATTTTTCTATAATAAGCCCAGCTGGGGATTAAATGGCAGGGCTCTACTCTATCAGCTGCAGAAACTGATGGTCAAAGCTGTCCTTCTTTTGTCCAAGTGATCATTTGGCTGAGTGTTACAATTATGCTACTGCACCTGCAGCGTTAAGTATTAGCTTAAATTCCTATTTGTAAATAGATAAATCCACAACCCAATTAATTAGAAACCATTCCTCATTTGCTCCGACCACCTCTGGGAAAAGGTGAAATATTATAAATACACTTAGTTATAATTTGTTCATGCCTAAACTCCCTCGACATGATTTTATCTTTTATTTAACTTTAACTTGCAAACAGCAAATCTATGAAGAAAAAAGAAAATATGCAGCATATCTTAAGAATTTAGGATTATTTCCATTCTAAATGATTCACTTGGTCCACTCAGCAATTTAGAATGATATTTAAATTGATATTAAAACCAATTTTCATACACACTTTTATTTAGAAAAAATGTCATACAGGGAAAATTAGAACTGTCTATTTCAGTGTTTGGTATTTTCCAAATACATCTAAAACTGCACATAGTAATGTAAATGGATATATTCCCATCTGACTAAAAAAAGTTATTTAAAAATGAGCTATAACTGTGTTCATACTTTAAACCAAATACAACTTCTCCTACAGATTTATCCTAAATAAAGTGCAAAAAAAAAAATTAGTTCAAATTTGTACATTACTACTCTTTTTAAAATATAAGAATATAGAAACAAGAACATAAAATTAGTAAAATCTTATTTAGACGTTAAAATTATAATGTTAAATATAACAAAATCTGGAAAAGGCTTACTATGTAAAGCTAGACATTATAATAATTGCTAAATCTATATTTTCAATAAATAAAATTTAGGTATGCCAAATTTTCAAAAGCTGATGGACAGTATGGGGGTGATGTGATTATTTTCTGTGTCATCACTGATGATTTGGGAAAGAGCAGAAAGACCCACTTACCATGAATTATGAGAAAGCATAAATATTTGCCTCTTTTAGAAGTAGAAAAAGCAATGCAAATACTTTACAAGAACAGAGCTAACAATTAGTTTGCAGGTCATCTTTGTCAACCAAACACCCTCCACAAGCAAAAATGTCTGCTATATAAAATTTTAATAATTCTACAATTTTATATTTAAAGAGTTTTGTATTAAACTAATAACAGATACTACACTTGTTCTTTTTATTATTATTATTTTTATTTTTTTATTTTTTTTGAGACAGAGTCTCGCTCTGTCCCCCAGGCTGGAGTGCAGTGGTGTGATCTCCACTCACTGCAAGCTCTGCCTCCCTGGTTCAAGCAATTCTCCTGCCTCAGCCTCCCAAGTAGATGGGACTACAGGTGCCCGCCACCACGCCCAGCTAATTTTTTTTTGTATTTTTAGTAGGGACGAGGTTTCACCATGTTAGCCAGGATGGTCTCGATCTCCTGACCTCGTGATCTGCCTGCCTAGGCTTCCTAAAGTGCTGGGATTACAGGCATGAGCCACTGCAACTGGCCACTTGTTCTTAGTCAATAGGCTGAGAAGCCAACAAAGGCACAATAATTGTTGAAGGTGATGGATATGCTAATTACCATGGTTTGATGACTACACAATATATACATGTAAACTTATATTACCTCATAAAGATGTACAATTATTATGTTAACTCATTTTTTTAAAGTTTTATATTAATGTTTTTATTCCATTATAATAAGTAATTTATTCAATTGTTTTAAATTTTAGCTCCTACAAATGAATGAGAACATGTAAAGTTTGTGTTTGTCATCCATATTGTTGCAAATAACAAGATCTCATTTTTAATGGCTGAATAGTACTCCATCGTGTGTATGTACTCCATTATCTTTATCCATTCTGTCGACTGACACTTAGGTTACTTCCAAATCTTGACTCTTGTGAATGAATAGTGCTGCAATAGACATGGGAGTGCAGAAATCTCTTTGATATATTAATTTCTTTTCTTTTGTGTATATTCCTAGTAGTAGGATTGTTGGATCATATGATAGACCTATTCTTACTTATTTGAGGAGCCTCCAAACTGTTCTTCTTAGTTGTTGTACTAATTTACATTCTTACAACTGTATAGAAGGCTTCCCTTTTCTCCACATCCTTGTCAGCATTTGTTAATGCCTGTCTTTTGGACAAAAGTAATTTTAACTGGAATGAGATAATATCTTGCTGTAGTTTTTTTTTTTTTTTGGAAACGAAGTCTCGCTCTATTGCCCAGGCTGGAGTGCAGTGGCGCGATCTCGACTCACTGCAAGCTCTGCCTCCTGGGTTCACGCCATTCTCCTGCCTCAGCCTCCCGAGTAGCTGGGACTACAGGCTCCCGCTACCACGCCCAGCTAATTTTTTAAAATATATTTTTAGTAGAGATGGGGTTTCACCATGTTAGCCAGGATGGTCTCGATCTCCTGACCTCATGATCCACCCGCCTCGGCCTCCCAAACTGCTGGGATTACAGGCATGAGCCACTGCGCCCGACCTTTCTGCGGTTTTGATGTGCATTTTCTAACTATCAATGATGTTGAGTACCTTTTTGTATACCTATTTGGCATTTGTATGACTTATTTTCAGAATTATCTGGATTATTGGTTTTTTTTCCTATAGAGTTCTCTGAGATCCTTAAATATTCTTATTAATCCCTCAACAGATGATATTTTGCGAAAATTTTCTCCCATTTTGGGGGGTATAGCTTTACTTTGTTGACGGTTAGCAGAGGCTGGGAAGGGTCAGGGATAATAGGAATGGGTAATGGGTACAAATACATAGCTAGAATTAATAAGTATTTGATAACACCACATGTGATTATAGTCAACAATAATTTATTGTGCATTTCAAAGTAACTAAAATGTATAATTGTATTGTTTGGAACACTTTAAAAGGATAAATATTTGAGGTGATAGATAACCCATTTACCTTGCTATGATTGTTATGCATTGTATGCCTGAATCAAAATAATTTACATGCCCCACAACTTATGTATATTATATACCCTCAAAAATGAAAAATTTTAAAAAATGTAATGTATTCAATTATAGTTCAATGACATGACCACAAAACATAACACCATGTCTCTCATAAAACATCATCTACTATGTTTATATAATCTCCTTTAAAACAAATTTTCTATAAAAATTATAAAACAAAAGTCAGTCTTCACATTAATAACATATATATTGAATAACCCATAACAGATTGCTTATTATCTTTATTTTAATTATTTAATCATTGTATTTAATTTCATCCTTGAACAAAATTCACTAAATTAGAGCTGATATACAATATATTTGTTGATAACAGATCCTACCTTAGTCTTACATAGATTTAACCAGTCCTGAATGATATTGTTTATAGCCAATGTTCAAAATTGTGTAAAGATCTAAACTTTTGAGAGCTTTGGAAGAATTTGACATAAATTGTGTGTTCACTAATTTATTTAACGCACTTTATTTTCTCTCTTAAATAATTGTAGGCAGACTCTTAATTTCGCAGAGACCACTGAAAAATGATTCTCATAAACTCATTTATTTTTCTGGATATTCCTGATCTGAAAGTCTCTTTCTCATTCTCAAAATATTGTAGCCAAATCTGAGATAATGGACCTATGAGAATAAAATAATCAAATAAATCCACATTTAGATATAACATTATTTTGAATATATAGCAATTTAGAATAGAGCATGATTGATCATGGATTCTATTCTACACCCAAACCCTTTTTCAAATGAGGATGTCATAATGTGGTTCTGGACAAGACCGTGGAGACTTGAAGAAGAAGCCAATTGCAGGTAGGTAGATGTCAGGCAGTCCTGTTTTGCGAAACAAGAAAAATAGAGGACTAGTTCCTATGATTTTCTTATCCCCCAAAACCCAAACCAAAATTGAGTGTTAAAAAAAAACCACAGATTCAAAAATACAGAGCTTCTGTTCAGGCTCACAATAGCCACTTTGTTGAGCTCAATATTGTACAGCTCTTAATTTATAAGATTACATTGGGCCTTCTGTCAAATTTTGAGGAAACTACACACACACACACACACACACACACACACACACACACACACACAGAGACACACAGATGGCCTTAAATTTAGCAGAACAGCAAATGAAATTCTGCAGAGATATTTTCTTTTATCCAAATCTTTTGTAAGGCTCCTTCCAACTACCCTTTTTGTTTATTTGTTTACATGCCCTGGTTCAGATTAAGTCATAAATTTGATTAGTGAATCAAACCTTTTTAAAACGTTATTAAACAAAAATTTACATATTTGTAGATCGAAAATAAGAAAATACTAGTAATAATATATATACAACATTTAACACTTCACTGACATATCAGAATTTCTCAATTTACAGAGTTGTTTTCTATAATAATTTATGCTTCTATGGTATAGAAAAATAAGCTATTTTCTCTTGGCCCATAGCTAAAACTGGAATCAAGTACAGTTGATCATTAGTTGCCTTGGAAAACTTAACACATTCTCAAGTTTGATTTTCAGTCCTGCACGCCCTGAAATCTGATATGGTCTTCAAGTTAAGAATAAATTCACATGTTGAGCAGAAAATTTTGCCAAGAATATGAGACTGAATTTTTTTTTATTCCTTCCAAATTAAAAAAAAAAAATTTGCAGGTAACAGTGTATATTTTGATTTTAGGATAACACATTTACCATTGTTTTCCACCACATGAGTAGCCACGTTATATCAGTAGACTCCTTAAAAACGTGACTAGAACAAAGAAAATTATTAAATATTTTCTGATATTAAGATAAGATGATTTGATGTATCCATCTTTGCATAAAATAAGCAATTGCCAATAAGAGCAGAATATTTTAGCTCTTTTAGTTAAGATGTTATCTCTTCTAGTGTCTTAGCCATAGTTTTAGACGTTGAATTAGTTATCTTTAGCTGCAGCAGTGCTACAAAAGGTAAGCTAAAATTTCTGTAATATATACTGATTAAAATTTATTTTTCAGTATCATACCTGCAGATGACCCTAATGATTTTCCTCCAGGTTGCAGACTGGATTCAGCTCGATTCCACCAGTCTTCCCAATCAGAACTCAATCTGACAAGGGGATGGCTGCCAAAGACATGCTCTTCTCATGGAAAATGTCCAGGACAAAAGAAGGGATGGGAAAGAACACTCCCCCCATGTAGGAAGGAAAGGGAGTGAATATCTGCTCCACAATGATGTAACCTACCACAGACGACTGCTGAAAACAGTTGCCCATGTTTATCTTATTTTTTTCTGTATTTGGTGACTAAATCGCCAAATTTCTCACTGCCCGTTCTTTGTTTACGTTTGTCTTTGTTAGTGTGTTTCAGTCAGCAGGCCTAGGGATCCTTTAACTTTTCTAATGAGAATTTTATTCATTCTTGTGATGGAATTTGTTTTGCGCAAACCTGTATTTCTTGTCAGGTATGTTTGTTGATGCCTCATTATAGATTCCAAGAAATAAAAACAAAAGATGAGTCTACCATTATATTTTGAAAAATATATGGCTATACAGATACTAAATTCATTATAAAAACAATTTTTAAATATAATTTACTGCCATTAGATATGAAGAGTTGGAGAATAAGAAGCAAAGCACAAAGTTTCGATCATGAGTTTTACTGTAAGCCATGTAGTAGATCTCAGTGGGCCACAGAGGTGCTGAATAACATTGAATAACAGTATGTTCTAATAAATAGCACCATTTGTTGGACTCATTATGGAGACTACACCATAAACCACCTGATTTTTCTAAGCAATGCTTCTGAATTTATTTTTAGATAAATAAGCCTGAATCTTTGATAGAGTATTTCTTATATTACATTTACTATTACTATTAACTTACTATAAACTATTAAATTAGTTTTCATCAAATTGAAATCAAGCACAAACTAAAATGCAATTTTTTTTTTTTTTTTTTTTTTGAGACGGAGTCTCGCTCTGCCCAGGCTGGAGTGCAGTGGCGTGATCTCAGCTCACTGCAAGCTCCGCCTCCCTCGTTCAGGCCATTCTCCTGCCTCAGCCTCCCTAGTAGCTGGGACTACAGGCGCCTGCCACCACACCCGGCTAATTTTTTGTATTTTTTGTAGAGACGGGGTTCCACCGTGTTAGCCAGGATGATCTCGATCTCCTGACCTCGTGATCTGCCCGCCTGGGCCTCCCAAAGTGCTGGGATTACAGACATGAGCCACCGTGCCTGGCCAATAATATTTTACTATGTAGTATATGATGACATTATGTGACACTTGGAAAGCACAAATTCCCTTGAACTGCTTCTTGTTTTGACCTCTTTTCTATATATCATATTTCTAAGTGCCTGATGAAAATCTTCATTTAATGTCCAAGCAACACCTCCAACTCACAAAGTGATTGGCATATTGAGTTATATTTTGCTTCTATTGTGTTTTTGTATCTATTTTACATTCTCATTTTTCCAGCTACAAGATTTAGCATTCACTTATCAGAGCATGAATACTGGAAGTTGCATTAAGCCCTAAGCCATTAGACACAACTTCATCTCTTCATTTGTTTTGGTCTATATCTCTTTATAGCTATCTATCTATCTTATCTATCTCCCTATCTACCTATCTGTCTTTCATCTATCAATCTATCTAGCTATTCATTTGTTATAGAAAGGGTGGAGCTTATTTAAATATATAGTAGTTCTGTTTTAATCCAACATTTGTAAATTTTTGAGAATAAATTTGCTAAACTGAATTATTTCAGAGAAGAGAATATCTCTTAAAAATAATATGAAAGTAGATAACGTTTTTAACAGCTTTATTGAAATATAATTCACTTACCATAGAATCCACCCATTTAAAGTGTGCGATCCAATGACTTTTAGAATGTTAACGGAATGGTACAACTATCGCCACAATCAGTTTTAGAATATTTTCATTTACACCCACATAACCCGTTTATCCTTCAGCCCTCACCTCAACTGTCCCTTCTCTCAACCTCAAGTCATAGCAACCACTAATCTACTTTCCGCTTCTACAGATTTGCCTAATTTGGACATTTCATATTGTATAAATGGGAACTGTACAGTATGTGGCCATTGTGAACAGGCTTCTTTCACTTATCATAATGTTTACAAGATTTATCACATTGTAGCATGTATCAATACTTTATTTCATTTCAAATAATATACTATTGTATGGATAAACTACATTTTGTTTACACATCAGTTGATGTGAATGTGACCTATTATGAATAATGCTGCTAGGAACACTTAAATTTTTGTGTGGACATATGTTTTAATTTTCCCTTGGGTATATATCTAGAAATGGAATTGCCTGATCATATTATAACTGTGTTTAGCCATCTTAAGTGTTGAAAAACTGTTTTTCAAAGAGCCTTGAGTTCTTAAGTGTGTCACAAAGACAGGATAAAAGGACAAAGAGTGGTTTCCATGCAATGGGCGGGGGTGGGGGGATCTGGATATTAGATACTTCTAAGATAACGCTATCATACTGGAATGGTTACTCTTTTAGTAAAAGGGTATATATACTACGAAAAAGTAATCTATTCATAAGGAAAATGCGGTGGCTAATGCCTGTAATCCCAGCACTTTGGGAGGCGGAGGTGGGTGGATCACGAGGTCAGGAGATCAAGACCATCCTGGCTAACACAGTGAAACCCCATCTCTACTAAAAATACAAAAAATTAGCTTGGCGTGGTGGCGGGCACCTGTAGTCCCAGCTACTGGGGAGGCTGAGGCAGGAGAATGCCGTGAACCCGGGAGGTGGAGCTTGCAGTGAGCCGAGATCACTGCCACTGCACTCCAGCCTGGGCAACAGAGAGAGAGACTCCTTCTCAAAAAAAAAAAAAAAGTGTGTCAGTCCCTATGTTGAATTTTGAAAGAAGTATTGGCCACTGAGAATATCAAACTCTCACTTAAATTTCAGCCTCAAATTTCTGTGGTGTATTTGTTTTAGAAAACCCCAAGACCAGACATTGACATAAAGTGGTACCATTTTGATAGAAATTTGGTGTCTCAAAGGAAAAAAAAAATTCTGTCTGAAGAAACGTGAAATAAATTTCTATTAATTACGTATAGAAAAAGACTGCAGTAAAGGAGCTCACAATTAAAAAATCTGTAACACAAAAGGAAACTAGACACATTTAGCGAGAATCAGTATCAAAACTAATACAGTTAAAGCCAAATGAACTTTAGATAAGGAATTTATTTGCCAGATAAAATCGAATAAGAATATGTAAATTAATTAAATAAGAAAAAATAGAAAACATAAGAATGAACTAAGAGATTTTAGGCGGATTGGGCCGGGGACAGGGGCTCATGCCTGTAATCCCAGCACTTTGGGAGGCCGAGGTGCGCAGATCACTGAGTTCAGGAGCTCGAGACCAACCTGGCCAACATAGTGAAACCCACTCTCTACTAAAAATACAAAAATTAGCCAGACATGGTGGCCGGCGCCTGTAATTCCAGCGACTCCGGAGGCTGAGGCACGGAAATTGCTGGAACTCAGGAGGCAGAGGTTGCAGTGAGCAGAGATCGCACCACAGCACTCCAGCCCGGGTGACAGAGCGAGACTCCGTCTCAAAAAATAAAAATAAAAATAAAAATAAAAGTTGAAACAATAAAGAAGGTAATAATTACTATATGGGCACAACATTTACTATTTACTGTCAATTAGCAACTGGCTTCTAATAGATACTAAAACAAATCTACAATGATTTACTACTATTAATACCCAAGACAGGAAATTATAAGAAATGACAGTCTTCAGAACTTTCAGAGAAAATATGGTTCTAAAAGTAAAATCTAGGTTTAAAGAGAAGATCACATAAAAAATTATAAAGCTCCTTAAAATGATATTCTGATAATGTAATAATGCAATTTCAAATTGGAAAATGAGGAAGAAAAGATGGATTACTTAAATATATTATTATGTATAACATGAGGCTCTGGAAAAACAACAAAGAAGAACAAAGAGGGCACAGTTACATTGAACAAGAATGCTATAAACTCCTAAGAATAGTGTTCAGAGAATAGAAACCCAGATTAAATTACTACTTGCAAAAATTCAAAGGATAGGAGAAGATTTTCTTGACTCTATTTGGAGGAAAAAAGAAAGAACACTACAGTCCTAAATCTGTTGCTTGTAATACATGGTAAGATGTTAAAGACTAAAACAGCAATAAATCTATAAATCTGTCAAGTCTATTTCCCTCCACTTTTTATTTAGGTATAATTTGTTTCTATCAATTATATCCAAATAAAAAGTAGTAGAACAGTATTGATAAGAAAACACTTATTCAAAGCAATTGAGAGGCCAGGCGTGGTGGCTCACTCCTATAATCCCAGCACTTTGGGAGGACGAGGCCAGTGGATTGCTTGCGCTCAGGAGTTCGAAACCAGCCTGCACATGGTGAAACCAAATCTCTATGAAAAACAAACAAACAAACAAAGCAATTGAGCAACTTTAAGGGTTTGAGATGGAGTCGCTCTGTCACTCAGGCTGGAGTGCTGTGACGCAATCTCAGCTCACTGCAACCTCCCCATCCAGAGGTCAAGAGATTCTCATGCATCAGCCTCCTACTTAGCTGGGATTACAGGCGCCCGCCACCATGCCCAGCTAAGTTTTGTATCTTCAGTAGAGACAGGTTTTCACCATGTTGGCCAGGCTGGTCTCAAATTCCTGACCTCAAGTGATCCTTCCACCTCGGCCTTCCAAAGTGCTGGAATGACAGGTGTGAGCCGCCATGCCCAGCCAAGAGCAACTAGCTTTCTAAATCAGTTCAAGGCAAAGGACAAAATATTTGCCCCTAATGCACTGAAAGAACTTGTAGATGAGATCACTGAACCAATGTCAATTGTATGGTAGCAATTACCTGGAACCACGGAGAAGGTGGACATGGAAAAAGAAACCCAACTCATTCCCCCTCAAATGATTAAATCTAGAAACTAGATTGCATGACAGTAATATAATATTAGCTGTCTTAATTTAGGGTGCCTAGAAAATGAAATAATATTCTAAGAGTCTAACAATGGAAAATTGTGCGGAAAACCATATATTGTTAAGAAGGGAGACAGATAATAACTGAACTATTTTCTGTGCTGATTATTTTCAGCTGGAAAATTGGTTTAAGGGTGATGTAAACAATTAGAGCCATAAAATTTAGGAAATGGTAGAGGAGATGGTAGTACGATGGCTAGAGGAAGAAAGCACTTACAAGTCTATGACTTTTTAAATATAATTATTTAGAAAATTAGAAATATTTGGCATGATTCAATGGAGGAAGAAAATACATGCAATAACAATATGTAGATTGAATCCAGTGACCTTGTCTCTTAAGAGTAGAACATTTAGTCTTTAGAAGAGTTGCAGCTAAGGCTGGAGTGAGATGTTTATAAGATGCAAAAAACACTGCAATGTTAGACTTTGTGACCTTAAAAATCTCTCCCAAATAGGATATCACCAGAACAATTGTGTGCTAATGTCTACATTTATTGTGTGCGCCTATGCCACCTTAGGAGAGGAAGGTAAAATTAGCTTATTTTAAATAATTTGCTTTATCAATATCACTATAAAATGTTTTTCTCTGCTATAAAGTCGCTTTCCAAGTATTATAGTTAATAATACTGTATTTTATACCTGAAATTTGCTAAGAGAATGGATCTTAAATAATCTCACCACACCCAAGAAAAAATAAAGATAACTATATGAGGTGATGGATGTGTTAAATAATTGATTGTGATCATCATTTCAAAATATATATGTATATCTAATCATTATGTGCACCTCAAATTTATATAATTTTATCAAGTATACATTATATACCTTGTCAACTATATGTCAATAAAGCTGGGGAAATGTTTGTGTAAGAAGAAAGAGAATGTGTTCTGTCTCTGGTGTTCTTTTATAGGTAGATGATGCAATTCTCTAGTTACTAAATATTGTGAATTAGAAAATATATGAGACTTAGCAGTTGAATTATTTAGAAATTCACAGTTTCCTGGAAAATAATACTGTAGGTAATGGTCCTGCATGGCTAGGTGATTCCCCAAATGACCTGACAGGTCTTACGTAACAATAATTTGTTCATAACAGAAAGTAATATTTAGAAATCTTATGTAGTAAATTATCCTACATATATTATAGACATTATATTGCTCAATGTAATACATTTTCCCCACTATATCTGTAGATCACCACAATAAATAATTTATAGGAGTTATCTTCAATTATGGTAATAATTATGAGATAAAAATGGAAGTCTACAAGTATTTGAGAAAGAGTGTTAAATGGAATTAATCTACACAGCTAAAATAAGTTAGGTGTCCCCATTATAGTTCAAGTAAGTAAAAGGTGAAAATTAGTTTGGTGAAACCACAAAGAATACAAATAAGTCAATAATTGTTTGACTTAAAATAGTATTCTATTCATCAGTCTTTCAAATTTCCTATTGTTCTTTGATTATTCAGCATAATTATAACAATGCATTAAACAAAGATATCTAGGACATAACTACATATAGTTAGCTTAGATTTTGGTTTTTTAACCTCATTTCAAAAGAAAAATGATTGTACTATTTAGAAAAAGTAATTCACAAACCAATTAAAATATTCCCATTCCTTCTTATATGATGGTAATTGCTTTCTAAGCATGTGTTAAATTTTATTGCACACTACTTAATTGAAGAGAAAAATTCATACTATTTAAATTTAAATTGTAGAATAATTGTCACTATAAATATTTTTAGCATTCTGAATTCTAACAAACATTTCTCACCACAACAAACATATAATTCAAGAATTCTGTTATTGAAAACGTGAATATTTTTATAATTAAAATAAATGGCATGATTACACAGAAACACACATATACATGCAACAAAACAAAGTAATTTTATAGACATGTTTTTCAAATATTATGCTTGAATGAAGGATAATTTAAAGGACAGAGAAATGACTAGAAACCACCTTGGAGCCTACCCCTATTTCTTGCCCTACCGTGAGTGTAGCAGGAAGGCAGACACAAAGAGGAGTGGGTGCTAATATGAGTAACATTTTCCATGCCACATACTTATAAAGTTTATTCTATAATCTAAGAGTTCCAGAAATAACTCTCCTTTTGAAGGTTTCTCTAAAAAAAGATTCTCTTTTTCTCCCAATCACAGAAGCACGTAAGTGGTAGCATACTTCCATCTTTCTACATTGCAATTTCTATACTAGTACTCTTCTTTTTATAAAACTTAACAAAACCTCTCTTCCATCCTACAATCTTCTGTTTGTTGTCCCCTCTCTAACTTCTGGCCAAACTCTCTCTTCCATGGACAACTAGACACTTGACTTAAAACCCTCTTCACTAAAACTGCTGCCATTACTCAAGCTAACCTCAGTGTCCACACTTGCTGCCTACCAAACATCTTAGCTTTAGTTGTCCTTCAACATCCAACCCCCTTGTTTCATCATAGACCTAATTATCTGGACTATTTTCCCTTATAAACTATACTTCATGTTTCTATGCAGTATAGATCTGTCACTCAAGCTATTTTTATGGCACCTATTTGGCTCTAATATTCTTTCATTCATAGTAAACTTTCAAATCTTCTCGATCAACCTTCATTTTTAAAAATCTTATACTTGACAATGAGCTTTGTTGGAGGAATATATATATTCCAGTTACCACTTCGTTTATCTTGTCTCATTTGAATGTTCAGCCACATTACAGAGGAGACCATTTTCATTTTACTTGAAACATCATCTCTTAATGTCCTCTTTTTTTTTCTATCCTCACTGGCTGCTTCATCTCAATAGCTTTTCTAAGTTCCTTTCCCCTATGCTACCATCTCTAAATTTTAGAAAACCTCAGATTTTAATATCTGCTAATGACTCCCTACTTCTCCACCGCTTCGTTTTTCTCCTCTATAATTATGTTCAAAAGCCCTAATGTTCAATTATTCTCTTGAATAAATCAAGCTCATTTCTACTTCAGGGTTTTTGCAAGAACTCTTCCCTGTCATTGGCTTATCTTTTCCTTAATTTTTATACGCCTAGCTTTTTAAAATTGTCTTTCAGATTTTACATTTCCAATCTTTGTTAAACTGTCAAATACTCTTTCCATTGCTTCACCTATTCTTTATGAATTCACTCTGGAGGAATGCCTAACATTTTTGTAAAGGTATGCATTTTTACAATGCAATTTCAGATATTCAATCATTATTGTTTTTATATTCTTCAGTAATTGAATTTAATTTATCTTTTGAATCTTCAATGTATTATGTAGTTAAGAATTAAAATATTGATCATTTTAGGGCACCCACTCCAAGTTCTATGTTATTTTTAAGTTGTGGCAAAAATCATGGAAGGCAATGGGAAGGTGGACTATGTGCTTCTACAATTTAATCCTCTATTCATAACCTATTAGAACCTATTCCTGCTGGCATCTACTGAGAAATCTCTGTTTCTGTCTGAGAAAGGTAATTAGTGCAGTCAGTGACTCTGTACTTAAAGATATGCAGCAAATACTTTCAGAATTAAACATGATATTTCAACCTGGGAGTATATTGCTATTTTTCTATGAAGTTCAGAACTTTGAGAGATATAGATTAAGTCAGAAGTAATTAGTTTAGCAAATATGAAAGTCCTTTATATTAGCCTATTTATGTTCAAGACACTGACATTTGCCTACTCCCTAGAACTTCGTATTTTAGGAAGAGATTTAGTCTGTGAAGTTGTTCTGAATAAGCCTGCATCTAACCACTAAGTAGTAAAGCAACTAATCACTTTCTTAAAAGTACTTAGACTGATTTTTCTACTGACATTACTAACTTGTCAATACTTTTTTAAATTACATAATTTTAAGACAAAAATAGGAATGTTAAGTATTCTACTCCATCAAGAAACGAGTTTTCACTTCATTTAATTCACTTCTAATTTATTATGCATAAAATAGGAGTAGAAAAAGACATGGTGGATACAAGTAAAGGATATTGCTATTCAGTACATTCTGTTACTCAGGACAGGCTTCTTACTGATTTCCACTAATTAAGAACAGTTCTATATAATTACAAAATCTCGGAGCAATTAATCTGCTTATGCTACTTTTTCTGAAGTTGTCTTAAACCCCTGAGCAATTCTGTAAAAATATTCTGAAATAATTATGTGGGCAAATTCAAAATATTATAAAGAGCTTTGTAGTTATGAATATATACTCACTGATTATGATTTTTAGTCTAAGACTAAAAGACTCTAATTTTAGAGATGGATCTAGATGCAAATAATATTAGGTCATACCTCACCTATGTATCTTTCAATATTTTTATAACCTAGGTCTTTATTATGTCAAGCAAAGACTGAATAAGAGTTAAAAAGAAGTAAGTTACACAGTTTATTTAAAAAAAAATCTTAGATTAACACTGAAAAAACTTCTATTAAGTGCATTTACATAAAAATAAAACTTAACAGTATGATGAGTTCACATCTTTCCTATGATACTAAAAATTATTTTTTCTGTACTTTATAATTATGCTTCTCTGGAAAACGATATGACCCAGAAGTAAGGGAGAACTAAAAATGAGAAGACTTCGTCAGAGCAGATATAGCAATACTGCAAGAGTTCTCCCCAGTAATATATACATACCTACCATGAACAAAGAGTAGGCATAAGAAGAAAATGTGACTTAGAACTTTATACACAGAAAACTTAGAGAAACTGTAGGACAATAAATCAGTCTTCGTAGTCTGTGTGGCTAATGTGAAACAATATTCTAAAATATCCAAGATAATGTGTAGAATAAGAAAAAATATCAAATACATAATTTATTTTTCAACATTAGACATTGAGTGACCCACTAGGTACCAGAAACTGCATCTTGGAATAGATCAATGAACAAAAAACAAAGATTCTTACCCCATGAGATATTGCATTCTTGAAATATACATAATAAATAGGTCATCAGCAATATACAGAATATATTATGTACAATATTATAAAGTGAAAAGTAAGCATTACAATTTTTTTTAAAAAAAGAAAGGAAAATAGGTTAAGAAAAATTTGAAATGCCAGGGTAGAGTGCATGCTCCATTCTCATTCAGCTTCTTGTGGGGAGGGGTATACATAAACTAGAAATAAGATAGATTTAACTGGCTTTTGATAATGATTTTGTAGAATTAATACTGCAAAATGATTTGCAGTTGTAAGCAACAGATTAATTATAGTGTTTGACCATGAAACAAATTGAGAAACAGATGGTGAGAAAATATTCAGAGGGAACAGGACAGTCAAAAGATGATGGAACCAATGGATTAGATGTTTTTCTGGGTCAAAGATTGTTGAAATCAGGAAACTAGAGAGATTGAGTAGATAGCAAACCTATGCCTTTCAATTTATCTGATAGACAGAAAGTCCTATCTATGAAATGGAGATTATAAAGAAGTTACAGTTATTGATGATGGCAAGGTCACGGTTCTTTTTTTTAACTTTTAAGTTCAGGGGTACAAGTTCAGGTTTGTTACATAGGTAAATTCATGTAGTGGGGCTGTATTGTACAGATTATGTCACCACCCAGATATTAAGCCAAGTATCTATTATTTGTTTTTCCTAATCCTCTCCCTCCTCTCATGCTCCACCCTCCAAAAAGCCCCAGTGTGTGTTGTTCCCTTCCATGTGTCCGTGTGTTCTCATCATTTAGGTCCCACTCATAAGTGAGAAAATGCAGTTCTTAGTTTTCTGTTTCTGTGTTAGTTTGCTAAGGATAATGACCTCCAGCTCCATCCATGTCCCTGCAAAGAACATGGTCTTTTTTTCTTTTTTATGGCTGCATAGTATTCTACGGTTTATTAGTGAAATGCAAATCAAAATCACAATGAGATACTATCCAACACCAGTCAGAATGGCTATTCTTCAAAAGTCAAAAAATAACAGATACTGGTGAGGTTGTGGAGAAAACAGAACCCTTATACACTATTGGGTGGAAGTGTAAATTCATTCATCCATTATGGAAGACAGTGTGGCTAGTCCTCAAAGACTTAAAGACAGAAATGCCATTCATTAGGCAATCCTATTACTTGGTATATACCCAGAGAAATATAAGTCATTCTATTATAAAGACACATGCACGCATATGATCATTGCAGCACAATTCATGATAGCAAAGACATGGAACCAAGCTCAATGCCCATCAGTGATAGGCTGGATAAAGAAAAGATCAAGGTTCTAATCATCATAAATGTTCTTGTTAGAATAAGTAAAGTTACAACAGTTCTATTGAAATAAAAGCTAATAAATCATGATCATATCCCAATCATAATAATGTAAACAGGTCTGTATTTTTTTATTGGGAATGGGATTAAAGTCATTTCAAATAATAATCCAGGAATCAAGGTCAGCTTTTAGCTGTTTATTTGTAATATGATATCAATCTTTTAGATAATTCGCTAGTTATATTTTCCCCTTGGACTCAGCAAATCTGTTAAGTAGGCAGCACAATCTCTATCTAATAGATGAGAGAATGGAGTCTCCAATAAATAAAGTGAAGTGATTTGCCAGTAGTGATTTACGGGCACCTGTAGTCTCACCTACTCGGGAGGCTGAGGCAGGAGAATGGCATGAACCCAGGAGGCGGAGCTTGCAGTGAGCTGAGATCACACCACTGCACTCCAGCCCGGGAGACACAGCGAGACTCCGTCTCAAAAAAAAAAAAAAAAAGGACTCAAGATCAATATTAGGAATCTTCACTGAAAGGCAATTTAACTTCAGTTTTCTTTTTTAACATATAAACACTGCACAGATCTAATAAAATATTCTGATTCAACACAATGCTTTTAAACAATAAGGAATTCACTCTTCTTATGGCAAATCAAAGATACATTAAAGTCTTCATGAGAAGCTTAACATGGCAGATTATTCAATTCGTCTTTTAAATATTGTCAGTCAAGGCCTAAATACCACCAAAATATATTCCCTTCACAGTAAATCACCATGATTATTGCCATTATTGATCTGTAGAATCAGTTACTAAATGTATCAATAGGATTCAACACCACCTATCAGGTGTCATACAGCTTCATTCTCCTGCCTATAAACCATCAAATTTTCTTCTATGGGTTTACATAATTTCTTCTTGAAGGAGGTACTGAAATGTTGCATTTAATTATTTTAAAAATTACATCTAAAAGTAAGCTTTTATACCAGGGAGATCAATTGCTTTATTTTATAACTGTTCATGTTGTAAAACTATAAATATTGTTTCCTACCACACTTATTACACAATATGCAGCATTTAGCAAATTTTAAATCATCTTCATTAGGCATATGATGGTATGTGTAATACACACACACATATATATTTACATGCATAAATAAAATAATGAAATTATTTTAAATTTAATGTCCTAAAGCAGCGTGGAAAATATTAAATAATTACACCTGCCTTTGTGTATACTCAGATAATCAATGAGAAATTCATATTTAATATATTAACACTGATAAACTCCCACTCATCCAAATAATAAAATGGAGGAAAAGTAAATATGCATTTTTTTAAAAGAAGATTGTTCCTATATTTTCACCTATAATTAATTAGTATATATTATGACTATAAAAATAGGGCTTTTTATTTGAATCCCAATAACATTTGAGGATCATAGGAGTGAATTGCAGGGAAGGGGGTATCCATGAATATTGTGAATATTTATAAAATGATATGTATATGCACCACTGTGTCATTGTCAAAGGTGGAGATATTCAATAAAGACAGCAAGTTTGTTGGTGTTTGCAAGAAGGTGGCGTTTTTCACAGGATGAGTATTAGTTTACTAATTTGAGTATAGTACTCAATAGTAAGCGAGAAGACATTATTGGAAATATAAAGGTAAAAATAATCGACAAATTATGAACTGGAGCTATGGGAGTATATAGAATATCTGTGGAAAAGAGTAAAAATGTAAGAAACAATATTTACAAAGTATTTTGGGAACACCTAAACATTAATGACATGGAAAGGGTGAATCACTATCCATAGGTGAAAAAAATGCATTTAGATTGTGTGTTGTCAAGTAAAACCAGGAAAAGGAGAGTTTTCTAAATGAGAAGTAATAACTGTTTGAAAAAGGATCCAGTAAATAGTCTATAAGATTTGAAATATTTTAATTTATATATTTTGGTGCTATTTGAAAGCAAGTGGCTTCTGAGTTTACTTGTGAAATGTAAGGTGTTTGGAAACTCTCCTCTCATCCCTACAATGAATTGTCAAGAAAAATCCCCTCATGGTCTCTGGCAGGAGTGTAGGGAAGTGACCATTTAGAAATACAACCAAAATGTTCTTAACAAATGAGTACCCATCGGGGAAAATACTTTATCAGAGCCTTATCTCACTTAGTGAGCAGGCAATTACCAACTCCTATTCTCACTAGATTTCTTTTCCTACTTAAAGGTTGATAAAAAGCGTATTTAAAACCATAGACCAGGAACACAGACCCTTAAAAGACGGAGATGTAATTATAAAGTTATAGAACACTTGACCTCCCTTACATCTTAACACCACATCAACAAGATTTCAATATTGGATTACACGTAAAAGAGGTGCAGGATTTTATTGTAGAAGGAGTTTTTAGGGAAGCAACAGAGGAGTGAAAAAACAAGGACACAGATACAGTAAGCATTAAACCCAGAACAACTTCTAGCCAGAATAACCTAAAACAACAAAAGGCCTACTTATCTCAGTCCTATTACATAAAACATCATACATAACTTACAAAAGATATATATATATACATATATAGTATATATATATATATACACACATACACACTAAGTCCAACATTAGAAATGAAGATATGACAATATTTAGAATTACGTCAGAAAATTTAAAATAACTATGACTAATATGTTAAGGTCTCTAATTAAAAAAGGTTACAGTGTGCAAGATTTGATGGATAACATATGCAGAGAAATGGGAACACTAAGGAAATATTGAGAAAATGGTTGATATCAATAACATTGTAACAGAAATGAAGAATGCCTTTGGTAAGTCATTAGTAAACTTGACACTACAAAGAAAAACTTTTCTGAACTTGAATATATGTCAATAGAAATTTCTCAAATTTAAATGCAAAGAGAAAAAAATCCAAGAACTGTGAGAAAATTCTAAAAAAAAGGGGGGCAGCGTTTGTACAACTGGTATATCAGAAGGAGAGGGAAAGATGGAGCACAAGAATTATTTAAAATCATCATGGCCAGAAATTTCCAAAAATTAATGGCTGGCAGCAAACAGGAAGCTCTCAGAGCACCAAGCAGAAAAAATACTGTAAAATCTACACCAGGATATTATATTGCAGCTCCAAAAATAAAAGAAAAAGATAAAATATTGAGGAACAAGTAAAATAAAGAAACAGATTTTTCATTTAAAAAAACATGCAACAAAGAGAGTATGGAAGAAAAGTAAAGAAAACACAACCAGGAAAAATGCCCTTCAAAAATGAAAGAGAAATAAAGGTTTTTCAAACAAAAATCCAAGCAAATTTGTTGACACAGCTATCCTGAAAGAAAAGTTAAAAACAGTATTTCAGAGAGAAAAAAATGATATAGATGAAAAACTTGAATCTATATAAAGTAATAAGAGAAGGAATAGATTAAGGCAAAAGAAAATTATTACTTTTATTTCATCTAATCTAATTGATAACACTAGTTTAAAATAATAACAAGCATTGTATTGGGTAACTATATTGTTTGTCTAAGTGAAATGAATGGCAACAATATTACCAGACACAGAAGAGAAGACTTGAGAATGCTGTGTTTTAAGGTACATGCAAAACCATGAAGTGATACAGTACTATTTCAGAGTGGACTTATATTGGTTGTAAAATTGTATTGCAAACTCTAGGACAAATATATTTCTTTTACAAAAGAAGTGAAATATACTGAGACAAGAGAAAATGGGATCTTAAAAAAGATGCTCTATTAAGCCAGAAAGGAGTTAAAAGGCAGAGTTGGGGGTGGAAGACAACAACAAGTGCAGCAAATAGAAAACAGCTACAACTGGGGCAGATTTTAGAATATGAGTGGTCTAAATACCATCTAAACATCATATATTATTTTTTAATTTAAAAAGATATTAAACAAGATCCAACTATATGATATCTACAAAAAATCTTTCGATATAGAGATACCATTAGACTAAACATAAAATTGATGGAGAAAGATATATAATGCTAATGCTAATAAAATGTAGCATAAATATGTTAATTTTAGACAAAGAAGACTTCAGAATAAGGCAAGGTATCAAGGATAAAGACATTCATTACATAAAGATAGTAAGGTCAAATCTCCAAGAAGACATAATAATCTTAAAGATACATGTATCTAATAACAATGCATGAAAATAATTAAGACAGTGTGGTATAATATAATACACACCTAGAACAATGAAACAGAACATAAAACTAAAACATATGGCCACAGAAATATATTTGGGTAAATGTTGGAAAATGAACAAATCCAATTCATTGGAGAAAAAATAATCTTTACAAAAATGATGCTAAAATGATTATACATTCATATGCAGAAATAAATGAATCCAGACATAGAATTTACCTCTTATAAAAATTAAAGTGAGGTTGATCTCAGACCTAAATGCAAAATGCAAAAGTATCAAACTTCTGTAAGAAAATCTAGGAGAAGCTCTAGGTGACCTTGGGCTTTGTAATGAATTTCTAGATATAACAGCAAACACTCTATCCCATGAAACTAAAAATTGTAAATTGCACTATTAAAATGAAAAGTTTACTCTCTGCCTCTCTGCATAGGAAACTGTAAAGAAAATGATAAGACAAATCACAGACTAAGGGGAAACATTTGCAAAACATAAAAGATAAAAATATATATCAAAAATATTCAAAGAACTCTGAAAGCTCAGTAATAAAGAATCAAACAACACAATTACACTATGGGCAAAAGATATGAACACACACTTAACCAGAAAAAAAAATCCAGATTGAAAATAAGCATATGAAAATACGTTTAATATCACTTGTCAACAAAGCATTGCAATGTAACACAGCATTAACATATTACTGCACACATATTAGATTAGCTAAAATCCAAAGAACTGACCATATTAACTGCTGTCAAGGATGTAGAGTGACATGAACTTCCATTCCTTGATGGTGGGAAAGTGAAATGTACAGTCAATTTAGAAGAGAGTGGCAGTTTCTTACAAAGATACTATGATTTGAATGTCTCTTCCAAAACTCATATTAAAATGTAACTGCCAACGTAACAGCATGAAGAGGTGGAGCCTTTAAGAAGTCGTTAGATTGTGAAGGCTTCTATCTCATGAATACATTAATGCTGCCATCTTAGGAGTGGGTTAGTTATTGTGGGAGTGAGCTCATAATAAAGAGGGCTCATGAGAAAGAGGAATTTGGCCCAATTTAATCTTTCTCTCTTGCATGCTCGCTTGCATTTTTGCCACACTATAACAAAGTAAGAAGGCTCTCAGCAGATGCTAGCACCATGTTCTTGGACTTCCCAGCTTCCAAACGTTTAGAAAGTAAATTTGTTTTATTTTCAAATTACCCAGGCCATGATATTTTGTTATAGCAACAGAAAATGAACTAAGACAAAAACCAAATATAGTTTTACTATAATATCCAAAAATTACACTTCCAGGTATTTATTAATTTGCAAGCCTACATCTACAAAACCAAGAAATATCAAAGCAAAAACAAGCAAATAAAGACACTTTATATGAAAGCATATAGCAGCTTTATTTATAAGAGTCCAAAATTCGAATTTGCTGAAATGTCTTTCAGTAGATTAATGAATAAACCAACTGTGGTCAATCCATTCATTCAATGGAAGGTTTTTCAGGGAAAAAATAAATGAGCTATTAAACCAAGAAAAGAATGAGTGAAACCAACGGATATTTGCTATGAGAAGAAAGCCAGTGTGTAAATGCTACACACTATACACCTCCAATTATATAGTGTTCTAGAAAAGGAAAAAAATACAGAAACGGTAGAAGTAACAGTGGTTGGCATACATTCAGGAGAAAGGGAGGAAGGCTGAATAGATGACGTGCAAGAGATTTTGAAAGCAGTTAAAATAATCTGTATAATTCTTTAATATTGCATATAAGAAGTTTTGTATTTGTCAAAACTTACAAAACTATAGCAAAAAGAGTAAACAATAATCTATGCAACATTTAAAAATAATTGGAAAAACATGGGATCTTGGAAGGAATGCAGATTGTGACAAGAGAATATAACTGCACTTCAAATGTATTAAACAACCTCAGTGAAGGGAGTGGAGGGAAAAGTTGCCATCTTACGCAACTTTGGAAATGAATTTTAGTTTGTAATACATATGTACTGTTCTCTAGTTGATAACATTTTTCCAATAGAGGTATGGGTTAAAAATTCTTACATCAATAAACATATATACTGGAACTGAACAATTGAATTAATGGATGGCAGATGTGGGAGCCAGGGTTCTTACTATTGGACTAAGAACATATATTACAAATACGAGCAAAGAAGTTGTCCAGAATAGTCAATATGGTAATGGATTTGAGGTGAAGGCATCAGTATGAACTCATATTTAGCTTTTTAGCTTTTTATAAATGAATATGGTTACAGAGAATTTATTGAACTGTGTGTGTATGTATGTGTGTGTCTGTGTGTGTTAGTGAAGACATATATTTTCTTGCTGTATTTAGCTGAGAAGTTTTTGAAACAATTATATTTTAGATTCAACGAGAAAACCTGGCTCACAGATGCTGTTTTCTGAATAAGAAACAATACACCAATGAATTAGCTTGCACAATTTTCATTTCTAGTTAGATATAAAATCAGAACTATACCGCATTTTTTCCAGTTTTGTATTATGTCTAATATATACTAATATTATTCTCTTAAAATTTGATGAAAAAAATAAAATATAATGATTTTCTTAAAAACCCATATTTAAAAGGAGACAGTGATTGCTAGTTGAAACTTTCAAAATCCATTTTTGAAAATTTCTACTACGTAAAGAAATCTAGAATCTATTCTAATAAGAACATATTTTCATATGCTGAAGATTGCAATTAAATCAGTGTAAGCCCTTTTTCCTCTAGACAAAACTGTCCCGATTCTTAGAACTTTCTGTATATCATATTTTCCATATCTCTTATAAAATATATTTGCTTTTATGAAACACCTTAGAGTTCTTCACATTCCATTTAAGGTTATATGGCTCACAATAAAAGAAAAGAGAAACCTTCTGTTTTATGCAGCATTTTCTAGTCTCTAGTCTTTAATCCTGCAGATAAAAAGTCCAAGGGCCAGAAGTATAGCTACACGATGGAAGAAAATATTTGCACATCTTAATGTAAGTTAGGTTATTCATCATAAAATTTAACACAGATATGGAGCAGTGAAAAGAAAAATGAGTTTTAATACTCTATAATGTGCTAGAGATCATCTGTACTGATTTGACATAGCCTCCCATTACTTAGCTAGTTGTATGCATTAAGCATTTTATTTTATTTATATGATGCTCGGTTTTTTCATCCTATAAAAGAAAATATTTCTAATCCTAGAGCACAGGTCAGCAAAATAGTACTCACCAGGCAAATCTGTCTTGCTGTCTGTTTCTCTAAATGCATTCATTGAAACATAGTTGACTCCTTCTATTTGCCAATAGTTTTAACTACTTTTAAACTGCAACAGTAGAGCTAAGCAGTCATAAGAAAGAGCATATTTTCTAAAAGGCCTAAATTATTTGGTATCTGACTCCTTACCAAAAAAAAAAAAAAAGGAAAACTCTGGACTCCTGGATACTTTTTTTAAAAATAAAGAGTCATTTAGACATCGTGATTACAATTTTTGTGTGTGTTTTAGATGGTATATTTTATAATATTTTCAAGTTTTTTTATATAAATATATTCACACACACATAACAATCTAAGCCTAAATAAAATAACAAAATTTCTCTTGAATTGAATTGAAACCTATCTTGTTCTTCAATTATAAACCTCAACTCTTTTGTATAATAATTTATCTGTAAAAAAACAAGTTTTAGACTCAAGAAAAATAATTATCTAAGCTTATGCATTTGGAAACCTTTATAACAGAAGACTTGCTTTTTCCCTCTAAGTGTGAGAAACATAGGTGGACATAAAGTTAAACATTATCATACAGTGAATACAATTTCCAGAATCTCCTACATTTATAGCATTCTTATGTTGATTTATTTACTTTTACAAAAATATTTAAGACTTTAATTACTGATACACTCTGAAGAATTTCAATGAATAATGAACTACTATTGCAATTTTTTAAATTCAGAAATATACATATGGAAGGTTTTGGATAAAATAAGAACGCTTTTGATTCTAAATAAGGAATAGTAGGCAGGCCACAAAGCAAGTATTAACAAATTTAAGAAGAATAACGTAGTATCAGGTAAATTTTCTCTACAATGTTTTGAAACTAGAGATAGGTTAACAGGAGGAAAATTGGAAATTTCACAAATATGTGGAAATTAAACAACATATTCTTGAAAAACAATAGGTTAAAGAAGAAATCAAAAATAAAATCAAAATGTATCTACAGACAAAAATAGAAATACAACATAGCAAAACTTTCTGGATGCATCAAGAGCAGTTATAAGAAGGAAGTACATAGCTTTTAATGTCTGTATTAAGAAAAGAGAGAAGACTCAAAATCATAAAAGAAAACGGAGAACTTACAACTGATAACAGAGAAATACAAAGGATCATAAAAACTACTATGAACAATTATAATCCAATAATTGAATAACCTAGAAGAAATAGATAAATTCTTAAAACATACTACCTACTAAGACTGAATCATAAAGAAATAGAAAATCTGAAGTAAAAATTAAGTAAGAAGATTAAAGGTTTAATAAAAATCCTTCTAACAACAACAACAAAAAATCCATGACCAAGTGAATGTTCACAGTGAATTCACAGGTTAATTCTTCCATTTAAAGAACTAACACAAATACTTTTCAACTCTTCCAAAAAATTGAAAAGGAAAGGATGCATGCAAACTGATTTTTCCGAGCTGTTATTATCCTATTACAAAGCAACGTAAGGATACCACAAAAAAAAAAAGTTAAAAGTTGATATTCTTGGTGAACATAGATGCAATATACCTCAACAAAATGACAGCAATCAGAGGCAGACAAATTCCTAGGCAGATTGTGATGGGTCCCTGGCAAAACTCAACCTTCAAGCCAGCAACATCCTGAAGCCTGAAAACCAAACTACCAATTCCAGATAGAATCCGCAGACTGGAGTGAGAACTTATATTCCTACTCGGCTCCTGATTGGCCCCAGGCCAGGGTCCTGGCCAAGCCTCCACTTCAGTCTCTGCTTGGTTCTTTACACTATCGTTCCTCTTTCTGAATGGCACTTTTTCTAAGCCTACTCATAAATCAATCAGCACTCATTTCCCCATTCCAAGCCCATAGAAATCCTGGACTCAGCCTGGCAACTGGCAACCCTCTTTCAGGTCGTCTCTCATTGCTGAGAGCTTTCTTTCTGTTGCTTAATAAAATTCTACTCTGCCTCATGCACTTTCTGGTGTCCACGTCCCTCATTCTTCTTGGTTGTGACACAAGAACTTGGAACTGGCCGAACGTGTGGAGTGAAAAGATGGTAACACTCCCTCCTGTTTGCTGAACTATGAGAGTGGAAGAACTGTAACACTCCCTCTCACTCGTCAAACTAGGGGAGTGAAGAAGCCACAAATACTAGGAAACTCAATTCAAAAAATTATTACAAGGTAATAATGTACCATGATAAAGTGGGACATATCTATGAAATTTAAGGATGGTTCAACATATGTAAATCAATAAATAAGATACACCTTTTTAACAGAACGGATAATAAAATTGATCATCTCAATCAAAAGATGCAGAAAAAAACATTCAAAATTCAACAATCTTTTATGAAAAAAAAACTCAGCAAGTTATTTTTAAAAGGAATGCACTTCAACATAATAAAGGCCACAATGACAAGCTCACAACTAGCATCATACCTAATGGTGAATTGCCAGAAGCTTTCTTCAAAAATCAAGAGCAAGGCAAGTATGCCCACTCTCACCACCTCTATTCAACATAGTACAGAAAGTCTTAGAACAACTGTGCAAGATAAAAAAAAAAAGACATCCAAATCAGAAAGGAAGAAGTTAAATGTTCTGGTTTGCAAAGCATATTATTTTAAATATCAAAAATTCTAAACATGCTACCAAAATACTTTTAGAATAAAAGAATTCATAAAATAGAGGGATAAAAAGTCAACATAAAAAATATGTTGTTTTTCTATACATAACAGCAAACTATCCAAAACAGAAATTAAGAAAACAATCCTATTCCTAATAGCATTAATAAAACAATAAAATACTTAGGCACACATTTAACCAACAAAGTGAAAGATCTGTGAACTGAAAACTACAAAAAAAGATGAAAGAAATTTAAGAAAACAAAAATTAATGGAAAGTTATTCTGTGTACATGGACTAGAAGAACTGATAATGTTAAAATGTCTGTATTACCCAAAACAATCTACGGATTCAATGCAATCCCTATCCAAACTCTAACAGCATTTTTCACAAAAATAGAAAAAGCAATTCTAAAACATTTGTGGAACCACAAAAGACCATGAATAGTCAAAGCATTTTGAATAAAGAAACAAAGCTGGAGAAACATCCTCACTTTAAACTATATTATGAAATGATAATAATCAAAACAGTATGGTTCTGACAGAAGAACAGATAAATAGACCAATAGAACAAAATAGATAGAAACAAAGCCTCCCCTCATATATGGTAAATTAATCTTTAACAAGGGTATCACGAAAACCAAATGGGAAAATGATAGTCTCTTCAATGAATTATGCCAGGAAAATTGGATAGCTACATGTCAAAGAACAAAATTGTGCCCTTACCTTACGCCATACACAGAAATTAATTGAAATGGATTAAAAATTTAAATGTAAAAGCTCCTTGAAGTCTTGGCAATTTTTTTTAATATGACATCAAAAGCACAGGCAACAAAACAAAAATAAACAAATGAACTACATCAAATGAAAAGGCTTCTGCACAGCAAAGGAAACAACGAAGTAAAAATACAGCCTACACAATGAGACAAAGTGTTTTCAAACCATATATCAGGGCTAATATATTATAAACCATATAATAGGAGCAAACCATATAATAAGGGGCAAATATAACATATAATAGAGACAAAATAAACCATACAATAGGGGTAAACCATGATAAGGAGCTAATATTTAAAATATATAAGACAGACATAAAACTCAACAGTGATAAAGTAATTTACGTGATTGAAAATGGTGTGGGGTGCCAGCAGTGAAGGTAGATGTAGAAAAGGGACACATTGGTCAATGGGCACAGAGTTTCAGTTACATGTAAGTAGTACGTTCTGGTATGTATTGGAAAACATGGTGACTATGGTTAATAATGAGGTCTTATATATTTCAAAGTAGTAAAACAGAGGATTTTAAATGTTTTCACAACACAGAAATGATAAATATTTGAGGTGATGAAATTAAAAAAAAAAAGGCAAAGGACCTGAGTTGACATTTTTTTCAAAGAAGACATACAAATAACCAACAAATACAAGAAATGTTGCTCAACATCACTAATCATCAGGGAAATGCAAATCAAAAGCATAAGATATCACCTCACACCTGTTAGGATTATTATCAAAAAGAAAAAAAGTTACAAATATTGTCAAGAGTGTGGAGAAAAGAGAACCCTTATACACTGCTGTTGGAAATGTAAATTATCACAGTTATTATGAAAAACAGTATTGAGTTTCCTCAAAAAAATTAAGAATAGAATATTCATATAATCCAGCAATACACTTTCCAGGTATATATCCAAAGGCAAAGAAATTAGTAACAAGATGAGTTATGTGCACTACCATTTTCTTTATTTACCACAGCCAAAATATGGAAACATGTCTGTCCATGTATGAATACATTGTTAAAATTGTACACACACACACTCGTGTGCGCGCATGCACAGTGGAGTATTATTCACCATTTAAAATGAAGAAAATCCTGTAATTTATGACAAGGTGGATTAAACTGGAGAAAGTTATGCTAAGCGAAATAAGTCAGACAGAAAAAGATAAACATTGTATGAGCTCACTTATGTATCGAATCTAAAATAGTCAGACTCACAAACAGAATGGTGTTGCCAGTGGCCAAGGTGTGCGGGAAACTGGGAGATTTTGCTCAAACAGTACAAAATTTCAGTAATAAGACGAATCAGTTTGGAGAATCTAATGTATATTATGGTCACTATAGTTAATTAATAATGCATTTTATATATGAAATTTGCTAAGCGAATGGCTCTCGAGTGTTCTCACAACAGGCACACACACAAAAAGTTAAAGTACGTGAGGTGATAGATGTACTTATTAGTTTGATTGTGGTAGCCATTTCACAATGTAAAAGTATACCAAATCATTTGATACAACTTAAAATATGTACAATTTCTTTACTTTTTAATTATACTTCAGTAAAGCTAGAAAAAAGGATGCCATAAGCAAAATAAAGGCCACACCAAAACTAGAAGGAAAAAAAAATACAGCCTTATATAAAACTAAATAGTAGTCACATTGGTAATGT